>NC_000016.10:8135000-8760000 GCF_000001405.40 Homo sapiens | reverse complement strand
AGAGGGGAACGCTCTAAAGCCATGAGGATACACAGTCTGCGATTACACACACCAGGAGGAATCACCCAGACGTAATTTTGAATGAAATAAGCCAGACGAGGTAAAGATACACACTGCAAAACTCCATTTACATGGCAATAAAGAACTGGAGAAATACAACTGGGTGTGGTGGCTCACGCCTGTAATCCCAGGACTTTGGGAGACCGAGGCAGGAGGATTACTTGAGCCCAGGAGTTCGAGACCAGCCTGGGCAACATGGTGAAACCCCATCTCTACCAAAAACAAAAGAAAACAACAAACAAACCAACAAAAAACCAAAAATGAGCTGGGCATGGTGGTGGGCACCTGTAGTCCCTGCTACTCAGGAGGCTGAGGTGGGAGGATCACTTGAGCCTGGGAGGTCGAGGCTGCAGTGAGCCATGATTGCACCCCTGCACTCTAGCCTGGGCAGCAGAGCAAGACTCTGTCTCAAGAAAAAAACAAGCAAACAAAACTGGAGAAATACAGCAATCTGTTAAAAGTAAGGGGAGGGGTCTACTTAATTTGGTTGGAAGGAATAATAACTGGGTGGGGGCATGTTCTGATTCCTCATTACAACTCATGCATTCTCAGTGGGAGTAAAAAAAAAAAATTTTTTACTCTGTTCCATGTAAAGCACGGACATAAATACAACACACAGATACACTCCATATGTACTGTATTTTTCTATTTCAATTTCATGATAGGGAACAACTAGGAAAATAATGTCTAAAAATGCTCCTTAAGGGATGTTCCAATAACAAAAAGAGTTGTGAAACTTTGGTTACATGGGAAATTCATTGAGTGGTGCATTTAGGCTGTATGCATGCCTGCATGGGTGTTGTACTTTTTATTTATTATTATTATTATTATTATTTTTTGGGATAAAGTCTCCCTCTGTCACCCAAGCTGGAGTGCAGTGGCACCATCTCAGCTCACTGCAACCTCCACCTCCTGGGTTCAAGCAATTCTCCTGCCTCAGCCTCCCAAGTAGCTGAGATTACAGGCTCACACCACCACACCTGGCTAACTGTTGTATTTTTAGTAGAGACGGGGTTTCACCATGCTGGCCAGGCTGGTCTTGAACTCCTGACCTCCCTCAAGTGCTCTGCCTGCCTCAGCCTCCCAAAGTGCTGGGATTACAGGCGTGAGCCACCGTGCCTGGCCATATTCTTTAGTATAAATGTGCAATGGCTCTCTATCTCTCTTCGGATAGAGACAGGTGTCATGTATTGCAGGGGTTCTCACGTGGGGTTACCGTATCCACCAGGGGACATCTGGCCATGTCTGCAGACATTTTTGGTTATCACAACCTCAGGAGAGAGTTGCTACTGGCATTTAGTGGGTAGAGTCCTGGGATGCTGCTCAATGTCTCAATGCACAGGACAGCCCCCCACCACACAGAATTATCTGGCTACGGATGTCAACAGTGTGAGAGTTCTGAACCCCTGGCCTAGGTGGCGTCTGAAAACCCTGTGCCCTGCTGCTACTCCAGTCCTCCTTGGGTCCCTCCCCACTCTCTCTGCTCCAGCCACACTGCTGCCCTTGCCGCTGCCCTCTTCTCTCTGCTGAGACCATTCCTCCCGACTCGTGGCCTGCCAGACCTTCCTCTCCTTCAGATCTCAGCTGAAAAGTCATTTCCCTGGGAAGCCTCCCTGACACCCACCCTCTCCATCCCCAAATAGCTCAGCTCCTGTGGGTTTATTCTCAGCGCCTCCACTAGCTGTGTGACCTCGGGCAAATACTTAACCACTCTGTGCCTCAGTTTCTGCATCTGAAAAATGGGGATAACAAAAGTACCTGCTTCACAGACTTGTCAATATTGTCGCTATAAAGTGCTGAACACAGTGTTTGGTACAAATTATGCTCTCCATAAACATTAACTATTAGCATCATTCTTTTATGCCCACAAAGCGCTGCCTACCTTACTCTGTAGCACTTAATATTGTTGCAATTCTCTATTCATGTGTGTGGTTAATTGACTGCCTCCGTGGGAATGTCGGCACTGCGTTTTCATTCATCAAGGCATGCCACATACCTGGCACATAGTATGGGCTCAATACATATTTATGGAATGAATGAATGAATGAAAGGACTATTGCCAAAGTCTGCCCAGTGATTCTGTGAATGGCCATGAACATATTTTGTCTTTCTTCTGTGTAACCCCAAGACCTACCGCATTTTGAGGCTGTTGGATGAGTTTCAGCAGGGCGGGGTGGCTGTAACCTGAGGGCAGGAGAGTATTGTTAGAGACCTCATTGCATCCAAGGGTTCCCCATGCCCCTCCCACCTCTCCTTCCCTCTCCCTTCCTTTCCAACCCCCCAACTCTCTTTAAAAACCAAAGGGTCTTTTATCCTTTGTTGACAAAAAGAGATTCCTGGGGCCCCACCTAACATCCCTGACTCAGAATCTCTCAAGGGGCAGCCTAGAAATCCAACAAATTCTCTAGGAGATTCTGATGCTTGTTCAGATTTGAGACCTACTGGACTACATAAACATAAGGTGAGATAAATGCGCCACGTGTGGTGGCTCACACCTGTAATCCCAGCACTTCGGGAGGCCAAGGCGGGTGGATCACTTGAGGTCAGGAGTTCCAGACCAGCCTGGCCAACATGGTGAATCCCCGTCTCTACTAAAAATACAAAAATTAGCCGGGCGAGGTAGCACGTGCCTGTAATCCCAGGTACTCGGGGGGCTGAGGCAGAAGAATCTCTTGAACACAAGAGGCGGAGGTTGCATTGAGTTGAGATCACGCCACTGCACTCCAGCCTGGGTGACAGTGAGACTCTATTTAAATAAATAAATAAATAAAAAGGGAGATAAATGCAAGAAAATTTCAAGCCTGGGGCTGGCTGGGGAGTGTGGTTCAACAGGCCCTAGTGCTGGATTGCAGATAGGATCCTCACCTTCCTTCCCAGCGCCCATGGGCTGAGTCAAATCTCGACAAATGTTTGCTCAGAGACTGAGCGAGTAGTGATGCCACCTGCAATCTGTGACCCGCATGCCTCATCCTGCCTTCACACATCTGCTTATTCCCAGAGTCCTACAGCATTTACCATCCAGACTGGGCCTGACATTGCACAACAAGGCTTAGCACACTCGGATTCAGCAATTGCTCTTCTATGAATTTATCCTACCAGTGTGTATAAAGATCTATGAGCATGGATCTTAATTGTGACACTCTCATATCTCAAGACTTGAAAGCAACCTAACATCCATCAGTAGTGGGTCAGGGAAATAAGCCTTCTAATGTAACGAATCAGCTGTAGAAAAGGGTGAGAGAGATTTATTTGTGCTGAGTTAGAATAATCTCTGAGATCTGCTAAGTGAAGAAGGAGAGACACAGGATATGTGTATGCTTACGCACGCACTGAGTATCTCTCTAGAAGAAGCAGGTTGCTTCTGAGAGAGGAATTGAGATGGGGATTAGGCTTAGGAAAGGCACTGGTCCCCACTCTATTAAAATTAAAATAACGAGACAATAGGTG
Source organism: Homo sapiens (assembly GCF_000001405.40). NCBI lineage: Eukaryota > Metazoa > Chordata > Mammalia > Primates > Hominidae > Homo > Homo sapiens. The sequence goes on along the minus strand of NC_000016.10, from coordinate 8,756,493 downwards.
CAGTAAACCACCATGGCACACGTTTACCTATGTAACAAACCGGCAGGTTCTACACATGTATCCCTTTTTTTTAAAAAGAAGAAATAAAAAAAGAAAAAAATTAAAATAAAAATGTTTGACGTTAATTAATAAGAATTACTCTGTAGTTATGTTAAACTCAAGCAAGATTGTTGTAATCTTCTAGGGCTTTTTGAAAGACATTCTTAACCATTCTATCGCATGTTGGCCTCCCCTAACAAGTCAAGCTCCCATTCCTTCCCCTCCCCTCTTCTTTTCAGCAGAGTCTTGCCTTGTTGCCCAGGCTGGAGTGCAGTGGCACAATCGTGGCTCGTTGTGACCTCTGCCTCCCAGGTTCAAGCGATTCTCGTGTCTCGTGCCTCAGCCTCCGGAGTAGCTGGGTTTATAGGTGTGTGCCACCATGCCTGGCTAATTTTGTTTTTTTTTTGAGAGAGAGTCTCGCTCTGTTGCCCAGGCTGGAGTGAAGTGGAGCAATCTCGGCTCACTGCAAGCTCCGCCTCCTGGGTTCACGCCATTCTCCTGCCTCAGCCTCCCGAGTAGCTGGGCCTACAGGCGCCCATCACCACGCCTGGCTAATTTTTTGTATTTTTAGTAGAGACGGGGTTTCATCGTGTTACCCAGGATGGTCTCAATCTGCTGACCTCGTGATCCACCCACCTCGGCCTCCCAAAGTGCTGGGATTACAGGCGGTAGTCACCGTACCCAGCCACAATTTTTTTGTATTTTTAGTAGATATGAGGTTTTGCCATGTTGGCGAGGCTCGTCTTGAACTCCTGCCCTCAAGTGATCCACCCACCTCGGCCTTCCAAAGTGCTAGGATTACAGGTGTGAGCCACCGAACCCGGCCTGAAGTCAAGCCATTGTCTATCTCCTGGTTATTAATGCACCTGCCCTGCAGGTCATCTCCCAGTCAGTACTGGGAGATAATTACACATAAGGTTGGAGCACAACAGGGCAGCAGGGTCTCTCTCTGAGAAAAGAACTCAGCAGCCGACCTCATTTGTTTGACTTGAGTTTCTAAAAATCACAGCTCTCACCCTGATGAATGCATCCTCACTTTCATGTGTCTTGAAGCCCTGGGAAGTGGCCACATCACCTCTGTGGCCAGTGATGGTGGACAATGCTCATTCCCACCTCTGCCTCCTACACAGAGTCCCCTGTCCATGGTGATGCCACTCCACAGGCCCGGGACACTTTGTGGTTGCACCTGGACCTCCCTGTCGAGAAGACCAGAGGGAGGGAGGCGTAGGAGACCCACCTCAGGGTTAGTACACCCATGGCAGCCAGTGGGGCCAACCAGGACTTGACACCATGCCTCAGAGAGTTAAAAAAAAACAAAAACGAATCAACGACTATATTCTTGGGCTTACAGGAAAGCAGAGAAAAGAAAGAAAGAACGTGCTGAAAAGCTGAAACTGTGCCCCAAAGAGTAAGAAGCCAGTAACTAACAGAAATTCTCGAGTTTGAAGAATAGCAGATAAGAAAGGAATCTCACTTGGGAGGCCGAGGCAGGTGGGTCACTTCAGCTCAGGAGTTTGATACCAGCTTGGCCAACATGGTGAAACCCCATCTCTACTAAAAATACAAAAATTAGCCCAGCGTGGTGGCAGGTGCCTGTAATCCCAGCTACTTGGGAGGCTGAGGCAGGAGAATCGCTTGAACCAGGGGGGCAGAGGTTGTAGTGAGCTGAGATTGTGCCACTGCACTCCAGCCTGGGCAACAGAATGGGACTCCGTTTTCAAGAAAAAAAAAAGAAAGAAAGAAAGAAAGAAAGAAAGAAAGAAAGAAAGAAAGAAAGAAAGAAATAAATAAATCAACTTGCTGAAAATGCTGAAACTCTCTCTGCTTATGAGATCAAGGAGAAACGAGCTGAAATCTGTTGGGACCAAGATGGTCAAATGGAGTTTGTGCAAAACGAGCTTGCTGATATCATGGCCTGAATTTCCACCACAAGGTTCACACTAACTCCTGCTGAATTTGAACATGCAATCGCTGCAGTAGCATGGATATAACTGTCCATGCCTGAGGACTTTCCAGACCACCCCCTCTTCCTTCTACCAGTCACCGGCTAATCTCAGAATCCACCCCTTGAACCTTTTCTTTTTGTTGTTTTCTTTGTTTGAGACATGGTCTCACTCTGTTGCCCAGGCTGGAGTGCAGTGGTGTAATCATGGCTCACTGCAGCCTCAACCTCCCTAGCTTAAGCAATCCTCCCACTTCAGCCTCCCGAATAGCTGGGATTACAGGTATGCACCACCATGCCCGGCTAATTTTTTTTTTTTTTTTTTTTTTTTTTATAGACAGGGTTTCAACATGTTGGCTAGGCTGGTCTCAAACTCCTGAGCTCAAGCTATTTTCCTGTCTTGGCTTCCCAAAGTGTGGGATTACAGGCGTGAGCCACTGTGTCCATCCAAATACATTTGCTTTGAAAGGAGACTTTATGTCAATGTGGCCAGAGGTTGAATGCAGTAGGAACAATCTTTCTGTTGCCTGCCCAAGCCTCTGAGCCTGGGCCGCGCACTCCTCCACAGTAAGAGATCAGCCAGTGGAGACAGGTATTAAAGACCTGGCATCACCCAGGGGAGACTTTCTGCTAATAGAATAGAAAAGTGAAAGTGATTTGAAATGCCTTGGGGTTCCACTCTGTCTGGTCGAGAAGACGGATGAGACAGCCTTGGAGGGGGACCAAGGTGGTTAACATTCATCCCTGGCACTCCCCCATCCTACTCCAACACACGCTGGCCCCAAGACTGAAAAGTACACCTTACTCAAGAAAGGAACACTCTGGGTTTCTCCAACTGTTTCGGGGCCAAAGGTCTTTAAGTCCTGGTTCCTTATCACCACTGCCTGTGTGTTCATGACTTTTCTGCCTTTGGAGAGCTAAGCCTGTTCCAGGTAGACCTCATTAAGCCTCAGATGTGGCGTGCCTTACTGGCTTCTGAAGAAGAGATGAAAGCGGAGCTGGTCCCTCTGATCAGGGAAATCCTGCCTTGGGCTTTCTATGCTGTGGGACCCCCACATTTCAGGGCAGGGCAGGGGCAGGCGTCTGCAAGGCAGCTACCATAGAAATAAGCTTGGGAGGGCCAGGCGCGGTGGCTCACGCCTGTATTCCTAGCACTTTGGGAGGCCAAGGTGGGTGGATCACGAGGTCAGAAGATCGAGACCATCCTGGCTAACACGGTGAAACCCCGTCTCTACTAAAAATACAAAAAAAAGTAGCCAGGCATGATGGTGGGCACCTGTAGTCCCAGCTACTTGGGAAGCTGAGGCAGGAGAATCGCTTGAACCCAGGAGGCAGAGCTTGCAGTGAGCCGAGATCATGCCACTACACTCCAGCCTGGGCGACAGAGCAAGACTCCGTCTAAAAAAAAAAAAAAAAAAAAGAATAAGCTTGGGAGGCAGAGAGTTGTTTGTGCACAGCCTGGCTTAGCCTTGGACTCCCTGTGTATGCCAGGAAAATCCTGCAAGCTCTTGAGACTCGGGCCCATCAGTCAACTGGAGGTGATGTTAGAAGACCCTACTCCAAGGTGGCTGTAGCCATTTAATGAGATAATGTATAAGGCACTTGGCAATATGCCAAGTGCATAGTAAATTCTCTATAAGTATTAACTTAAAAAAATCTTTTCAAAGACTACAGATACGGGAGGACAGGTGGCCAGAGAGAGAACTTTTAGAACTTCTAGAATTTTTCTGTTTTTGTTTTTTACTGAGACAGGGTCTTGCACTGTTGCCTCAGGCTGGAGTGCAGTGGAGTGATCATAGCCCACTGCAGCCTCAAACTCCTGGGCTCCAGAGATCCTCCTGACTGAGCCTCCAGAGTAGCTGGGACTACAGGCATGCACCAGCATGACTAGCTAATTTTTAAAACTCTTTTGTAGAGATTGGGGTTGGTTCTCACTATAATGCCCAGATTGGTCTTAAACTCCTGGCCTCAAACAATCCTCTTCCCTTGGCCTCCCAAAGTGCTGGGATTATCAGCGTGCTCCACCGTGCCCGACCAAACTTCTAGTTTTTTAAACAAATGCTGCTAATCTGATTCCCTGACCTTCATGCACACAGTGGCTAGCTGGGCATTCAGACTGAGGGAGTCCTCGGGGGTGGGTCACAGTCCCACAGCTAATATATAGTAGAGCCAGGATTTGAACCCAGGACAACTCAAGAGCCCATCCCTTCCACTCCCACACAAAGGGGAGATGGGGTTTTTAAATTCTTGTCTCCAAAATGCCTTCCATAGCTGAGGCATTCCTGAATGATGGACTTCCCCCAAAGAATGAGTCATCCGCTTACTGTCTAATCTCATGTTAGTGGCAAATAAATAGGTGTGAGGAAATGAGCAGGGGAAGAAGAGGAGGGGGGACAGCCAAGGCTGGGTCTCAGGGAAAGGCTCCAGGCTTCTGAGCAGGGTCCAAAGGGAGGTGCTGATGGGGAGCGGAGGATGCCCCGGGCTCTTCTGCAGCAGAAGAACCAGCATTACCTGTGAAGGGACAGGCTTCATCAGACACAGCCTATGGACTACTCAATGTAGCCAGGAATCCATCAGCCAAAGAAACATTAACCATCCAAGCTGCAAATAGCAGCTACCTGCATTTCCAATTTAGCCCTGTCCATCCTGTCTGTGTGCCCTTTTATACAGCGAGTGAACACTCTATATGGCTGGGAGGCGAGGCTGGGGAGGCAGACGCTGTGGGCATCCCACCGAGGTCACTTTTACTGGGCAGGTCACCGTTTTCCAGCTGCTGTGTGTGTTGATTGATAATAACTCCAGCTGCCTCCTTGCCTGGAAAATCGCCCTTGGCAAATGGAAGCCACTTTTCCGAGGAGATTATACGAGTTCTCCCCTCTCGCAGCTGATGGGCGATGACTGGCTGGTGAAGGGTCATAAAAAGCCAGGCCCTTTGCTTCAGTCTGAGACCAACTCTGGGGTGTGGTGTATGCACCAGAGCCCGAAGTGGGGTCAGGCTGTGGATAGTTCTAGCTAAGACCTCATCCTTCTTAGCTTATTCCCCCTGCCCCAGGCTGTTTCCTTTCCTCCCCTTTCTCCTGAGAGCTCTCCCTCAATCAATAACCTGCCCAAGAATCCCTACCTCTGGCTGGGTTCAGTGGCTCACACCTGAAATCCTAGCACTTTGGGAGGCCAAGGTGGGAGGATCACTTGAGTCCAGGAGTTCGAGACCAGCCTGGGCAGCGCATAGTGAGACCACCATCTCTACAAAAAATAAAAAAATTAGGCTGGGTATAGTGGCTCACACCTGTAATCCCAGCACTGTGGGAGGCTGAGGCAGGCAGATCACTTGCGGTCAGGAGTTCTAGACTACCCTGGCCAACATGGTAAAACCCCGTCTCTACTAAAAATGCAAAAATTAGATAGGCATGGTGGCGTGTGCCTGTAATCCCAGCTACTTGGGAGGCTGAGGCATGAGAATCACTTGAACCCGGGAGGCAGAGGTTGCAGTGAGCCAAGATCACGCCACTTCACTCCCGCCTGGTCGACAGAACAAGACTTCGTCTGGAAAAAAAAAAAAAAAAAAAAAAGCAGGGAAAAAGGAAATCCCCACCTCAGGCTCTTCTTCGAGGAAACTCAACCTAAGACACCTACCTGGGTGCCACTGTGGTCACACAGATGGGTTTGCATTCTAGCTATGATTCCTACGCAAGGTACCAAACCTTTCTATGCTTTGTTTACCTATCTGCAAAATGGGGATATTAATACATACTTACCCTGTGGAATTTGGGGAAGGAGTAGATGAGAGAGGACATATAATATGTCTAATAATATACCCTTTACACATTATTTATTTTTTTCCTACCCTTGGGTGAAGTGTCAGGCAACACTCTGGGATGTGCCTGCTGGAAGCCACATCCTAATACCTGGATAGCCACGACTAGGAGAGACAGAAACAGAGGTTATATCCAAGGAATGATTTCCCAGCTCTTACCTATGGGGACAGAGGAGATCTGGGAATAAAGATCCAGCATTCGGTTGCCGTCCACATCAACCAGGTAATTGCCTCGGCTCTCTTCGTAATTGCAGAAAAAATGCACAGCCTCTGCATTCTTGGAGAAAGAAAAGACCAACTCAGGCTCACTGCCACTCCCTAGATTCTTGGGCTTTTAGGATTAAGCTTGAATCAGTGAAGTACACCATATCGTGACTATCTGTGGACACACAGAGGCATCTGTGGGTGCCAGCAATGTATTTCTTGTTTTGGCTAAGTGCATGGGTGGTTTGCTTTATAATAGTTCAGTAAGCTGTGATTTTATTTTTTATGAATTTTTCTGTATGTGTTTTATACATCAGAACAAAAAAAGAGATACAAATCTGAAGTCGATTCTGTTAAGATATGTATGGTAAACCTTAGAGCAAACTCAAAGAAAACTAAAATATGTAGTAATCATTAAAGAAATAAAAATGTTACACTGCAAAGTACTCACTTAATGCAAAATGAGTAACATCACAAGAGGGCTGAGTGCAGTGCCTCATGCCTGTAATCCCAGTACTTTGGGAAGCCGAGGCAGGTGGATCATTTGAAGTCAGGAGATCAAGACCAGCGTGGGCAACATGGTGAAACCCTGTATCTACTAAAAAATACAAAAATTAGCCAGGCGTGGTGGTGCACGCCTGTGATCCCAGCTACTCAGAAGACTGAGGCAGGAGAATCACTGCACCCGGGAGGCGGAGGTTGCAGTGAACTTAGATTGTGCCACTACACTCCAACCTGGGGCGACAGAGTGAGACTCCATCTCAAATAAAAAACAAAAACATTAAAAGAGGAACAAAAGGGCTGGGTGCAGTGGCTCACGCCTGTAATCCCAGCACTTTGGGAAGCTGAGGCAGGTGGATTACCTGAGGTGAGGAGTTCGAAACCAGCCTCAACATGGTGAAATCTTGTCTCTACTAAAAATACAAAAATTAGCCGGGCATAGTGGCGGGCACCTGTAATCCCAGCTACTTGGGACGCTGAGGCAGGAGAATCACTTGAACCCAGGAGGCGGATGTTGCAGTGAGCCGAGATTGTGCCACTGCACACCAGCCTGGGAGACAGAGTGAGACTTCATCTCAAAAAAAAAAAAAAAAAAAAAAAAAAAAAAGGCCGGGTGCGGTGGCTCACGCCTGTAATCCAGCACTTTGGGAGGCCGAGGCAGGTGGATCACGAGGTCAGCAGTTCGAGACCAGCCTGACCAACGTGGTGAAACCCCATCTCTACTAAAAATACAAAAAAATTAGCTGGGTGTGGAGGCGGGTGCCTGTAATCTCAGTGACTTGAGAGGCTGAGGCAGGAGAATTGTTTGAAACCGGAAGGCAGAGGTTGCTGTGAGCCGAGATTGCGCCACTGCACTCTAGCCTGGGCAATAAGAGCAAAACTCCGTCTAAAAAAAAAAAAAAAGAGGAACAAAAGAACAAAAGACAGAAGACATATAGAGAACAACAATAAATGGCAGCTGTAAACACAACCATATGAATAATAACATTAACTGTGAATGGATGAAACAATCCAATCAAAAGGCAGAGATTGTCAGACTGGATAAAAAGAACCAACTCGATGCTGTTTACAGGAGACACTTTAGATTCAAGAACACAAATAGTTTGAAAGTAAAAAGATGGAGAAAGGAATCTGATGCACACAGCAACCATAAGAAAGCTAGAAGGGGTTGTACTCATATCAGAAAAAATAGACTATAAAAATATTACTAGAGAGAAAGAGAGAATATTATAAAGGGTCAATCCACTAAGAAGATATGACAATTATAAACATATTTGCACCCAAAAACAGAGCCCTGAATACACAGACAAAAACAGAATCAAAGGGAAAAACAATTTTATAATAATAGTTGGAGATGTCAACATCTGGCACTCCATAATGGATAGGACAACTAGGGAGAAGATTAGCAAGGAAATAGAAGACTTGAACAATATTCTAAAAGCAACCAGACCTAAGAAACATCTATAGAACACTCTGCCCAACAACAGCAGAATATAGATTCTTCTCAAGTACATATGGAATATTCTCCAGGCTAGACCATACGCTAGGCCATAAAAAAAGGCTCAATAAATTTAACAGGATTGAAATCACAAAAATATGTTTCCAACCATAATGGAATGAAACTAGAAATCAATAACAGAAAGAAATTTGGGAAATTTACCAAAGCGTAGAAATTAAACATCATGTAAGTAACTAATGGGTCAAAGAAGAAATCACAAAGGAAATGAGAAAAAATGTTTAGAACAAAAGTCAACTACATTTTTTTTAAAAAAGAGCCAGAACAGATTAAGCATCTGTCTTTTAGCTCAATTGTGATAAAGAAGCAACAGAAGGAAAGTTACCTCCTCCTCACTTACCTGAATTATATTCAGCTGTTTCATTAACTCCTGCAGGCAAGAACAACAAAAGCATTATAGCAAGTCCACACTCTTGCCAAAATAGCTTAAAATCTTTCATGTTTTCCCAAGTCTTGGCATTTTTTTCTTTTGCCAATAACTAAATATTTTATTAGTCAACCATATTACTTTAAAATTACTTGATATAAATAGTTGGCAGGAAACTATTCCATTACACGCTTAAATTACTAGTACGATAGACAGGCTGGAAATTCAGCCACCTGAAAGATAAAATAAACTAAAATATTTAGCAAGAAAATCTTAAGCTGAAGGTGTTTATCTAGTGTCCATAAAAACAGATTCTCTGTTATTTAGGGGAAAAAAGGTGTTAACACTTCATTAAGAATATAAATAACTGAAAATATTAACTTGCATATCAAAGAACCATTTATAATTATAATCCAAACACTCCATAAACCACTTGTACTTTATCCTATACAGAAACAGGGAATTAGAAACTAGCCGCTTTGATATTACAAAGATTTCAATTCCAAAAGTAATTCAATATAAAATAGATGTTAGCAGTTAGTGTCATAAAATTATATATTTCCAATAAAAATACAGGATAATATTCATGACAAGAATATGAAAAAGTATTCCAAGAATTTTACTACTACTAGATTAAAATCTATCTCCCCAATAGAAACATGCATTTAAAATGTCTCCCGTTTTGTTAGCAAAACACTATCCAAAATAACTACAATCACTTATATTAGTACAAAGATTTCTGGATTTATAAAATAGTTGCAATGACAAAAGAAGTATGTTTTGACAGTAAAAAAAAGACATTATGGACAAAATATGCAAAATGTGCAAAGAAAAAATAAATTTGCATTAGAAAGGTGGGCATTTGATCTCTGAGCCCTGTGCCATGTAACATTGCCATGTTCTTTCACTGTTGTTTGGATGTTGTACCCCAGCCCTTGACTCTGGACTTAAGGCAAGCTATGACTGGCTTTGGCCAGCAGAAGGAGGCAGCAGTGATGGCGGACCCATGCGGAACCCAGGCCTCAGCAGAACTATACCATGTTCTCCTCTTGCTTTTGTACACCTTTGCCATTGCCATGAGGACAAGCCCCATCTAGCCTTCTGGAGCATGGCAGACACATGGAGCAGAACCAAATCACTGCAGTGATTCAAGCCACGCCTAACCTAGATCAACCAACAGCCAGCTGTCCCCCAGGCATGGAGGTGAGCCCAACAGAGCTGTCTGCTCAACAGAGCTGTCTACCCAACTCCCAATGAACCTTAAATGCACGAGCAATTGGCTTGCTCTATGCTAGTGGGATTTTTGTGGCTGTTTGTTATGAAGCATTACTGTGGTAGGAGAAAACTGATACATCTCCTCTGTGATGCCCTCGTTGGCTTCTTTTTCTTTTTTTTTTTTGAGACAGAGTCTTGCTCTGCTGCCCAGGTTGGAGTGCAGAGGCACCATCTCGCCTGTAATCCCAACACTTTGAGAGGTTGACGCGGGTGGATCACTTGAGGTCAGGACTTCAAGACCAGCCTGGCCAACATAGTGAAACCCTGTCTCTACTCAAAATACCAAAATTAGCCAGGCGTGGTGGTGCGTGCCTAAAATCCCAGCTACTCAGGAGGCTCACTGCAACCTCTGCCTCCCAGATTCAAGTGATTCCCTTGCCTCAGCCTCCCGAGTAGCTGGGACTACAGGCAACCGCCATCACTCCTGGCTAATTTTTGTATTTTGAGTACAGACAGGGTTTCAGTATGTTGGCCAGGCTGGTCTTGAACTCCTGACCTCAAGTGATCCGCCCGCCTCAACCTCTCAAAGTGTTGGGATTACAGCGTCAGCCACCGCGCCCAGCCCTTCTTTGGCTTTGTATGGCAAAATGGCCTCATTGAGTATCTCAGATCTCTGGTGGTGAACTCTCTGAAAGCAGCTGACAATCAATACAGGTCCCTAAGCTTGGCTGTGCTTTTGCTTCTTAGGCGCCTTTTTCCCTTTTCCAAAATACCCCACTCAGGTGTGCTCAACTCACCTGAGATCTAGGCCCTGGGACTTCCGTCTTCATCAGAGGCCCATCATAATCAAATTCAACGTCGACTTTGGCTGCAGCTTGACTAATGTGTCTGGATCCTGCAGTAAACAAAGACAATGAGAAATCCCTGGTGACAGCAGAGATCATGAGGATTCTGCCCTGACAGATGCCCAATGTCCCTAACAGAGGTAGTGCCAGGACCTTAGCCTCATCCCAGCCAGACCACCCCAGAACACTGTGTCTGGACAGACCAACTGGGCCACCACAAGGACACTGTAGATTTTAAAAAAGGGAAAACCCAGTGTCAGCAAAGTTGTAGGCAAATAGGCATGCTCCTGTTTTACTGGCATGAGTACAAGCTGATGCCAGCTTTCTTTGTATTTATTTATTCATTTTTTTTTGAGACAGAGTCTTGCTCTATTGCCCAGGCTGGAGTGCATTGGCCCCAACAAGGCTCACTGCACCCCTGACCTCCAAAGGCTCAGTTGATCCTTCTGCCTCAGCCTCCTGAGTACCTGGGATTACAGGCACGCACCACCATGCCTGGCTAATTTTGGTATTTTTAGTAGAGACGGGGTTTCGCCATGTTGCCCAGGCTGGCCTCAAACTCCTGGGCTCAAGCAATCCACCTGCCTTGACCTCCCAAAGTGCTGGGATTACAGGTGTGAGCCACCATGCCTGATCTGATGCCAGCTTTCTATTGCTTTCAACTGAGTAATCTCGTTTTTATGATTCATCCTAAGAAAATAATGGGACCAGTACACAAAGATGGAGGTAGACAATATTCATCATATATTGTCTATTTAACAGCAAAGAGGGCCAGATGGGGTCGCTCATTCCGGTAATCCCAGCACTCTGGGAGTCGAAGGTGGGTGGATCCCTTGAGCTCAGAAGTTCACGACCAGCTTGGGCAACGTGGTGAAACCCCATCTCTACCACAAAACAAAAATTAGCTGGGCGTGGTGGTACATGCCTTTAGTTCCAGCTACTTGGGAGGCTGAGGTGGGAGGATTGCTTCAGCCTGAGAGGTTGAGGCTGCAGTGAGCCATGATTACAGCACTTCAGCCTGGGCAACAGAGTGAGACGCTGTCTCAACAAACAAACAAAAAACAAAGGGAAAACAACCTACATGTCCAGCACCGGAGGTCAGCTAAGCAGAATGTGGCATAGTCAACCATTTCATGGAATATTATGCACCCATTAATTGTTTTGAGGTTGACATCTTAAATATTTGTGGATATGGAAAGATGCCCATGGTATTAGCATGCAGAGACACGATCTGGGCTCACTGCAACATCTGCTTCCCAGGTTCAAGTGATTCTCCTGCCTCGGCCTCCCAAGTAGCTGGGATTACAGGTGCCTACCACTACACCCGGCTAATTTTAGTATTTTTAGCCTGGCTGAGGTCTGGTTGTTTAAAAGTGTGTGGCTGGCTGGGCACCGTGGCTCATACCTATAATCCCAGCACTTTGGGAGGTTCAGGCAGGTGGATCACCTGAGGTCAGGAGTTCAAGACCAGCCTGGCCAACATGGCGAAATCCCGTCTCTATCAAAAATATAAAAACTAGCCGGGTGTGGTGGCAGGCACCTGTAATCCCAGCTACTAGGGAGGCTGAGGCATGAGAATCGCTTGAACCCAGGAGGCAGAGGCTGCAGTGAGCCAAGATTGTGCCACTGCACTTCAGACTGGGTAACAAAGCGAGACTCCATCTCAAAAGAAAAAAAAATGTGTGGCTCCTCCCTGCTTGCTCTCTTGCTCCTATTCCTACCATGTGAGGCACCTCGCTTGCCCTTTGCCTTCCACCATGATTGGAAGTTTCCTGAGGCCTCCCCAGAAGCTGAGCACATGCCAGCATCATGCTTCCTGTAAAGCCTGCAGAACCATGAGCCAATTAAACCTCTTTTCTTTAAAAATTACCCAATCCCAGGTATTTTTTTTTGTAGCATTGCGGGAACAGACTAATACATGGTCACCCATCATTTGTTTGAATGCATTTCACATTTTCCACATAATGTGTAATGAGTTTACAGAGGGTGTTTGATTTCCCGGGTGAATCCCACAATCTTTTTAGCTCCACATGTTGCTGAAACACAAAGGGTAGCTCAAGCCCAAGCCTTGCTGATCCCTGAGTGAAAGACAGGTGCGGTGTATCCAAGACAAGTGTGTGAGGGTTTACTGTCAGGAACCCCTAGAAATCCCTTCAGTGTTACTCTTGATCTTTCACCTTCCTGGTACTATTTGGTGGTTGGGAAATGTTAGTTCCTCTTACTGGGGTTGCCATAATTGTACCAAACTAGGGAATCAGTGGACACTTTATATAAATTACATAAATAATCTAATTTCATCTTCATATATATAATAAACAAAAATATATATTATATAACTACATATATAACTAAAATATATATTATAACTAAAATATATAACATATTATAACTAAAATATATATTATATATTATAACTAAAATATATATCATATAACTAAAATATATATTATATATTACAACTAAAATATATTATATATTAAAACTAAAGTATATATTACATAATATATTATAACTAAAATACATATTATATACTATAACTAAAATATATATTATATAATACATTATAACTAAAATATATATTATATAATATATTATAAAATGTGTGTATATATATATATATATATATAACTGTTTCCATTACACAAGAGGGGACTCTAAAGCTCAGAGAAGTTAAGAAATGTGCCAAGATCTCCCGTGACACACACACACACACACACACACACACACACACAGAGACACACATGCAGATAGCTTGTCGAACTATACAAAGCTATGAGATTTTGAAACATATTTAAAATCACTCTTAATTTTCCATAATTGCTTTGGTTATCAAAGAAGGTTTCTGAATTAATTATGTAACATCATGCTGTCTTTTGAACATAAAGTACCGTTAAAATACAGCACTATACTTATATAAGGATGAAGAAAAACAGCTTTTATTTTCTTCTCTTTGATCTGAAAAAGGGAATTCCTAAAAGTATTCCATTAGAAGAGAGCTAAAGGTCCTAGAACATATCGATGACTTTTTTTTTTTTTTTTTTTTAAAGAAATGAGGTCTCGCTATGTTGCCCAGCCTGGCGTTGAACTCCTGGGCTCAAGTGATCCTCCTGCCTCAGCCTCCCACGTAGCTAGGACTACAGGCACACAACACTGCGCCCGGCTACTTTTTTTTTTTTTTTTTTTTTGAGACAGGGTCTCACTCTGTCGCCCAAGCCGGAATGCAGTGGTGCGATCTCAGCTCATTGCAACCTCTGCATCCCGGTTTCAAGCAATCCTCTCACCTTAGCCCCCTGAGTAGCTGGGATCACAGGCATGCGTCACCATGCCCGGCTAATTTTTTGCATTTTTGGCAGAGAAGGGGTTTTGCCATGTTTCCCAGGATGGTCTGGAACTCCTGAGCTCAGGCAATCCACCCGCCTTGGCCCCCCAAAGTGCTGGGATTACAGGCATAAGCCACCGTACCCGGCCCTAGTTTTTTACACTAAACTATTTATCTTTTCCTTTGCCAGAACTCAGGATAACTGGACAGCATTGATTCCAACTAGATCTTCAGGGACGCATATTTTGATAAAAATAGCTCTTCACCAGTGCAGATCTTGCTTTGTTTCCAGCAAAGGGGGAAAATGAAAAATCAGAAATTAGCAAGCTGTTCTTAAATGAGGACACACGCGTCCTCCTTTCTTTTCTCCAGAAAGTGTCTTGACATTGCATTGTAGCAATCAGATTTCTTGGGAACCGGAGTGTGGAAATACTGGGAATGGGAGCAGTACACAGGGGGAGCTGCGGCTGAATGGATCCAGAGAGAAATGACTGGAGAGCGTGGGATCAAGTGGAACTGCGATAATGAGCATGTCAAGGCCATGGGGAAACAGGAGCTGGGAGAGGTGGTGAAGAAAGGGTGAGAACTGGCTAACTGGGCGCTATGGGGCACAAGCCAGGAATGCTGAGGACAGGTCCAAGGCAGATGGGTCTGTTCCGAGAACTGTATCAGCTCCTATCATGTTTTCCATAAGTTTGTTTGCAACTGCGCTATCAGAAAGGGGGGGAATGGGGAAATTAACACATATTCAGTCTTTACTAAAATGCTAGGCTGGCCCTATTTAGGCAAACTTCCATCTATTTTAAGTAATCCACAATTAAATACAACCATATAGATAGTATTGTTGTTCACAGTTTACAGTTGAGGATCAGAGATGTTAAGTGACTTTCCCGATGTCACACAGCTAGTGAGTTGAAGAGTCAGCATTGGAACCCAGGTTCTTGCAATCCCAATACTTCTGCTTTTCCTTCTATATCTCAATGTTGGCATTTTTAAAAAAGGAAAATAACCAAATACTATTACAATGAATATTCTCTTAATGATGACATATAACAATACACCACAAGAGAACAGAACAAAAATTGAAGGGACAAGTAAACCTTCTCTTGGATCTCATCTATGAAGACACAGAAGCAGATTCAAGTGTGTACTGAGCACTTAGGGTAACAACCAGGAATCATCTGGAGCAATTTACATGGCTTATCTCATTTAATTCTCACAAACTCCTATGAGGTAAATGTTATTATTCTTACATTACAGAAGAAGACGCTGAGGCTCAGAGAGGTTAATTAATTTGCCCAAGATCACACAGCTAGCAAGTGGTTAGCAGGAAATTTGCCCATCTGACCTGTTTCCTAGAAGCTATGAATGGAACTGAGGCTATCTTTGATTTCATCGAGTGCTAGCCTTTGAATGAAACATTTGCAGCAAAACAACACACTTCTCCTAAAGGCAAATTTTGATCATGATCACAAAGATGCAAAAAACCGGTTTGAATTAATACTGAATGATCAAGCATTTTCATTCTTGAATAAAATAACACATCCAGAAGGCAAGAGTATGTTATTGACACACAAGACCAGACACAATATGTGAATGGTCCATCCAGCCTGGCCCTCTGGGGCTCACAGCCCTCAATGGCCATGCCAAGCCAGAGTCTATTTTTAGCTCCAAACTACACAGTAGCTAGCAAACATTGTTAATGTTCTCTTGATCTTTAGACCGAGAGTGATAAACGAATGTCGTGTTCCCAAACAGCCAAAGCTCTGTACATGAGCCTGGCCAGAACGAAGGTCAAGTCCAACTGGAGTTGTTTGCTCTGCTTTTCTGTTAAAAAATTTTTTTTATCTGCTCCTGCAACTGTCCACCCCACTTATTTTGTGATAAAATGTTTATTGAGGAAGATACCAATAAGCAACATGGAAAAAAGAAAACACATTTAATTTTCTACCCAGCAATAACAATTTTGATGTGGTCTCCCACTCTCTGTATTCTATTTACCAACATAAGATTATTAATTTTGGGGAGGCATAAAATGATGCCATTGGGAACACCATGTCAGATCGTTAACTATCGTCACTTTAATGGCCTCACAGGGACCTGGTGGAGACACCATGGAGAAGCAGGAAAATGCTGTGGGTATGGCTGCAGGCTGAGGCTTCCATTTTTGGCACCCTCTCTTGCTTTGAGGGAGCAGTTGCCACATTGTAAGCGGCTCTGTGAAGAGGTCCACGTATCAAGGAACTGAGAGTGGCTTCTGGCTGACAGCATCCAAGGAACTGAATCCAGCCACAACCCCGTAAGTGGGACTGCCAGTAGATCGTCCAACCGCCAAGTTGAGCCATCATATGAGACCACAGCCCCAGCTGACAGCTCCATTACACCCTCATGACAGACCTTGAGCCAGAGGATCTGGCTAAGTCACCCCTGGAGTCCCAACCCGCAGAAACTGTGAGATAATAAACATAGGATCCCAATCTGCTAAATCTGGAGGTATGTGTTACGTGGCGGCAGATAATCAATACAGTGGCTCGGGTCCTGGAGCCAACTGGGCTTAGCTCAAAAGCCTGGCTCAGCCGCTCATCAGCTCTGTGGCTCTGGCAACTTAATTTCCCTGACTTGAAGTTTCCTTTACCTTAAGGAGTGGAGGTGAGGGCTAAATGGGTTAAAAGTAAGCTGTAATTCCTATCATTTTTTAATCCTTCCCCTGGTTGCTACTTGCCTAATAGCAGTGTACGAGAGTACACGTATTCCTGTATCTTTGCCAACACTGTGTTTTAGTATTCTTAAAAAACCATATTCTGGCTTACTAGATATCCCAAATCAATAAGTCAAAAGAGAAGACAAAATCTCACCATATGGTTTTCTAAATCATAAATGTGCCAAAAAAGATTCAGCTCCAGCCAAGAAAATGCAGAAGAGGTAAAGGTAAGAAACTCTGTGATTTAGCCATTTCTATTTTTTCTGTTTTTTTGTTTTTTGCATTGTGCCTGTATTTCCATGCTTGTAAAATGGGAGTTAGGACACTTCCCACCTTACTGTAAATACAAATAAAGTGCTTTCACATGAACCATAACCTCCGCCTCCTGGGTTCTAACCCATTCTCCTGCCTCAGCCTCCCAAGTAGCTGGGATTACAGGTGCACACCACCATGCGCAGCTAATTTTTGTATTTTTAGTAGAGACGGGGTTTCATCATGTTGGCCAGGCTGGTCCTGAACTCCTGACCTCAGGTGATCCACCCGCCTCAGCCTCCCAAAGTGTTGGTATTACAGGTGTGGGCCACTGTGCCTGGCCCATATGAACCATTTCTTCTAATGCAAGAAATTTGTGAAATAGGAAGGATATGATTATTAGACCCGTTTTCCTGATGAGAAAACCGAGGCTTGGATAAGGTATATCGGTTAGGCTCACTTGGTTAATGTGTGGTGAAGGTAGCAATCCAATCACATGAATCTTGACCTAGTGCTCTTCCCATGGTGTCTCCTTAGGAAAGCTCAGATGTCCTGGAGAATGACCTTTAAAGATGGTGCCACATGCGCCACCAGGCTAGAGCTCCACAAGAGCCACATGTCTTTCTTCACTGCCACATCCTTAATACCCAGCACAGCACTTGGCATGCAGTAGGTGCCCAACAGCCTTAGTTATGGAATGAATGGATCATCTGTGCCAGACTCTCTTTCTGACTTGGAACCCTCCATACCTACATCTTTCTGATTTAGTTTAGCATAATTATGGGTAAACATTAATATGCTTCTCTTATAAATAAATAAATAAAGCAAAACCTTGGCCAGGTGCAGTGGCTCATGCCAGTAATCCTAACACTTTGGGAGGCCAAGATGGGTGGATCACTTGAGGTCAGGAGTTGGAGACTAGCCTGGCCAACATGGTAAAACCCTGTCTCTACAAAAAATATAAAAATTAGCCGGGCATGGTGGCAGGTGCCTGTAATCCCAGCTACTTGGGAGGCTGAGGCAGGAGGATCACTTGAATCCGGGAGGTGGAGGTTGCAGTGAGTCGAGATTGCACCACGGCACCACTCCAGCCTGGCCAACAGAGTGAGACTCCATCTCAGACACACATACACACACACCAAAAAAAAAACAAAAACAAAAACAAAAACAAAAACAAAAAAGAAAAAAGGAAAAGCAAAACCTCAAAAGCCATTGATAACTTCTTAAAACCACCCAGGTCGAGAAGAATAAGGAAAAGACTGAGAAACTGTCACAGACCAGAGGAGGCCATGGAAGATGAGACAAATCAATGCAATGTGTGTACCTGGATTGGATCCTGGAGCAGAAAAAGACATTAAAGGAAAAATGAGTGAAAGCCAAATAAAAGTCTGGAGTTTGGTTAATGGTAACATACCAAGGTCAGTTTCTTAGTGTCTTTAAAAACTTATTTATCTATTATTATTATTTTAAGACAAGGCCACCCAGGCTGGAGTGCTGTGGCATGATCATGGCTCACTGCAGCCTCGATCTCCCAGGCTCAAGCAATCCTCCCGCTTCAGCCTCCCCAGTAGCTGAGACTACAAGCACATGTCACCATGCCCAGCTAAGTTTTGTATTTTTCACAGAGACAGGGTCTCCCTATGTTGCCCAGGCTGGTCTCAAACCCCTGGGCTCAAGCGATCCTCCTGCCTCAGCCTCCCAAATTGCTGGGGTTACAGCTGTGAGCCACTGTCTTGTCTGTCTGTCCTTCTTTCTTTCTTTCCTTTCTTTCTTTCTTTCTTTCTTTCCTCCTTCCTTCCTTCCTTCCTTCCTTCCTTCCTTCCTTCCTTTCTTCCTTTCCTTTCTTTTTTTTTTTTTTAATCTCAGTCTGTTGCCCAGGCTGAAGTACAGTGGCTCAATCTCAGCTTACTGCAACCTCCGCCTTCTGGGTTCAAGTGCTTCTTCTGCCTCAGCCTCCCAAGTAGCTGGGATTACAGGTGCCTGCCACCACACCCGGCTAATTTTTTTTTTGTATTTTTAGTAGAGATGAGGTTTCACCATGTTGCCCAGGCTGGTCTCGAACTTCTGACCTCAGATGATCCTCCTGCCTCGGCCTCCCAAAGTGCTGGCATTATAGGCGTGAGCCACCGCGCCTGGCCAGCTAGTTTCTTAGTGTTGACAACTGCATCTTGGTGATGTAAGATGTTAACAAGGGAGGAAACTGGTGAGGGCCATATGGGTTCTCCCTGTAATATCTTTGTAACTTCTCTGTAAATCTAAAATTTTTAAAAAATAAGATGTTTATTTATTTATTTTTTATTTTTTTGAGACAGAGCCTCGATGTTGCCCAGGCTGGAGTACAGTGGCACGATCCAGCTCACTGCCACCTCTACCTCCTGGATTCAAGCGATTCTCCTGCCTCAGCCTGCTGAGTAGTTGGGATTACAGGCATCCACCACCATACCTGGCTAATTTTTGTATTTTTGGTAGAGACGGGGTTTCACCATGTTGGCCAGGCTGGTCTCGACCCCTGACCTCAGGTGATCTGCCCACCTCGCCTCCCAAAGTGCTGGGATTACAGTTGTGAGCCACTGCGCCCGGCCAAGATGTTTATTTTAAAATAAAGCCTACTCATACTCCTTGGGGAGGGGCGAACGCTCCTACTGTTTATGCCACCCAGGACATACACACCAGCATTCAACATGCAGACCAAGGACACGGCTAGCAGTTTGTCTTCAGAAGGCAGTAAGGCCTGCCAACAAGGGACACCATGATGACAAGCACAGGGGCTGTGAGAGAGCTGGGGACAGGCTGGAGGCTCACTGGTCTTTCTGAACCTATTTCATGGCCAGCCCCGAGCCAGGCACTTTATATCTCTGCAGGAGGCCACTCTCGGGGCATGTGAAGGGAGGCTCCTGCTGGCGGCTCTGTCTCCAGAGCCACATGGAGGCACACGGAGGAGTAGTTAGCATTGGAGCCGGACAGAGTTGCTTGCAAGTGGCTGTGTGACCTTGGGCAAATGGCTTTGCTTCTCTAAGCCTGAGTTCTCTCACCTGTAAAATAGGATTCACTTGAGCCTCCCTCCCTCATGGGACTATTGGGAGGGAGGTCTCAAAGACGTCAAACAGAAGGAAGAAGGAGCCAGTGCAAGTGGCCATGGGTGTGGGGCAGAGTGGGGGTGAGACATTCCTAAGATGGTGCCTCCCATCCAGTGATCCAGTGACCCTGAAGCACAGCTGGGCTCTAGGTCAATTTCAGAGTCGCTTATGGCTTTCTTTGTTCCTTAGCAGCGATCCCAGATGTGTGTTTTCCCCAGCGGTCCCTGCAGAGATGGCCTGGGGCCATCTGGCTGTGGAGGCCACCGCCTACCTGCAGGCAGAGTGGCTCCAGGGTGGATCCAATCCCATCAGACCGAGGCACTTGGGACAGGATCATATGACAGAGATGGGAGAGAGAAAGGAGGTGGCGATGGTGACAGTTTTATGGATAGTGGGTGATGTGGTTTGGCTGTGTCCTCATTCAAATCTCATCTTAAATCATAGCTCCCATAATTCCCACGTCATGGGAGGGACCCAGTGGGAGGTAATTGAATCATGGGGGTGGGTCTTTCCCATGCTGTTCTCATGATAGTCAATTGAGTAAGTCTCACACGATCTGATGTTTTTACAAACGGGAGTTCCCCTGCACATGCTCTCTTGCCTGTAGCCATGTAAGACGTGCCTTTGTTCCTCCTTCACCTTCCGCCATGATTGTGAGGCCTCCCCAGCCATATGAAACTGTGAGACCATTAAACCTCTTTTTCTTCATAAAATACCCAGTCTCAGGTGTACCTTTATTAGCAGCATGAGAACAGACTAATACAGTGGGACAGTCCCAGAAACACTCACTGGCTGGTCCCTTTATCCCCAAGGGCTCTTCCAGCCCAGGAATCCCTAGTCTGGATGGTATCTTCCATTAGTACCAGTTCTTATCAAGACCCCCGGGGCTTACCAGGCACCAGCAGGCGGTAGCTGTGCTGGAAGCTGCAGGCCAGGCGCTGGGCGAGCAACATGGAGGCCATGACCCCTTGAGGGACAGGGACACCCTTTGCGTGCTGCCACCCTGAAAGAAACCAGAAATGCAGACTTAGGCCCATGAAGACCACTCCCCTCTCAGCCAAAGATCCCATCCCCACCACTTCCCACCTAATAGAGAAAGTTCTTCTGACATTGTCAAATGCTTGGGTTTTATACTGAACATGGACTTTATATATTAGGCCAGGCAAGGTGGCTCACACCTGTCATCTCAGCCACACTGGGAGACCGAGGACTTCTTGAGGCCAGGAGTTCCAGACTAGTCTGGGCAGCATAGCAAGATCCCATCTTCACAAAGACTTTAAAAATTAGCTGGGTGTGGTGGTGCCTGCCTATAGTCCCAGCTACTCAGGAGGCTGATGTGGTAGGATCGCTTGAGCCCAGGAATTTGAGGCTGCAGTGAGCCATAATCGCGCCACTGCTCTCCAGCCTGGGTGACAAAGTGATACCCTGTCTCAAAAAAAACCAAACCAAAACAAAACAAAAAAAACCAACCCAAAACTATATTATACTGAATATATACTTCAATTCACATTTTTTTTTTTTTTTTTTTGAGATGGAGTCTCATTCTATCGCTCAGGCTGGAGTGCAGTGGCTCGATCTCGGTTCACTGCAACCTCAGCCTCCTGAGTAGCTGGGACTACAGGCATGTGCTACCATGCCCAGTGATTTTTTTTTTTAAGTAGAGATGGGGTTTCACTATGTTGGCTAGTTTGGTCTTGAACTTCTGACCTCAAGTAATCTGCCTGCCTTGGCCTCCCAAAGTGCTGGGATTACAGGTATGAACCACTGTGTCCAGCCCTGATTGCCATTCTTATTGGGAGCCTGGAGCAGCCCCTATCCCCCAGTTTGTTTCCTTTTATCATCTCTCCTTGCTCCCTGTTCCCTCTCCCCAGAACACCATTTAAATGTGTTTTGTGTGCCTCCTTCTGTCTGTACATCTTTCTGCTAAAAACCTGTTTTGTTAATTGGTATGTGTATTTTTTACATAAATGGTATTGTATCTCAGAACAAAATTTGTATCTCAGAACAGCGACAGCACCATTCATGAGTCATTCCTCTTCATGGACCCTGTTTCCCGAGTCCTTTCTGTGTGACGCATGCTGCACAAAACGCTTTACATACAGTATGATTAATATTTATTACTATTATTAACATGTACAACCATGCTCCATGGTCTTTTTACAGAGGAGGAAATTGAGGCACAGAGAGGTTAAGTGGTGGATCTGAAAGCCGAACTCACATGTGTGTGACCCCAGAGTCAGCAAACCTCACAGTCACGCAACACTTAGCCCAAACACTCCAACAAAATCCCTCTATTTATTTTGCAACAAGTACTCCATTGAGTGCTGACTTTGTACCAAGTACTGTTTCTCAGACTGGACATACAGGGATGAATGAGGCAGGCCTGGAGCTTACATCTTCATGAGGAACAAAGAGAATGAAATGAATCATAACATAAACAAGGGCATCATTATAATGGGGAGAAGTGCCTTGAAGGAAAAGTGAAAGGTGCTAGGAGCATGATTTATCAGGCTTCTTTCACGTGCCAGCAACAATGGGGCAGGCGTGATTATCCCCATTTTACAGATGAGGAAACTGAGGCTCCAGAAGTGAGGTATTTTAACCCATGTTCACTGTAGCATTATTCACAATAGCCAAGAGGTGGAAGCAACCTAGACGTCCATTGACAGATGAATGGGAAAAAATATGCTGTATCCACAGAGTGGAATATTATGCAGCCTTAAAAAAGGAGGAAATCCTGTTATATGCTGCAACATGGATGAGACTGGAAGACATTATGCTAAGTGAAATAAGCCAGTCACCAAAGGTCAGATACTGCATGATTCCTGTCATATGAAACCTAAAGTAGATTAAGATTCAGTTCCCTCTCCCTCTCCCTCTCCCTCTCTTTCCACGGTCTCCCTCTCATGCTGAGCCGAAGCTGGACTGTACTGCTGCCATCTCGGCTCACTGCAACCTCCCTGCCTGATTCTCCTGCCTCAGCCTGCCGAGTGCCTGCGATTGCAGCCTCACGCCGCCACGCCTGACTGGTTTTGGTGGAGACGGGGTTTCGCTGTGTTGGCCAGGCCGGTCTCCAGCCCCTAACCGCAAGTGATCCGCCAGCCTCGGCCTCCCGAGGTGCCGGGATTACAGACGGAGTCTCGTTCACTCAGTGCTCAATGGTGCCCAGGCTGGAGTGCAGCGGCGTGATCTCGGCTTGCTACAACCTCCACCTCCCAGCCGCCTGCCTTGGCCTCCCAAAGTGCCGAGATTGCAGCCTCTGCCCGGCCGCCACCCCGTCTGGGAAGTGAGGAGCGTCTCTGCCTGGCCGCCCATCGTCTGGGATGTGAGGAGCCCCTCGGCCTGGCTGCCCAGTCTGGAAAGTGAGGAGCGTCTCCGCCCGGCCGCCATCCCACCTAGGAAGTGAGGACCACCTCTTCCCGGCCGCCATCACATCTAGGAAGTGAGGAGCGTCTCTGCCCGGCCGCCCCGTCTGAGAAGTGAGGAGCCCCTCCACCCGGCAGCCGCCCCGTCTGGGAAGTGAGGAGCGTCTCCGCCTGGCAGCCACCCCGTCCGGGAGGGAGGTGGGGGGGGGTCAGCCCCCCGCCCGGCCAGCCGCCCCATCCGGGAGGGAGGTGGGGGGGTCAGCCCCCCGCCCGGCCAGCCGCCCCATCCGGGAGGGAGGTGGGGGGATCAGCCCCCTGCCAGGCCAGCCGCCCCGTCCGGGAGGGAGGTGGGGGCATCAGCCCCCCGCCCGGCCAGCCGCCCCGTCCGGGAGGGAGGTAGGGGGGTCAGCCCCCCGCCCGGCCAGCCGCCCCGTCCGGAGGTGAGGGGCGCCTCTGCCCGGCCTCCCCTACTGGGAAGTGAGGAGCCCCTCTGCCCGGCCAGCCGCCCCGTCCGGGAGGTGAGGGGCGCCTCTGCCCGGCCGCCCCTACTGGGAAGTGAGGAGCCCCTCTGCCCGGCCACCACCCCGTCTGGGAGGTGTGCCCGACAGCTCATTGAGAACGGGCCAGGATGACAATGGCGGTTTTGTGGAATAGAAAGGCGGGAAAGGTGGGGAAAAGATTGAGAAATCGGATGGTTGCCGTGTCTGTGTAGAAAGAAGTAGACATGGGAGACTTTTCATTTTGTTCTGTGCTAAGAAAACTTCTTCTGCCTTGGGATCCTGTTGATCTGTGACCTTACCCCCAACCCCGTGCTCTCTGAAACATGTGCTGTGTCCACTCAGGGTTAAATGGATTAAGGGCGGTGCAAGATGTGCTTTGTTAAACAGATGCTTGAAGGCAGCAGGCTCGTTAAGAGTCATCACCACTCCCTAATCTCAAGTACCCAGGGACACAAACACTGCGGAAGGCCGCAGGGTCCTCTGCCTAGGAAAACCAGAGACCTTTGTTCACTTGTTTATCTGCCGACCTTCCCTCCACTATTGTCCTATGACCCTGCCAAATCCCCCTCTGTGAGAAACACCCAAGAATTATCAATAAAAAATAAATAAATTAAAAAAACAAACAAACAAAAAAAAAAAACAAAAAAAACCTAAAGTAGTCAACCTCCTAGAAACAGATAGAGGGTCTGGGCATGGTGACTCATGCCTCTAATCCCAGCACTTTGGGAGGCCGAGATGGGTGGATCACTTGAGGTCAGGTGTTCAAGACCAGCCTGGCCAACATAGTGAAACCCCGTCTCTACCAAACATAAAAAATTACCCGGGCGTGGTTGTGAGCTCCTGTAATCCCAGCTACTTGGGAGGCTGAGGCAGGAGAATCACTTCAACTCGGGAGGCAGAGGTTACAGTGAGCTGAGATCGCACCACTGCACTCCAGCCTGGGCGACAGGGCGAGACTCTGTTTCAAGGAGGAAAAAAAGAGAAACAGAAAAAGAGGAAAAAGAGGTTGCCGAGGGCTGGGGGAAGGGAAAAAAGGACATTGTTTAGTGTGTTTGGAGTTTCAGTTTGCAGGATGAAGTAGTTCTGGAGCTTCACTATACAACAAAAGTGCTTATAATACCGTACTGTATACTTGAAAATGGTGAAGATGGTAAATTTTATGTTATCTGTGTGATTTTTAAAATAACAATTAAAAAAAAAAAAAGAAAAGTGATCCAGGAAAGACATTGGTGTTGAGGTTGACATACCTATCAAGGACAACTAGACAACTACCACGGCTTCCAGTGCTTTGACAAAACTCAGGTGTGTGGCCTTCTGGTCCAGAGTCTGCCATTTCACATTGTTGGAGCAGTCATTGTATCCCTGAGAGTTGCAGCTCTCTATAAGTTTGCTGTGGCTGAACCAAGAAACAAGGCATATGTAGAAGCGATGAGGATGGCTGTTATTGTTCAGAGTGCAAAGTGATTTTGGAATATAAAGAATTTCTTTGGGTTGAGTTACCTAGAAGTTTATCACTGACCTGTGTTCCTGAACTATGAAACATGAATATGGGGGCTAAGAAATAGTTTCTCTTTGGGCTGGCAGGGTGGCTCACTCCTGTAATCCCGGAATTTTGGGAGGCCAAGGCAGGTGGATCACTTGAGGTCAGGAGTTCGAGATCAGCATGGCCAACACAGTAAAACCCTGTCTCTACTAAAAATACAAAAATTAGCTGGGTGTGGTGGTGCACGCCTGTAATCCCAGCTACTCAGGAGTCTGAGGCACAAGAATCGCTTGAACCTGGGAGGCGGAGATGGCAGTGAGCCAAGATCACACCACCGCACTCCAGTCTGGGTGATAGAGTGAGACACCGTCTCACACACAAAAAATTAGAAATAGTTTCTCTTGATAAATAAACAATTAATGAGTACTTTGGACAGTAAACAAAGTAAAACTATTTTTTTTAAAAGAAGCCATGTGGTTTACCCAGGACACAGCAAGTTGCTGGTGGAGCCAGCGTTGGGGTTGAGAGATATCTGGCTCAGGAGTCCTGGCTTGTGCCTAATGCATGGATTTATTGCGAGTTGCAACACCTGAAACTTACTCTGTGACAGACCCTGGGGACGCAGCCCTTTCCTCATGCAGCCCTGGCTTGGGCTGCCTAACTCTACCCAGCCCCACAGTGGACAGAAATTCCATCCTAGACCTGGATGAAGACCAAGAGGCTTCTCCCACCCCCTGCTTCTGTGATGACAGCATATAGGAAGTGCCAACCAGAGGTGATAAATACAGACCTAGAGAGATCCCACAGCTGGAGGGGAGGCCTGTATCCAAGGAGAGAGAACAGGGCAAGGAGGAATGACAGGCGGGTTCAGAGTACAGGTTCAGGTGCTGGGAAACACGTGGGCTCAGCAGCACAGGGCAGGAATAGTGTGGAGAATCAGGCACCGAGCCCAGGATGGCGAGTTCCAGCACGCTGTGGCTGCCCACAGAGCTAATAGAATGTTGGCTGTATTATTAGAAGGAAAGAGTGAATGAAGGAGGGAGGCGGTTGCCATTGATGCATTTGTGCTACGAACATTCATGGTACACCTACCGTGTGCCAGACCCTTCACTGGGCACTAGGGCACATAAAGATCAATTAGAGGCCGTCCTTACCCTCTAAGCATCATCAAGTACTGGGCACTTGCTATGTGCAGGCTCTCAGCTGGTGCTGTAGAACCATCTCGTTTCATCCCCAGAGCCCTAGGAGGCAGCTCCTAGAAGACAGAGACAGGTCATTATCCTGTCTTCAGGCAACTGAGGTACTATCACGGGTGGGGTGGGGTTGGTGCAGGAAGTATCTTCTGGGGTGTCTGCTCTGCACTTCCTTCCTCCCCCTTCTCAGATACTTCCCCATTCCTCTGCGGGGGCATAGACCTGGCCCTACTGGCCATGGTTGACTAGACAGGGCTGGGCCAGAGTCCTGACACTCTCTACCCACTGAGATGATCCAGCATTCAAACAGGGTCTTTTTTTTTTTTTTTTTTAAGACAAAAAAGGGCTAGACAAAAGAAAGACTAGAGAGCAGTGGCGTGATCATTGCTCACTGCAGCCTTGAACTCCTGGGCTCAAGAGATCCTCCCACCTTAGCCCTGCCAAGTAGCTGGGACTACAGGCATGCACCACCATACCCAGCTAATTTTTAAATATATATATTTTTTAGAGACAGGGGTCTCGCTGTGTTGCCCAGGCTGGTCTCAAACTCCTGTGCTCAAATGATCCTCCCATCTTGGCTCCTGAAGTGCTGGGATTATAGGCATGAGGCATGGTGCCTGGTCTTTGTGAGACATTCTGAAGGGTACATTACTCCCTTCTCTTTGCTCAAACATCTATAGGAGTAGGGTAATCTCCCTGTTCAGAGATGATAAAAGGGAGGCTCAGAGAGGTTATGACATTCGGCCTCAGTCATAGGCTTACCTGAGACTGTCTGACCCCAAAGCCCCTGCCTCTATGCATTGTAACATCAGTTAATCCAGCTAATAACAAAACTCCTAGCTGTTTTTGTTTTTGTTGAGACAGGGTCTGGCTCTGTCACTCAGGCTGGAGAGCAGTGGTGTAATCTTAGCTTACTGCAACCTCTGCCTCCCCCAGGGTCAGGCCATCCTGCCACCTCCCAAGTACCTGGAACTACAGGCGAACGCCGCCACGCCCAGCTAATTTTTTTTTTTTTCAGTAGAGCCAGGTTTTTCTCACGTTGTGAAGGATGGTCTTGAACTCCTGAGCTCAAGTAATCTGCCTGCCTTGGCCTCCCAACGTGCTGAGATTACAGGCGTGAGCCACCGTGCCCGGCCCCTAGCTATTGTTGATATGAGGCTTCATGAATAAAAATGACGTAGTTCACAGAATAAATTTTATTGCTTTTCACCAGAGGAAACTTTCTGAGAAAGTGTGGGCTTGGAAAGTGTGGCCATGAATTAACTGAGAAACCAAACTCTTTGTTTTTGAGATGGAGTCTTGTTCTGTTGCCAGGCTGGAGTACAGTGGCGTGATCTCGGCTCACTGCAACCTCTGACTCCCTGGTTCAAGCGATTCTCCTGCCTCAGCCTCCCGAGTAGCTGGGATTATAGGCATGTGCCACCACACCTGGCTAATTTGTGTATTTTTAGTAGAAATGAGGTTTTACCATGTTGGCCAGAAGGTTCTCAATCTCCTGACCTTGTGATCCACCCGCCTCTGCCTCCCAAAGTGCTGGAATTACAGGTGTGAGCCACTGTGCATGGCCCAAACTCTTTTCTTAATAACTCAATGGATTTTTTTTTTCTATTCCAGGATATCCGACTCAATGCAAGCCTATTAATTTAGCAACAGAGTAACTGTGTAGAAAGTGCAGTTCATGTCTTTCCCTTAAAACCACTTGTCTGAAACAGGGAGCACTGAGGCGTCACACAATTCAATTTCCATTAAACACGTTTTTGAAACTCCGAATGTCTCAGAGAACTCAACATTTGAATATTCTGCAAAAGTGAGAGCCAATCCCACACGTTTTCAATTACAAAATGTCACATTGGAAAATATACCGTGGTGACATTTTGGTGGCCTGCAGTTGAAAATTGACCTTATAACAAAATCTGATCTCTGTTAGACATTAATTCTTAGCACAATATATTTCAAACAATTGGAAGAGTTAACGTCATTCATTCACTCCCTCTCATCCACTAATTCAATCAACACAAGTTAATTAGGCACCTGTTATCAGCAAGGCACTGCATCGTTTAGATATAATCAATCTCTCTCTCTCTCTCTCTCTGACAGGGTCTCACTCTGTCGCCCAGGCTGGAGTGCAGTGGGGCGATCAGGGCTCACTGCAGCCTCTATCGCCCGGGCTCTAGCAATCTTCCCATCTCAGCCGTCCAAGTAGCTGGGACTACAGGCATGTGCCATCATGCCTGGCTAATTTTTTTAAATTTTTAGTAGAGATGAGGTCTTGCTATTTTGCCCAGGCTGGTCTCAAACTCTTGAGCTCAAGTGATCCTACCATCTTGGACTCCCAAACGGTTGGGATTACAGGCATGAGCCACCGCTCCTGGCCAAGTCATCACTTCTCTTAGGAGAAACCAAGATGGATAAATTGCTTTCTTTCTGAAGCTCATAATTTAGTGGCAGAGAACTATGAGCGGAAAGAAAATGGAAGAATTTAATGTACTAGGCTGCTTTACCCATCATGTGAATACTTTCTTAAAATAACTCAGCATGATATGTACATAAAAATTTTCCAGTTCACTGTCAACAACAAATTCTGCATAAGATAGAACAGAATCACAACTATTTTGCTGGTGTGAGTGAAGTGCTAAGGGAATACGGGGAGATTCTTTCTGGCTGGGGTGACAATGTCAGGGAGGTGTTGCCTGAGCTGCATCTTCAAAAGTTAGGCGATTTCAGAAGGCAATGAAGAAAGCAGGGATAAGGCAAGTGCTCGGAGGTGTATGATGACACGGAGTAGCTAAGGATCCTGGTGCACAGTGAGAGTGGGTGTGGTAAGAAATCATAGAGCACTTGGAGGGAAGGTGAAGGTGCGGTCATCTGGAGCCAACTCGAGCAACAATTTCTAGGCTGATCTTGATTGATAGGGCCCTCTGGAGACCCTCTCAAAGGGAGGAGGGAGCCCAGCTGCTCTAGTTGCATCCAGAAGGGTCTGTCCTCCAGCAAAGGATACAACCAACAAAGCGAAGAGGCAACCCACAGAACAAGAGAAAATATTTACAAACTACTCCTCTCACAAGGGATTAATAACCAGAATATAAAAAGGAGGTCAAACAACTCTATAGAAAAAAATCTCATAATTCGATCAAAAAATGGACAAAAGATTTGAATAGATATTTCTCAAAAGAAGACATACAAATGGCAAGCAAGCACATGAAAAGGTGCTTGACATCACTGATCATCAGAGAAGGCAAATCAAAACTACAAAGAGCTGTCATCTCACCCCAGTTAACATGGCTTATATCCAAAAGACAGGCAATAACAAATGCTGGAGAGGATGTGGAGCAAAGGGAACCCTTGTACATTGTTAGTGGGAATGTAAACTAGTACAACCACTATGGAGAACAGTTGGAGGTTCCTCAAAAAACTAAAAATTGAGCTACCATATGATCCAGGAATCCCACTGCTGGGTAAATACACAAAAGGAAGGAACTCAGTATATCGAAGAGATATCTGCACTCCTATGTTTGTTGCAGCATTGCTTACAATAGCTAAGATTTGGAAGCAACCTGAGTGTCCAATAACAGATGAATGGATAAAGAAAATGTGGTTCATACACGCAATGGAGTACTATTCAGCGCAGTGGCTCACACCTGTAATCCCAGCACTTTGGGAGGCTGAGGCAGGTGGATCCCATGAGGCCAGCCTGGCGAACATGGCTAAACCCCATCTCTACAAAAAACAAAAATCATCTGGGTGTGGTGACCCATGCCTGTAGTCCCAGTTACTAGGGAGGCTGAGGCAGGAGAATCGCTTGAACCCGGGAGGCAGAGGTTGCAGTGAGCCGAGATGGCGCCACTGCACTCCAGCCTGGGCAACAGATCGAGACTCCATCTCAAAAAAAAAAAAAAAAGATCTAGTCATTTGCAACAACGTGGATGGAACTGGAGATCATCATGTTAAGTGAAATAAGCCAGGCACACAAAGACAAGTGGCATGTGTTCTCACTTATTTGTGGGATCTAAAAATCAAATCAATTGAAGTCACGGGCATAGAGAGTAGAAGGATGGTTACCAGAGGCTGGGAAGGGTAGTGGCGGGTTGAATGGGAGGTGGATAGTTAATGGGTACAAAAAAAATTAGAAAGAATAGAAGGGTCTGTGTTTAGGCAGGCTCCCAGGGAGGGGCAGGGAGCATGCACTCAGCATGTCAATGAGATGCTGGGGTCACTGAGCTGGGGAGGGGGTTCTCGAGGCAGGTGTGTTGGAGGGCACCCACTGGGGTGGGAGTTGATGAGGAGTAAGAAGGCAGGGATTAGCTCTTAAACCCTCAGTCCTAGAGTTGGCATGGCCTTTTAAGAATTACAAGTTCCTCAAAAAGTTAAGCATAGAATTACTACTACATGACCCAGCAATTCCACCCCTAAGTACTAGGTTGGTGCAAAAGGAAATGACCTTTGCATCAACCCAAAGAACTGAAAACAGAGACTCAAACAAATACACATAGCAGCACTATTCACAAGCGCCGAAAGGTAGAAAAAGCCCAGATGTCGATCAGTGGATGAATGAATAAACAAAACATGGTCTATCCTTACAACGAAATATTATTCAGTCATAAAAAGGAATGAAGTTCTGACACATGCTACAACATGGATAAATCTCAAAATATTTTTTATGCTATATGAATGAATGCAGAGGTAAAATGCCCCATAGTCTACGAATCCATTTATAGGAACCTTCAAGAGTAGGTGAATCTACAAAGACAGAAAATAAATCAGGGGTTGGCAGGGGCCTGGGAGGAATGAGAGATGACTGCTTAATGGGTACGGGGGTCTCCGGGGTGATGAAAAAAATCTGGAATTAGATAGCGGTGGTGGCTGCACAGCATTGTGGATGTTCTAAAAGGGTCTGAGTTTTCACTTAAAAAGGTTAATGTTATGTTTATCTTAATAAAAATGAAAAAGCCAGGCGCGCTGGCTCACGCCTATAATCGTAGCACTTTGGGAGGCCGAGACGGGTAGATCACCTGAGGTCA
Organism: Homo sapiens; assembly: GCF_000001405.40. Classification (NCBI taxonomy): domain Eukaryota; kingdom Metazoa; phylum Chordata; class Mammalia; order Primates; family Hominidae; genus Homo; species Homo sapiens. The sequence continues at coordinate 8,725,142 of NC_000016.10, read as the reverse complement.
GGAATTCGAGACCAGCCCGACCAACATGGAGAAACCCCGTCTTTACTAAAAATACAAAATTAGCCGGGCGTGGTGGCAGGCGCCTGTAATCCCAGCTACTTTGGAGGCTGAGGCGGGAGAATCGCTTGGACCCGGGAGGCGGAGGTTGCGGTGAGCCGAGATGGCGCCACTGCACTCCAGCCTGGGCAACAGAGTGAGACTCCATCTCAAAAAAAAAAAAAAGAAAAAAGAGATATTGGAGTTGGCTGTCTTTTGTAGATGGGAAGGGAGAGGACCAAAGAAGTGTGTGTAGAGTAATGACACACTCTGATCACACAGACTTATTCTTCAATTTCCACCTGCTACAGGCTGTGTGACCCCAAGATTGCCATTGTTTTTTTTTTTTTTTTTTTTTTTGTTTTTTTTTTTTTTCCTGAGACAAGGTCTGGCTCTATTGCCCAAGCTGGAGTGGAGTGGTGCCATCTCAGCAACCTCTGGCTCCCAGGCTCAAGTGATCCTCCCATCTCAGCCTACCGAGTAGCTGGGACTATAAGCACATGCCACCACACCTGGCTAATCTTTGTATTTCTTTTTTGGAGAGATGGGGTTTCACCATGTTGCCCAGGCTGATCTTGAACTCCTGGGCTCAAGCAGTCCTCCCACCTTGGCCTCCCAAAGTGCTGGGATTACAGGTGTGAACCACCATGCCTAGCTGAGAGAAGCTAATTTTCTGTGCAGTATTGAAATGGCAAATAAATGTTACAACACGTGCCAGTGCTGGCCAATGAGTATTGCCTATTTGGAGCAGCGAACAAAAAGATTTTACGGCCTCTTTTAGCTTTACTTATTTTTTATTTTTCATTATTTTTTGACCTGTTAGCAGGAAGCACTCTTTTAGGTTTTCAGGGGAAAAAATGTGATAGATTAGTGATGTCTGTTATGTGCACCATAATAGATAATTAAGATATGTGGGTTGTGCATGGAGGTGGTATTTGAGCCTGGGTTTTAGAATATAAAGCTTGGGGCTGGGCGCAGTGGCTCACACTTGGAATCCCAGCACTTTGGGAGGCTGAGGTGGATGGATCACCTGAGGTCAGGAGTTCAAGACCAGCCTGGCCAAAATGGTGAAATCCTGTCTCTACTAAAAATATAAAAATTAGCCATGCATGGTGGCGTGCACCTGTAATCCCAGCTACTGGGGAGGCTGACACAGGATAATTGCTTGAACCCGGGAGGTGGGGGTTGCAGTGAGCCTAGATCATGCCACTGCACTCCAGCCTGGGCGACAGAGCAAGACTCCGTCTCAAAAAAAAAAAAAAAAAAAAAAAAAAAAAAATATATATATATATATATAAAAAGCTTGGATCCAAACCACTGCCCTATCTTAGGTACTTGTACAACAGGGTGAAACTTACAAAAATGCTCTGAGCCTCAGTTTCCTGATTTGTAGATTGGAGATAGTGATGCCTCTCTCACTGCAGGGTTGCGCTGGGAATTAGGGATAATGGATGAACACATCCTGGACAATCATAGGCACACAAGTCATTTGCATTTACTCTGTCTCTGACTTGCTCCTGTCTTATACTTGCTGCTGAAGATGTAGTCATTGATTCTAGAGCCCTATGGTCTGAGATCCCTGGAGATTTCTGGAGTTGCCAAGGAAAGAGGCCCCACAGATAGGCAGACTTTCCCTGCAGGCTTGCACTGGAAACCCCAGATGCAGGCTGCCACAAGGGAAGGCTCTCTTTCTTGGTACAGAAGCCTGAAGCACCAATGATGATAGAAGGGAGCTGGGTGCCCAGGGTTCCAGTATATCCCTGCTGGTGCACAAGTCTCCAACATGCTCTGGTCCAACTTGCCATCATCCTTCTCCTGGATGAAGGCAATGATATCCTAAATAGCCTCTCGGCTTCCTCTCTTTATTTTTTTGAGAGACACGATCTTACTCTGTCACCCAGGCTGGAGTGCACTGGTGTGATCTTGGCTCACTGTAACCTCTGCCTCCCGGATTCAAGTGATTCTCCTGCCTCAGCTTCCTGAGCAGCTGGGATTACAGGGGCACGCCACCACACCTGGCTAATTTTTGTATGTTTTGTAGAGACAGGGTTTCACCATGTTGGCTAGGCTGGTCTTGAACTCCTGACCTCAAGTGATCCCTCGGCCTCCCAGAGTGCTGGAATTACAGGCATGAGCCACCTTGCCTGGCTGGATCACATTGTTTCTAAGGCCCGTTCGGACTCTAAGAAACACCTGACAAGCGTGCTAAGAGTTCCATATTACTGAGAATTTGCCACAGCATTTTCCCCAAGCCTTGCTCCTACCTCGAAGTTGCATTAGTATATCCCTCTTTGATTCTACCAGGCCCTTTGCAATCCGCTAGACCCTGGATGGGCGCATCTGGGGAAAGAAGCAGGTGAAGGATTCCTGGTTAGAAGGGAGGTGCTTTCAGAGCACTGGCACGCCATGAAATTGTGACCAAGGAGGTTGGAGAAATCTGAAAATCTGAAGTTACAGCAGGCTGGTTGTTGGCCCTCCTGGTCTCTGAGACCCCCAATCTCCCCCATGCATTTCCCGAACCTCAGTTCTTGGCATACTACCCTTCCTTTGAGCTCTTATGTCTCATATGACTTGTGTTGACTTAACATTTTTCTTGAAATCAACTTGCTTTTTCAATTTAAAAAAGTAATTTTCCTAGGATCCTTTCCAATTGCTACCTTCTGGCCAGGTGTGGTGGCTCATGCCTGTAATCCCAGAATTTTGGGATGCCGAGGCAGATGGATCAGCTGAGGCCAGGCGTTTGAGACTAGCCTGGCTAACATAGTGAAACCCCTGTCTCTACAAAGAAAAATATAACAAATAAAAAAACCTAATTGCTATCTTCCCCCGTCAAGTTTTATTTGCTACGAAGGCAACTAGGAAAAGAACATAATAAAATCAAAGCAAGTTATTCAATTAAAAGCCGGACAGAGTGGACCGCCCAAGGCTATAGCCCCAGGCCTGGCCCCCTCCTTTCCCTAGAGACTGGCAGAGAGCAGACAGGTGTTAAAGGCAGGCTGGCATCACATGGGGACCTTTTCCTTGACATGATCAGAACTGAAAGAGAAATTTAAATCCATCAGTAAATCAAACAGAATAGGAATTGTCAGGGTACATAGCAAATGCTGGTAATTTTTGTTTCAGCTGTGCAGTGGGCCTGAAGTAAGTTCTATTCCTTACTGTGTGTCTCAGTCAAAACAAGTCAAAACCCTGGTCTAGCCAGATAGTGAGCTCTTCAGTCCCACCCACCTCTCCTCGTCCTTTTTCTTTTGATTAAAATGCAAATTAGCTCTCTCTGCTTCCTTCGTGTGTCTGGTGCATTGCGGGGAGGGGCGAGATGAGCTAAGAGGCCGAGTTCAATGTTTAAATCAGTAAAAGTGAGAGGAATTCAGGTGAAAGTGGAAACAAACTCTTCCAATTTGCTCTGGAGAAAGAATAATCATAGTAAAAGTACCAGCTCCCATTTATTTACTTACTGTTCACCTACCACATGCAATAGACCTTCCATAGATCCTTTCGGTAATCTGCAGGATTGGCTGGCGTTATAAAACCGGTTCAGAAGCCTAAAAGGCTTGTTCAAGGTCTTAGAGCTCAAAAGCCAGAAATTTCTAGCGTTGGCTGCACCTGACGCTCGCTCACCAGAAGCTTACACTTGTGTCAAAGCCCCACCCAGACTAAGTAGGTCTGAGTCTCACAGGTGTGACCTGGGCACCGGGGGAAGCTCTGGAGGCTCGGAGGCTGAGAACTACTGTTAATTACCATAAAGAGTGGACGGTGGGCCCTGCATATGACCACAGGACTTCATGATCCTCAAATCCCTGGAACTGGAGGTCAAACATCCCATGGATACAGGGAGAAAAAAGCCTGTGGAGGCAGAGTGTGAGGTGCTGGATATGAAACTGCTTCTTCCCTGCATCTCCCCAATCTTGCATCCTTCAAAATGATCTTACCCCCAGACTAGACATCCCTGGCCTCTCACTGACCCGCCGTATAACCTCAGGCACATTAAGTAACGTCTCTGTGCCTCAGTTTCCTGATCTGTAAAATGGGAGTAATAGCAATTGGAACTATTTTGTGGGCTGGCAGAAGTCCTTACTGTTTCCCCAGCCCCAGAGCAGTGCCTGCCTGCAAACAATCATTGAATAAACAGTAAATGCTCAACAAGCAGCCTATGAAGATGGCGTCTGACTCACCTTTCTACTCCGCTGCTTCCCAGGTCCTGTGAACACGAACTCTTTGCATGCATCATCGGCTAGAAATGGACCCCCCAGATCTCTCTAGAAAAGACCCTGCCTCTCATTTTCCTATCAGCCGTTGGGACCAAGACAAAAGTGCTGGCAGACGCTGAGGACATTCCTTTCCCGTCTGCAGCCCCAGCTGCTGGCTTCTCTGCAGACTCAAAGGGACACAAAGACACACTCAGCCAAGTGCACTTCAGTTGTCAAGGCCAGGGGTTGCCATAGCAACCCATAAAGCCGGAGCCGTGGGCCTGTGCAGATGGGGTTAACAGGGCCCCATTCAGGGGCAGTGGCACAGGGACAGAGGCTTTATCTCACATCCACTTTTCTCCTCCGACTTCAGCTGCAACAGCCTCTTCTGACTTTCCCCTCCGCATGGGCCCCAGCCCTCTCTCCCTGCAGGCATGACTTCCTATCACCTGCCTCTTGGGCATCATAAAATTATCAGTGACTTGTATAGGGAGACAGAAATACTGTTCTTGGAAACAGGCAAATGTCCATTCCTAAGAAAGACTGAGAATGATGTGGGGAAAGTAACAAGAGCCAGAAATTGGGTCTAAAGTGTGGCTGGGCCATATATATTACCTAGGCAAGTTGCTGAACTCATCAGTGCCTTAGTTTCTGCATCTGTAAAATGGGAAGAATGAAATCTATTTGTGGGGTCAGGAGGCACTCAACTGGCTTAGGGTCAATTGAAGAAAGTACATAGGATGTGGAAGAGATGCCTGTTGCAGGCCATTTTCTGTTTCCAAAGAGCTCTTTAAAATTGTGCATTTTGGCTGGGCGCGATGGCTCACGCCTGTAATCCTAGCACTTTGGGAGGCCGAGGCAGGCAGATCACCTGAGGTCAAAAGTTCGAGACCAGCCTGGCTAAAATGGTGAAGTCCCAACTCTACAAAAAAATACAGAAATCAGCTGGGCGTGGTGGCAGGTGCCTGTAGTTCCAGCTACTTGGGAGGCTGAGGCAGGAGAATTGCTTAAACCTGAGAACCGAATGTTGCAGTGAGTAGAGGTCGTGCCACTGCTCTCCAACCTGGCGACAAGAGTGAAACTCCATCTCAAAAATAAGTAAACGAGTAAACAAAAATTGTGAACAACTTCTTTTTTTCCTTCTCCTTCTCCTCCTCCTCCTCCTTCTTTCTTCTTCTTTTTTTAGACAGGGAGAGACAAGGTCTCACTACGTTTCCCAGGCTGGACTTGAAGTTAGTAAAGGCACTTCTTCTATGGCCTGATGAGCTGCTAAAGACTATTGGCACATGCGGTGGTCCTGCTACCAGCCTCAACATCCAGATTTCATGAGAAAGAAGCTGATCTGCCTCATCCTCATGCTCCTGTCTCAGAGTCCTCTCTGCCCACCTCAATCAGGAATCCAGGGAGAACGAACACATCGTTGCTAGCAGGCAGGTAGTTACCCAGCCTGTGAAAAAACTGGAGAGAAAAATGAACAGACAGGGCTTCACATCCAAGCCTCCGAATGTGAGACACAGATAGCCTTTGTTCTGGAGGTAGGAAATAATATGGAAAGAAACATCTGCAAAAGGATAAGCTAGCTTTGGATTTCTGATCCTACAAGGGAGGAGGAGTGAAAGAATGGAATTGGCTTAGAAAGGATGCTTGGACCCATGCTGAAGTAGCTACCCGGGCCAACGCCACAGAAGGTCCGGCTTGTAAAATCTGTTTGTTCAGTTCAATAAATGCTTTCTGCACACCTGTGCCGAGCCCCAGAGATTCCTCAGTAAACAAGGACACGTCCTGCTGTGTTCTGTGGGATCTCGTGTTCCCGTGGGGAGGCCCAACAAGCAACAAACAAATCAGGTCGGTGTGATTGGAGGAAACGCACTTCCCGTTCAGAGAAAACAAACCACTTTCACGGACTCCAGAAACCGCTAAGTACGCAAAAATCACAGCGTATAACAAGTGAAACATTTATATTTCCTTCAAGGACCACACAGCTCCAGACTTGGAAACACTTTGTTGGTGGCTGGAGTCACGCTGTGTGCCTGGCAGCATTCCTACATGCACTTGCAAAGACCTTAACTTTTCTGTAATTCAAAGTATCTTTCATTTATGCCTGTGTGTGCAGGTATCTGCTCTGATTTTACGAATGAATGCCAATCGTGTCAAGGTTTCACATACACCGTCTTATCTACTCCTGGGAGGCAAATACTTCTATTCCTGTTGTTCTCTAAAACCCTGCCCCCTGACTGAGGCTGCCATTTAGGGGTCATCTTCCCAGAGGCAGGGGCTGGCTCAGGGGACCTCAGAGACCAGCTCTGGGAAGCATGTACCTGGAGGGTGCCCTCCATTTCCAGGGTCCAGAACGGTGTCTGGCTATTGTAGGTGCTCAAAAACACTTGTTGAATTCAATCATGGAGTTTCAGCCCTATACTCTGACAACTACAGGAACTGAACTGAAAAGCAACCTCTGAGTCCCATCCGTCAGATTAATGCAATGTTTCTCAAACTTTTTTTCATTGCCATTCCCCTAAAGATTCTTTATTAGCTACATACCCCATGAAATTTTAATTCCACAGATAAATTGTACATCTGCTTATGTATTGTATTTTATATCTGTACTTTATTCATAAAGAGTAAGATTTCTTTTCTTTCCCATAAATGTTCACTCTCTTGGGAATACTGATCCCACTAAGAATGCAGGGATTAAGCGCACACCTGCCATGTGCCAGTTGCTGGGTTGGACATTTGTTCTGCTTCATCTTATTCCATTCTTGCAACAGTATTACACAGTATGCATCATCAGCGCTATGAGACTGAGGATGAGACTGAGGTTCAGAGAGGGTTGTGGCTTATCCTGTGTCACACAGCTTGTCAACGGCAGAGCCAGTCTTCAAACTCGGGTCTGTGAGGCTTTAAAGCTAGTGCTGTTCTGTTTCCTTGCACAGAGAAATAACATGCCCAAGCTCACCTCATGGAGAAGAGGTGACCTGGGACCTGATGTGTAATCCCAGCATGTTGGGAGGCCAAGGTGAGAGGATCGCTTGAGCCCAGGAGATTGAGATCAGCCTGGGTGACAGAGCGAGACCCCATCTCTAAAAGAAAAAAAAAAAGAGGTGATTTGGGATTTTAATTTAATTCTTAAATTAGTCCTTCTGATTCCAACTTCAGTTTCTTTTTACCCAATACGTTGCCTCAAAAATATCTTTAGGCTACTTGACAAACTCACTGGGTATAAAAATCAGTGTCTTGGACTATCTTAAGAGAGAAAGGAACAGAAAAGAAGGAACAGAAAGAGGTGCCTGATGGATTGATTGGGAGACTCTGGTCTAAGCTACAGCACCAGGGCCAGTGTGTATTAATGTAACTTAGAAATCAATTCACTGCACTGTCACCTGCTGGTCTGGTTTGGTTTGGAGTCACAATGAAGGCACAGGTAGTATGCTCTAAGACAGTACTGCCCAAAAGAAATATAACACAAGCTTTCAATGCAAACCACATAGGTAATTTTACATTTTCTGGTAGCCATATGAAAAAAGCAAAAACAGCTGAAACCAATTTTTTTCATGTATCTTATTTAACCCATTGTATCTAAAATGTAATAATTTTGATACATAATCAATATAGTTATTATTATTACTTTTGAGATGGAGTTTTGCTCTTGTTGCCCAGGCTGAAGTGCAGTGGCACAATCTCGGCTCACTGCAACCTTCGCCTCCCAGGTTCAAGCGATTCTCCTGCCTCAGCCTCCCGAGTAGCTGGGATGACAGGTGTGTGCCATCACTCCTGGCTAATTTTTGTATTTTTAGTAGAGACAAAGTTTCACCATGTTGGTCAGGCTGGTCTCAAACTCCTGACCTCAAGTGATCCACCCGCCTTGGCCTCCCAAAGTGCTGGGATTACAGACGCGAGCTACCGTGCCCGGCCATCAATATAGTTATTAATAAGATATTTTGCATTTCTTTTTCGGATGTGTGCTAAGTCTTCAAAATCTGGTGTGAATTTCACACTCACAGCACATCACAGTTTAGAATAGCCACGTCTCAGATGCTCAATGACCAGATGTGATGAACGGCTACTGTACTGGCCTGTGCGGGCTGACGCATTGCATCAGAATTGGAGTGTGGTCACAGGAACATACAATCTGACCTGCTGAAATGCCACGGCCTGCCTGGGCCTGTCTGCTGCAATGACGTAGGCACAAGTAGTTTAGTCTAGGAGAGGCTCTCAACGGGATCCAATAAAAAGGGAGAGCAGACAGGGCTGGCTACATGATGTGTGGGACCCAGTGCATAAAATAAATATTCGAGGCCCCTTGTGAGAAAATGGTTACGAATTGCAAGTCAGTGACATGGGGGGATCTTCTGAACACGGGACCCTGTGTGACCATATAGATCACAAACCCATGAAGCACGCCCTGGGTACAGAAGAAAAAACACCCTTCAGGTTTCCCCATCACTGGCCAAGGTGAGGGTGCTGGGATCACGACTGCAGCAACAAATACAATTAGCAGCAGCAACAGCAGACACTTGCTCAGCGCTTACTTTAGGCCAAACCCTGTTCTAAGTTCTTTATATATCATAATACCCATCAGAACAACCTTCTGATATTATAATTATCCACTCGTAGCAAAAAAAAGAAAAAAGGAAACAGATCACAGAGAGGTTAAGTGATTTGCCCGACATCACACAGCCATGTAGTATCTTTAGTACTAAATTTCACAAAACAGGGGGTGGGGGCATAATGTGGCCTGGGCTTACAACTAGCTGTGCCTCTGTTTTCTCCACTGGAAAATGGGTGTGATAGAGCTCTCCCATCCCCAAGCTGCTCTGAGGATGAAATGAGATAATCCACGCGCAAAGCTAAGCAGAGTGCCCAGCCTGGGCACTGGAAAATCTTCAGACCCACATAAAAGTTATGAACATAGTTCCACAGCCGCTTGTAATCCTCGAAACTGTTAACATTTTGCCACACTCGTGCCCACTCTATTATCTGTCTTCTGAATTATTTGAGTTAGTTGTGGACATTGTGATATTTCATCCTTGAATCCTTCAGCCTGTATCTTCTAAGAACAAGAATGTTCTCTTACATAACCTCAGTACAAATGATCTGAGATACAAAGTCACTCTCATGAAGGTACCATTAATAAAATACTATTATCTTTTTTTAATTTATTTATTATTGGCATATTCATGACATAAAAATACTATAAATACTATTATCTAACATACAATCTATATTCAGATATTCCCACTTATCCCTAAAACTTCTTTAATTGTTTTTTTTTTTTTTTTTTTTTTTAGAGACAGGGTCTCGCTCTATCACCTAGGCTGGAGTGCAGTGGCATGATCATGGCTCATGGCTCACTGCAGCCTCGAACTCTTGGGCTCAGGTGATCCTCTTGCCTCAGCCTCCTGAGTAGCTGGGATCACAGGCACACACCACTATGTCTGGTTAGTTTATTTTTATATTTATTTTTTGTAGAGATGGGGTCTCCCTATATTCCTGAGGCTAGTCTCTAACTCTTGACTTCAAGTGATCCTCCTCCCTCGGACTCCCAAAGCACTGGGATTACAGGTATGAGCCACTGAGCCCAGCCCACAAGTGTTTTCTGTTCCCCTGATCCAGGCTTCATCCTAGGATCAAACATTGCATTTGGGCTCATGGCTCTTTAATCTCTTTTAACCTGGAACCATTTCTCAGCCCTTTTGCCTTTTAAAAGACATTGGCGTTTTAGGAATCCCAGCCAGTCATTTTGCATGTAGTTGCGTGAATAGTCTTCTTTATGTCCTTGCAAAATGAAGTGCAGCTCACGGGCAAATGTGGAGAAAGAGGTCGGTTGGACATGTGATGTCAGAGGGTCCAAGTGATTTCTGCAGGTAGAGGAGGGCGTATAGTGTTAGCTGTTCTTGGGTGGAAGTTAAAGATTTCCGGGAAGCAGTGACGGGATGTTTAACGATAATTAGAGCTTGGCAGGTAGACAAGGGCAGTCGTGGCAGACAGAGGCCAGGGTAGGGGAAGGGGGATGGCAGCCCGGAGGAAATGCAGGCAGCAGCAATGTGTCTGAGGGTGAGCGTATCGCGTGTGATCGGGTCTGTTCCTATTTGAACTGGAAACTCCCTGAGGCCAGTCCTTGTCTCCGGCTCTGTCCTCTCCGCCAGGGTGCCCAGTGCCTACTCCAGAGTCAGGGTTCACTTAGAGCAACCGGCTGCCAAGTTTCCCAAATACCCAGGGACATGCAAAGCACAGAGGACCCCCTTCCTCCGGCAGCGGCCTGGCTGCCAGCTTGCACACACCAACTGCAGGATCTTCAGCGCCAACCTTTCAGGATTCCCACATCTTGCCCTGCAAATGAAATTGCATTTTCTAAAATTGCTTTCTTCTGGTTGCCTCTTGGGGCATAGGCTGCTTCTGGGAAAAAATTCAAAATGAACTTCTAATCAGCCACAAGATGTGAAGAGAGCGGCTGTCCAGAGCTTCCTGACATCTACTCTTGGCGTGAGCCGCCCTGGCTGTCAACTGAGATTCTCACTGCAAACTCTATCTGAAATGCCCAGTGACAGCGCCCCCTGAGCCTTCCATTCCCCTGAGTTTCAAAGAGAAAGGGGTGTGTGTGTTTGTGCTGTTCTTGTCCTTAGAACGAAGGGAAAGGATTTATTTAGCGGCTTGAACAAAAATGCCTTTTCAAGGTGACCCTCACTTCATTTCCTAGGACCAGATGCAGGCGGACTGTGGTGTTGCAAGCCTATTGATAAGAGCAATTCCTTATCTCATCATTTCTATATCCATCTTTCATTATTTTGTCCCCACTTTAAAGGGTCTCCTCCTGCTGTGTTCACAAAGTGTCCTTGAAAAATCTGTTAAGTACATTTGTGTGTCCTACACACAGAGAGCCAGGCACATGTGCACGCATGTACACAGATGCACAAGGGTGTGTGCCCCCCCGACCTGCACACCCCAACACCACAGATAACAGGCACTGACAGACACTGGCACCACCTCCCCATGGCAGCAAATACATACACATGTAAGGATGCACACAGAGACACACATACACATTTGCACTCACGGTGCCTGGTAGTCGGAGTCCTGCGGCGAGCTCAGCTCGCTTGCTTAAAATGCCTTCTGTATGCCATTCTGCAGAGGCCAGGAACGCAGCTGGCTGGGTTCATCCTAAGAGGTGCCGTTGGGCACCAGCTCCCTCCTCAGGAGGGTGTCCCGGATTTCCAGGCAGTCCCCAAAACATGGGGACAGGTGGAGGAGACAGAAAAGGGCCCCTTGGAAGCAGAGCAGGTTTGGGAAAAGGATGCACTCAGCTGGTACCCGGCAAGTGCGCAAGGGAGAGGGACGGAGGGAAGGTGAAGGAGGAGGGGAAAGACAGAATGTGAGAGACTGAAAGATGGATTCAGAAAGACAAGGGTTTTCAGACAGAAACAGGATGCAACTACACAGAAACAAAGATTAACAGAGGCAGAAGGAGAGCGATAAACAGAGAGAAAAAAATAGAATACAGATTTTTTTTAAAAGATGTTTTAAGCCCAGCTTGGTTTAAGCCAGAAGGATAAGACACATCATTTCAGACCTTGTAAAATAGGCTATCTCCCTCCCCTTTTTCCTTCCAGGGCCTCTTCCTAGATTTTTTTTTTTTTTTAACAGGCTCAGGAACCCCTGAAGGGACAAAGCAGAAATCCCGGGCTTCAGATTCCTAAATGGCTTCCCCAGGACTCTGCTGATGCAGTGTTGTGGACGCAGCCACAGCCATGACGGGGCTCCGGGGGGCGCCAAGTCATCTCCAAGACACCCAAGGCAGAGGGGCTGCTCTGGCGCCCACGCTCCACCTGACCCCGCCTCGGGGGTTGGGGAGGAACCTACCGGGAGCGATTACCCAACTCCCCCATTGTAGCCCATGCTGGGTCAACGCAGGTCCACAGGGGGCCCAGAAGAGGTAATGAGGGTGATCACAAGATGGGGAGGGGGTATGGGGTTGGGGGGGCAGAGAGCTTTCGGTCACATGCTGCTCATCAGTTACCATGACGACGGCAAGGGGGTGGAGGCACCCAGAATGGAGGCTGCAGGAGAGACACACTGGTTCTAAATCACCGTGACAGCGCTTCGGTTGAGCTATTACGCCGTTGCCGAGGCAACCAATGGGATCAAATCGCAGAGGAAATCTATAATTATTACAAGCCAGATACCGGCATCCTCGGTGCAGTAATCAGCACGTTAGGGCAATTCAACCTGAACTTTGAGAGGGAGAAACGTCAGCCCCCAGCCCCCAGCCCCCAAATCGGGGCAGAACAAGGGCCAAAGGGGACTCCACAAAGCAGATCTGTTGATGCTACAGATTGGGAACCTGGAAGGATCTTTTTGACCAAATAAAACATAAATTGAGGGGAACCACATGAAATTGACAATATTCACCAGTGAGCCACGGCGCCTAGACCATTTCCCATGATTTTTTATGAAACTTTCCAATGCACAGCAAAGCCGAAAGAATTTTACGGTAAATACCTATATACCCACTACTAGCCTCTACCATTAACATGATTACCACATGTGCTTTATCACATCCTGTTTTTGATGCATTTCAAAGTTAACTGTAGACATCAGTATCCTTCCCCCCAAAATATTTCAACCTGCATAAAAGTAAGCACTTGGTAATTTTTAAAACAAAAATAGTAATTTCTTTCTTTTCTTTTTTTATGAGATGGAGTCTTGCTCTGTCATCCAGGCTGGAGTGCAGTGGTACCATCGTGGCTCACTGCAACCTCAGCCTCCCGGGTTCAAGTGATTCTCCTGCCTCAGCCTCCCAAGTAGCTGGGATTACAGGTACAAGCAACCACGCCCAGCTAATTTTTGTATTTTTAGTAGAGACGGTGTTTCACCATGTTGGCCAGGCTGATCCTCAAGTGATCTGCCCCTCCCCCCCGACCTCCCAAAGTGCTAGGATTACAGGCATGAGCCACCGCACCTGGCCAAAAATAGTAATTTCATATGGTTCAATCTAAAGACAATAAAGTCTAGGTTTCTGTTTTTTGTCTGTCTGTTCATTCATCCATCTATCCTTCTCTCCCTCCATCTCTCCATCCATCTTCCCATCCATTTTTCCATCCATCCATCCATCCATCCATCCATCCATCCATCCATCTTCCCATCCATCCATCCATCCATCTTCCCATCCATCCACCCATCCATCCACCCATCCATCTTCCCATCCATCCATCCATCCATCCAATCATCCATCCATCCATCCTTCCACCCACCCATCTCTGGGAGAGCTCATGGACACTCACGGTTTCCACAAATGATTCACTATCCCCAAATCCTCTCCCTGGTTCAGCAGGGTGTCCTGCATATCAAGTGCAATACGTTCTCACAGTCATCATCTTCTCTTCACTACACCTATCTCCTTTCCTATGTTGAGCATCTCCATTAACAGACCCACTGCCTACTCATTTGTTCAAGCCAGAAACTCAAGAAATCTGATTCCTCCTTCCTGTTATCTTCCTTCACCACCACGCCACGGAATTTGACTTCCACGGTAGCTCTGGGCTCCACCCTCTCCCTCCTTACTTTGTCCTTGTTCAGGTACCCATCGTTTCCTACCTGGACAGTTGCCCCCACCTCCTGACGGCCTCCCAGCTGCTATCTCACCTTTCCTCTGCTTTCTCCACACTGAATTTTTATCATGAAATATTTGGCCATATTCACGATGCAGGGGAACTGGCACTTCATTCATTGCTGGCAGGAGAGGAAATTCATACAAATGGCTTGGAGAGCAATTTGTCAAAATCTGTAAAATTGTAAATGCGCAAACCATTGATCCCTAGCATAATTCTACTTGAAGGAATTTGTCTCATTGATATAAATTGAAAATAACCTAATTGTCCATGAGTGGGAACTGGTTAAAATAAACTTGGGTATATCCATCATGCAGAATAACCTGCATTCAACAAAAAGAATGCGATGGCGCTTTATGTACTGATATGGGAAAGTGATTAATGTTGGTTGCTGGTTGTAATAAATGTCGGTCTTCTCTCTTGTTCTAAAGACTCCTGTAGAAACCACCTAACCAGAGAGTGAAGTAAACACAGAAACAAACTTTGGAGGCTTGGAAAGTTGAGAGAATCCAGAGGGTTGGTACAAGAAGGCCTAGTTCTAGTTCCTGCTCAGATGTGAAGGTGCTTGCTCCTGAGCCTATTTCCTCTCTCTCTCTCTCTCTCTCTCTCTCTCTCTCTCTGTCTCTCTCTCAGTGCAGCCTTAACCTCCTGGACTCAAGTGATCTTTCCACCTCAGCCTCCTGAGTAGTTGGGAGACTACAGGCATGCACTACCACCCCTGGGTAATGTTTTTATTTTTTTGTAGAGACGGGGACTTGCTGTGTTGCCTAGGTTGGTTATGAACTCCTGGGCTCAAGCAATCCTCTCACCTCGCCTCCCAAAGTGCTGAGATTAAAGGTGTGAGCCACTATGCCCAGCCTCTCATCTCTCTAAGGGCTTGATCATACCTCCCAAGGTCATTCTGAAGGTCAAATGTCAACATGGAGGTAGAAATGGCATGCAAAAGTCTATCTTGCTAAACCAATGAGAGTTACTGTTATTCATTTGTCTTCAGGGTTTACCTAGCCCCCTTCTGAATACTAAACATCCCTAATACATGTAACAAAAGCTATAACCTTTATTTGTGTTTGAGCACCTATTTTGTGCCTAGGACTGAGCTAAGTACTTTCCATGTATTATCTCATTGATTGAAACAATGCTTTTGTGCTGGGGATTTTTGCTTCCATTTCACAGATATTAGTGGAGGCACACAAAGGTTAACTGGCTGGGCTTGGTGGTTCATGCCTGTAATCCTAGCACTTTGGGAGGCCAAAGTGGGCGGATTCCTTGAGCTCAGGAATTCAAGACCAGCCTGGGCAATACAGTGAAAGCAGGTCTGTATAAAAAAATACAAACATACAAAAATCAGCTATGAGTGGCAGCATACGTCTGTAGTCCCAGCTACTCAGGCGGCGGAGGGAGGATGGCTTGAGAACCGAGATTGTGCTACCGTGCCACTGTACTCCAGCCTGGGTGACAAAGTGAGAGCCTGTCTCAAAAAAAAAAAAAGTTAACTGACTGCTCTAATAGCATACAGGGAGTACTGCTACCCTGATAAGCCCCTACATCTTTCTGATTGCCAAGTCCACGCTTTTCTCACTCCTTAACCATTCCTACTTTCTATATCATGTCTTTAGACCTGTACTATTGAAAATAAATATAGGCTGGGCATGGTGGCTCACGCCTGTAATCCCAGCACTTTGGGAAGCCAAGGCGGGTGGATCATTTGATGTCAGGGGTTCGAGACCAGCTTGGCCAACATGGTGAAACCCCGTCTCTACTGAAAATACAAAAATTAGCTGGGTATGGTGGCAGGAGCCTGTAATCCCTGATACTCTGGAGGTTGAAGCAGGAGAATCGCTTGAACCCAGGAGGCGGAGGTTGCAGTGAGCTGAGATAGTGCTACTGCAGTCCAGCCTGGGCGACAGAGTGAGACTCCATCTCAAAAATAAATAAATAAATAAATAAATAAATAAATAAATAAAAATGTGAGTCACATGTGCCAATTAAAAATTTCTAGTGGTCACATCAAAAAAGAAAAGAAACAGATGAAATTAATCTTTTGGAACACATGGAAAAAGGCAAAAGTTGAAAAAAGATAAATAATACATTAAAAAATAAAGCACTGAAAATAAAGAAATTAATGTTAATTCTATTTAACCTGACGTGTCCTCAAAATCTCATCATTTCAACAGGTAATAAATTAGCATAAAACTAATTAGTATGAAAACTAATTAGCGAAATGTTAATATTTTGCTATCCTTTTTGGCATAGCAAGTCTTCAAAATCGGATGTGTGTTTTATGCTTACGGCACACCCCCATTCAGATGAGCCCCATTTCGGGCACTTGGTAGCCAGGCGTGACTCATTGGCAAATGTAGCTCAGGTGGGACTGACATACACCTAAAGTGAGTGTAAACCTTAAATAACAATACTGGCCGCCGTTTATTGAGCACCTGCTGTTTATTCTCATGAGTCTGTGGAGTAGGTGCTCTTACAAGCTACAGAGGGAAAAAATAAAGCCCAGGTAGTTTAGAACATGCCCAAGATCCCGGAGCTATTTATCTGGGGAACTGCAGTTTGAACCAAAGCCCAAAGCTTATCCAGCCATCTGGCTTCTCCTGTTCTTGCCAATGAATGCTGAATATTTATTACATGTCAGTCATGTGTCTGTAACATTTAAACCTCTAAGAAAAGAATTTAACTTGTGGCACTTAATTTTAAAGAATTTGATTGGCCAGGTGCGCTGGCTCACACTTGTAATTCCAGCACCTTGGGAGGCAGAGGCAGGGAGATTGCTTGAGCTCAGGAGTTCAAGACCAGCCTGGGCAACAAAGTGAGACACACAACCCTGCCCCCGAGCCACCTGCGCCCCCCACCACCCCACCACTGCCATCCCTGTCTCTACAGAAAATAAAAAAATTAGCTAGGTGTGGTGGTGTGCACCTGTGGTCCCAGTTACATGGGAGGCTGAGGCAGAAAGATCCTTTGAACCCGGGAGTTTGAGGCTGCAGTGAGCTACGATCATGCCACTGCACTCCAGCCTGGGCAACACAGCAAGATCCTGTCTCTTGAGTTAAAAAGTCTGCAACTAACTCTGAACTTCTTACCAGCGTGAGACCTTCAGAACTGATAATAAACCAAACAAATTCTCTCTCCCAGCAGACTCCTTTTGTCTAGATGGGCTGAGAATTAGAGGGAATGATCAAGTTCAGGCTTCCACCCTCCAGAGCAGCTACCCATAGGAACACAAGACGGACTTCACTCTTTCATGGGATCACATATCAGGAAGTCCACTGGTTCCAGCTTTCTCCTCCTACTCAGGCCAAGACTGACCACTGATTTTAATCATGACATGCAAGTACTAGAGAGATTCTCTTGGAGATGGGGATGGTGGTGATGATTTCATGAGTTTCATGACTGGTTCTGGGATGATAACCTGGGGTTGCCAATATCCCTAACTCCTGGCCGGGTGCAGTGGCTCACTCCTGTAATCTCAGCACTTTGGGAGGCCAAGGCTGGAGGTTTGCTTGAGCTGAGGAGTTCAAGACCAGCCTGGGAAACTGTCTCTACAAAATAAATAAATAAAGTTTAAAAAAAGTTCCCTAATTCCTGGCTAGGATGCACTGGAGTTAAGTCCAGCTAGCTTTTAGGTTCCACGGTGTGGCTGCTGTTTTAGAAATGTAAGCTTCTCTCTTGCCTCTTGCAAACTGACGTAAAGGTAAATCCCATTTTAGCTCTCACTTCTTGAACATAACCACAATTACATGGTCATCAGCTTGAGGGTGAAATTAGGGAAAGGAGGAAGAAAAGGGACTCTCATTTGCCTCTAAAATGTCTCTAACTCTGGGCTGGGCACATTGGCTCATGCCTGTAATCCCAGCTCTTTGGGAGGCTGAGATGGGAGGATTGCCTGGGCCCAGGAGCTGGAGACCTGGGCAACATAGTGAAACCCTGTCTCCGCTAAAAAAAAAAAAAAAAATTACCCTGGCATGGTAGTGTGTGCCTATAGTCCCAGCTACAAGGTAGGCTGAGGTGGGAGGATGGCTTGAGTCTGGGAGGTCGAGGCTGCAGTGAGCCATGATTGCACCACTGTACTCAAGCCTGGGTGACAGAGGGAGACCTGGTCTCAAAAAAACAACAAAAAAAGTGATTATTCTGCTAGACCACCATGGGCATTGCTCACTAGCACAGGGAGAGAGTCATCTTCCAGCCTCCACTCCCCTAGCCTGTCACTTCTTAGCTCAGTGGTGGCTCCCAGCCTTTCATGAGGCATCTGGGACCTTGCCTAACCCACCTCTGCCTGCATCTCTTTTCTGAGTACTGACATGCCACCCCACCCATTCCACCCTCTGATTCCGGGAGGGCACAGAGCTCTGTAGCCTCAGGGCCTTTGCACCTGCCATTCTTGCAGCCCCGTCTGCTTCCCTCATTCCTCCTTAGCCAAAACCTAGGAATCACTCAGGTCGCAAACACTCCATGTTATCTCTTCAGAGAAGCATTTATAAACCTTCTTGTGGATATACAATTGTCTTGCTGTAATTTCTTATAGCTTCTTGCGTAATTCTTTCCACTCATCACAGTTAGTACTTACACATTTATTTGCATGAGTATCTTTTTTTTGAGACAGGGTCTTGCTCTGTCTCCCAGGCTGAAGTGCCGTGGCACGATCTTGGCTCACTGCAGCCTCCACCTCCCAGGTTCAATTGATTCTCGTGCCTCAGCTTCCTCAGTAGCTGGATTACAGGAGCGTGCCACCACACCCGGCTAATTTTTGTATTTTTAGTAGAGATGGGGTTTCACCATGTTGGCCAGGCTGGTTTTGAACTCATGGCCTCAAGTGATCCACCCACCTCAGCCTCCCAAAGTGCTGGGATTACAGGCATGATGAGCCATCATGCCTGGTCTTTTCTTTTTTTTTTTTTTTTTTTGAAACAGGGTCTCACTCTGTTGCCCAGGCTGGAGTGCAGTGGTAAAATCACAGCTCATTGCAGCCTTACCTTCAGGGCTCAGGTGATCCTCCCACCTCAGCCTCTCGGCTGGGACTACTGGTGTGTGCCACCATGCCTGGCTAATTTTTTGTATATATATATATATTTTTTTTTATAGAGACAGAGTTTCATCATGTTGCCCAGACTGGTCTCAAGTGATCCACCTACCTCAGCCTCTCAGGGTGTTGGGATTACAGGCACGAGCCACTGCAGCCAGCATGAGTATCTTTTTAATGTACGCCTTCCATGCTAGCCCCAGAGATGGACTGCACATGCCCAACACTCCCAACAGGCACACTGAATATTTGTCCAGTGAATTCTTATTATTCCCATTTTATAGATTAAAGGAGCTGAGACCTTGGAAGAAATGTCACTCCCTCAAAGGACAGAACTATAAAACAAATTGTTGCGATTCCACTGTGTGCAAATTCATAATCCAAGGGCACCGAGGCTCTACCAAGAAATGTGGGCTAATGGCTGGTGCACAATTACACTCAAGCAATAGCATCATTTGGACTATGAAACCTGACTTGCTCTTAGCTGCTTTGTGAAACTGAGGATGTGCATTAGGTGTGGAGTCAATCTGCTCTCTTTGAAATGAGATTCAGAACAAAAAAACAACTAAAACCTAGCAAAAAACCAACCACCAACCAACGAACTGCCTGGGAGTTCAGCTATCTGCCTGTCTGATCTCAGGTCTGAAAGCCAGACCATCACCCCTGGCTCTCTCTCTCCCAACAGACACTGCTGGAGAGTATCTGAATCCAGACCTTTTGGAAAACAACATAAAGAGATATTAAATATTTTGACCTCAAGAAATCCCAACTCAGTGTTATAGCTCTTTTAAAATTTGTCTAGCAGGCTTTCCGGTAAAGACTGGAAAGCCCCTGATATGGTTTGGCTCTGTGTCCCCACCCAAATTTCATCTTGAATTGTAATCCCCATGTGTCAAGGGAGGGATCTGGTGGGAGGTGACTGGATCATGGGGGCAGTTTCCCCCATACTGTTCTCATGATAGTGAGTTCTCACGAGATCTGACGGTTTTAAAGTGGCAGTTTTCCCTGTGTGCTCTCTCTCTCTCTCTCCTGCCACCTTGTGAAGAAGGTGCCTGCTTCCCCTTCACTTTCTGCCATGATTGTAAATTTCCTGAGGCCTCCCAGCCATGTGGAACTGTGAGTCAATTAAGCCTCTTTTGTTTATGAATTACCCAGTCTCAGGTAGTATCTTTATAGTAGTGTGAAAATGGACTAATACAGCACCCCATCAAAAAAAAAATCCCAACTCTAGAAATTTAGCTAATGCAAGCAATACTACATGAAGGAATAGTTCTATGCTCAGAGATGTTCAGAGCAGTGAAAGCCACAGGCACAGTGTCTCATGCCTATAATCCCAGCATTTTGGGAGGCCGAGGTGGGAGGATTGCTTGAGGCCAGGAGTTCGAGACCAGCCTGGGCAACATAGTGAGACCCCCCATTTGTACAAAAATTTAAAAATTTTTTTTTAAAAAAGAAGCGTGCTCAGTTGAAAACAATGTAAATGACCAATGGTAGAGGATTGCTCAAATAAGTTGTGGTACAACAGCTTGATTATATGACATTAACTGAAAACTGTGTAAAAAGACAGGGAAGTGATTTTTTAAGCCATGTAATGAGAGAAAAAAAGAATGTAAAATTGTATATGCAGTCTGGCTACAATTTTTTACAGGCACAAAAAAACAAAATCATAAACTGCTACACAATAAAGCAAGGCTGGAAAGACATGTGTTTTCTGTTTAGCACCGTTGCATTTTGGATATGAGGCCATGGCATGGCCGTCTATTTGTTGCCACCTTTTTGTAGTTTCTGATTCTTCATTAATAACCTGTATTATTAATTTTATCAAATGTTTGGAGAAAAGAAGTCTCTCTAGCATTCTCAAATAATAGGCACAGAGATACTTCACCAGGGCATGAGAGTAACTTCAGTGGATGGCAGCCCAATGTGTCCAGATATTTAATTATAGGAAAACAACTATTGAGTAACTTGACGTGGCATTAACAGAGAGCCCCAGAGGCACTTGGAAATTGATCTGTGTTCCGTTTGGTTTCCGAAGGTGTGGAAAGAGGAGATGAGCTTCCAAACAGACTATAAAAAGGACATTAGCTTTCTAGCATTGAACCAGTCAAATTTGATTCTAGTTCCCAGGTGGAAATACTTAAAGTTGAAAGTAGGTCAGCACATTCAGGGAGTTTAGTGCACCTGCAGTTGACACAAAGGGAAACTTCTCGACTCATCCCAAGATAGTGGAAGAAAGGAAAGCTTGGAGTTAAGAAGTCTCAAATTTCTGGAAGGCCAGGAAAGAGGATGCTCTTGAGGCTCTGTGCTCTGGGATGCAGACTGTAGGCTAAGGATCCACAACTATGGCCACTGGCCTGCTTTTTTAAATAAAGCTTTATTGAAACACAGCTACACCTATTAATTCATGGCTGCTTTGCGCTACAATGGCAGGGTTGAATAGTGGCAAGAGAAACCACATGGCCCACATGCCAAAAATACTTACTGTCTGGCCCTTTACAGAAACAGTTTGCTGGTCCCCCATGTAGGCATTCCAAGCCTTCAAACTATAGGTCTTTCCTATCTTCCCAATAACAAACTGGTGATCCATTTCACTCAATTTCAAGCAGAGTTCAGTTTTTAGAGAACGGACACAGACCCAAGAGGGCCACTTTTGCCCTCAGACACTGTCTCCTTTTTCTGCTAACATGTCAGCAACACACAAAGTGTGTGCTTTCCCTAAGTCACCATTTGCCATCCACCTAAACGCTCTATTATTTACCAACATTTGTAAGACTTTTGCTTGAAATTATCTTGCTTTTTAACAGCAATAATTTTTTGGTTTTTTTTTTTGAGACAGAGTCTCACTCTGTCTGTCACCCAGGCTGGAGAGCAATGGCACGATTTTGGTTCACTGCAACCTCCGCCTTCCGGGTTCAAGCTATTCTCCTGCCTCAGCCTCCCGAGTAGCTGGGACTACAGGCGCACACCACCACGCCCGGCTAATTTTTTGTATTTTTAGTAGAGACGGGGTTTCGCCATGTCGGCCGAAACTCCAGGCTGGTCTTGAACTCTTGACCTCAGGTGATCCACCCACCTCAGCCTCCCAGAGTGCTGGGATTACAGGTGTGAGCCACTGCACCCGGCCCTTAACAGCAGTAATTTAAGTGGAAACTTTTATATCATTACTGTATCTAGAAAGCCAGTATCCTTTCATATAAATACAAGGTACCCGTAAAAACAATACATTGACAGTAGAGAGGTGTTCGTCAACTCTACCTGGATCTCGGTGCCTGCATCTTCCTGGCACACTCTCATGCATCACACCTAGTCCATCAGTCAATCCTGTTGGCTCCATCTTGAAAACAGATCCAGAATCTGCCCACTTTCCTGCCTCCATCATTTCCCCTGTGATCCAAGCCCCAGGGCTCCCGCCGTGTCCTAAGCATCAACCTTCTCCTCTCATGGGCTGTGGTCTGTGTGCAATCAACATAGGAGCCAGAGCAGTCCTTTGCAAAAGTCAGGTCACATCACACCAGTCCTCCCTCTGGTGAAAACCTTCCAGTGGTCCCCTGATATGGTTTGGATCCATGTCCCACCCAAATCTCACGTTGAAACGTAATCCCCAGTGTTGGACGAGGAGCCTGGTGGGAGGGGACTGGATCATGGGGGTGGGCTTCTCATGAATAGTTTAGCACCATCCGTTTGGTGCTGTTCTTGTGATAGAGTTCTCATGAGATGTGGTTGTTTAAAAGAGTGTAGCCAGGTGCAGTGGCTCCCGCCTATAATCCCAGCACTTTGGGAGGCCGAGGCGGGAGGATTACTTGAGGTCAGGAGTTCGAGACCAGCCTGGCCAACAGGGTGAAACACTGTCTCTACTAAAAATATAAAAATTAACTGGGCGTGGTGGTGCATGCCTATAATCCCAGCTACTTGGGAGGCTGAGGCAGGAGAATTGCTTGAACCCAGGAGGCGGAGGTTGCAGTGAGCCAAGATCGTGCCATTGCACTCCAGCCTGGGCAAAACACCAAAAGAAAAAAAAAAAAAGAGTGCAGCACCTCTCTGCTCTCTCTCTTCCTCCTGCTCTGGCCATGTAAGATGCCTGCTCCCCCTTCACCTCCTGCCATGATTGTAAGTTTCCTGATGTCTTCCCACAAACAGAAGCTGCTATACTTCCTGTACAGCCCGCAGAACCATGATCCAATGAAACCTCTTTTCTTTATAAATTCTCCAGTCTCAGTTATTTCTTTATAGCAGTTTGAGAACGAACCAATACACCCCCATCGCAGAGTGACAGCCAATGCCATCAGAGTGGCCTCCAGGAGGCCTGCAGGACCCCCCTACACCTACACCTCCATGTCCCTCCCCTCCCTGCCACCCCCTCCTGCTCTGCTCCAGCCACACTGGCCCCCTCGTGGTTCCTTGAACGTGCCAGATGAGCCTGACCCAAGAGCCTGCTCCTGCCCATTCCACTCCCCAAAAATCTCTTCCACAGAGAGCCAGGGGCTCCCGCCCTGTCTTCCTCAGGTCTTGGCTGTCTGATTTTCAGTTGCACCCCTGCCCTCCCTCTCCCCTTCCCTCACCTCTTCCTGCGTAACAGGTATCTCCTATTTTACCTCTATCTCCTCAGCATCCCCAGAACAATGCAAGCTCCCTCATTACAGAGCTCCATGTTTATTGATCATTAAGGTTTGGGGAATAATGCAGTAACCATCAGTATTTTAATTATACAAAAGGAAAAACTGAGGCACAGCAAAGTGAAGTCACCTGCTCAGTCACATCGGATAGTGAAGAGCAGAGGTGGGGTCCAACCCATCGGGGACTGTTCCAGAGCTTGTGGCCTCTGGCCAGGCAGGTCTCACCCTCTCCTTCTAAGGGCAGGGCCTGGCCAATAGTGCATGCTTAGTAAGGGTGAGTGCTTCTCTTCCCAGTGTTCACGTTATTCACTCCAGATTTGATTACAGCTCACTACCACGTTATTCACTGCAGATTTGATTACAGCTCACTACTATATGCTCCTGTGGCACAGAACATGTTTCCTTCACAGTCCATACTGCTGTTGTTAAAGAATTAAGGTCAAGACTGGTATTGTGGCTCACGCCTACAATCCAAGCACTTTGGGAGGCCCAGGTAGATCACTTTAGTTCAGGAGTTTGAGAGCAGCCTGGCCAACAGGGTGAAACCCCGTCTCTACTAAAAATACAAAAATTAGCCAGGTGTGGTGGTGTGTGCCTGTAGTCCCAGCTACTTGGGAGGCTGAGGCAAGATAATTGCTTGAATCCGGGTAGCAGAGGTTACAGTGAGCCAAGATTGCAGCACTGCACTGCAGCCTGAGTGACAGACAGAGTGACACTCCATCTCAAAGAGAAAAAACAAAACAAAGCAAAAAAAAAAAAAAAAAGAATTAAGGCCAGCATGGCGGCTCATGCCTGTAATGCCAGCACTTTGGGAGGCTGAGGCAGGATGACTGCTTGAGCCAGGGAGCTCAAGACCAGCCTGAGCAACATAGTGAGACTCTGTCTCTAAATTTAAAAAAAAAATGTTTTAAAATGCGCCAGGTGTAGTGGTGCACACCTGTAGTCCCAACAACTTGGGAAGCTGAGTGGGAAGACTGCTTGATCCCAGGAGTTCAAGGCTGCAGGGGAGCTATGATCAAGCCACAGCACTCCAGCCTGGGTGACAGCAAGTCAATGTCTCTTTAAAAAAGGGATTAATTGTGGGATTTCACAAACAGTGCAGAGGGAGACGCCTGACATCAAGGAGTATCTACGGTATGATTCCGTTTATAAAGTTCTAAAATAGGCTCAGCTAATCTATGGTGAAGATGTTAAATAGCAGTTACCCACTGGGGTATGAGGGAACTTTCTGGGGGCTGGGGACGGTCTAGATCTTGATCTAGGTGCTGGTTACATGGTTGCATTCTCAGGTAAAAATTCATGGAGCCGCGTATGTAAGTTTAGTGCACTTTGCTATGTTAAGTTATTCATCAACTTACAGATAAAAGGAGGAAGAGAATATCAGGAAAGTCCAGCCCCCTTTCCCCAAAATTAATTTTGCAATTTTAGTTAATGGCTCTTCTCCAAGTAACCACAAGCTGTGAGAGGGCAAAAACCACACCTGCAATACTCATGTCTGTATCCTACACCCAGCACAGTGTGCGTTCAGGACAAGCATCAAGAACTACTCACTGCAGGCTGGGCATGGTGGCTCACACCTGTAATCCCAGCACTTTGGGAGGCAGAGGTGGGTGGATCACTTGAGCCTAGGAGTTTAAGACCAGCCTGGGCAACATCGTATAACTCAGTCTCTACAAAAATTACAAAAAAAAATACAAAAATTAGCCAGGTGGCACACGCCTATAGTCACAGCTACTTGGAAGGCTGAGGTGGGAGAATCACCTGAGCCCAAGAGGTCGAGGTTGCAGTCAGCCGTGATCGTGCCACTGCACTCCAGCCTGGGTTCTGTCTCAAAAGAAAGAAAGAGGGAAAGAGAAAGAGAGAGAAGAGAAGAGAAGAGGAAATATTCACTGCACCAGCCTGGGCAACATGGCAAAACCCTGCCTCTACAAAAATTACCAAAAAATATCAGCCAGGTGTGGTGGTGCACACCTGTAGTCCCAGCTACTCAGGAGGATGGGGTTGGAGGATCGTTTAAGCCCAGGAGGCCAAGGTTGCAGTGAGCCGAGATCACACCACTGCACTCCAGCCTGGGTGACAGAGTGAGGTCCTGTTTTATTTTATTTTATTATTGTTTTTGAGACGGAGTCTCAGTCAGTCACCCAGGCTGGATTGCAATGGCACGACCTCGGCTCACTGCAACCTCTGATTCCCAGGTTCAAGTGATTCTCCTGACTCAACCTCCTAAGTAGCTGGAATTGCACGTACCTGCTATCATGCCTGGCTAATTTTTGTAGAGATAGGGTTTCACCATGTTGCCCAGGCTGGTCTTGAACTCCTGACCTTAGGTGATCCGAGGCCCTTTAAAAAAAATAATTCCCTGCAAAAATAAATAAATGAAGTAATCACTACTCAAGTGGCCATTTGTACATTCCAAAGATGGCCGCAACAGCATCTCCCCTCCCCAATCTCTTCCCTCTGTGACCTAGTAGTCCCTCACTGGGAGGTGGCATCTATCTCTTCCCACATTTGATCTGGGGCGGTTCTGTAACTACTTCAACCAAAACTATGTGGCACAGAGTGGAAAACAGGCGGTTCCTCAAAAAGTTAGACACAGAATCACCATATGACCCAGCAATTCCACCCCTAGGTACATACCCCAAAGACTGAGAGCAAGGACTGAAACAGATACTTATCTGCTGCTGTTCGTTGCAGCACTACTTATTTTTTGTTTGTTTGTTTTTTCTTTTTGAGACAGAGTTTCTCCCTATTGCCCAGGCTGGAGTGCAGTGGCGCAATCTTGGCTCACTTCAACCTCCACCTCCTTGGTTCAAGTGATTCTTGTGCCTCAGCCTCTCGAGTAGCTGGGATTACAGGTGTGTGCCACCAAGCCTGGTTAATTTTTGTATTTTTTTTGTAGAGATGGGTTTCATCATGGTAGCCAGGCTGGTCTTGAACTCCTGACCTCACGTGATCTGCCCACCTTGGCCTCCCAAAGTGCTGGGATTACAGGCATAAGCCACCGTGCCCTGCCAATTGCAGCACTATTCATAAAAGCCAGAAGGCCGGGCGCAGTGGCTCACGCCTGTAATCCCAACACTTCAGGAGGCTGAGGCAGGTGGATCACCTGAGGTCAGGAGTTCGAGACCAGCCTGGACAACATGGTGAAACCCCATCTCTACTAAACATACAAGAATTAGCTGGGTGTGGCGGCAGGTGCCTGTAATCCCAGCTACTTGGGAGGCTGAGGCAGGAGAATCACTTGAACCCAGGAGGCGGAGGTTGTGGTGAGCTGAGATCGTGCCATTGCACTCTAGCCTGGGGGACAAAAGTGGAACTCCGTCTCAAAGAAAAAAAAAAAAGAGCCAGAAGGGGGAAACAAACCCAAGGGTCCATGAGCATATGAGCAGATAAACAAAATGTGATCTCTCCACACAACAGAACAGAGCAATTGCTGAAGGAGGGCCATGTACTCAGTTATTCTCAACCACTCCTCCGGCAGCAGGCAAAGTTGGAACCCTAGAGCCATCAGAGAGAGTACAGTCCTACTGATCTCTGGATTTTGGACTTCTGGCCTCTAGAACTGTAAGAGAATAAACTTCCATTGTTTTGAGTCACTCAGTTTGTGACAATTTTTTTGCGGCAGCTCCAGAAAGTGAATGTATGATCTCAATGAATATTTTTACTGATCATGTCAGCTATTACTACTACCACCTCCAATGTACAAAGGATCACCTCCTGCAATTTAAAGCTTGCACAGGGTCAGGTGCGGTGGCTCACGCCTGTGATCCCAGCACTTTGGGAGGCTGACGCAGGTGGATCACTTGAGGTCAGGAGTTTGCGACCAGCCTGGCCAACATGGTGAAACCCCTTCTCTACTAAAACTACAAAAAATTAGCTGGGCGTGGTCGCTTGTACCTGTAATCCCAGCTACTCAGGAGGCTGAGGCAGGAGAATCTCTTGAACCTGGGAGGTGGAGGTTGCAGTGAGCTGCAATCACACCACTGTACTCCAGCCTGGGTGACAGAGCAAGACCCCATCTCCAAAAAAAAAACCAAAAAACAAAAAACAAACAACAAAAAACCTTTAACTTGCACAGGAGGAAAGGGAGTTTCAAATTCATACATGATTCCAAAGGCTTGGATCTGAACCCAGGCACTGACTGCAATTGCTCATGCCTGGACTGTTCCGGGCATTTCCAGATCATCCTCTCTTCCTGTCTCCACCTGAATCCAAGCCACTTCCACTTGTAATTGACTGTGGCAGCCACCTAAATGGTCTCTCTGATCCCATCGAGGTCTTGTTCAATCCACTTTGCACGGAGCAGCCATAGGGATTATTTTAAAGTGAAACACATCATGTCACTCCCTAGTTAAAAACCTACCAAACATCTCTAATTGCAGAGAGAATAAAACCCAACCTTCTAATGATGACCTCAAGTCCTCCCAACGTGGGACCTGCCATGCATCTGCTGTGTCCCTGCCTGGAATGAGTTTCCCCCGGGGCCCGAAACGGCTGTCTCATTCCTCAGCCCAAATACCACCTGCTCAGAACAGCCTTCCTTGACCCCAACTTAAAGTAGTCCCACTGCTTTCAGACCAACACATTTTATTTTTGTCACCCTTATCTGTCTCTTTCTCATTCGTTCATGATTCATCGGTCCCTCTCCGCCAGCACGCAAGCTCCTCGTCTCTTGTTCTCCTTGATTTCACAGTCGACGCGCAATGTAAGTTACATGCTGAGAGTTGGTAATTCCCTGGGACATGGATGCCTCTGGGGATGGGAGCAGCAAGCCAGTTTTCCAGGAGAAAAAATTAAAATCAATGAATGTTCACTTAACCTGAGGAGCTTCCTCCACAGGGGAAGTGGATGCCCTGGGGTCAGCTTGAAGAGGCCTGTCCAAGACCAGGCTTCTCCAATCTGCCCCCCAGGCACCCGGCTGCTGGGAACACTTCCTATTCACTCCTGTAATGGTCCCATGGGCCTATCAGCATCTATAGGCCAGAAGAAGGGCTGGCCAGAGCTCAGGGACCACAGTCAGGTTGCTGATACCAAACTTCTCTATTTATTTTTTTTTGAGACAGAGTCTCGCTGTGTCACCCAGGCTGGAGTACAGTGGCTCCACAGCTTCGGCTCACTGCAACCTCTGCCTCCTTTCAAGTGATTCTCCTGTCTCAGACTCCTGAGTAGCTGGGATTACAGGCGTGCACCACCCACGGCTAATTTTTGTATTTTTAGTAGAGACAGGGCTTCATCATGTTGGCCATGCTGGTCTTGAACACCTGACCTCAAGTGATCCGTCTGCCTCAGCCTCCCAAAGTGTTGGGATTACAGGAGTGAGCCACCACGCCTAGCCTGATCCCAAAATTTTTGAGAGTTCCCGACCAGAGGTCAGCCTTCTTCCCCAGGGTCCCCCTGCACAGTCACCCTGGCCCTTCTTTAATCCTCCTGGGTTCCCAGTGCTGTGCTGAGTCCTGGACAGAATGGAGTGCAACAGTAGGAACCTTGGATTACAGAGGTAATGGGGCCCAGGTGTTAGGGTCATGGGCTGTGCACTCAGACCTGGGTTTGAGTCCCAGCTCTGTCCTGTACTATGGCTGCAATCTTCAATAAGTTACAAAATCGAAGGCGGATTTTGGCTCAATAACTAAGAAAGCTCCTTGCCTTGGAGCGGGATCCACTCTGGAGGCTGGACGCCTTCTTGTCTAAGATGCAGGAGAGAGGCTTTAAGCATCAGGCAAAGGGACTTGGTTTAGACCCAATCAGCTCAGAGATCCCTCATAGTCCCAGGTTCTAAGGTTCTGTGCATTGTTTAATTATCCACTCCCTCGGGTCAACTGCTCTGCCCCAAGAACTGGCATTGAGCTGGTGTACTGGAGTCAAACCACTCTGTTCAGTTTCCACTGAAAACTGCTCTGTATCTCTACTGACTTCGAGTGCTATGTATTTTCAGACTTAACATCACTCCAATGCAAGGAAAATTTCTTTCCACTTAGCAGATGAGAAAACGGAGGCAAAGAAAGCCGAAAGGCCCTGTGGTGGATTAGGCTTTATCTACACTCACCCGATGCTAACTGATTTCCAGACATCACTGATGCTTTTAAACGTCTTCTGATGTAGTGGAGTAGTGCCAGTTTGCAGACTGAGAAGCTGAGGCTGACATAAGGTTGAGCAAAACTCATCCTATTCTTGCCACAAGTAAGCGGCAGTTGGGATTTGAACCAGGTCTGTCTGGCTGCCTAGTTTTTCTGCAGAATCATGAATGCAGTGCTTAGGGGTGATTCTGCAGAGGTGGAGAAACACAATCTTTACAATCATTGGGATCCTGCAGGAAATTAAAACTACAGCAAGGCGCTGGCCTCTTAACCAGTATGAACCATCTGCTTCTCATTCCAGTCTTTCAACAGAAATCTCTGAAGAGTTCTCCTCTCTCTCCCACAATGCCAGCTCCAGTGGGGAGATGTCTTGTAGACTCAGCACTTTCTCCCAAAACCGCGTAGCTTTGACATGCTGCTCTTACTTGCAAAGGACGTCCCCAAGCAAAGCTGGGGCTCTCCAGACTCGAGACCCAGAACAAAGAACTGAGCTCATAGGGACAGTCACTGATCAGACAAGGTCAAATGCCCTTGTCCCCAGGTACTAAAGGGTCATCACCTCTCAGGCTTGCTGGCCCAGTGGCTCCAGCAGAATGCTGCCAGCTGGGCCTGACAATCAAGTGAAACGTCGGGAATGGGGAGGAAGTCGGGGAAGGCAGAGTGTAGGCGGGAGCACAGAGTTCTCTGTGTGTCCCAAACCGGAACTCAGGTGTTAGGATGCGGCGGCCTGCCTTCCTTCTCCCGTGCTTCCTTCTCTGCCAGGACACAGCCCAGGACAGACACCTAAAGTTACTCCAGGGATGTCTCAGCCTTGGGAATGCACCCATCATGACTGACTCCACACTCCACTGGAATTTGAGCCGCTTTTTTCAGCAAAGTGGCAATGGCAACTGAGAACCTCAAAACAAAATCTTTCATAGCTGGCCCCAGGTGCGGTGGCTCATGCCTGTAATCCCAGCACTTTGGGAGGTTGAGGTGGGAGGATGGCTTGAGCCCAGGAGTTCCAGACCAGCTTGGGCGATATAGTGAGACCCCATCTCTACAAAAAATAAAAAAGGTAGCCAGGCATGGAGGCATGTGCCTGTGGTCCCAGCTGCTCGGGAGAATTGCTTAAGCCCAGGAGCTCAAGGCTATTGTGAGCCATTGATTGCACCACTGCACTCCAGTCTGGGTGACAGAGCAAGACCCTGTCTCAAAAACAAAACAAAACAAACAAACAAAAAACGTGCAAGGTGAATGCATGTAAAGCTGGGGAAATCTGAATAAAATGGATGGAGTGGGCCGGGCGCGGTGGCTCACGCCTGTAATCCTAGCACTTTGGAAGGCCGAGGCGGGCGGGTCAGAAGATCGAGACCATTCTGGCTAACACGGTGAAACCCTGTCTCTACTGAAAAAAAAAAAAAAAAAATCTGGGCATTGTGGCGGGCGCCTGTAGTCCCAGCTACTCGGGAAGCTGAGGCAGGAGAATGGCGTGAACCTGGGAGGCAGAGCTTGCAGTGAGCGGAGATCGTGCCACTGTACTCCAGCCTGGGTGACAGTGCGAGATTCTGTCTCAAAAAATAAACAAATAAATAAAAATAAAGAATAAAAAAATTAAAATTAAAATGGATGGACTGTATCAATGTCAGTATCTTGGTTGTGATATTGTACTCTATGGGTTAGTAAGATGGTGCCGTTGGGGAAAATAGGATGAAGGACCCATAGGATCTCTCTGTATCATTTCTTATGACTGTGTGTGAATCTACACTAATCTCAAAACAAAAAATTTACTTAAAAGAATGGGCAAAGTGAAACAAAATAAAACCCTCCAAGCAAATTCAAGACCTAAAAACAAGCTGGGCATGGTGGCTTATACTCGTAATCCCAGCACTTTGGGAAGCTGAGGCAGGCAGATCACTTGAGGTCAGGAGTTCAAGACCAGCCTGGCCAACATGGCAAAACCCAGTCTCTACTAAACATACCAAAATTAGCCCAGTATCATGGCACATGCCTATAATCCCAGCTACTCAGGAGGCCGAGGCATGAGGATCACGTGAACCCGGGAGGCGGAGGTTGCAGTGAGCTGAGATCGTGCCACTGCACTCCAGTCTGGGTGACAGAGCGACACTCAGAGTCTGTCTCAAAAAACTAAAAATAAAAAGACCTAAAAAGAGTATTCCCTTCAATAACATGGATTTGAAATGCATGGCTCCACTAATATGAGGATTTTTTTCAATAAATATACTGGAATTTTTTTTGGAGATTTGTGACAACTAGAAAAACTCAAAGACAAACTGTGTAGCCTAGAAACATTGAAAAAATTTAAGAAAAAGCTAGGTATGTCATGGATGCATAAAATATACGTAGAGGCTAATCTTGTAATTAACTGTTTATGTTACTAGTAGGCTTCAGGTTAGCCGGATGCTATTAGTAGTAAAGTTTTTGGGGAGTCAAAAGTTACACATGGAGGCTGGGCATTGTGGCTCAAGCCTGTAATCCCAACACTTTGGGAGTCTGAGGCAGGTGGATCACCTGAGGTCATGAGTTCGAGACCATCCTGGCCAACATGGTAAAACCCCATTCTCTACTAAAAATACAAAAATTAGCCAGATGTGGTGGTGTGCACCTGTAATCCCAGCTACTCAGGAGGCTGAGGCAGGAGAATCATTTGAACCTGGGAGGTGGAGATTGCAGTGAGCTGAGATTGCACCACTGCACTCCAGCCTGGGCAACAGAGTGAGGCTCCATCTCAAAAAAGAAAAAGGTACCTTTGGATCCTTCAAAGGTCTGAGCCAAGCAAAGTTCTCCTTAAATGTAGTAGGGGAAGTGTTCTTTCAGTCAGCCAGGTAGCCGAACCCCCGCACAAAGGGCAAGGCAAGAGATTTGCATGTTTGCTTGCTCCTTCAAGATAGAAATGCAGATAGCTAGCCCAGCGGAGTGCAGTGACCTTTGGCATACCATGTTCAGCAGCAAAGGTGTGAATTTGTGAGCATGCTCCATTCCCATCAGGAGGAAGAAAATATGACATGGCAAGTGCTAAGAGCTTCAGGCCCTTTTGGGGGGATTTTCCTCTCAATCCCCCTAGCAAAAAAGGTATGAGTCTGCAGTACTGGAAATGTCCTGGAATGCAGCTTCCAAGAGGCAAACCTCACCTGCTCAACTGCCTCCTTCTTAGCCATGTTGCCGAAAGCATTTTATGGACTCTATTTATTTATTTACTTATTTATTAATTATAATGTATTTTTTTGAGATAGGGTCTTGCTTTGTCGCCCAAGCTGGAGGGCAGTGGTGTGATCACAGCTCACTGCAGCCTTGATTTCCTGGGCTTATCCTCCCAACTCAGCCTCCCGGGTAGCTGGGACCACAAGCATGAACCACAGTGCCTGGCTAATTTTTTTATTTTCTGTAGGGACAAAGTCTTACTTTGTTGCCCAGACTGGTCTCTAACTCCTGGCCTTAAGTGATCCTCCCACCTTGGCGTCCCAAAGTTCTGGGATTACAGACATGAGCCCACGGCGACTGGCCCACGTTTTACTGACTCTAACATGGAACCCAGGTCCTGCCACTCTACTGGAAGGAAAGTTCAGAAGCCCGATAAGAACCAGTCACCAGGGACAAGGTACTGAAAACAGGTGTGGTTCGTAACAGAAACTTCCTGTGAAAACACTGGAAGGGGTATAGAAGTTGTGCTCTTTTATTCAGGGTTTTGCAACCTCAGCACTATTGACTTTTGGGGCCAGGTAATTCTTTGTTGCGGAGGGAGGAGTTAGAATGGTTAGCAGAATCCCTGGCCTCTGCCCACCAGATGCCAGTAGCATTCTTCATTCCCCCACCAGTTGTAACAACCAAAAGCATCTCCAGACCTTGCCAAAAGTCCCTTGGCACTGGGCGCGGTGGCTCACACCTGTAATCCCAGCACTTTGTGAGGCTGAGGGCAGAGGATCGCCTGAGATCAGGAGTTTGAGACCCGCCTGGCCAACATGGCGAAACCCCCTCTCTATTAAAAATACAAAAATGTTGCCGAGTGTGGTGGTGCACGACTGTAATTCCAGCTACTCAGGAAGCTGAGGCAGGAGAATTGCTTGAACCCAGGAGGCAGAGATTGCATTGAGCCAAAATTGTGCCACTGCACTCCAACCTAGGCAACAGAGTGAGAGTCTGTCTTGGAAAAAAAAAAAAGTTCCCTGGGGAGCACAGTTGCAGCAGAGAACCCTGCTCTCCAGGAAATGTGGCAGGTTATCTGCTCCAATGTGATGTATTAACTGCAGGCAGGTGCAAGTGTTCAGGTGAAGGGGTTCAAATCCCAACTCCCTCACTTGGTTTCTGAGGACCTGGTGCAAGTTCTGTAATAGCCCCTCATCTGTAAAATGGGTTTGAAACCACATCAAAGGGTTATTGTGGGGTTCCCAGAGAGGGTACTCATAGTACACAGTATATTACCAAGCACTAAGTAGATAATAAACAGAGGAGGTGTGGCTGTAGCATCAAGCTATGTGCCAATATGGGCAAGTGTGGTTTGACGAAGGGAGAGCTTAACTGAAATCTGTATTCTATTTTTCAGGGTTTTTTTTTTTCCCCCAACACACTGCCAATACTTATTCTAAAAATTCTAAAACAACATTATTTCCCCCAGGCTCTAAAACCTCCCTGAAGCAGTGTTAACTCCTGGCTTCTTCATACATTCATTTGCAAACAAATTCCCACCTTGAAAACCCACAAAGAACACAGCGGCCACCTACATTCATGAAAACAACATCAATCCTGTCCGCTATGTTTGGCTCTCCTGTCCTGGAACAAGGGGCAGACCCATTTAATGAGATTTTGGGTGCTGGTGTATATTCAACTTCCTCCCCACAATTCTATAGAAACCCAGCAGATATTTACCTTGATGAAAACCTTCTTAATTACTCCACTTGGTGCAGAAAGAACCAAAACCCCATGTTGGCTGCCAAATTTAAAAGGCACTGCCGAGAATGAGATGAGGGTCTTAGATCTGGATAAATCATCGGATCCGCTCAAGGCACAGATTGGAAACATCTCAGAATCCTGTCCTACTCCCCAGAAATGTTGTCATTCTGTACGTAAAATTCCTGATGAGTATGACTCACTCTATATTTTGAAAAGGAAAAAAGTACCACAAAAAATGTAGAAAAATATATTGTTGGAGACTTTTATATTTGCCCTTTGGAAGGTGTGTGGTCTTAGGCAAGTGACTTAAGCTCTCTAAGCTTCTGTGTTCTTATCCATAGAGTAGGAATCATGCCTCCACGGGTGAGGAGTAGAGATGATGGTGAATGAGGAGAAACAGTTCAAGTTCACAGCACTGCGGCTGGCACCAGGTCCACCTTAAGGGACACTCCAGCAAGCAAGACACTCGCCAGGCTGGGGAGAAAAGAGTTCCAGACCTGAGATGGTGCCAGGCAGATGCTGCTGCTGCCAGAACCTGGGCTGACTGCACAGTAAAACTGTTGCTTCCACTGCTAGCAAAAATGAAATGTTCAGTGCCAGGAGCTGGGAGATGAAGCTTAATAAAACTGATGTGTCACTCCAGGGGTTGCCATACACATTCTTCTCCTGCCAAGAAGCAACCCTAGTTGTGCTGAAAAGGCTCTTGGAACTACCCTAAATCTGGAATATTCAAGGTGACTCTTGTTATTGTTCTTAGGATAGTTGTTCTAGGTATAAAAACCAGCTGTTGAATGTAGTTTAAAGGCCTTGAGGTCTGGTCCCTATCACCATTCCAATTTCTGTGCATAGCACCTTCCTGACTCTGGGTTTGGCCACGAGGATCTACTGTTTGTCCTGGGAAGGCTTCTACTCAGTCTTTGCAGATGCTGTTCCCACCACCCAAAATGCTTTTCCCTTGCTTCTGATTCCTTCATTTCTACTCACACTTCTGATATCAGTTCATGACTCACTTTCTCAGAGAAGACTTCCCTGAACCTCTCCCACCAGATCAAATCTTCCTTTTAGCACAGAATCCTACACAGCTCCCCTTTGTGGCCCCATCACATTCATATGTTACCTCTATTTGTGGAATTATTTGGTTCATGTCTTGTCACTTATAAGACTATACACTTTAAGGTAGAAGTTGTGCATATGATTAGACTTGAATTCCCATCATGATACCATCTGGCACTGTACTGGAAGCCCAATACATTTTTGTCAAATTGTTAGTAAGTCTTGATTGGTGCAGTCTCTTTAGAGGGCAACGAGGCAATGCCTATCATATTCTAAGGCTACAGCAGTCAAGATGTGGTATGGGGGCAAAGATTAAACACACGGATTAATAGAACCGAACAGAGAATAGAAACACATACATGCATATATGGACACTTGATTTTTGACAATGGAGGCAGTGATACTGGGCCAAATGAACTATCTATGTAGGAAAAAATTAATCATGATTCTACCTAATACAATACATAAAAATCAACCCTAGGTGGATGCTGGAGATAAATATGAAAGGCAAAACATGAAAGCTTCCAGAAGATAATAGAAGAAACAACACAAATGACGTTGAACTTTTTTTTTTTTTTTTTTGAGACAGGGTCTCACTCTATCACCCAGGCTGGAGTGCAGTGGTGCAATCTCGGCTCACTGCAACCTCTGCCTTCTGGGTTCAAGTGATTCTCCTGCCTCAGCCTCCCAAGTAGCTGGGACTAAAGGCACCTGCCACCACGCCCGGCTAATTTTTTTGTGTATTTTTAGTACAGATGGAATTTCACTATGGTGGCCAGGCTGGTCTCGAACTCCTGACCTCGTGATCCACCTGCCTTGGCCTCCCAAAGTGTTGGGATTACAGGTGTGAGATACCATGCCCAGCTGGACTTCTTAAGTAGGACACAAAAAGCATTAACCATAAAGGAAGACCAGGCTTGGTGGCTCATGCCTGTAATCCCGGCACTTCAGGAGGCTGAGATGGGAGGATCACTTGAGGCCAAGAGTTTGAGACTAGCCTGGGCAACATAGTAAGACCCTGGCCTTGGTGACTATTTGCCTCTAATGAGGCAAAGGGGTCCACAGGATGGGGATGAGGGAGAAAAATTTACTTTTTTTTCTGTAGATTGAGTTGCAGTGTTTGAGTGTTTTACCACGTGCCATGATTGCCTATTCAAAAAGTAAATTGTTAAAAAAACAGAGTAAGTCTATACAGACTTGAGGAATAAAGGTACAGGAAGGGAAGGAGGAGGGCTTCTAAGTCCCTGGCCCTGGGAGGTCCTCCAATAACCCCATGTTTGGAGACTTAGGTTTTGGAGCCAGGCAGATCCTAGTTCAAGTCCTGTTTCAACTTCTTGCTACCTCTGTGACCTTGGTGAAGAAGCTTAAAAGAAGAAGACCTTTCCCACCTTACTAAGAGGTTAAAAATGAGATAGTCCAAGTAGTACCCAGTGTTACCCAGTGTCTTGTAGGTAGGAAGCATTCAACTTTTGGCCGGGTGCGGTGGCTCATGCCTATAATCCCAGCACTTTGGGAGGATTGCTTGAGGCCAGGAGTTTGAGACCAGCCTTGGCAACATAGCAAGACCTTGCCTCTACAAAAAAAATAAAAAATAAGTAAAATAGCGGGGCAGGGAACGGGCCTATAGTTCCAGCTACTGGGGAGGCTGAGGCAGGAGGATCCCTTGAGCCTAGAGGCCGAGGCTGCAGTAAGCTACGATGGTGCCAGTGCACTCCAGCTTGAGCAACAGAGTGAGACCCCTGTCTCTTAAAAAAAAAAAAGAGCATTCAACTCTTATCATCCAGTTTTCCAATTTAACAACCATTCATATAATGTTTCAAAAGGTAGTTTTGTTGTTGCCATTTTACAGGTGAGGAAACTGAGGCCTGGACAGAAATCACTGGCTCCCGGGCACTCAGGGAGCCAGCAGCACAGCTGCTTTCCAGACTCAGGACTTTCCCCTGATCTCACAGGTCTAAGACACAGGCCTCAGCCCAAGCCCCACCACAGGCCTTTCAGGGGATGCACCGCGTGGGACCTGATGGATGACCCGCAAATGATCTGATTTGTTGACAGGTGGCTGCTGCTGGAAGGACTGCTCAGTCCAAACAAACAGCAAGCTGCTCAGCTTCTGTTTTTGTTTTGTTTTTTGTTTTTTGAGATGGAGTCTCACTCTGTCGCCAGGCTGGAGTGCGGTGGCGCGATCTCGGCTCATTGCAACCTCCGACTCCCTGGTTCAAGCTATTCTCCTGCCTCAGCCTCCCGTGTGGCTGGGATTACAGGCATGCGCCACAACACCCAGCTAATTTTTTTTGTATTTGTAGTAGAGACGGGGTTTCACCGTGTTGACCAGGATGGTCTCCATCTCCTGACCTCGTGATTCGCCCGCCTCAGCCTCCCAAAGTGCTGGGATTACAGACCGGAGCTCAGCTTCTGAAGAACCCGGAAGAGCGGGACCCAAGACTAGCACCTGCTCCGTGGGAGGGCAGGCGGCCAAGTGCTCTCGGCAAACACTTTCCGTCCAGATGTGCGTCCCCACCTCAGGGTCACTGTTTCCCTCTCTCTCCACAATGCACCCACCATCTCTTCCTCTCAAGGGAAAAAAAACAGACTAGACCCAACCTGGCTCACCTATGATCCGGGAGTGGTTCAGCAAGCTTCAGCATGCCTTCACCTCCACCCATCCAAGGCCACTCTGCACTTCCAAAGCCCCTGAGTACAAACAAGGTTGGCCTTGCACTCCACACCCTGTCTCTGGGGCTAAGGAAAGCACTTTCAGACTTTCTCCACATACCATCAGTTCATATTCAGCATTGATGACTTTTCAAGTCTTTCTCATTTGCAGGGGTAGTTCATTTCCCAAACTCTGCTGTGATCATTAGGTGCAAAGACATTATTGCACCCTTTGATGGAGGAGTAAACTGAGGTCAGAGCCAGCAGTGGGCATATGCAGAGGCGTCCATGTGGGTCAGTCCTAGACACCAGGGCTCCAGAGTCTTCAAGCCTCGGTTTCTCACTAGAAATGCTCCCTTCAGTAGGAGACCCTGGGCGAGTCAGTCATCCTTTCTGAGTTTCCATTTCCTGTCTCTGAAATCTGATCAGCCTTTCCTCATAGGGCTGTTGTGAGCGACAAGGTGAGCAACTACACACAAATACACAGCCAATGTGAGTGGCTACTACTCATGGGTCATTGTCATTATCATGGGTAAAGCTGGAGCCAAAACTCTGTCCAGGGTTCTCTGCATGTTTTCTCCCACTCACCCTGCCAGCCTGCCTCTGAATCCCTCCTGGAACCTGTCCCCAGGTCAGAATGTCCACACTCTTCTGTGTGTGGCTCTTTTTTGAGCCCTGCTTCCAGCCCCTTGCAGGACTGGACACTTAGGGCTGGGGCAGGATGCCAGGCATGCAAATTTGCATGCAGGCATTCATTTGCACAAATGCTCCTTGGTGTGTGCATTTTCAGCCTGTCCCCAGACCGGCGCTCAGCCTGCGAAGCCAGCAGAGTGCTATTTACAGCTCTGGGCAGAGAGAGGAGGCAGGCTTTGTTCCCGTGCACAAAACAGCCCTGTCCTGCCGGGGTGGTGCCTTGCTCTTTTGGCTGGTGTTCAGCCAACCTTGCCCTGAAGGAGCTTCCACGTTCTAAAACCTTTTGCAGGAAGGTCAGCAATCTGCCCCTGGGATTGGCTGTTTCCCTAAGGAAATCTGAGCTCAAAGGCTAGTGGGAGAAGGTGTCTGTCTACTCTCCATTCAGCTTCCAGGAGGATCTTTCTCAAGTGATAACAAAATCACATCACTGCCTTGCTTTAATCTCTTCCATGGTTCCCTATGGGTCTCTGAGTCAAGTCCAAATTCAAGATCATGGGTCACCTGGCGGGACATGATCTACTCTTCCTACAGCCTCCTCTTGCCACTCCTCATCCACCCATGCCTCTCCATCACTTGAACATTGGTTTTTTGTTTTTTTGTTTTTTCGATGTTGCTGTTGTTTGTTTTTTTGTTTTTGTTTTGAGACAGGGTTTTGCTCTGTTGCCCAGGCTGGAGTGCAGTGGCGTAATCTTGGCTCACTGCAACCTCCGCCTCCCGGGTTCAAGCGATTCTCCTGCCTCAGCCTCCCAAGTAGTTGGGACTACAGGCGCAGGCTGCCACGCCAGGCTAATTTTTTTTTTTGTATTTTTAGCAGAGACAGGGTTTCGCTGTGTTGCCCAAGTTGGTCGCGAACTCCTGAGCTCAGGCAATCTGCCTGCCTCGGCCTCCCAAAGTGCTGGATTACAGGCGAGAGCCACCACACCCGGCGTAACATTGTTTTTATAGAAAAAGAGTTATGCACTACCTACTTACAACACAAATTTTTGGATTATCTGATTCTAGCCTTGTTCACTTGTTCATTATTATTGTTATTTTGAGACAGGGTCTCCATTGCTCAAGCTGGAGTGCAATGGCGTGATCCTGGCTCACTGCAACCTCCCCTTCCCAGGCTCAAGTGATTCTTGTGCCTCAGCCTCCCGAGTAGTTGGCACTATAGGCACGCACCACCATGCTTGACCAATTTTTTGTATTTTTGGTAGAGACAGGGTTTCACCATGTTGCCCAAGGTGGTCTCGAACTCCTGAGCTCAAGCAATCTGTCCACCTCGGCCTCCCAAAGTGCTAGGATTGCAGGCATGAACCACCATGCCTGGCCTTGTTCATTATTTTCAAACTACTTTGCTGACTCCTTTGTAAGTTGTAGAAAACTGATAGACAAGCAAATTCTGCCTTGTCCAACCATGTTTGCCTCTGTTTTGAATCTATTTAGACCTCCCTTTACTCTTTACATATTTGTGCTTTATTTGACTTTTCCTTTGAACTGGTTCTAATGTCTGCCTGGTTCCCTCATTGAATGAGCCTAATAAAATCATTGAGTGTTTTTGTATCTGTATGAGATTCATGATTTTACCCTCCACCTTTTTTTTTTTTTTTTTGAGACAGGATCTCACTCTGTTGTCCACGCTGGAGTGCAGTGGCATGATTATGGCTCAGTGCAGCCTGGCTCGGCCTCCTTGACTCAAGCGACCCTCCTGCCTCAGCCTCCTGAGTAGCTGGGACTACAGGTGCACATTACCACACCTGGCTAATTTTTAAAATTTTTTGTAGAGAAGGGGTCTTGAGGGGTCTTGCTATGTTGCCCAGGCTGGTCTCAAACTCCTGGGCTCAAGTAATCTTCCTGCCTCAGCTTCCTGAGTAGTTGGGACTACAAGCATGCATCACCATGCCCGGCTAATTTTAGTATTTTTTGTAGAGGCGGGGTTTGGCCATGTTGGCCAGGCTGGTCTTGAACTCCTGGGTTCAAGTGATCCACCCACCTCGGCCTCTCAAAGCGCTGGGATTGCAGGTGCGAGCCACCATACGCTGTCTATCCTTCCTTTTTCCCCTGCGATTTTCTTGGAACGGCTTCCTATGAACTCTCTGGGCCTGTTCATGATGCTCTCCCTGCACAGAGTCTCTTTCTCTTCTTTTCTGCCTTTTCCTCCTGAAATTTCTTCCCTAGAATCCCCAGGAACAGGGAGTGGTAACCTCTTTTTACTTTGAGCTTGAACCTGTATTCACTCCCACACACCTTCGGCACTCTCCTCACTGTGTGGTCCTTGTTTTGGGGCCTGTTTCCGCATGGCTAGTCTAGAAGAGGCGCTGGTGTAGTAGCTGAGTCTTTGTCTCTCCCTCCATCTCTCTCTCTCTCTCTGTCTCTCTCACACACACAGACACATAGACACGCACACACCCCTACTACTGTACACAGCACATGGAAATCATGCAATAAATGAACACACTCATTGACGAATGAATGCCAGATGGCTACGTCTGTCCACTCCAGATAAGCCATCAAAAGGGAGGCCTGGCTTTTCTTGTTCAATACTATAGATACCAGACAACCATGCCTGGAGTCTAGTAAGTACTCAATAAACACTGGTTGGATGAACAAAAGAATACAACTTAAGTTCTTGTTCTTGCATCACTTTCAAGTCATCTCCCCTTTCTCCAGTTTCAGAGGACAGACCTAAGTAGCTTCAGAATGCTCCCCCTACACCCCATATTTTCAGTATCATAGCAGCATTTCAGTTCTTTTCTCTCTCTCTCTCTCTCTTTTTTTTTTTTAGAAACAGGGTTCCACTATGTTGCCCAGGCTGGAGTGCAGTAGCTATTTACAGGCATAATTCCACTACCGATCAGCACAGGAGTTTTGACCTGCTCTGTTTCTGACCTGGGCTGGTTCACCCCTTCTTAGGCAAGCTGGTGGTCCTCCACTCCCAGGAGGTCACCATATTGATGCCGAACTAATGCAGACACCTGACTGGTATAGTACAGTACGGCCCAGAACTCCTGGGTTCAAGCAATCCTCTTGCCTCAGCCTCCCGAGTAGCTGGGACTACAGGCATGTGCCGCCCTGCTCAGTGGATACAGCATTTCAATCCTCTTGATCCCATTCCCTTTAAGGAGTGGAGAGTGATCTCCACTCTGCTTTCATGGTCATCGTGTGACCTTGGGCAAGGCACTGCTCCTCTGGGCTTCTGGTTTCCCACGGGTAAAGCGAGGCCAGTGTAGACATTTCAAGAGATAACGTCAGGCAAAGGTACAAATGGCCAGTAATGCCTGAAAGATGCTTCAGCTCAGGCACCAATTACATGGTAACAGATGCTGTCAATGTAACTTATCAGCAAAGCTATCCCTAGCTTAGCTCTGAGTGTGGGGTTTACAGATCTGTCTAAAATACGCTTCTCAAACTTAAAAGTGCACACAAATCACCCCAGGGGATATTGTTAAAACGCAGATTCACATTCTGTAGTTCTGGGTGGGGCCCAAGATTCTGCATTTCTAGCTAGCTCCTAGAAGATGCAATGCTGCTGGCCGCTGGACCACACTTTCAGTAGTAAGGTACTAGAATACAGTGGGTCCCACCTTTGAAGGAATTCTCAGTGCA
This sequence comes from Homo sapiens, assembly GCF_000001405.40. Lineage (NCBI taxonomy): Eukaryota > Metazoa > Chordata > Mammalia > Primates > Hominidae > Homo > Homo sapiens. The sequence continues at coordinate 8,682,728 of NC_000016.10, read as the reverse complement.
GCCCAGGGACAGAGTGCTGGCAAGTTGCTGATATCCAAGATAATAGATGTTAGCACCTAAATGGGAGATGCTGGCAGTGAAGATTACGGGACCTCTGGACAAGGACAAGGTTGGCAGGGGTCGGGGGCTGGTCCAGGATTCCTAGAGAACATGGAAATAGAGTTGGGAGCATTCTGGCCGCCGGTGATTCTACTAAATCATAATTCTGGTGGGCAGGGGCATCAATCTGTGTTTTAACAAGCTCTTGAGGGGATTCTGATGCTAAAGTTTGAAAAACACTGTGCTAGACAGAGATAAAGGGGCAGGCTACTCTGGTTGGAAGAATAGCGTTCTGTTTTCCCACAGTGGAATTTGTAAATTGGATTCATTTATTCATCCATTCATTCACACATGTATCCATCAATCTAGCCAACCAACAAAGGGGTTGTGTCTGTCCATCCATGCATCCATCTACACCCCCAGCCATCCAACATCCAACAAATACATCCTGAATGCCTCCTCTGTGTGTGTGTGTGTGTGTGTGTGTGTGTGTGTGTGTGTGTATCCTGTTAGGCACAAGCAATCTGATTGAAATTATAGATATACACGGCTGTCTTAGCCTCTAACCGGTGATTCTCAACCAGGGGCAATCTTGTTCCCCAGGGGACACTTCATAATGCCTGGAGACATTTCTGGCTGTCACAACGTGGAGGAAGGTATGTTGCCAGCGTCTGGTGGGTGGAGGCCAAGAATGCTGCTAAACATCCGGCACAGGACAGCCTCGCTTCCACGTCAGTAGTATAGAGGTGGGCCAGGAGAGGTGGCTCAGCCTGTAATCCCAGCACTTTGGGAGGCCGAGGCGGGTGGATCACCTGAGGTCACAAGTTCAAGACCAGCCTGGCCAACATGGTGAAACCCTGTCTCCACTAAAAATACAAAAATTAGCTGAGTGTGGTGGCGGGTGCCTGTAATCCCAGCTACTCAGGATGCTGAGGCAGGAGAATCGCTTGAACCCGGGAGGCAGAAGTTGCAGTGAGCTGAGATTGCACCACTGCACCCCAGCCTGGGCAACAGAGCAAGACTCCATCTCAAAAAAAAAAAAAAAAAAGATAGCAGTCATTGGATTAGGGGCCACTCTAATGCAGAAAGACCTCATTTCAACCTAACTATTTCTGCAAAGTCTCTATTTCCAAATTAGGTCCTATTCATAGGTTCCAGGTAAACATGATCATGCCACTGCACTCCAGCCTGGGCAACAGAGCAAGACTCCCTCTCAAAAAAAAAAAAAAAAGTGTAGAGGCTGAGAAACTTTGCAGTAGACTGTGAGTTCCTGATAGGCAGGAACTGGTGGTATTCCCAGGATCACAAGATAGTGTGTGACCTACAGGAGCTGAGCAAATATTTAAGTGGATGAAGAAATAGTGACACAAAGAAACATTTATTTATATAAAGAACTCTGGGCCAGGCGAGGCAGTTCACACTTGTAATCCCAGCACTTTGGGAGGCCGAGGTGGGAGAATCGCTTGATCCTAGGAGTTCAAAACCAGCCTGGGCTACATAGGGAGACTCCATCTCAACAACAACAAAAAAATGCTTTTTAAAAAATTAGCCAGGTGTGGTGGCACCTGTTGTGCCAGTTACTTGGAAGACTGAGGCAGAAGGATTGTTTGAGCTTGGGAAGTCAAGGCTGCAGTAAGCTATGATCATGCCACTGCACTCCAGCTTGGGTGACAGACAGGGTGAGACTCTGTCTCAAAAAAAAAAATAGATAAATAAAAAGAAAAAGAAAAAGAGAAAAGAAGAACTCTTACAGCTCAAGAACAAAAAGACAAAAAGACAACTCAATTCAAAAATGGGCAAAGAACTTGAGTAGACATTTCTCTGAAGATAATATACAAATAAGCAACAAACACATAAGATGCTCAATGCCATCAGTCATTAGGGAAATGCAAATCAAAACCACAATGTGGTATTGCTTCACACCTGCCACAGTGACCCCAATGATAATAATCAAAAAATGGAGGTCGGGCGCAGTGGCTCATGCCAGTAATCCCAGCACTTTGGGAAGCCGAGGCAGGCGGATCACTTGAGGTCAGTAGTTCAAGACCAGCCTGGCCAACATGGTGAAACCCCGTCTCTACTAAAAATACAAAAAAATTAGCCGGGCGTGGTTGTGGCCCACACATGTAATCCCAGCTACTTGGGAGGCTGAGTCAGAATTGCCTGAACCCAGGAGGCAGAGGTTGCAGTAAGCCGAGATCACACCACTGCACTCCAGCCTGGGTGACAGAGCAAGATTCCCCCTGCCCCCCAAAAAAATACATAAAAATAAAATGATGAAAATGGTCAATTTCATGTTATGTGTATTTTACCCCAATTTAAAAAATACTTTTCTGCATTCAGTCAATGCTCCTTGAATATCTACTGTGTGCATAGGGAAGTGTGCTATGCATTTAAGACACAAGAATAAATGTGATGGATGTGATGGCTGCTTCCAGGCAATTATGGATTGGGAAGAAATCCAGCAAACAGTGATGGACCCAAGAAATCTAGGATGTGATGGACCCAGGAAGAATAGGATGTGGCAGACCCAGGAAGTCTAGGATGTGGATGACAGGAGTTGGGAGGAGGAGAAATGGTTTTCCTGGCTGGAGGTGGGGGAGGGTCGGGGAAGACTACCTGTAAAAGACGCAATGTGAGATAGCTTTTGAAGGAGGAGGAAAACTTGCCCTTGGAGAGTCAATCTTATTATTGAAGGGATGTGTAATTAGAGGCCACATGATGCCATCCCATCCCTGCAACGGGCAAGACAGTTTAATGTGTGGAGTGTCTAGAGAAAGCAAGGATGGTTAGACCCCAGGGAGGAAGAGCTATAGCACAGACCCCCTCAGAATGCTCTCCCAGGCTTTCTGTTAAAAGCTCCTGCAGCAGAGTGGTCATGGTGGATCAGAGGGCAAAGTGAAGAAGTGAGGACAACTGATTCAGCCTGCTAAGCATTCTTGGGGCCTCAGGAGCCCCCACTGTCCTTTCTGAGGCTTTTGTCTTCTGCATCCTGGCAAGGAGCAGGCAAGCAGAGAAAAAGGCAGGAGAGACCAGGGCTCGTGTTAATTAAGCACCTACTAAGTACTGGGGGTCGGAACACATGGTTTTATGTAATCCTCACAGCGGCCCAATGAGAGAGGTTCTACTATTGCCTCCTCCTTCTACCTTTTTTTTTTTTTTTGGCTTTCATGTTTTTTCCTTTGCCTTTTAGCTATTTTAAAGTTAGAGAAATGAGGCACTGAGAGTTAAAGTGGCTGGCCTGAGGTCATCACGTGGGTGGAAGCCTGATTCAGGTGAGGTCAGTCTGACACCAGGATCCCTCTAGGTGCTCAGAGAAGGAATTTCCCCACAGTAAGGAAGGAGGCTTGGCCTGCTGAGATGAGCCTCAGATTCCTGTCTCTTGGCCCCGTAACTATCAGCAAACTCAAAGCTGAATTTCACCACTGGCAACTTCTGGTGTTAGCAAGTCTCTCAACCTCTGTGGGTTGTGCTCTATTCATTTTAATTTTTATCTTATGATTAATTATTTACAGTGTCCCTTTGTTGCCCAGGTTGGAGTGCAGTGGCTCACTCACAACTCACTGCAGCCTCAAACTCCTGGGCTCAAGTGATTCTGCCGCCTCAGCCTCCCAAAGTGCTGGGATCGCAGACGTGAGACAAGGTGGCCAGCCCACTTTGCTCATTTTTAATGCATGGGAAGCTGGCGGAGATTTATTTTCTTCTTCTTCCCCCAGGAATATGTTCTCATACATACATACTATCTAGGTCCTTTTAATTCCCCACTTCCCTAACTATCCATGTTCATGCATATTTACATTTAAAAAAAAATAGGATCATACTGGCTATGTTGATTCTGTGACTTTATCTTTTTCACTAAATAATATGACTCAGGAACCTTTCAAGGTCAGGAATGTGGATCCACCTCATTCATCTAAAATCTACTCATTCTCCCACATGAATGCATATACTGTAATCCCTTCCCATACCAGTGTTGCAAGCTCTGCCATGGACATTTTTATGTTATGTCAGTGCAAGTGTGAGCATTTCTGTGTGAGATTTTTCAAAGTGGGATTGCTGGACCAAAGAGCATGCCATTGAAGTTTCGAAAGACCCTGATAACTAATCTGAAGAAGGCCCAGAACTCAGTTGTTTCTCAAACAATTTCTGGCATGGATGTTTCTCTGATGCCTGGTGGAGAAGCGGGTGATGGTCTTAGACAAGTCTTTTAACCTTTGTGAGGCTTAGTTTGCTTATCTGTAGAGTGAGAAACAGTGTCATAGACACAACAGTGCTTTGGAGATGATAAGGTCCTGTGTAGGTTGGGTGCTGTGGCTTATTCCTGTAACTCACACTTGTAACCCCAGCGCTTTGGTTGTAACTCACACTTGTAACCCCAGTGCTTTGGGAAGCCAAGGCGGGAGGATCGCTTAAGCCTAGGAGTTAGAGACCACCCGACTCTGTCTCTACTAAAGAGAAAAACAAAAACCAGACAAGAAAGTCTTGTGTAAATGTGAGAAATTAAAAATTGTTATTAATATTGGAAGGCTCCACAGCTAGACACATCTCCTTCTCCTCATTACACAGAAACCAAAACGAGGAGCTTGTGCAAGAAAGAAGCTGTTTTTGGTTTTTATTTTGTTTTTTTTTGGAGACAGTGTCTCACTCTGTCACCCAGGCTGGAATGCAGTGGTGTGATCATGGCTCACTGCAGCTTCGACCTCCCCGGGCTCAAGCAATCCCCCCACCTCAGCCTCCCAGGTTGCTAGGACTACAGGCGCATGCCACCATGACCAGCTGATTTTTTTTTTCCTGTATTTTACAGAGATGGGGTTTTGCCATGTTGCCCACGCTGGTCTCAAACTCCTGGGCTCAAGCCATCCACCCGCCTCAGCTAGGAAGCTGTTTTATATTAAGTATCAACTATGTTTAAGGCCATGTATTAGACCAGCAGTTCTCAATAGCGAAGGAAAAGGATGATTTTGCTCCCCAGGGCACATCTGGCAATGTCTGCAGACATTTCTGATGGACATGACTCATGGGGTAGGGAGTGTCACTGGCATCTAGTGGGTAGAGACCAGAGGCGCTGCTGAATATCCTACAATACACAGGGGAGTCCCACAACAAAGAATCCTCTGACCCAACTGTCAACAGTGCCCAAAATGAGAACCCCTCATCTAGACCTGTCTCTTTTCTGATGTCCAACCCCAACAAACCTCATTCAAAGACGAGGAACTGAGGTTCAGAGACATGAATGACTTGCCTAAGTTTCCATAGACAGCCACTACCAGTGGCCAACTCTCTACTCCATCTGGCTTCAGGGTCTGTGGTCCATTCCACATACTACACTGTCTCTCTAGGAAGACATCCCCTTGTCCCCAGGCACCTTGGCCCTGGCAGATTATCTACGGCAAGGGTTACAAGTTTTGCCTTAAGGCATAAGCACCTCCCCACTTCATGATTAGAGGTTTTATGACTTTGCACTTGTAATCATTGTTTCTGCTCATTTTGCTGTGTGCTAAACATTTTATGAGGATTAACTCATTTTACCCCAAGGATATGTCACAGAGAGGTTAAGATCAGACACTAAGTGGCAGATTTGTGCTCTCGACCCAGATAAGAGGTCTCCAGGGACCAACCTCTCGGCCTCTCTACCGTGGTCCTCCTCATGCTTTGAACTTCGCCTTGGCAAAGTTGGGGCACAACAACCAATCCTTTAGCTGGGAACTGGGTGGGGGCAGAAACAGAGAGAGCCTCTACTTCAGACCATGCTGCCCAGCTGGGTGGTCCTAGAGAATCTGCCAGAATTTCAGCTCTTTTCCCATGCAATGCCCCAGGAGAAAAGACGCAGGCCTCTGAACAGAGATGAGACAATGTGCAGGGAACTCAAAGCCAGAGGGCGTGGGCAGGGGCTAAGAGGGAGGGGACCTTGGAGGGAAGGAATATGACATCCTCAGGACCTGTCCAAAGTTCTTGGAGCAAACCCAGCTATGCAAGTGAGGTTCCTGCAGTAGCCTCCACTCCAGCATCTCATTCTCATTAGCTGCAACTGATCTTATTAGCTATCCTGGGTCAGTTTGGATTTTGGCAAGCCTAGATTTGGCAATGGCCTCAACACAAAGATCGCACGGGGTAAGCAGGGATGCGCTGACACCCAGGAATGGATTCCACGAGGCAGCCTGCTGGGGGATGGCATTGAGTTCCAGCTCTGCCCCTTCCTGGCTTCATGACCTTTGCAGAGCCTTGGCGCTTCCTCTGACAAGTGGGGACTTGGGACCCAGCAGTCCCCAAGTCCCCATTGTAAATGTGAGGACTGGGGCTTGTGTCAGGGATCCTAGCACCTTAAGGGTCCTGGAGGGGTTGGGGCCAGCTGTCTCCCACAGGCTGGGTGACCTTGAGCAAGTCTCTTCCCCTTTTGTGCCTCTGTGTGTTTAACTGTCAAATGAAGGGGCCACGTCTTTAATGCAGAAGCCCTTTTAGGTCTTAGGACTCCAGACTGGACCATTTACCTCTCCCCGTGGCTAACCTCTTTGGGCCTCGAGAAAACACATTTCTCTATGACTCCACGCCGCAACACAGGCTCCAAAGAGCAAGACACAACTCACTGCCTCCCTCTCTCCTGCCTCCCAACCTGACCCACCAGAGAAGAGCTCTTCCCACCCCCTCCCCACCCCCAGGTCACCAACATCCTGTCCCTTAGTCTAGCTTCATCAAAGCAGCAAAGCCAACACTGTCTCCTCCCCAGTGGATGGGCCCAGCAGCACCCATTTCTCTTGGCTGAGTGCCCAGGGAATTCCACCAGGCAATGTCCACAGGCGCTTGCGGGGGTGCACACTTTAGGGGGGAAATGCGGGCCCTCTTGGAAGAGGGCCAGCTGTCCTCCCAGACTGCAAGAGAGAATGCATTGAACACAGCCTTTGTGCGTGTGTTGGGGCAGGGAGCGGGGGAGAGGTGGCGGGTGGTCTCTGCTGGTCCTGCTGCCTCAGAGGCCATCTCTGTTGTCAGAGTTTGAAGACTCCTGGAAGGGCCTCTAGGCCCCAGATCCCAGTTTTAAGAGCTCCAGTCTTACTAAATCTCGCTGAACCCCCTCTAGTCTTACCTTGGCCAGGGTGGGTGAGGAAAGGTGAGAGGATGTGAAATAGGTGGGGCAGCCAGGTGTGGGAGTGGAGTTGGGGTGAGGTGGAGAAGGATGGGATTGGGAGCGGTGGGAGGATGGTGCAGGGGGTTACTAGGATGGGGTTTGTGTGAAAGGGCTTGGGTGGAGTGGAGGGAGGTGGATGACTTGGAGGGGTGGCCAGACCTTTGCCCTGCTCCTGAGTATGAAGGTCCCTCATTTTACATCTTTACTGGGGAGGAGAGGGGAAATCCCCAAAAGCCTTTAATGTGGTGGTGTCAGAGGCCACCCTGCCTCTCTGACGGGTAGGGAGGGGTCTCCGGCAGGGCTAAGGGTGAATCATCTATCTCTCCAGAGCCCAGTATCTGGGGTGGGAGGGTGACTTGCAGAGTCTCTGCTCCGGGATTTCCTTGTCTTATGATGGGGGGAGAGCTTCCATTTGTCATGGAGGGGGAGGTCACTGTAATTTATAAGCTGAGAAGACCCCCATTATTCCGAAAGAGAGGGGAGAAGGAAGACACCCAAACTTAGTTTTCTAAGGATGGGGAAGGGGCATCAGTCTCCCAAGAGGTGAGGGGGCTCTAGAGACCTGGAGACCACTTTTTGGGGCCGCATTCTATTTCAAGCGGTAAAAGGGAGAGGACTTCTGTCTAGAGCTGGAGCCAGGAGGAAGGGCCCATTTCTGAAGGAGAAAGGAAGGTATTTTGCTCTCTGGGGGGTGGGAGCCCCTGTCTTTTCGGGGGAGGGCCCCGCGTCTTGGGAAGATGAGGGCTCCGTTTCCAGGAGAAGATGCCCAGGTTTTGCTCCTGGGGGCAGGGCAGAAGGACCTCCTCTCGGCTCCCCTCGGAAGGGCCCGTCCCAAGCCACCCGGCGCCTCGCGCTCACCTCCAGGCCCCGTCTCCGATCTGCGGGATCCGATCCGCCGGGTTCCGACTTGCGGGATGCGCGCCCCGAGTTCCGGCAGCGCTGGGTGTCTGCTCGACTTCCCCCAGCGACTCGCCGGACTCCCTGGCTCCGCCGAGCGTCCCGGCCAATCAGCGCCGCCAGCCCCGGCCCTCGCTTTCGCCACAGCCAATGGGTGCGCCCGCCACGGGCCACCGCCCCCAGGAGGGAGGTGGCAGGCGGGGCGGGGGCAGAGTCCAGCCTCCGGGGGCGGGGGAGACGGGGGCTGGGGCGGGACCCACCAGAGGGACCGCGAGGGCTGGGAGGGAGTCCTGGGACTGGGGAGGAGACGGCTGAGGACCCCCGTCAAGTTGTGGGGACCCTGACCCTCTGGGGGGCAGCTCCATAGGTTGATTTAACCTGGATCTTAATGGGCCATTTACACCCTCAGGGCTGCAGGCGAGTGTAACTCCACCTCCACCCGCGTCTCGGATCCGGTCTCTGGAGCTCCAGAGTCGGAATCAGAAGGGGTTCCTTTGCGGAGAAGGGAAGGAGCATCCCGCCCTCCCCACCTCACTCCCCATCTCGGCGCTCAGGGCCCTGCCAGCCCTTCTTGCTCCCAGCTACTTTCCTCCGCCTGGCCCCAGCGCTCCGGAAGACAAACAGGGCGCTGGGAGTCAGAGGTGGTTCCTTCTGCATGACCTGGAGCAGGTCACTGCGCCTCCTGATCCTCAATTTCCTGAAATTGGGACAACAGAGATTGTACCTCCTTCGTGGGTATAAACGAGACCCTAGATATGATGAAGGTGCCTTTCTACCGTTGTATAAAATGCTGTGTGGAAGATAATTAATACTCAGGTGTGACGGATGGATAGCCCCCCCACAGCTTTCTAGAGGTATTTGGAAAGAGGATGCAATCTTTCAGTGACAAAATCAAAGACACAAAGAACTGCTCATCAAGACAACAGGCGATCACCAAGTCCTCATAATGAATGAATGGATGGATGGAGAGTACAGACCTTAAAGGCAGAGAAAGAGTTCAGCTTGGTTCTCCCCACTCACCCTGATCACTGATAACTTGGTCTGTGGAGTCTTGTAGAACCCTGAGGTCTCTCCTCCTGCTGTCCAGGAATCCAGGCTGCCCTATCTCTGATTACACAAGCGCTATAGTCCTTGCAATTAAAGAATTAAGATAAAGTAAACACATAGATAAATAGAAAGCTGCCAAACAAATCATTCACCTCCTAGTGTCACCTCTGGGGACCCTCCCCCCCAACACACACACACACACACACACACACACACACACACACACACAGAGCAGTAAATAAGAATAATTGAGGCCTGGCACAGTGGCTTACGCCTGTAATTCCAGCACTTTGGGAGGCCGAGGCAGGCAGATCACTTGATGCCCAGAGCTCGAGACCAGCCTGGCCATCATGGGGAAACCCCCTTTCTATTAAAAATACAAAAATTAGCCTGGCATGGTGGCACCTGCCTGTAATCCCAGCTACCTGGGAGGCTGAGACATGAGAATCGCTTGAATGGAGAGGCAGTGGTTGCACTGAGGTGAGATGGCACCACTGCACTCTAGCCTGGGTGATTGTCACCTTGCTTGAGGAACTTGATGAGGCCTGTGCTGAAAATCTAGCAATTTTTTCTTAAAACCAAAGCCATGAACATAATCCCCTTTACTACCCTTGACCTGCCCAAAGAAATACAACGGCCAATAAACATGGGAGATGACACTTTGAAAAGGAAAGGCAAGTTAAAACCAAAAGAGGGAAAGAGTTTACCTACCAAAATGACCTTGTTTTTATTATTATAATTACTATTCTTTGCAAAGACTTCAAGGAGTTTCATGTATTGATGATGGCAGTAGAAAGATCACAGCCTTTCTGGAGGGAAATTGGGTATTTCTATTTTAAAAATCTTAAAAGTAAGTTGACCCTTTGATCTAGCAATCCAATCCCTATGAACTTATCTGAAAACATTTAAAGGTACAAAGATTTAATGATAAAGTAGCTTACTACCATTTTGTTTATCACAGGGAAAAACTGGGAACAACTTGAATGCACAACAGCAGGGACTCAGAGGGAAATTGTTGCATGAAATTGAACAATAAACATAGGTATGAAATATTGAATGGGGCTGGGTGTGGTGACACGCCTGTAATTCCAGCACTTTGGGAAGCCAAGGCAAGAGGATCGCTTGAGCCAAGGAGTTCAAGACCAGCCTGGGTAACATAGTGAAACCCTGTCTCTACAAAAAATACAAAAATTATCCGGGCGATGTGGCGCATGCATGTAGTCCCAGCTACTCAGGAGACTGAGGCAGCCTTGAGCCTGGGAGGTTGAGGCTGCTGTGGGCCAAGATTACACCACTGTACTCCAGCTGGGTGACAGAGTGAGACCCTGTCTCAAAAACAAAACAAAACAAATCTCAAAATGTTAAGTTATTTGCAAAAACAGTATATTTGGTACTGTCTTACTTTTTGTTAAACATCTTACTTTTTGTTAAATCTACCAGGTAGAGCTAGATCAATGCTGTGTAATATAACTTTCTATGATGCTCTATATCTGTGCCGTCCCGTGTGGTAGCCACTAGCCACATGGAGGTATTGAACACCTGAAATGACTAATTTTGGTATCCAAGATGTTTAAAAAAAAAAAAGAAAGAAAGAAATAATAAAAAAAGGAAAAGGGAAAAATAAATTTAAAATTTTGGAAAAAGCAATGACTAGTTAACCGAATAACTGTATTTTAATTGTATCTATTTATTTATTTTTTTAGAGACGGAGTCTCGCTCTGTCACCCAGGCTGGAGTGCAGTGGTGTGATCTCAGCTCGCTGCAACCTCTGCCTCCCAGGTTCAAGCGGTTCTCCTGCCTAAGCCTCCTGAGTAGTTGGGATTACAAGCGTGCTCCACCACGCCTGGCTCGTTGTTTAATTTTTTAATTTTTAGTAGAGACAGGGTTTCGTCATGTTGGCCAGGCTGGTCTCAAACTCCTGGCCTCCAGTGATCTGCCTGCCTCAGCCTCCCAAAGTGCTGGGATTACAGGTGTGAACCACCACGCCCAGCCTGTATCTAATTTTAATTTAAGGTGTAACAGTAACAGGTAGCTAGTGGCTATCATATTAAAAGGCACCGATATAGCTAGCTAGCAATGCTGAGTGAAAAACTGTGTTCAGTAGGAGAATGGTTATTTTTGTGTATTGAAATTATAGATTATTCTAATATTACTTTATTTGCATGTCCATGTCAGTAATTTCTTTTTATCCCCTTGGGTTTATTTTTAATAGAGGATAAACTTTACAATGTCACTAATTTCTAATTATTCTGTAATGAATATATATTACTCTGGTACTAAGAAGAAAATATTTAAAATGAAAAACAGAAAGGAAAAGTCTAAACCAAAGGGCCCGGAGTGGTGGCTCACACCTGTAATCCCAGTATTCTGGGAGGCTGAGGCGGGCAGATCACTTGAGGCCAGGGGTTCGAGACCAGCCTGGCCAACATGGCGAAACCCCATCTCTATTTATAAATAATTTTTTTTTAAAAAAGAGTCTAAGCCAAAGGTTGACAAACTATAGCTCATAGACCAAATGTAGTTCATCATGTTTTCCTATGACCATGAGCTAAGATTGGTTTTACATATTAAATGGTTAAAAAAATTCACAAGAAGAATAATGTTATGTGACACATAGAAACTACATAAAATTCAAATTTTACTGTGCATAAATAAAATTTTATGGGAACACAGCCAGGCCTATTTATTTATGCATTGTCTATGGCTGTCTGTGAGCTACAACAGCAGAGCTGAGTAGCTGTGACAGAGACTCTGTGACCTGAAAAGACAACAATATTTACCTTCCAGCCCTTTGCGAAAAATCTGCCGTGTCCTGGTCTAAGGCAATCAAGGGAAATAAGAAGTGTGTGTAGCCATCTTCATTCATCTGTTCATTCATTCATTCAACTAGGTTTTGAGCACCCATTTGTGGGTCAGGCCCTAGGAAAGGGCACTTCTAGAGGATAAAAGGAGCTGCTTTGTCTCTACTTAAGGACTAGGGAGAGAAGGCTATTTAGAGCCAGGTGCTTTGCAAGCTGATTCTCAAATAGCTTCATTGTGATACTTGTGAAGAAAACTGTCAGCATGTGGAAAAAGCCCTTTCCATATTGGCTTCCCTTGCATTTTCTGCCATTCTGCAGTTTTCCTATGGAGCTGCTTGGGGTTGCAGCTGTCTGCCAGGGAATGCAGAGTGTTTCCCAGAGTTTGGCTGAGGCCTGGGATGAAGACTCACCCATACTCTGTGCCTATCAATAAGCTCCTTCCAGAAGCGCAGCTGTAGCTGGGAGGGCCCCCACTGCACTCTGGAGAGGAGAAATGAAAACAAAGGCAAGGGTGAATGAGGCTCCAAGGGTACCAGTTGTCTCCACAGGAGAGACTCTTAGAGATCAGCAGCCCATTGTACAGAAGAGGAGACTGAGGCCCAGAGAGGAGGAATAACTTGTCCAGAGCCAGATTAAAGCACATATTTTATTGACTAGGCCTGTGATTTCCACATCCCTGGTCACAAAATAATAAAGAGATATCATCTATACAAAATAATAAAGGGCATTTTGATGTGGTGGAAAGGGGATCAACTTGGGAGTCAGACCTAATATTGAATTCTAGTTCCAACTCCCAATGGCTATGTGACTCTGGACATGTCATTTACTCCCTCTCAGTCTCTATGTTCTAATCTGTAAATTGAATAAAGTATCTACCACGTTTTCACATGTAAAAGAAAGAAGATAGACGCTTACCTCACACCATATAAAAAAACTAACTCAACATTGGATCAAAGACCTAAATAAATATAAGACCTAACACTATAAAATTCTTAGAAGAAAACATGGGAAGGGGGAACAGGTGCAATGGCTCACACCTGTAATCCTAGCACTTTGGGAGCTCCAAGGCTGCCGGATCACTTGAGCCCAGGAATTTGAGACCAGTCTGGGAAACCTGGCAAAACCCCACTGTTAGAAAAAATACAAAAATTAACCAGGTGTGGTGGTGTGTGGCTGTGGTCTCAGCTACTTAAGAGGCAGAGGTGGGAGGATTGCCTGAACCTGGGAGGCAGAGGTTGCAGTGAGCCAAGGTTGTGCCATTGCACTCCACCTAGCCTGGGTGACAGAGCAAGACTCCATCTCAAAAACAACAGCAACAAAAAAGCATTTTGATTGTACTTAATGCCATTGAATTGTACACTCTAAAATGGTAAAAATTGGTGAATTTTGTGCAATGTGTATTTTACCATAATAAGGAAAAAAGTATGTACCACAGTAGGTCATTGGTTGGGTAAGTAAGGGAAGTTTGCTCCTGGTCCCTGCTGGGCACTGTGCATTAGCCCTGTACATAGTTGTACTAGTTTCACCAAACTATCTGCTTGATTGTGAGAGGTGGGCCAGAGCTCATTCATTCATTTAGTAATTTTTCCATCAATTTGTTCAGTCAACAAATACACATTTAGCACCTACTGCGTGCCAGGCATTGGGGATTGTGGTCCTGACCCCATGGAACTTCCATTCTGCAGCTGGGAGACAGTGTATAAGAAGATGAATGTGTAACTAAGAAAGCTCTTTTCTTTTTTTTTTTTTTTTCTTTTCCTTTCTCTTCTCTTTTCTTTTTTTCTTTCTGTCTTTCTTTCTTTTCTTTCTCTCTCTCTCATTTTTTTCTCTCTTTCTTTTTTTCTCTCTCTCTCTTTCATTCGTTCTTTTTTTTCTTTCTTTTTGAGACGGAGTCTTGCTCTGTCACCCAGGCTGGAGTGCAGTGGCGCTATCTTGGCTCACTGCAACCTCTGCCTCCCCGGTTCAAGCGATTCTTGTGTCTCAGCCTCCCGAGAAGCTGGGATTACAGACGTGTACCACCATACCCAGCTAGTTTTTGTATGTTAAGTAGAAATGGGGTTTTGCCATATTGGCCAGGCTGGTCTCGAAATCCTGGTCTCAAGTGATCTTCCCACCTTGGCCTCCCAAAGTGCTGGGAATGCAGGTATGATCTACTGTGCCCAGCCTAAGAAGCTAATTTCTGATAATAAGTGCTTTAGGGAAATGCAAAATAAGATGATGTTCCTGGGATCAGGGTGGGTACACCAGCCATGATGCTCAGGGAGTTGTCCACAAGGCTGTGACATTTAATCTGAGGCCTGAATGCTAAGAGGAAGGCTTCTATGGGATTATCTTGTGCTTGTTCTCATGCATTTTGGCCCTCGTGCTAGGCTCCTAGAAGACCCAAGGGCTGCCTCCAGCTTTCCTCCTCTGAACATCTCAGGTAATATGGGGAAAGCATGAGAAAGTGAGCCAGGCCCAACAGGCAGCTGCTGCATCTGACACGTCACACACATGTCAGGGCTTTGTTCTGCTGCCATTGTGATGACTGGGACCGCCAGCATTGCCAGCCCAAAGGATGCACGGCAGTGCAGTCCCCCTTCTGGCTCAAGATGTAGTGAAATGACAGGGGAGCTGGGTCATACTGCCACCCCCATGCTCTGCAGGACTTCCTAAAGGCAGAAAGTGAACAACAGACAATTCTCATGCTCAACATGTCAGTGGTGCCGAGCTTGAGAAACCCTGCCTGAGTTAATGTGTATGTAGTTCCAAGAATATAGAAGGAGCTTAGTACATCCTGGGTCCCTTCCTCCTGTGGCTAGAGATACCCTGCCTATTTACCCCAATTCTTCTTGACAATACATGGCTGTGGTATCTCCAGGGATCAGTTGGAGTGTAGCTCCCTCATCGAGACTGATGGAAAAAATAGCTAAACATGTACTTCTTTTCTGAGTTCTTTGATGACTTGACTTCTGACAGTGCTTGGCATGCAGTAGGAGTTCTAGGAATACGTATCAATTTCACTGCATGAAAAGGACAGCAGGATGCTGAGGAAGGACATCTTGGAGAGCTCTTGGGGAGCTCTTGGGGAGCTCTTGGCCCTGAGGCGCTGTCCAGGAACTCTGTGCTGAAACTTTACAGAGGAGGAGAAAACCCCAAAAATGTGGCACATATACACCATGGAATACTATGCAGCCATAAAAAAGAATGAGATCATGTCCTTTTCAGGGACATGGATGAAGCTAGAAGCCATCATTCCCAGCAAACTAACACAGGAACACAAAGCCAAACACCACGTGTTCTCACTCATAAGTGGGAGTTGAGCTGTGAGAACACATGGACACAGGGAGGGGAACATCACACACAGGGGCTTGTCAGGGGATTGGGGGGCAAGGGGAGGGAGATCATTAGGACAAATACCTAATGCACGCGGGGCTTAAGACTTAGATGACGAGTTGATAGGTGCAGCAAACCACTATGGCACATGTATACCTATGTAACAAACCTGCACATTCTGCACATGTATCCCAGAACTTAAAATAAAATAACAAAATAATAAAGAAAATAAAAATTTAAAATAAATAAATAAAACAACTTTATTAATTTTATTAACATAAAAATTTTGTTAAAAGAAAACCTGAACTGAGATTGAACTCTTCCCCACTGAGAAAGCAAGCCCAGGCATCCTTTCTCCCTCTCGTCCTCATCTCTCCTCCCTACAGACAATGGAAGATGAAAATCAGGAGACAGAGCCGGGCGCGGTGGCTCAGGCCTGTAATCCCAGCACTTTTGGGGGCTGAGGTGGGTAGATCAACTGAGGTCAGGAGTTCGAGACCAGCCTGGCTAACATAGTGAAACCCTGTCTCTACTAAAAATACAAAAAACAAAAAAATTAGCTGGGCATGGTGGCAGGTGCCTGTAATCCTAGCTACTAGGGAGGCTGAGGCAGGAGAATCATTTGAATACGAGAGGCGGAGGTTGCAGTGAGCCGAGATGGTACCATTGCACTACAGCCTGGGCAACAAGAACAAAACTCCATCTCAAAGAAAAAAAAAAAAAAAGAAAGAAAGAAAGAAAGAAAAGAAAATCAGGAGACAGCATGGCAGAATGGTTATATCCTCAAACTCTGGAGTTAAAGAGAGTTGGGCTCATATTCTGGCTGTGACGATAAAGAATTACATGACTTTACATAGATGACTTCACTTCTGAGCCTCAGTCCCATCTGTAAAATGGGATGATGATCATAATGTCTGCATCTCAGAGATTTCATGAGTGTTAAGTGGGAGAAGTGCCTTAGAGCACGTAGCAGGCAGTGGCTGGCATGTAGTAAGCACTCAGCAAATATTAGCTATGACCATAAATGTTTTCATAATCATCACTCTTGTAGTTTGGGTTCTCCTAGAAATAGATTCTGAGACAAAGATTTGAGTGCTTTATTTGGGAGGTGATCTCAGGATGATTCCAGGAGATATTGGTGGGTCGATAATAAGGTGTGGGTTATCTAGCAAATAATCACTGTGGGTGACTGCAGCTCCGTTCCATTGGGGAACACTGGGAGCCGGCACAGAACAGTCACTTTAGGATTATCCCACCGTGGAGCAAGGAAGCTGGGGTATTTATACACCAACTACTCCCCGTCATTGGCCAAGAACTGCTTGCTCAGGATGTCAACTCCCCAGCACTTCTGGCCACCTGTCCCTTTCAGGTTGAGCAGACTCTCAGGCAACCAAAGAACACCCTCAGGGTGAGTCTCAGATGATAGAGGCAGGTGAACTTGCAAAGAAATGGAAAATGCTGCACAGATATTGGCTTTTCCTCCTGCACCATCACCTGTGGCCACAGCTAAGGTTCTAAATGCCTCTCTGCTGGGCTATCATAGTCTGTGCTCACTTCTGTAATAGCATTTGTCAACTTCATTAATTCATTCAGTCATTAATTCTGTAGCTCATTCGCACCCTCAGGTATTCATCCATTTACTCACTTATACTTCCACACTTAACTGCTGACTAAATGCTACATGCAGGCCTCAGGCTCCTAAATGGTCTATTCCAGGGGTGTCTCCGCCTGGCCAGGAAGCTCCTTGGGGAGAAGCCCTGGGCCCGATTGGTCTTCTGGTGCCAGGTATTCAGCACAGCGTCTGGCACACAGCAGGGCTCAGGATGTGTTTAATGGAGCTGAAGCAAATTAGAGCCCAGAGTAGGGTTTTTCTCTTCTACAAACTGAGCGTGCTGTGAAGATCCAGGCTTTCTTCAAGCTGGGTACTTGTTAACCAGATGTTTCAAATACCTGTCCTACGAGAAAAGTCTTTGTGAAATGAATCTTGGGAATCCTGGAAGTTTTCAGACACGAAGTGTATGCAAACGCTCAGTCTCCTGCTGAATTCAGAGGCAGCAGAGGGAGGGGCTTTGCCTGGAAGGTGCCAGGCTGTATGCTGGGTCCCAGAGGCAGCTCCTGACTTGGAGTCACCAGGGTTCAAGGTCAGACCCACCGTTCCTTCTCAGGCATTTGTCTCTCTCAGCCTCAGCTATTTTTGTTTTATTTTGTTTTGAGAGAGCGTCTCACTCTCATCACCCAGGCTGCAGTGCGGTCTTGGCTCACTGCAGCCTCGATCTCCTTAACTCAAGTGATTCTCCCACTTCAGACTCTTGAGCAGCTAGGTCTACAGATGTGCACCACTATGCCTGTTTATTATTATTACTTTTTTTGTATTTTTAGTAGATACGGGGTTTCACCATGTTGCCCAGGCTGGTCTCAAACTCCTTAGAGGATACCGTGGAAACTCCTGCCCTAGAGTCAGGCCCATCAGGGCTCCCACCCAGCTTTCTCGCTCACAGACTGTGGGATCCCTAGTGAGTCCCTCCTCCCCAGGGACCCTCAGTTTCTGTGCCTTTAAAGCAGGGTGATACAGTGAGACGTGCCAGACAACCAAGCAGGTGAGATGATTTTCATTCTGATTTCCTGAGCACCTGGCTCAGGTGCGGGCTGCTCTAGGGCCCTGGATAAGGATCTTTGCATGAAAGACCTCAATGTCACATGAACACACATGGATCACTTGAGATGGGTCCTGGGAAAGAGCTTTAGAGTGGGCTAGACGTGGTGGCTCATGCCTGTCATCCCAGCACTTTGGAAGGCTGAGGTGGGAAGATCACTTGAGCCCAGGAGTTTGATACCAGCCCAGGCAACATAAGGAGACCCCATCTTTACAAAAATACAAAAAATAAATAAATTAGCCTGGTGTGGTGGTATGTGCCTAGGTCCTAGCTACTCAGGAGGCCAAGGTGGGAGCACTGCTTGAGCCTGAGAGGCTGAGGCTGTAGTGAGCCGTGATAGCATCACTGCACTCCAGGCTGGGTGGCAGAGCAAGACCCCATCTCAAAAAAAAAATACATAAATAAAATGTAGGCTGGGCGTGGTGGCTCACACTGTAATCCCAACACTTTGGGAGGCTGGGGCAGGTGGATCACCTGAGGTCAGGAGTTCGAGACCAGCCTGGCCAACATGGTGAAACCCTGTCTCTACTAAAAATACAAAAATTAGCTGGGCATGGTGTCACAGGTGAACAGACAGGTGAACTTGCAAAGAAATAGAAAATGCTTGCAAAGAAATAGAAAATGTCTGTGGTTCCACTTACTTGGGAGCCTGAGGCAGGAGAATCGCTTGAGTCCAGGAGCCGGAGGATGCAGTGAGCCGACATCACGCCATTGCACTTCAGCCTGGGAAACAGAGCGAGACTCCATCTAAAAAAAAAAAAAAAATTAAAAAACTTAGAATGCACAAGTGTAAGGAAAGAGGAAAGATCATTGCCTAGCCCAGTGGTTATTAACTGGGGCCATCTAGCCACAGCTGGAGACAGTTTTGGTTGTCATGACTGTGGTCGGGGGTGGGAGACAGGGAGGTGCTCCTGGCATCCGGTGGGTAGAGGCCGAGGGGACTGCTGAATGCTCTACAATGCATAGGACAGTCTCCTATGACATGGGATTACTGAGCCCAACACGTTGGCAGTGCTGAGACTGAGAAACCTCACTCTAGTGTAACTCCTCTAGTCTGACAAATGAAACCCAGAAAGGTCTAAGATGATCCAAGATGTGATCAGCAGACTGACCTTGGGCAAGCTTTAATTTCTCCAAGCCTCAGTTGCTTCATCTGTAAAATGGATGTAAGAATAATAGTACTTACCCCACAGGGCTGTGAAGAGGTTTAAAAGGGATACAGAGTCAGGGCTGGGAAAACACAGGCAGAAAAATAGGAGGAGTGGGAGGACCTCCCCCAGCCTCCAGGTGGGGCCCCCACCTGGGTGGGGCCCCCTCTTGATTTTAGCTCTGAACTCTTCCCCAGGTGACCCTCCCACTGGAACATCCAGGTATGTGTTGTCATAGAAACCTTTCAGGGACGGTGCACTCGAGAGCTTGACTGATTTTTTTTCTCCCCAAAATAACCCACCCTGTCAGTCAAGTAACACTTAGGCGAAGTGGTTAGGCAAGTGAGACTGTTTTACCATCATTAACTGTTGAGCAGGACGCCTACTTGGGGAATTTCCATTCTCCCAAGACACACAGTTAATAGAAATGCAACAGAGATTAATAATAATAGGGAGATGATGATGATGATGGCTTGGCTACCTTTTTTTTTTTTTTTTTTTGAGACGGAGTTTTGCTCTTGTCACCCAGGCTGGAGTGCAGTGGTGCAATCTTGGCTCACTGTAACCTCTGCCTCCCGGGTTCAAGTGATTCTCCTACCTCAGCCTCCCAAGTAGCTGATTATAGGCGCCTGCCATCATGCCCGGCTAATTTTTGTATTTTTAGTAGAGACGGGGTTTCACCATGTTGGCCAGGCTGGTCTCGAACTCCTGACCTCAGGTGATCCACCCGCTTCAGCCTCCCAAAGTGCTGGGGTTACAGGTGTGAGCCACCACGCCTGGTGATGGCTACCATTGCTTGAGCTTTTCTTCCTTGCCCTGTTATATGTTAGGTGCTTGACAGACATTACCAAGTCCAACTTTGAGAAGTAAGTACTAGTAGTGTGCGCATTTTACAGACCAGGATTCTGAGGCTCAGAGAGGTGAGTGTTCGGGCTGGTTTGAGTTCAGATGCCAGGTGCCATGTTCTAACCATCAAGCTTTATTGCCTCTGAGGAACCTCCAGTGGAAAGGGGTGCTGGGGGAAGGCTCTGTTCCTTTTGTCCCTGTCTCCAGGACCCAAACCATCAGCTTCATGCTCTTTCTTGGTGAGCTCTGAAGCTGGAAACTCCACCACCAGTCCATGCATCCCACTGTGAAGGTTGTCACCTTCCTGGTCTAGAAGAAACGCTCCAAAGAAACACCCCCAAGAAACGCTCCCACATGGCTCTAACAGCAGTTGTTTCCTGAAGCCTGAGGCAGGCAGAATAAGACTGTCATCATGTCCCAGCCCTGGCATGTCAAACCCTTCAATCCATCCAAAGACAATGGCACAGCATAAGCTCCAATCCACAAGGCTCCTGGATTCCTTCAGACAAACAATATTCACCCTGGGCAGGGGTCATGGAAAGAGCTCTGGGTTTCCAATGGAAAGACAGAACCGGTGTTAGATCCCACCTCTTGTTACTTCTTTGCTATTTTTATTTTTAGAGACAGAGTCTCGCTCTATTGCCCAGGCGGGAGTGCAGTGGTGCAGTCACAGTTCACTGTAACCTCAAACTCCTGGGCTCAAACAATTCTCTTGCCTTGGCCTCCTGAGTAGCTGGGACTACGGACACGTGCCACTGCACCCAGCTGATTGTTTTTCTTTTGGTAGAGACAGTCTTGGTATGTTGTCCAGGCTGGTCTTGAACTCCTGGACTCAAGTGATCTTCCCACCTCTGTCTCTCAAAGTATTGGGATTATAGGCGTGAGCCACCATGCCAAGCCCATTCTTGCTACTTCTGAGTCCTGTGACCTCAGACAGCCTCTGTAAAGATTCGAGCCTTAGCTTACGTGTCCCTAAAATGGGTACAGGAGGCTGGGCACAGTGGCTCATGCCTGTAATTCCAGCATTTTGAGAGGCCAAAGTGGGAGGATTGCTTGAGGCCGGGAGTTCGAAATCATCCTGGTCAATATAGTGAGACCCTGTCTCTACAAAAATATAATAATAATAGTGATAAAATAAAATAGAATAAAATAATATGAGTACAAAGTTGTTGGGCAGATAAATGAGATCAATTTTAAGTTCTTTTTTTTTTTTTTTTGAGACGGAGTCTCGCTGTGTCGCCCAGGCTGGAGTGCAGTGGCTCAATCTCGGCTCACTGCAAGCTCAGCCTCCTGGGTTCACGCCATTCTCCTCCTCAGCCTCCGCAGTAGCTGGGACTACAGGCGCCCGCCACCACGCCCGGCTAATATTTTGTGTTTTTAGTAGAGACGGGGTTTCACCATTTTAGCCAGGATGGTCTCGATCTCCTGACCTCGTGATCTGCCCGCCTTGGCCTCCCAAAGTGCTGGGATTACAGGTGTGAGCCACCGCGCCCGGCCAACGGTAAGTTCTTAATAAAGGCGGGTTTTATCTGAATTCGGGTTTGGGGCTAGCTGGGTACTGGCGGCTCTCAGAACTCACGTGCTGCTGTACAATGTATAGCAGGTTAGTTAGGGTCCCCCGAGAGTCACTGTAGACCCACACGTTGGCATGGCTGCCAGGACTGATGATTACCTTGGATTCCTTTCTGGCACGTCTGGCCCTGGATTCATGAGGCTGGGGCACCACCTTGTGGTGAGAATCCTGCCAGGGGCCAGCAGGGACGCAAGGTGCCTGACGGCCCTGCTTCCCTCAAGCCGCGGAACCTGGGGGAGGAGAACATGACATCCAGACCCTTTGGGAGACTTGAAGCCAAGACCAAACTCATCACCTGTCTTCCCCACTGGTCGGGCCAGAGTCCGGATCCCTGGTAGCTCTGGGTTTCCGTTCACTCATCCGCTCACCCACTCAGCACAGCTCCTCCTCCTCCTCCTCCTCCTCCTCCTCTTCCTCCTCCTCCTCCTCTTCCTCCTCCCCCTCCTCCCCCTCCTCCCCCTCCTCCTCCTCCTCCTCCTCCTCCTCCTCCTCCTCCTCCTCCTCCTCCAAGACTTGCCCACTTGCCGGCCCAATCTCCCCACCTGAAGCAGCGACCGCCCTCATTCACACTCTTCCAGCCCCCGATGGCTCTATTGTTCTTTCTAGTACTTACCAACACTGCCAAGGCTATAATTCTCAAACCATTAAAACATAATTATCTTAAAGTCAGTAGTGAGTATGTATTAAAAGTCTTATTTACTTTACTAATGAGGGCCTAGGCACAATGACAAAGCTGGCTCCAATGAGAATTCGAAAAACAGGGATTCTTCTAGGAAGTAGGAAAAATGAGGAGATAAAATTGCCATATTATGCTGGGCGCAGTGGGTCACACCTGTAATCCCAGCACTTTGGGAGGCCGAAGCAGGCGGATCACTTGAGGTCAGGAGTTCGAGACCAGCCTGGCCAACATGGTGAAACCCCCATCTCTACTAAAAAAAAATACAAAAATTAGCCAGGTGTGGTGGTGTGCGCTTGTAGTTCCAGCTTGGGAGGCTGAGGCACGAGAATTGCTTGAATCCAGAGGGCGGAGGCTGCAGTGAGCTGAGATCACACCACTGCACTCCAGCCTGGGCAACAGAGTGAGACTCCATCTCAAAACAAACAAACAAAAAAACAAAAACAAAAACAAAAACAGGCCATGTTACACATAAAGTCAGTTAATGTCCTACAGGGCAAAAATCACTGTACCCTTTGGGGTGATTTTCCTACTAGACAGAAGAGAAAAGCATCACATGATTTCAGTTCAACAGAAATGAAAAATGTGGCCAGATGTGGTGGCTCACACTTATAATCCTAGCATTTTGTGAGGCTGAGGTGGGAGGATGGCTTGTGCTCAGGAGTTTGAGACCAGCCTGGGCAACATAGTGAGACCCCGTCTCTACAAGAAATACAAAAAATTAGCTGGGTATGGTGACTTGTGCCTGTAATCCCAGCTACTTGGTGGGGCTGAGGTGGGAGGATCGCTTGAGCCCAGGAGGTCGAGGCTGCAGTGAGCCAAGACTGCGCCACTGCACTCCAGCCTGGGTAACAAGGTAAGACGCTGTCTGGAAAAAAAAAAAGCGAAGTCCTTGCGCCCTAATCAATTTAATCAATTGTATACACAAGTGCTGCACTGTCCTGATGGCTCTAGCATGCAGTCACCTTTTTGCCTCACTTGTAGCTTTTGGACTGTGGTTCTTTACACTACCTGACATTATATTTTGCATTTATTTGTTTATTGCAGGTTGCCTCCTCTAGAATGTAGGCTTCGTGAGGTCAGACAGGTGTAATGCCTGGCTCCCTGCTGCCTCCCAATACCTCATAAATATCCAGCATGTGGACACTCCTTGGTAGATATTTGCAGAATGGCTGGGAGGGTCAGGCTGGGCAATTCATATGATGCCAGCTCTGTCATTCCAGGACTCATGATCTGGTGAAGGATGGATGATTATCATACCAAGTTTTTTTTGTTCGTTTTTTTTTTTTTTCCTCATTCTGTTGCCCAGGCTAGAGTACAGAGGCGCAATCTTGGCTCACTGCAACCTCTGCCTCCCAGGTTCAAGCAATTCTCCCTTCTTAGCCTCACAAGTAGCTGGGACTACAGGGGCACACCACTGTGCCCAACTAATTTTTGTATTTTTAGTACAGATGGGGTTTCACCATGTTGGCCAGGCTGGTCTCGAACTCCTGACCTCAAGTTATCTGCCCACCTTGGCCTCCCAAAGTGCTGGGATTACAGGTGTGAGCCAGCGTGCCTGGCTGATTATCACACCAAGTTTTAAATGGGCTGTGGACACTGGGGAAGGCTTTGTGGAAGAAGGGGCAGGGGAGAGGGGCTGGGTGGGTGGTTTGAGAGGGTGAGGAGGGGTTGCATTAAGGCACATGGCCAAGAGAGTGGTGCATTCTCGGAGTGGGGAGGATTCAATATGGTGGATGAGATGGGGCTGGGAAGGGAGGCAGGGGCCAGGCCTTGGAGGGCCTTGTGGGCCCTGCAAAGGGATTTGGGCTTTGTGCAATGACCTCCCAGAGTGGGTGTCTACAGTAGAGCCTTGACGTGCACTCTGGTCAAATCTGGACTGAAAAGCCAAGTCCCCGCCCTCCCAAAGACGGAGATATGTTAATAGCAGGAAGATCTTTCGGTATATTTACATGCTGGAGAGTAAATATTTTCAAAGATCCCTCACAGCATCTCAGGATATCCTTCTGACCGATGCCAAGTATTCACCTGAGGATATGAGGCATACCATGTCCACCTAGCTCTTCTGGAGCCGAGGAGCAACCGGGCTTCAGCCAAGATCTTTGAGATTGAGCCTGGGGACTTCCTCCCCATTCCCTGTCTCCTTCAGCTTTGCAGTGGCTTGTAGTGTTTCTTTACCATGAGGTGCACATTTCTGAGCCTATATCCCTTGGGTTCTGGATGAGTTTGCTTTGGTAACAAATGACCACAAACTGGGGGATTAAAACAGTGGAAATGGATTATTTCAGTTCTGTAAACCAGAAGTCCGCAATCAAGGTGTCAGCAGGGACTCACGCCTCCAAAGGCTCAAGGGGAGGGTTCTTCCTTGCCTCTTCCAGTTTCTGGTGATCCCGGGTGCTCCTTCATGTGGCAGCATCACTCTGATCTCTGCCTTCATAGGCCATCTTCACTGTGGTTCTCAAATCTCCCTCTCCTTTCTCTTATAAAGACATCAGGGGCAGAGCACGGTGGCTCATGCCTATAATCCCAGCACTTTGGGAGGCCAAGGTGGGAGGATTGCTTGAACTCGGGAGTTTGAGACCAGCCTGGGCAACATGGTGAAACCCCGTCTCTGCTAAAAACAGACAAAATTAGCCAGGCATGGCGTCACACGCCTGTATCCCAGCTACTCAGGAGACTGAGATGGGAGGATAGCTTGAGTCCAGGAGGTTGAGGCTGCACTGAGCTATGATCACACCACTGAACTCCAGCCTGGGTGACAGAGAGAAACCTTGTCTCAAAAAAAAAAGAAAGAAAAGAAAAGAAAAAAGAAGGACACCAGTCATTAGATTTAGGACCCGCCCTAAATCCAGGACGACTGTCAAGACCCTTAACTTAATTAGATCTGCAAAGACCCCTTTCTCAAATGTTTCCAAGTTTCCCATTCATAGGTTCTGGGGTTTAGAACGTGGACATAGCTTGTTTAGGGCCACCATTCAACCCACTATAGTTTCAAAAAGGTGGAAAACATCCTTTGTCTTCAGTTTCTCAGGACTGACTGAAATTGTTTTGAACTCCATATAGTAGACGAAAAGGAACCTGGTTTTATGGGGGACAAGTCTTCCTGCCTTTAGTTAAAGAGGGACAGGACAAAGGCTGAAACCACAGGCAAAGCTATTGTTGGTGTTTTGCAAACTTCAGCCCCCAAGATCACCATCTTTGTGACATTTGCTATTCCTGCTTCCCACTTACATTATTACTTAATATTGTATTTAACTACGCACAAATTATTAACTTAGCCTCAACCGAGAATAATATCCTTCATGTCCCTGGTTTTCAAATGCAAGATACATTTTTCTCCCAGAATACACAAAACAGGGCATGATGGTGTGGTTCAACAACTGGACTAGCTTGGAGGGTGACTTCAAACAGGTTTTGTGAGGTCTTGTAATGACATCGATCCTCCCTGAAGTGGCATCTTCCTCTCTTATCTTGCTGTAAGAAGGGCTCAGCTGTGGTTTAGATGTCTGTTCCCTCCCAAACAACTCATGATGAAGTGTATTCCTATTGTAACAGTATCAAGAGGTGGGACTTTTAAGAGGTGATTAGGGCAAGAGGACTCTGTGGATTAATCCTGTTATCACCAGAGTGGGTTTGTCTTCTCGGGAGTGGGTTCCTTATAAAAGGACGAGTTTGACCCATGTTTACTTCTCTCTCGTTCTCATCCTCTCTTTACTGTTCTACCATGTGGCGCCTTCTGCTGTGCTATCATGCAGCAAGAAGGCCCTTGCCAGATGCTGGCCTTTAGCTCTTGGACCTCCCAGCCTCAGAACTGTGAGCCAATACATTTCTGTTAATTACGTTACCCAGTCTGTGGTGTTCTGTTATAGCAGCACAAAATGGAGTAAGACAGCTTCCTGGGTTGTCAGGAGGGCATTGGAGCCGCAGGGCACAGCCCAGCCCAGGCCAGCACTGCTGGAACATCACTCACTGCAGATGAAGGTGGAGTGACAGGGACTGGCTGCTCTCCTGCTGAGGTAACTGGAGTCTCAAACCTCCTCTCCCATCTTCACAGCCCACACAGCTGTTTTCTCAGAAGCAGAGAATCTTACTCTGCAAGTTCACATTAGAATCCCTGTGTCCCAGGTTTTGCCTAGTGGCTGTGCTGGAGCTTAATCTTTGCTTCTCCAATAGTTAGTTGTGCAGTTGGTGCCTGAGGTCTACTCACGCAGGTCTGTGGGGGAAGTGGGGAAAAGGCCCTCAGGGTACAAATAAAATCATTTAGGAAGTGGGGGTGGAGGAAAGGACTAATCCCTGGAAGTGGCATCCTGCTACATACATGTCAATAGGATAAACTTCAAAATGCTTTTCTCTTAAAACCTCTCTGCGCCAGGAACAGTGGTGCACACCTGTAGTCCTAGCTCCTTGGGAGGCTGAGGTAGAAAGACTGTTTGAGCCCAAGCAGTTCGAGGCCGTGGTGCACTATGCTCATGCCTGTGAATAGCCACTGCACTCCAGTGGGCAACATGGCGAGACCTGTCTCTAAAACAACAACAACAAAAACCTGCCACATACCACTGGTATCCTAACTCGCCATACTTTGGAGAACACTGTGTTAGAGCAAAGATGTGGTCATCAGGAGAATTTACCTTGGTGGAGGGCATGGTGGTGAGTCTTCAAGAACTATGTCTTGTCAGAAGACACAGTCCTCCAAGCCAGAAAGCTAGGCATCACCCTCAGCCCTCTCCTCTTCCTGAATCCCCCAAATGCCTCAGAAATAAATCTTAGTTTGCACATTTAGGTGGATAATAGATTGAACGGCTTTGTTTAGAAGAGCACCTGGATGGAAGTTGGTGCTCAATGGACATCAGCTGTGGGTATGAGAACACGATCTCTGCATCACAATGCTGGCGGGCTTGCCCACTTCCTTCCAGATTCAGTGCCTCTTCAGGGCAAGGATGTGTCCTTTGCATCTCTCTTGTGGGCAGCCTCTGAGATGGTCCCCAGTGATCCCACCTTTGGGTATTCCCACTCTGTGTAATCCCCTCCCCTTGAGTGTGGGCTGGACTTAGTGACTCACTTCTGAAGAACTGAATGTGACAAAAGTGACGGAGTGTCACTTCTCAGATTAGGTTACCTCCCAGTAAACTCTCTCTATTCTTGTATGCTTGCTCTGAGAAAGCTGCTGTCATGTCCTGGCTTTATCAGAGGCCCCCTAGAGAGGCCCACATGGCAGAGAAATGAGAGAAGTCTGTGGTCAGCAGCCAGTGAGGAACTGAGGCCCTTAGACCCATAGCAGGTGAGGAACTGAATCCTGCCACCAACCACAAGAGGGAGCCTCAATGTGGATCCACTCTTAGTTGAACCTTCAGATGAGACCACAGCTGAACTCCTTGTAGCCTTAGCAGAGGTCTTAAGACAGAGGCACCCAGTTAAACTAAGCCCAGATTTATGACCCACAGGTACTGTAAGATAATAAATGTTTGTTGTCTTAAGCTTCTAAGTTTTGGGGTATTTTGTCATGCAGCAAATAGATAATACAGTTCCTTTCCCCAATGCCCCACACAGGGCTTGGCTTATTTTAGAGTCTTCTAACTATTGGGAAGAGGCCCAGCAGGTTTGAGTTACTCCCTTTTTTCCCTTCCCACATGGTGGCTGGATTTATGTCCACCTTCAGTTTGCTGCTATGTCCATTAGCGTTCTCTGTAAAAATGTAATGGGCTAGAAACATGGATAAAACTTATGGTGGAACTTCAGCCTTTAGTACAGATCACGGCCACACTCCCCTGGGTCTGGACATGACAAATTTCCCACTGGGGAACCAGACAACATGGAGTTCAGATGAGCCTGGCATAGTCTCATTCTATGCATTCTGAGGCTCAGTTGGAGGAGCACCAAGCCCAGGGTCTTGTAGCCCCAGACCCACCCAAGGGATGATTTGCCCTCTGAACTTTTCTCTGAGTCTTTCTAGAACCTTTGGGCTAAAATAAATTTTATTTCCCAAAAGCTTGGCTTGATCTATCTGTTTTCAAATACAGCTCTTGTTAGAGAGTAGCATTTTGGCTGTGTGTGTATGCATGCGTGCATGTGTGCACATGTACTTAATTTCTTTTAACTTTATTTTTAGTAAAAAAGACACAAAAATAACCCATGTTTGTAAAAACAAAATACATGTATATAACATAAAGGGCAAAGTCTCATCAATTCCATTCCCCCAATTCCATGCCCTGGGGTTAATCAAGGTTAACCATGTGGTATGTAACTTTCCACCTATAAACACATACCTTAGAGCTGCCATTTATAAGTTATGTGATGATGAGCAAATTACCAGGAGTGGTGAAGAGCCTGGGGGATAAATTCTTAGACTATAAAGCCAAACTTCTCAGGTTCAAAGCCTGGCTCTATCCCTCACAACTTATGTGACCTTGGGAGAGTTACCTGGCCCCCTTGCCTACTCCCTCCTTAGTTTACCCATCTATGAAGTGGGGCCTCACGTGAGTGGAGGGATATTTACTGAGCTAATGTATCTAAAATGTTTAGGACAGTTGGCTATCACCATCTCGATCCTCTGAGATCTCCCATTTTGCTTGAGCCTGTTTTTTCTTTTTTTGAGATGGGGTCTTGCTCTGACACCCAGTCTGGAGTGCAGTGGTGTACTCATGGGTCACTGCAATTTCAGCTTCCCACATTGAGCTTGGTTCTGAAGTCAGGCTTTCCACAAAATTCTTCCCTGATATCATCCTTCTTCCTGGGTTCTCACTACCCAGGTGTTTAGATATAGGAGATGGTCCCAGTGTTCCTGTCTCTAAGTCCTGGTCCTACTGAAACGTTTCAGTAGCTTGAGCCTTGGAAATGATGGGGAAGCAGGTTTAACTAACTGAGTCTTAGTTAATTAAGGCTTTACTATGTATGGTAGCTTTAGAATAAAGTTGGATTTTAATCATTACCACTCAGCCACTTAAAATCTCCAAATCCTTCCCATGGGAAACCAATTCAAGATCCACTTCAACCAGGCATCTAGTAATCAATAGAGACTGATTGCCTTATTAATTTGTACACTGAACTTTACTTGGCTTTATTTCCGCTGCCTTTAATCACTGATGAAAGAATAGTTTCTTCTTCCATGTTTTATACCCTTTCCATTCATCCCATCAATATTTTCCTGTCAACACAGAAGTCATCACTGAATGCCAGATAGGCCTGACAAGAGTGTGTGCCCATGTGGGGACAGAGATCGGTGCTGTCCCCAAGACTCCGAGGCACCTGACATCACCCAACTCCATAGGTCTCTTTCAATCTAAGGGGCTGATCTTGCCCCCTAAAATTCCAGTTTAGATATTAAAACTTAGCGTTGTCCCTTGTGATTTTAACAGAGGGTTAAAATTCACAAAACTGTCAGAGTGATTCATCAGTCTGTTTATCAGTAACTAGTGTTAGAAAAGCAAATTCCTGCTGACACCTGCTTGGGGCCACTGTACCACACTGCCATGTAAGAAACAGCACAGTCTGGAAGGCCTCCCTGGTTGAAGCTGGGATCCACTGCCTGCTTCCAATATCAGCAGCACCACCGTTTGCCCGGCGCATGCATTGGTTGAGCAGCAGAAGTGGGTTTGAACTGGCAGTCACCTGAGATGCAACAGGCTTTAATCTAAGAGCACATTTACTTAGCATCTAGAAGGCTCAGACAGGAAACACAGCATCATCATCCCGTTGGGAAGACCACCTCCCAGGCACATAGCCATAGCTCCTTTTGCCCTTCCCCATTCAGGGGACACATGGCTGCTGCAGCCGACAGCCAAGATGTGTGTTGTGTGTGGATCACTGATGCACAGACCCATAAGCTTGGTTACCTACTGATATTTCCATCACAGTCACTCACATAGGGCCAAGGTATGGCCACCTACTCCCAGCTCCCTTAGTTTAGATGAGTCTAAAATTAAAAAAATTTTTTTTTTAAAATAATTATTTGTTTTAAATAACATGAGAATGGGTCTCACTATGTTGCCCAGGCTGGTCTCAAACTCCTGGCTCAAGTGATCCTCCTACCTCGGCCTCCCAAAGTGCTGGGATTACAGGTGTGAGCCACTGCACCTGGCCACACATGAGGGTTTCACAGCAAGCAAGGGCAAGGGCACACACTACATCTCACTTTTTTTTTTTTTTTTTTTTTTTTTTGAGACGGAGTCTCCCTCTGTTGCCCAGGCTGGAGTGCAGCGGCATGATCTCGGCTCATTGCAACCTCGACCTGCTCGGTTTAAGCGATTCTTGTGCCTCAGCCTCCTGAGTAGCTGGGATTACAGCTGTGCACCACCACGCCCGGCTAATTTTTGTATTTTTGGTAGAGATGGGGTTTCACCATGTTGGCCAGGCTGGTCTTGAACTCCTGACCGCAAATGATCCTCCCACATTGGCCTCCCAAAGTGCTGGGATAACAGGCTTGAGCCACCGCGCCCGGCCTACATCTCACTTTTATCTGGACTCTATACTGAAGAGCATGAACTCTGAGGCTGTGTCCCTGGCAGCATTTCTCCCCCAACTGGCAGCCCGTGGAAGTGGAGTGGAGCTGGGATCAGCAGGATAAAGCATGACTTTTCTTTTTTGCTTGTTTTATTTTAAGTTCTGGGATACATGTGCAGAATGTGCAGGTTTGTTACATAGGTATATGTGTGCCATGGTGGTTTGCTGCACCTATCAACCCGTCATCTAGGTTTTAAGCCCTGCATGCATTAGGTATTTGTCCTAACGCTCTCCCTCCTCGTCCCCCATCCCCCAAAAGGCCCCGGTGTGTGATGTTCTCCTCCCTATGTCCTTGTGTTCTCATTGTTCAACTCCCACTTATGAGTAAGAACAAAAGCATGACTTTTCTCTCTCTCTGAGGGTTGCCCAGGTCCTCCAAAATCATGCTCGTGTACAACACGGAACCTGAAATTGAAGTCAGGCTTTTTCCATTTGACTTTTCAGATTTGCTTTTTGTCCAGCTATTGCTTCAGGATAGGGTGGCAAACAGGATCCCTTTTATTTATAGAGAGAGGGAGAGATTGCTCCCAGTGATGTCTCTAGCAGGTGATGATGTGAGACAATCCAACCTTACAAATCACACAGGCTGCAAGGTGCAAGTTGAAAATTCCGCCAAGCCAAAAACTCTACCTTAGGACTAAGTCTGCAATTTAATGAAAACTTCACCAGGGCCAAGTATGACTCTAGGCATCTTTCATGGATCATTTAGTATGTTTTTTTTTTTTTTTTTGAGACAGAGTCTTGCTCTGTTGCCCAGGCTGGAGTGCAGTGGCTCGATCTCAGCTCACTGCAAGCTCCGCCTCCCGGGTTCACGCCATTCTACTGCCTTAGCCTCCCGAATAGCTGGGACTACAGGTGCCCGCCACCACGCCTGGCTAATTTTTTGTATTTTTAGTAGAGACGGGGTTTCACCATGTTAGCCAGGATGGTCTTGATTTCCTGACCTCATGATCTGCCCACCTCGGCCTCCCAAAGTGCTGGGATTACAGGTATGAGCCACTGCGCCTGGCCCATTTAGTATGATCTTTACAATAATTCTGTGAAGAAAGAATTCTTACCCTCTTTTTTTCCCATTTATTTATTTATATTATTTTTTGAGACGGAGTCTCGCTCTGTCACCCAGGCTGGAGTGCAATGGTGCAATCTTAGCTCACTGCAAACTCCACCTCTCAGGTTCCAATTCTCCTGCCTCAGCCTCCAGAGTAGCTGGAATTACAGGCACGCCACCATGCCCAGCTATTTTTTTGTATTTTTAGTAGATACGGGGTTTTGTCATGTTGGCCAGACTGGTCTTGAACTCCTGACCTCAGGTGATCCATTTGCCTTGGCCTCCCAAAGTGCCGGGATTACACGCATGAGCCACATCTGGCTTTTTTTCATTTATTGATAAATGAAATTTTGCATATTATGGGGTGCATATGAATGTGTTTTATATACACAGAATGTGTAATTATCAAGCCAGGGTATTTGAGGTATTCACCACCTTGAGAATTTATAATTTTATGTGTTGGGAACATTTCAAGTTCTCTCTTCTAGCAACTTTGAAATACACAATATATTGTTGCTAACTGTAGCCACCCTAGTCTGCTACCAAACATTAGAAGGTATTTCTTCCCTAAGTTTGTACCCATTCACCAACCTATCAAGAAGTTTTACTATTTTACAGGTGAGGAAACTCAGGTTCAGAGAGGCTAGGTCATTTGTCCAAGGTCATTGCTGTTACACAGCAGAGGCAGGATTTAAACCCTGGCTTGCTCAACTCCGGAGTTGGTGGGTTTTTTTTTCTTTAGAAATAGCGTCTCTGTCTGTAAGGCTGTGAGGGTGTAGTGCAGTGGCACAATCACAGTTCACTGCAGCCTAGAATTCCTTCGCTTAGGCGATGCTCCCGACCCAGCCTCCTGAGTAGCTGGGAGTACAGGTGCATGACACACCTGGCTAATTAAAAAAAAGTTTTTTAGAGATAGGGTCTCTGTATGTTGCCCAGGCTGATCTCAAACTCCTGTCCTCAAGTAATCCTCCTGCCTTTGCCTCCCAAAGTGCTGGGATCACAGGTATGAGCCACCACATCCAACCCAGAGTTTGTGCTCTTAACCAGGGATGACATGTTGCAACTTCACTCCTCACAGTGTGGCCCACAGACGAGCATCATCAGCATCACCCGGGAGCTTGTTAAACTGCAGCATCAGGCCACATCCAGGGCCTGAGTCAGAATCTGTATTTTGACAAGATCCCAAGTGATTCGTGTGCATACTAGTTTGAGAAGCTTTGGGGACCACAGTTTCACTAATGGTTTTTTTTTTTTAATTTCTTTTGAGACGGAGTTTCATTCTTGTTGCCCAGGGTAGAGTGCAATGGCGCAGTCTTGGCTCACTGCAACCTCCACCTCCCGGGTTGTAGAGATTCTCCTGCCTCAGCCTCCTAAGTAGCTGGGATTACAGGCGACCGCCACCACGCCCAGCTAATTTTTTTTTTTTTTTTTGTATTTTTAGTAGAGACGGGGTTTCACCATGTTGGCCAGGCTGGTCTCGAACTCCTGACCTTAGGTGATCCACCCACCTCGGCCTCCCAAAATGCTGGAATTACAGGTGTGAGCCACTGTGCCTGGCTTTGTTGGTTTTAACAGTTCTTTCCCATGCAGGCTGCAGCTGAACAGCCAAGTCCCCTCCTTGGGTCACATATTTTTCTGAAAATGTTATAAAAAAATTGAGTCCACTGGCCTGGGCTAATTACCTAGCAGAACATCCCCATGGTTTGGTGATTCTGAATATCGCTGCCAAACAAGCACTTGTAGAGGCTCAAACAAGGCCATAAAACATGGCAATGGGGGCGCGCTCCCACTCTGGGAAATGAAAATCTGACGATACTTTGAATTACAGTGGATCAAGATTAATTCCAGGCTCTACTTAGAGGAAGCTTTCAGGCCCAGTGGTTTAGACATAAAAGCAGTTTGCCCTAATGCGGCAGGTGAAAGCTGTGACAACTCTATTGCTTGGTGCCAATTACATTTATGGACTTGTACCCAGGAGTGCTAGGAAATTGTCACCATTAGTGCTGACGTACTGCCAGTTGTTGGCTCTGTCTAGTGGGGTTCTGATTTGAAGACTCATTATTAATATTCCCTGTAGTGATCTGCAATGCTGCTCCATTATGGCAAGTCTGTCAGGAACGGAGTTTGTGTAGGAATTTTAGAAAACAGCAATAGGTTGAGGGCTATGTGGTAGGCCCCAGAGCTTCTCAAACTACTGTGCACACAAATCACCCAGGGTCTCGTTGAGATGCAGATTCGGAATCACGTCCTGAGCTGAGGCTTGATACTTTTCTTCTTTTTTGGAGACAGGATCTCTCTCTGTTGCCCAGGCCAGAGTGCAATGGTGCAGTCATGGCTCACTGCAGCCTCAAATTCTTAGGCTCAAGCAATCCTCTCACCTTGCCTTCTGAGTAGTTGGGACTACAGGCGTTAGCCACTACGCCTGGCTTTTTTTTTTTTTTGAGATGGAGTTTTGCTCTTGTTGCCCAGGCTAGAGTGCAATGGCATGGTCTTGGCTCACTGCAACCTCTGCCTCCTGGGTTCAAGTGATTCTCCTGCCTCAGCCTCCCAAGTAGCTGGGATTACAGGCATGAGCCACCACACCCGGCTAATTTTGTATTTTTAGTAGAGGCAGGGTTTCACCATGTTGGCCAGGCTGGTCTTGAACTCCTGACTTTGGGTGATCCACCCGCCTCGGCCTCCCAAAGTGCTGGGATGACAGGCATGAGCCACCATGCCCGGCACCTCGCCTGGCTTTTTAATTTTTGAGATGTCTGGCTCTGTTGCCCAGGCTGGAGGGCAGTGTTGCGATCTTGGCTCACTGCAACCTTCGCCTCCCAGGTTCAAGCGATTCTCCTGCCTCGGCCTCCCAAGTAGCTGGGACTGCAGGCGCAAACCACCATGCCAGACTAATTGGCTGTTTAATTTTTAATAGAGATGGGGTCTTGCTTTGTTGTCCAGGCTGGTTGAACTCCTGGCCTTAATTGATCCTCCTGCCTTGGCCTCCCAAAGTATCGGGATTGCAGGAGTGAGCCAACATGCTCAGCCTGATGTTGCATTTCTAACCAGCATCCACGTGATGCCACAGATGCTGCTGCTGCTCCAGCGGGAATGTGGGAAAAGCACAGGCTCAGGAGTCAGATGGACATGGGTGGACATGGGCTCTAAACCTGACTCTGCCCTTGGTTGCTGTGTGATGTTGGGCAAGTTGCTGAACCTCTCTGAATTTTGGATTTCTCATGTGCAAAATAGGGATCACTTCTGCCTTTTAGGTTCTTTGAAGATTTATAATAACGTACATGCATAGGTTTTCTTCTTGCTCCCAGAGGGGCAGGGTGAGGTCACTCTCCTGCATGCTCTCACTACAGGTTCAGCTGAGACCGTTTTTCTTCTCTAAAGTACTTGGCTTTCTTCTTCCAAGTCAGGATTTCTCCGCCTCGGCGCTACTCACATTTTGGGCTGGATCATTTTGTGTTGTGGGGGATGCTCCGTGATTACCGCATTATAGAACGTTCAGCAGCATCTCTGGCCTCACCCACTGGATACTGGTGGCACCCGTCTCCCCTACTTGTGACCACCGAAAATGTCTCCAGGCACTGCCAAATGTTCCTGGAGGCAAAATCACTCACAAATAGGAAATAATGACCTAATTAGTAACTTACATTAGCAATTCATTCAACAATATGTGTTGAGCATCTACTGTTTGCCAGACCATACAGCAGGGATGTAGTGATATTTAAGACAAACAAGGTCCCTGACCTCATGGAGACTTTTTCCTTTTTGGACCTCAGTCTTCTCCGCTGTAATGTGGGTATCACAAGGCTGCGGACCTCCTAAATTTGTTGGGAAGATGAAGTTAGACTTGCAAGTGCCTGGCCCCTGGCATGAGGGATTAGCCAATGCCAGGGGTATGATGGGCCTAGGGATGGAACCTGGGAGCTTGGGGAGAAGCGAGTGTGGGCAGGGACAGTGCATGGAGAAGCCAGGAAACCTGAGCTGCAAGGGAGGCGGAAAGGGGCCATGAAAGGCCCTGGTGCAAAGTGTGCGGCAGCAGCAAGGCAGGGGAAAGGGGCTGCAGGGAGGGCCAAGGGTAGCAGGAAGATGGGACCAAAACTGGAGAGAAGGAGAGAGACAGTGGGACATAGAGGATGACAGGAAGGGGTGGAGATGGGAGGAGAGAGGCACAGATGGAGAAGATAAAAAACCAGACAGACAGACATGTACACACGTGATAAGACAGAGAGACCAAGGGGCGGAGGGAAAATGAGTCCAGGCGGAAGGGAACACCTCTGAGGAAGATCACTGCACAAACCCTGGTCAGCTGCACATGACCCCAAAGAGTGGCTCTTAGGTTTATTCCAAACGTACCTGATTTGGGTGATAAAGAGTTAAAATTAAATACAAAGGCCAATGCCAGTCCATTCCTGGCGCCAGCTCCTGCCTCTTCCTTCTCATGGGGCCCTCACCAGAGTGATGGGGTGGAGCATACCCAACCCTGGGAGGAAATGAGGCTTTTGTGCCGAGCGGCAATATGATGGCAATACTGGCAGTGGTAGTCAACCCATCTGTAAACAGCTGACAGAGGGCAGTACAAGAATCCACCTCACAGCCAGGGCCGCAACCGCAAGTAAAGCACACAGCTGAAATGACTGACGTGGGTGGAACTGAGCTGAGAAGGAACGTGGCTCGGCTTGACCCTGGAGCACACATCACAACCATGAGAAACAGGCAACTAAAGTGACCTCCAGCCCACAGCAACAACCTTCTCTGGCTACAACTGGGAGGCAGGGACAGACCCCAGAAAACCATCTTGGGTCATCTAAGGTACGTGTAACCATATTTTTAAAATGACAAAATCTCAAGCATGTTGCTTTGGTGAGCTTCTGATTTTACTAGAAATACACTCTAAGAACAGTCGAGACGCCGCGCCTTGTGGAGGCGATGGGTCATGTTACTGGTTCTGCGATGATCTTCCAGAGCTCCTGCAGCAAACAGAGAAAAGAACAGGTTTCTGAAGTGCACATACAAGAGCATCACAATTTCATTAAGGAAAGTGATTCACCAAGGAGAGTAGTTAGACAACACGTCAGCCACGGAGCAGGCGAGCTGGGGCAGGAGCGGACGGGCGGCTTCCTCCTTTCTTTGTTGCTCTGG
This sequence comes from Homo sapiens, assembly GCF_000001405.40. Taxonomy (NCBI): domain Eukaryota; kingdom Metazoa; phylum Chordata; class Mammalia; order Primates; family Hominidae; genus Homo; species Homo sapiens. The sequence continues at coordinate 8,645,935 of NC_000016.10, read as the reverse complement.
GCTGTTCTATTTTACTGTGGCAGAGAGGCTGGATGGATGAAGTCCCAGCATTAACGGAAGGTGCATCAGAGGATGTCAAACAATCAGAAGAGACCAGAATAGCAGTGAGTTGCCGTATCTCTCCATTTTGGGGGAGATCTTTATAAACAATTTTATTTTAGAGACAGGATCTCATTCTGTTGCCCAGTCTGGAGTGCAGTGGCACCATCACAGCTTGCTGCAGCCTTGAACTTCTGGGCTCAAGCAATCCTCCCACCTCAGCTTCCAGAGTAGCTGGGACCACAGGTGTGCACCACCATGCATGGCTAATTTTTTTTCTTGATTTTTGTCGAGATAGGGTCTGTGATGCCCAGGCTGGTCTCGAACTCCTAGCTTCAAGCAACCCTCCGACCATGGCCTCCCAGAGTGCTGGGATTACAGGTGGGAGCCACCGTACCTGGCCTTTTTGGGACGTCTTAGGCATCATGTATTGGGGCTGCTGACTTGTAAGAAATGTGTGTTCTTGGTCATGTGACGCTACTCTTAATGCTGCCCAGAAGTGGCAGAGCAATAAATACAAGATCCTCCTCGCACACAAAACCACACGAATTCCATGCTGCCCTCCCTCAGGACGCGAGACAGAGTGCAAGGGCGGCAGCTCCTCGTGACTCCCTCTTCCTCCCTTTTTCCTTAGAACTAGGCCCGGGTCTCCACAGACATAGAGAAAGGGAGGCCACAGCCAAAAGGCAAACAGAACAAAAGAAGTTAATTCTCAATCTTTGGACTCCAGTTAATAGAAAAGCCAGTTCAGTCCGAGAGGGGCTGGTATCCTTCCACAGTGAAGATGTGAGCAGCGGCCACCACAGCGGGGCGCCTGCACCAAGATCTGCAACCCACAAACTTCCCTCCACTGACTTCCTGTTCCCCAAACAACCTCTGCCTCGGTCTTGCCTCCTCTGGAGTCTGAACTGTCCAACGGGGGGAATATGTGCTATAAAGTAAAAGACAAGGTTCGCCTGTAGGCCCGTCTCCAGACATGGTGGCTGCTAAGAACAGGATGTAGCTCCCCCAACAGGTTCCACTACAGATGGTGCCAGGCACGCAGGCTTCACCCCCTGCAGGACTAGGGTGGAGCCTGTGCTTGGAGGGCTTGCTTCATCACCTCTTTGCCCTGGAGTCACCCGCTTCACAGTAAAGCAACCAACGGCCCTGCTTCGGGGCCTGGACCTACCAGTTGCTGGAGGCGCTCGTAAACCAGGAGCTGTGGGAAGGAGGCCTCCACGGGCTCCACCACGAAGCGCAGCTTGCCATCTGCGAGCTGCTCCAGCGCGTGCAGGCAGGAGCGGAAGTGATCGTAGGCTTCACATGTGACGTCCAAGTGTCTCAATGTGAAGTTGAGCCTGCAAACCAGCCAGTCGGACGCACAAACTGCCATCATCAATGGGAAGGGTTTTGCTGTTTCTGCCCACCTTGCTTTCCTATCCCTCACTGATCTCATATCCCCTGGACGGGCTTTTACTGAGCGCCTGTCTCATGCTGAGTGTGTGAGTGCAATTCCTTCCTACATCTGCACGACAGCCCAGGAGGTGGAAGTGGATAGCACTTTACAGATGTGGAAACAGGCTCAGAAAGCTCAGGTCACGTGCCCACAATGACACTGCTGGAAAGATCAAGACAGTCCTGCAGATCAACACTTGAGGACGCCCTCCAGGTCCTGCCTGCACCCAGCACAGAATCTGGTGCCTGGAGCTGCGCATAACTATCTGAGAAATGAATGAATGAGAGGCAGTGGCAGGGGGCGGTGCAGAGGACTCCGGGAGCACAGAGAACAGAGAGAAAACTGCTGGGAAGCTGGGGTCTGAGAGATTTCAGAGAGTGAGCACCTTCAGAAACAGGTCTCCCAACCCTGCCACTTGCCTTTCAAAACCTTAGTCTACAAGATGGTTTCACTTGAAATTAAAGCTCTTTGCCTTTTTCCCTTTTCTTTCCAAATTTTTTTATCAAGAAAAATTCCAGACATGCAACAGGAGTAAGAACAGTCTATGCTGGGCGTGGTGGCTCCCACCTGTAATCTCAGTACTGTGGGAGGCCGAGGAGGGCAGATCACCTGAGGTCAGGAGTTTGAGACCAGCCTGGACGACATGGTGAAACCCCGTTTCTACTAAAAATACAAAAATTAGCCAGGTGTGGTGACGCATGCCTGTAATCCCAGCTACTTGGGAGGCTGAGACAGGAGAATGGTGTGAACCCGGGAGGTGGCGCTTGTGCTGAGCCGAGATCGCACCATCACACTCCAGCCTGGGCTGACAGGGCAAGACTCTGCCTCAAAAAAACAAAAAAAACAAAACTGTCTAATGAACCCATTACCAGCTTCAGCCACTGTCCACTTCCAGCCACTCTGCCACCTTGGCTCTTCCCGGGGCCCCCTGCCCTCACTGAGTTATTAAAAAGCAAATGCCAGACACCAACCCATTTCCTCTGTGAAGCTGGAAATGTCAGTGTGTGTCTCAAGAAGATGAAGACCTCTTCAACTAAAGTTTAACAATCACCCTTTAACATCAAATATTCAGTATTCAACTTTTCCCAACTGTCCTGATGTTTTTCCTTTACAGTTTATGAAATCAGGATCCAAATGAGGTCTGTACATTGCTATTGCTCAGTGTGTGCCTCAAAGCAAGCCCTCGGTATTATTGGTATAAGTAACACTGCAATAAATATGCAAGTACATACAGCTTTGTACACAACCCTGAGTGTGAATTTCCAGATGCTGAATTGCTGGGTGAAGAAGTCTGTTTCGTTTTACAGCTTTTGCTGTGGATTCCGAACGATCTTCAGAAAAGCTGTGGACTACTGTTAAGTATTACAGGAGAATGTGTGTAGCTATCACAAGGTGGGCACTCAATAAATGGAACCTAACATTTCAGGATATTCTAGTGGAAATGTCTGGGTGAGGCTGTTGGGTGAGGAGCTGTCCGATTCAGCAAGAGAAAGAGACCTGGGGGAGCTGAAGAGACAGACGGCACCACAGAGAGAACATTCAGGAAGAGAAGCTCTCAACAGTGTGTGCTGGCCAAGCGTTGAGGTTCCAGTACAGTCTGCATTCAAGTCCTTGTCTATCACTAACTAGCCGTGCCCTGGCCAAGGCCCCTGATGCTTCCCAGCCTTCCTCTCTTCATCAGTCAAGTGGGACAGCAGCGCCTGCACACAGGGCTAGGATGCAGATTCAGTGCAGTAACGTACACAAAGGATGAGCACAGACCTGGCACATAGTAGGTGCTCAATAAGTGGCACTGAGTAACAATCATAATGACACTGACAAGGACACAATTAGGAGGTGAGAGTTCCGCTGACACTCGGGACGTCAGCACGGTTCCCGTGGCGCAAAGCTCACCTCTTCTCCACCGACAGTATGGCTGTGCAGGCATTTTTCAATCTGTGGGCGAGTCGGGAGAGCGTTTTAAACACAGCATCAGTCAAGTCGTCGTCGTAAAACACTGTGGGAAGCAAAAAGGCCAGCATTAGAGGAAAACACGCAAATATTACAGAAATCGACTTTTCAGAGCAATCCGCACAGAGAGAATGCTTATCACCACGGAACAGCAGCAGCTTCCAGAATTAAAACTGCAGATGTGGTGGCATGTACCAGAAAGTCACTTCTAAAACTGAACTCCCGGGGGAAGTGAGGAGAGACTGCACTTGACTTCATGCTACAACAAAGGACGTGTACGGCGAAGGAGAAATTTTCTTACCTTCGGCTGCAAACAGGATGGTGGTGTGATCGTACAAGTCAGAAATTTCCTCTTGTGACCAACTGAAGGGGACCTTGGGATCTAAGAAAGAACAAAAGCACACTTTGTGCCCATTGCCTTCTCTCCTGGCCACCAACTCTCACTGGGACTGACCAAAAGGCACTTCAAGAGAAGAAACAGGGCTGGGGGTAGCTCGGTGCAGTGGGCACCACCAGGCAGACCAGACTCCCTGCTTCAGGCCCACTGCTGCCCGGGTGCAGAGTCATGGTGGAAGAGGTGCCTTTTCTGCTGAGTGTCTGCTCTAGCCAGTGAGCAGCGGGCGGATTTCAGCCTCACCCGCTGCCTTGGCCTGTGGCCCAGTGCAGGACATGATCTCCCCCTTCTGCCTGCTGGGTGGCCCAGGAAAACAGCCTCAGTTTTGCACTCACAGAAAGGGCACAGTACTACTTCCTCACAGGACTATTGGGAGGGCCGAAGGGCCTACGGTGCGCAAAGTGCTAGGCAGGTGACCAGTACTCAAGGAACGACTTTTCCCATCTGCCATCTGACAGGGAAAAAAAAAAAGACATCTTTATACAAAGAAAGAGCAAGCACCCAGGTCTGAAGTAGTCTGTGTAAGAAATATGGAAACTGTCCTACCCGGGGGGTTTCCTGGCACCACTGTTTGTTGGGAAATGGTCTGTGCCCCAGAGTCTGACAAACTCGGGTCTATGCCCCTACCCTGCTGTGTACCAGCTGTGCCCATGGGCAGTCTGCACTCACAATTCAGGGATTATCATGCTACCACACAGGGAAACCACAACACCTGGAGAAGAAAATGAACGTGAGGTGCCCAGCATGCAGCAGGCGCTCAGAGAATGACAGCTGGTGCTCATCGGCCAATGGAGAGAAGCTGCCATGCGCCGATGGGACTGTGGCAGCAGCTGGGACTACAGCTCTGTCAAAACCACAGAGCCAGGGGCACTGAGGTATTACAAAGGAATCACTGAATCATACTGGGGGACGTCCGAGAGAAACACACACCTGTGCAGAGGTCGTCCTTCAGCCAGTCCAGTTCTTTGACCCTAACTATACCACCTGTAAAAACAAACAAAAAGAGAACTTTCCAAACTCTAAACATCATCAGGAAAAAAAGATAAACTTTTACACTATATATGAAGATCCATCTATCCACCCACCCACCCTTGCTCTCACCCATCCACCTTCCTGCCCTTCCATCTTTACAGCCAGCCAGCCAGCCAGCCAGCCAGCCATCCACCCACCCATCCATCCATCCATCCATCCATCCATCCATCCATCCATCCATCCATCCATTCACCCACCCACCCACCTGCCCATCTTCCGGCCCTTCCTTCTATCCATCCATCCATCCATCCATCTACCCACCCACCCACCCACCTATCTTCCTTCCCTCCCTGCCTCCCTCCCATCCATCTTCTCATCCTTCCTTCTAGCCATCCATCGATCCATCCATCCATCCACCCACCCCCCCACCCATCTTCCTGCCCTTCCATCTATCCATCCATCCATCCACCCACCCATCTTCCTTCCCTCCCTCCCTCCCATCCACCCATCTTTCCATCCATCCATCCATCCATCCTCTCATCTACCCATCTATCCATCCTTCTGCCCTCCCACCCATCCACCCACCCATCCTTATTATCCTCCTTCCCTCCTCATCCATCATCCATTTTCTGTCCCTTCCCTCCATCCATCCGTCCATTCTTCCAGCATTTTTTGAGTGCTACGTGTCAGGGACGGTGCCAGACATAGGGAAAATAAAGATTTAAGAGTCATGCTCCCCATCCTTGCAGACCAGCTCCCCTAGGAGAGACTGGCAGGTTAACCAACAACGGCAAGACTGTGTGGCTGGGTGATGCCAGAAGGATGAGGCAAACGCACAGGAGGAGAGAGAGGAACTCATGTCAGACAGCGGATGTCAGGGAAGGCTTCCACCAGCATGCTCCCTCCATCCTCCCAGCTCTGCTGACTGCCTACTGTACCCTGAGCACTCAACAAACATTGTGACAGTGCAGAGCAAATGCAGACAGGGTACCTGCACCCACAGAGCTTGTAGTCCGGTGGGAATGGAAAACACCAATAACTAGTCACACGAGCAGATGGTAAAATGCAATCATGCAACGTGTGCCTGGAGTCTGTTGGGGGCTCTGGCCTCAAATCTGGAGGTCTGAAGCCCCGAGGGTGATGAGGACTTGCCGGGAGGAGGGACGGCAGAGCACTCAGGCAGAGGGAAGAGCAAGGGCAAAGGACTCGAGGGAATGTGATTTGAAAGACGGTGAGGTCGGCTGTTGGTGGTGGGGGGCGCTGCAGACAGACAGGGGCCAGATCCCCAAGAACATGAGACAAGCAACAGTAAACCACTGAAGGGCCTGAAGCCTGGGGGGCTGCTCGGAGGAGGCGTTAGGACATAACTGTCGTCACCCATCACATACACTCATCCCTGCAGGCCGTGCAGGGAGCAGAGAACCAGGCAGATGGAGGCGGAGGCCCATCTGCGCAGGGGGACTGGCCTGTGAGTGAGTCCTGGCCGTGCTGGATGCAGGGCTGGAAAGGAGACTGTCAGGAGGAGGCAAGGAGAGCAGGCCGGGGCTGGGCCAGGGAGGCCTGGGAATTCAAGGAGCTCAGACTTCACCCCACAGGTGATGACGCCCCTGGGAGGTTTTCAGCAGCAAGTGAAGTGGACTGGCTTGCATCTGAGAAAGGGCACTCTGGATGTTTCATGAGGACATCTTGGACGGGTCAACTAAGGAGCTGGGGAGACCAGCTCAGGGGCCGCCGCCAGTGTCCGGGAGAGAAAGAGCTGGAGTAGGATGACGCAGTGGATCTGGGAATGAGGAGGTGACCCAAGGAGCGTCCTCAATGCTCTGAAGCTCTGTGATGCCCAGACGACGCCTGCTCCCCTTACTCACCTGCTGCAAGGGACACAGACGGAGCCCTGCCTCCCAATGTCATGGTCTTGGGTGTCTGTCCTATCTGCTAAACAGAGAAACCTCCCTCCCTGGCAGAAGACCCCCTGGGCCTCACCTCCAGTGGCAGCCAGGTGGCTGTTGAGGGCAATGTTTCGCTGGCACATGGACAAGAGATCTGCACCGACATCTGGAATGACAGAGGGCAAGCCATAAAGTGCCAGCCACTACGACACTTTTATCTCCATGTTTTTTGCCTAGAGAGAGCTGTGATCAACAGCACAACTGCAGAAATTAGAGAAACGTTTCTCCTATGTGTCTTACTGCCAAAATTAAATACCCTCACCTTAAGGCTCTTTTCATTGGCTTGTTCCCTAAATAAGAGATTCTCCTCCTGATGGGGAGAGACAGTGCGCATTCCAGAGGGAAGGAGTGTGAGCTCCCAACATCATCCGAGCACATGCAACACGCGTGCACTTCCCTAGTTCATCGTTTTCATGTTTATGGCCACACAGGAGCTGGGATCATGAATCCCATTTCACGGATTAAGTGACTTGAGCAAAGTCATGCAGCTATTGAGAGCAAGAGTTGGGATTTGATCCAGGTTTTTCTAACTCCAAATTTAGGCTCGTTCTTTGACACCCTAGGAAAACTGACTGGACCAGTTTTCCGGTCAGAAGGATTTTTTCTTATGATTCGTCAGAACACAGAGCAGATTCAAACAGGCTGAGCCCACTCTCTTGAGCGCGATTCACTTTGCTGCCACCCAGATCTCCCTCCCAGCCGCCTGCTACTCTGACAAGTGGGATTTCTCATCATTTCAAGAACTAACTTGGGGTACAGTGAATCCTCACTGGCAGAAGCAGTGCTTTACCAAAAATAAACTTCTAATTAGAAGAATGTGCATGTAGAAAGTACAGGATGTCTTGTTAATGACATTTGCTTGGTCCACTGTGGGCGTGGACCCACAGTGCAATCTCCCTGGGACTAACATCTGCACCCCAGGGGTCACACAGAGCCATGTACGGGAGGAGCTCCCTGCTTGCAGAAGGGAGGGATCTACCCTATCTCCTAGGCCAAGAGAATACTGATGATATGTACCTGACAGCACACGATGGGCTTAGCAGTTTTTTGGAAACGGAGTTTCGCACTTGTTGACCAACTGAAGTACAGTGGTGCAACCTTGGCTCACTGCAACCTCCACTTCCCAGGTTCAAGCAATTCTCCTGCCTCAGCCTCCCAAGTAGCTGGGATTATAGGCACACGCCACCATGCCTGGCTAATTTTTTTTTTTTTTGTATTTTTAGTACAGATGGGGTTTCACCGTGTTGGCCAAGCTGCTCTCAAACTCCTGACCTCAGGTGATCCACCTGCCTCGGCCTCTCAAAGTGCTGGGGTTACATGCATTAGCCACCACGCCTGGCCAGGGTCAGCAGTTTTTAAACCTTTATGATAGTTTCTGTCAAAAGCTTTTAACCTATAAAACAGGTAAGAGAGGAGCAGCTCTGGCTGAGTGGGGTAGGAGCCCTGGTGCCCTGAGTGCGTTCTCCCCAGCATCCCTCGGCCAGCTTGTGGGAGCTCTGTTCCATGCAACACAATCTGAAATTCCACCACGTGACAAGCACACTGCCCTGTGGGCCAGCAGGTCCACATCAAGGGCCTCGGGTCTCATCAGCAGCTGTGGATGACCTTGGGCCAGCCTCAGTCTGCCCATTTGGACAACAGAGATAGGAACCCTGGGCTCTGCCCAGAGTCACTGTGAAGTTACAGCCAGGCACTGATGCATCTGAAAGGACTTTTCCAACTGGAACATGGCATCTAAATGCAAGCTTTCTTCCCCATGCTGGTAAATCTCTCTCAGGGATAAGACTTCTTTATAGTCTGCTATTAGGCACCAGGGACGAAGCAAAGCTCTTGGACGGCTTGACTCTGAGAAGAGCTCACTGATAATTTACATGACATTGTCAAGAAGCAGCCAATAGCGTGGCTGCACTGCAGACTCCTGACCAGTGGTTAACAGCATATTTGAAAACAGTGCCTCAGGGACTGGTGATCTCTAGCTTCTTCCTTCCTATCTCAGAAACAAAAGTCTGTGCCAGGTAACGTTCACTAGGAAGCAATGAGGTGTAAACCACATCAGCTGATACCTCTTTTTGTCCAGCAGATACTAAAGATTTAAAATATAACAACAAGGTTCACTTGACGAGATCACTACTCTCTTGTAAACAGGTATATTTGTTCTAAAGAAAGCACTCTGGCACGTTAGGAGTTTAGTTAACTTCACTGGCTGGTTTTCATCACTGTACTATGGTTGTGTGTGATGTCACCACTGGGGAGCCAGAGGAAGGGCATATGGCACTTGCTGGATTATTTTAACAACTCCTTTTGAGTCTGAAATTATTTCAAAATTAAATACTAAAAAAGAAATTAGTTGGTAATGTTCATCAAAAGCTTAAGAATAGTCTCACCCACTTCTAGGAACCTAGTGACACGTTATTAGACAACGATACACAAAGATGTTCATTGCAATGTAACTAACACCGCCCACTCCTAGGAACCTAGGTGACAGATTATTAGACAATATACAAAGATGTTCATCACAGTGTAACTGACAAATGCAAAAAAAAACAAAAACCAAAAAACCAAAACCCATAGGAATGGCCAAAATGCTCAGCAATAGGAGAAGGGTTACAAAGAAGATGAAATATTATCTGGTCATTAAAAGTCATATATAAAGTTTGTTTTTTTTTTTTTTTTTTTGAGACAGAGTCTCACTCTGTGGCCCAGACTGGAGTGCAGTGGTGCAATCTCAGCTCACTGCAACCTCTGCCTCCCAGGTTCAAGCCTCCCAAGTAGCTGGGATTACAGGTGCCCGCCGCTACCACATCTGGTTAATTCTTGTATTTTTAGTACAGACAGGGTTTCACCATGTTGGCCTGGCTGTTCTCAAACTCCTGACCTCAGGTGATCTGCCTGCCTCAGCCTCCCAAAGGGCTGGGATTACAGATGTCAGCCACCGCACCTGGCCTATATAATAATTTTTTAATGGCATGAGAAAATGCTCTTAAAATGTTCTCACTTATGAGTGGGAGCTAAACAACGGGTAAACATGGACATACTGAGTGGAAACACAGACACTGGGGATTCCAGAAGGTGACACGGTGGGAGGGGTGGGGGATTAAAGCTTCCCTATTGGGTACAATGTTCACTATTTGAGTGGAAGGTCCACTAAAAGCCCAGACGGATGTCATCACTGCAATATAGCTGCACATCAGAAACCCGCACTTGTACCCCCTAAATATATACATATTTAAAAAAGAAAATGCTCTTAAAAATGTTTTTCAACATTTTCAGCAGAATACAGTGCTGCTGCAGCTTGATTTCAGCTATCATTTGGAGGAGATTCTTACAACGTAAGCGCCCTGAGGGCAGTGCCTAGTCAGCTCCATTCACCGCAGGGCCTCCTACATCTAGAAATGAGTGGCACACGGGAGGTGACCCATAAGTTGCATATTGTTGATTCAATCTAGGGATTGTAAAATTATGAGTAATTTTTATGTACTGTTTTAAAAACCTCCTACAAAGAATGGGCAAGGCTTCTATACCCAGGAAAAAAATAATAAACTTGCTTTCAAAGGCTTCTAAAAGGGTATATTCCTCCTGTTTTTGGAGATATTTGCTCTTTCTCAGGAGTGGGGAGAGAGGTACCAGCAGGGGCGCTAGGCACCTCCTGAAGCTCAATGGCCTTATAGCCACTGGGTGACGCTGCTGCTGCTGAGTGGGTATTGCTGGGTCATTTTGATGTCACTGAGAATAAATGGAGAGTGGAGAGGGCCAGGGGACCAGGATGGCAAAATCAACAACAGCTAACATCCAATTTCCAGTGCCTCTGCCTCTTTTTTTATACAGTCAGTGCATGCTTTGTGAAGGTGACTACTTCCCTGCAGCCTGAGATGTCACCTCATTACCTGTACAATAAACGGTCCGTGCCATGGTGGCTGCGATGATGCTAGCGAGCCCCGTGCCGGCCCCGAGCTCCAGCGCTGTACATCCTCGGAAGAGGTCCTGTCGGAACAGGATGTAGTCTGCCAGGAGCAGGGCGCCCCGCCACACCTGGAGGGAAGAGGACAAGGAGCGACAAGCAGCGTGAGGCTCTGCAGGGACCCATCAGGGCCACAGGAAGCGGACAAGACCTACCCACCTGCTTGCCAACATCCTCCAGGGGCGTGGCCATGGTGTGCTCTGGATGGGACAGAAACCAAGAGAAATGCCCACTGTGAAATGGGGATGGACAGAAAACCACAAGACAGGACAGTGTGGCAACCGCCAGCACGGTCAGATGGGCGTCAGAGGTTGGAATGAGGCGTTCTAGAGAGCAGCAGAAACACAGGCTGTGCTACTGGTTAGGAGGCGACTTTTGAGCACCACTCAGAGGATGGGAGCTTTTTGGAATGGGGCTCACACTCTTTCATGTAACTGGGTATCTCTGCCCTACAGCCCAAGGCTAGGGAGGGTCACAATTAGGTTTTCACGCAATTTAATTGCACCCACATGCAGTGCACTACTTTTTTCATGACCAATAATTGCAAAGTTACAATCATAATATATTAATTTATATACTACTAATAATCACAATTCATTCAAAAGTATTTTCTTATACTGAGAAACATACTTAACTTCATTATTTTCTCATACTTAGAAATCTACATTAGAAGTTAACAAAAAAATAAGTTTAAATTTACATCCTTTTTAAAAACGTTGAAAAGTAGTATAAGTATTCTCAAGTGCAAAATATAATATATTTTGTATTTATAATATACCCTAATAGGATCAAATTCTGGTGGAGGGGGGAACACAATGGAAATATAAGATCAAGGAGAAAAGGAATGAAGCAAAGCATTTTTTGTTGTTAAGTAAGAACTTGCTTGTCTAAGAGCTCCCGAGGAGGGAAAATAACTTGCTCAAGTATTTTTAAGTGAGATGGTAACAGCTATCGCCAATCGCTCTGTCTGTCCCCGAACCAGGAAAGAAATCGACTGTGTAGGGTCCTCTTGGGCACCTGGGCCACTGTTCTCTGAGGGCTCCTCCTGGGAAAATCTGGCCAAAGATTTCAGCCCTATGGGCAGTTAGAATCTGATCTCTGAATAAAGTGACTAATGGGTTGTCCACCAGCATCTTGGCTAGATTTGACATGGTGGCTTACAAGGCACTTTTAATAAAACATGTTCCTTTCAGAAGGGCTTCAGATTGCTACGTCCTAACACGTAGTCACCTGGTTTGAAACTGGAACAGAAATACACCTGCCGAACCACCTGATGCAAAGTTCCTTCACTGAACCAACATTCACTAGACAGACACATTCTGTGAGCAAGCCCTGGGTGCCACTGAGATTCTACCTGATTGGCTCACATGTATATTACAGAGAAAGACACTGACTAAGGTTCAGCATTACTGTTTGTAAAGTTAATAGAAAAAAAAGCACCTTCTCTGCATGAGGCACTGGGCTAAATGCTTTCTCATTTAATCCTCAAAATCACCCAATGACAGCTTCGAGTATTATTGGATGAGGAAAAGGTGGCTGGGTGAGGTTAGCAGGCTGTGGTCACAGAGAGGGTGAGTGGCAGATGCGGGGTTCCAAGTCAGGTCATCTGCAGTTTTCTGTCTCTTTCTGTTTTGAGACAGGGTCTCACTCTGTCATCTACGCTGGAGTGTGGTGGCACGGCCAAGGCTCACTGCAGCCTCCACCTCCCAGGCTCAAGTGACCCTGCCACCTAAGCCTCTCGAGTAGCTGGGGCTACAGGTGCATGCCTCCATGCCAGGCTAAATTTTTTTAGTTTTGTAGTTTTTGTAGAGATAGGGTCTCAGCATGTTGCCAGGGCTGGTTTCAAACCCTTGGGCTCAAGTGATACACTGCTTTGGCCTCCCAAAGTGGGATCATAGGTGTGAGCCACCGTGCCCGGCCTTTTCTAGCTCTTCAGCCTGCTTGGGGAAGGGAGATGTAGAATCTGAACCATGCCAGGGACACGGTTTAAAAAGCCTGGGGCAGAGCCTCCCAGGATGAAAGGGACAGGGACTCGCTGGGCAGGCTGAAGGCTTGTGTGCTTGTGCGTGGAGGGGAAGGGGTGTCTGTGGTCTACAGACCCCAGGCCCTCTGTGTCAGCGTCCCTGCCCAGTTCCTCTTCCCCAGTCCCACCCATGCCATCTCCTGGGTGTGGCTCGTAGCCTCCTCTCCTCTCCTCTCCCTCCATTGGCCTGGGAAAGCTTCCTCCTTGCCATCTGCTCCCTAACCCCAGCTGTCCTAAGGGTTCCTGCTGCCAGGGGAACCTTCTCATAGTGATCTTGGTCCTATGTGATTGGTCACTTCCTTCCAGGGGTCTCGTGGACGTAAGTTCTGCCTCCCAGCTGTCCTCAATGGGTGGCTAGCTTCCCTTGAGGGAGAATGAGGACTCTGAGGTCAGAGACCTGTATGACAACCCAGTTTTGTCATTTCCTAGCTGGGTGACAAGTCACTTAACTTCTTGGAGACAGAGCTACAGTTTCCTCTTTTGCAAAATGCAGAAGTAGCCTCATCCCTCATTTCTAAGGCTGTAACAGTGTTTAACCAGACAGCGCTTCTGAGAGAGCACAGGCTCGGCAGACATCTGAGAACCATTGAGGTGGTCAAGGACCCCAGCCCTTGCACAGGTGGAGATCACTGAAGCCCAGAAGGGGGACATGACCAGCCCAGGGTCATAGTCTGAGAAAAAAACATCTAATTAGATCAAAATGTGTCGAGATGGCCGGGTAGTGGCTCACACCTATAATCCCAGCACTTTGGAAGGCTAAAGCAGGAGGATCGCCTGAAGCCAGGAGTTTGAGACCAGCCTGGGTAACGAAGTGCAAAGTGAGACCCATATTTTTCTAAAGCCAAATAGAAACAAAAGAGGATTTAAAATGAAGTCATTTGGGAGTCTGACCAAGAACTGATCTAAGATGTGCTTTCTGCTGATGCTGATAACACGAGAAAACACCAGGGCGAATTGATAAGGGAGAGAACAAGAGGCTCAGGGATGGATCAAAGGAAGAAGCGGATGCTGTGCAACTCCCTGGGGCCAGATGGAAAAAGCCAGAATGAATTCCCCAGGAAGCTGAGTGTGGCCGACCTTAAGGGCACTCTCCTTTCTTGTGTCTGACATCCTCGACTCCGGAGTGCAGAGATTCCGAGGTCTACCCGACCCCTGCCCCGTTTCAGGCACTTGCTAGTGTTCGAATGGGTAAATATGCTTCTTCATGACTCATCAGGATAGTCAGAGATCACAACAAATGCCCAGTATGTCAGCCCTGGGCCGGGCGCGGTCCAGGTGGCTGCATAGGGGTGAGGAAGAAGGATTCAGTCTAGGGGTGGAGGCCCAGGTGACTTAGGGACCTCCCTACCCAGGGCCATCTTGGGGCTCCCACTCCTGTGAAAAGTCAGAGTTTATATTTAAATAATCCCAAAGGTATCATGAGAACATAAAAGACCAGCCTGAGGAACTATCCCCATGAGAAACTCTAGGGCTAGCAATGGGATGAGACAGTGTTAGAATCTCACCTGTCCTTATCAGATTCTAGAATTACGTCTTATCTCATTTGCAAACTGGGTCTCTAGACCTGCAGGAACCTAGACTGTTCGTCAGCCAGTCTCCCTCCTCCCAGCTTGGGCCAGTCCCCAGGACAGAGGCTTACATTTACGGAACACTGAATCCGTGCCAGGCATTACGCTAAGAGCTTTGTATGTGCTGTCTCTCTGAATTCCTTACAACTGGAGGAGGTTGTACCCCTTGTACAGACAAGGAAACTGAACTCAGAGAGGCTAAGCGACTTGCCCGATTCTCCAGCAGGAAGGCACGGGACTCAGAATCTGACGGCCTGAGTTCCAGCCCTGCCTTTCTCGAGTTCTCTTGGGGTCTCACTTTATTTCTACAGTGGGGGAATTGAACATAATTTCTTTTGAATCCTGGGTCTGTGGATTCCTGGCAGATCCCTGGATAAACTTTTTAAGGTTTTGTCAATCCCTTGGAATAGTTAAGAAAACACCTATTTTTCTTTTTCTTTAGAAAAACCAGTTTCTCAAATGGGTCTATAACTTGAAAAAAATGGGTTGATTTACGGGTCAGAGGAAAAGGGTTGTGAGGCGAATGACGTCTGCTTACCATCAACTCTGCGCCAGGCCCTGCTCCTGGCGCTCACTGGGCATGTTTCAATAAATTATCACTAAAACCCAGGGACAGTGGTTCCCCTGATCACGTGGTTCTGACCATGTGGTTCTGAGTGGGTAAGACATTTGTCTCTGGTCACCTGGCTTGTGAAGATGGAGCTGGGCTCAAAATCCAGCCCTGCAGGATTAGATCAAGTTTTGCAGATGAAAGTGCTCTAGCCAGTTTGAAATAATCACGAATTACTACCTAGGTTCATGCATTAGCTACCATTCCACTCTCCTCCGTCAGGGCAGGTAGTGAGTGACTGACAGCTGAAAAAGTGAACTTCCAGGTATACAGACAAGGGGGCCTCACCGTGAGGTCACCGGAACAGGGCAGGAGGGGAAGCTGGTCACAGGCCAGCCTCTTCCCGAGGGACTTTGTTCTTAGCTCATACAATGGTAAATTCCCAGAACATTCACTACAGACACAACAATTCACTGTGGAGTAACTGACAGGTTTGCTCCCCAGCTTGGGGAGGCTAATAACAGTGAGGGCTCAGAGGGAAATGAGCCATCGTCGGCCCCCCTGAGAAGCAGGACTTTCCAAGCCTCTTTCGAAAGCTCTGCCCCCATGATGTGGAATGACAGCACAGGCTGTGGCGTCAGACAGACCTAGGTACAAGTCTCAGCTCTGCCACTGACTAGCTGTGTGACCCCAGCAAGTTCCTCAACCTCGCTGAGCCTCAGTCTCTTCCTCTGTGAAATGGGAATACTCATCCCTATCTGCAGAGGCCATGAGGGCAGAGGTCACCCATGGGATACATGGAACTGGGTTCTGGTATGAGTTCCACGTTGCCCTCTCTGGGACAGTCTAGAACAGAGGCTGCTTGGTACCACCGTGGAGGCGCTTAGTAACTGTTTGCTGAGCAGATAGATACAGAGCTGCTGTTTTGTCTGTTTTTGAGAGTGACCCACTGACCCCCATTCTCTGACCAAAGGCCAGTGCTGGGGGAGGCCTTTCCCTGGGAACTCAAGACACCATCGGGGACCCTGGATCTCAATGAACGGCCTCAAATCACAGCTCCGCTCCCCAAATGAGCAGCGCCAGGGGGAGGCAAAGCCCTGGTGTGGACACTGTGTGGATTCGAAGCTCGCTCACCACCACCAAGCAGCATGGCGCTAGGCCTTTCACTTCCTCATCCATGCACCCCCTCAGGAGGGGTTGTGCAGACTAGGCCACTCGATACTAGTGAAGATATCCAAAACACGATAGGTGCTTAACCAGGACCGATCACTTCCTGGCCCAGCTCCCTACTGCTCCCGGTGTTTCTAGAGTGCCAGGTCCCTAGATTTCAAATCCTAGAGTCAGCAAACCCCTCTGCTCTGCCCCCATACCTGGGTAGCAGTTCCTCTTTGATCCCACCTCTGAGTATCTGTCCAAACCTCTCTCCTGTCCCACTTTTCCCGCCACTTCATCACTCCCCTTTCTTACCTGGCTTCTAGCTCCCAGCTCCCAGTCCATCTGACTGGTCCACGCCCCATTCATTTTCATTTACATCCCTCTCCCTCTGCCACACTCCAGCTCCAGAACCTCCCATGGCTCCCTACTGCCAGCCCAGCCAGGCCAAGCCTGTCCCACACCCCCAACACGCTGAGTTAGAGCAAGAGCACAGATGTGGGAGGCAGCAGCAGGGAGGCTTCCTGGAGGAGGTGTGGCTGAGCTGGAAACTGTACGGCAATGGGGAACATGTTAAGGGAGCAGAGGCTGGGAGCAAGCACTCCAGCAAGGAGGCACAGCACAGAGAAGAAAGCGCACAGGGTGAGGCTGTGGTGGTGTGAGCCGGGCAGGAGTGACGGGGTTGTGGAGAGCTTCCCCAGTCTCACCCGAGCTGGTTCTCATAACCTGTGCTGCCTGGGCCTGCAGAGTCCACGCTCAGATCATACTGAGCCCTGAGCAGTGACACTGCGGAGTTGCCTTGGTGACAGGTGGGCCACATCACACCTCTATTTACCTATTCTGATGATATCGTGCGGGCTGCCTTGTGCTTCCTCTCCCAGGACGTCGTCTTCTTCCTGTGCTAGAATCATGGGATGTACCTTGTCTCTCAGAGGCCCTGCTGGGTTGGAATCAGAGGCGGCTCGTGGTCTTCTCACCACGTCCAAATCCCCATCCTCATCCAGCTGAGCTTCAGCCACTTCCTGGCCAGTGGTGTCAGTCCCGGCCTGGAGGGAGAAACCCTCATTACCATGGCCACTTCCTGGAGGGGACCCTGTGCTGCCTGTCTCAGCAGAAGGAGGCTCCTTTGTGTGAACATCTCTGTGACTGCCACCCTTGGCTCCTGAATCTGTCCAAGAGTCTTGGCTCCATAGAAGCTTGAATTGGGACAGGAAAACTGAAAGGCAAGACAGAACGCAAAATGAGAATTCCAAGATGTTTTCTTTTTTACCTTCCTCTTCTTCTTTGAGAATATCTGATTACCAATAGGAAAGATTTTTAAAGGCCAGGTAGAGATATACTAATGCCAGCAGAAAAGGCCCACTTGATTCAGCTGTGACCACCACCAGCCAGGAGGCTGGGGCCACCACCAAGAGCAGCCGCCATTTCATGAGAATCTATGAGGCACTTGGCTCATATCAGCTCATTCAATCTCCACAATTGCTGTGAAGATACCATTATCAGCTTCATCTTACAGACCCAGAAACTGAGGCTTAGAGGACTAAGCTGACCAAGGCCACACAACTTTTAGGAATGAGCTCAGGGGCCTCTCCTCTAAGCTCACACAGCATCCCGGGTTTATGCCAGTTTTTGAATCTGTCCGATCATCCATTCATTCATCACCGAACACTGTGTGCCAAGTACCATGCCAGGTGCTGGGGGTACAAAGCAGGATTTGGTATGTTAGGGCCTTACATTTTAGGAGTGAAGTTGGGGAAGAAACATTAAGCAAGTAAACAAGATAATTACAGGCTGTGTTAATTACCAGGAATATAGTAAAACTGCATTCTGTGTGACACAGATGTGGCAACCACATAAGGCAGGGGTGAGCAAACTTTTCCTGTAACAGGTTAGATAAAAAAGTTTTTTGGCTGGGCATGGTGGCTTACACCTGTAATTCCAGCACTTTGGGAGGCCAAGACAGGAAGATTTCTTGAGCCCAGGAATTTGACCAGCCTGGGCAACATGGTAAATCCCCTTCTCTACAAAAAAATTATCCAGGTATGGTGGCATGTGCCTATAGTCCCAGCTACTTGGGAGGCTGAGATGGGAGGATCACCTGAGCCTGGGGAGGTCGAGGCTGTAGTGAGTCAAGACTGCACCACCGCACTCCAGCTTGGGTGACAGAATGAGACCCTGTCTCATAAAATGTATCTATTTTCAAGCTTTGTGGGCCCTGTGATCTTTGTTGCAACTCCTCAACTCTGCCGTTATAGCACAAAAACAGCTGTAAAAACACGTTAATGACTGGGCATGGCTGTGGCTTCATAAAACTCTTTATAAAAATAGCTGCAGGCCAGATTTGGCTCACAGGCTGCAGTTTGTATACCCCTGGTATAATGTACCATCCAAATTAGGGCAGGAGGTCAATGGGAATTATTAATAATCACACCATAACAAGCTAATACAGGGTAGTTGGGGTTAGGGAGGGTGGCCAGGGAGGGGCTGTCTGTGGAGATGATACTTGAGGAGCCAGGAGGGGAGGAAAGCAGGTGTTTTCTCCCTGGCCTTGTATCTTATGGTTGCTTCTCTCCCCTCCCTGTGTTTGAGGGACAGAAAGAACCTGAGAGTGGCCACAGAAGAGCAAGAGAGAGTGACATAAGGGTAGGCACACAAGCAGAGGCTGGGTCAGGCTGGCCTCACAGACCAAGCTGAGGAACCTGGATGTTATTCTGAGAGCAACGGAAAGCCACTGGAGGTCTAACTCAGGAAGTGCTGTGATTTGATCTGCATTTTCAAAAGACGTCCTTGGCTGCTGCAGAGATAAGCGGGGAGGGTGTGCAGCAGTGAACTCAGTGGGAGAAGACAGAGGCAGCCAGGCAAGCAACAGAGGTGGCTGGACTAGGGTAAAGGGAGTGGGGATAAAGAGCAGAGGACACTTTGGGAGGCCGAGGCGGGCGGCACGAGGTCAGGAGATCAAGACCATTCTGGTTAACACGGTGAAACCCTGTGTCTACCAAAAATACAAAAAAATTAGCCAGGCGTGGTGGCGGGTGCCTGTAGTCCCAGCTACTTGGGAGGCTGAGGCAGGAGAATGGCGTGAACCCGGGAGGCGGAGCTTGCAGTGAGCCGAGATCGCATGCCACTGCACTCCAGCCTGGGTGAGGGAGCGAGACTGCCTCAAAAAAAAAAAAAAAAAAAAAAAGAGTAGAGGACAGGGTTGGATGCGGTGGTTCATGCCCGTAATCCCAGCACTTTGGGAGGCCGGGGTGGGAGGATCACCTGAGGTCAGAAGTTCAAGACCAGCCTGACCAACATGGTGAAACTCTGTCTGTACTAAAAATACAAAAATTAGCTGGGCGTGGTGGCAGGTGCCGGTAATCCCAGCTACTCGGGAGGCTGAGGCAGGAGAGTTGCTTGAACCCGGGAGGCGGAGGTTGCAGTGAGCCGAGGTCGCGCCACTGCACTGCCCCCTGGGTGACAGAGCGAGCTTCCGTCTCAAAAAAAAAAAAAAAAAAAAGAGCAGAGGACAGATGGAGCCCCAGCACTTTGTCTCCCCAGTGGACCCTGGGCTTGCTGACGGCAAAGTTTGGCTCATTCGTATCTGCATTCCCAGCATCAAGTCCTGGGTCAGGCGCACAATAGGTGCTCAGGAAACCACAGGAGTTTGCTTAATGAAAGTGGGGGGACAGCAGCTTGCCTGTAATCCCAGGGACTCAAGAGGCTAAGGTGGGAGGGTTGCTTCAGGCCTGGAGTTCAAAACCAGCCTGGGCTAGCAAGACTCCAGCTCTACAAAATAAAAACCAGCCAGGTGTGGTGATGTGAGCCTGTAGTCTCAGCTACTCTGGAGGCAGGGGAAGGAAGATCACTTGAGTCCAGGAGTTTGAGGCTGCAGTGAGCCATGACTGTGCCACTGCACTCCAGACTGGGTGACAGAGTGAGATTGTCTTTAAGAAAAGCAAAAACAAAAGCAAAACAAACCCCCACATACAAAAATTGCAGAGTACAAGGTTTTTAAAAAATCATAAAGAAAAAAAGGGCACTTAAAAAGTGGTCTGAGGATAACAGTTACGTAATCCAGTCTTCCCAATATTTTCCCCAAAAAGATGAGTATGAGAAAGCAGAAAACAAAATAGGATCCGCAGGGCACCTGGGCCCAGGACCTTACCTGGCTGCCCCACGCTGTTCAGCCGTACCATGAGATGTCTATGGTTCGGGGTATAGAGGTGGACATCTGACAGCACAGTGTCGCTCCTAAAGGTGACCTCGTCCATGGCTGCCGCAGGAGCCAGCTGTACCATGGCCCAGGCTCCACCTTAGTCCTAGGACAGGAGTCCCTCAGAGGTGAGAATGGGTCCTCAGCATGGCAGGTCCCAGAGGAGATACTGCAGACAGGTCCAAGCTGGTAGCGAGTAGCTTTGCATCGCCCTGGGAGAAGATCTCAGAGACTTGGCCAGGGAAGAGAATCCAGCTGGAAATTAATGCGTTATTTTGTTTATATTCATTTCACTCATTATATTCATTTTATATTCATTCATATATTCATTATATTCATTTTCATAGTAACCTTTTATTTATAGAAAGGGATATGAATTTCCATTTATAAAGTTTCCTTTCCCTTTTTTTTCAACTTATTACAAAAAAATTTCAAACAGTAAGGATACAGGGGAATATCATAACCGTAGAACTACTGCTTAGATTCAATGATCCTCACCATTTTGCCACACGTGCCTGCCCTCTCTGGTTTCTTCTCCTTGAGCTGAGAGTACATTGTAGACATCATGACATTTTGCCCCTAAATTATTTAATGTCTGTCCCCTAAGAGCATTTCCCTATATAATCATAAGACCATTAGCAAATCTAAGTTAATTAATAATTCCCTAATAGCATTAAAGTCAATTTCCTCCATCTGTCTCCCAAAGGTCTTTGAGGTTTTTTTTCCCCCAGAAACCAGTATCCAATCACAATCTGCACTTTGCATTTAGTTGTTATGGCCCTTTACTCTTTCTTTTTTATTCTAGAAGCTGTTATCAACTGTCCCCACATCATTTGTTGTTATAAAGCTTTCCTATTTTAAACAATGTTTTATTTTTAAACATTTCTTTTTACAGACAGGGGCTTGCTCTGTTGCCCAGGCTGGAGTGCAGTGGTACAATCATGGCTCACTGCAGCCTCAAACTTCACGCGATCCTCCTGCCTCAACCTCCTTCATAGTTAGGACTACAGCTATGCCACCATACTTGGCATTAAATTTTTTTTTTTTGTAGAGACAAGGGTCTCACTATGTTTCCCAGGCTGGTCTCAAATTCTTGGGCTCAAGCCATCCTCCCATATCAGCTTCCTAAAGTGCTGGGATTACAGGCGTGAGCCATCATGCCTGGCTTAAAGCTCTGCTACTGAATTTAAAAAGATGAGTGGAATTAGGCGGGTGTCGTGGCGCGCGCTGGTAGTCCCAGCTACTTGGGAGGCTGAGGTGGGAGGATCGCTTGACACCAAAAGGCAGGGGTTGCAGTGAGCTGAGAATGCGTCACTGCACTCTGCACTCCAGGCTGGGTGGCAGAGCAAGACCCTGTCTCAAAAAGAAATTAAAAAAAAAAAAAAAAGAGTGAGTGGATTTAAAGGAAAAGTAGTAAGGGAGTCACTACACTGGTGATACACAGATATGGCAAAATTATGCAGGTGACACATTAATAACTAAAACTTGGAAAACCATGGCTGAGGCAAAGTGGTCAAGAACAGGTGGGACCTCCCTCCAACCGTTTCACCTAATCAAAAAGCATCATCAAACAGCAGTAGTCTGATGGGCTTTGAAGCTGGACAGACCAGGTGGGGATCCCTGGTTTCTCACCTTCTAGCCATGTGATTTCAGGAAAATCACTTCGCCTCTCTGCATCTGTTTCTTCAGCCACAATCTCACGCAGTGTTACTGGGTGGGTAAACTGCTGAGCAGAGTCCTTGGCTCACAGTAGGTGTTAATAAAACACCAGCAACCTCCTTGTCCTGGGGTTGGTTTCAGGTATTTGACCCAAACCTGCCTGTAACCCCTGACTGCCTATAGGAGCTGTTCCTACCTGGGTAGATGTCATGAAATCTTCAGGGCCCCCACTTCTTCAACTGCAAAATGAGGTCATCATGACTCAGGCTGTCCTAATGATCCCAGTACACTGCTGGAGTTCCTACATTTAAGTGGTTGCTGTGGGGCAGCAAAAGCTGTCCCAACAAAAAAATTTTTAAGAAAAAGATGATTCCTTATTCATCTCCATGCTAGCTTTCCTACTCAACACCATAAAGCCATCAAAATGCAAGTGGGTTGTAAAGAAAGTCTGTGAATCTGGCAAATCAATGCAGAATTTCATGGTGTCATTGAAAGTGATGGAGAAATGCTGGACCTGAAGGCCAACACTCAATCAATCGGACTGGCAAAACCACACCAGATTCCAGAAGAGAAAATACAGCTTATACCTACCACTCATTTCAAAGGCAGATCAAGCTCTCTCAGGACTTAGAGATGTCCTGGGGGAAAACTGAGGACTTTCACATACAGTTTTTTTTGAAGGGGGTGGGGAAGATCCTCTCTAATATTGCTGTAAAAATCAAAAGTGAACCAAAGGATGCCATTTCTTTTTTTGCCATAGCGCATTTTTTTTTTTTTTTCTGAGACAGAGTCTCACTCTGTTGCCCAGGCTAGAGTGCAGTGGTGCCATCTCGGCTCACTACAACCTCCGCCTCCTGGGCTCAAGTGATCCTACCTCAGAGTCCCGAGTAACTGGGACTACAGGCATGCACCACAATGTCCACCTAATTTTTGTATTTTTAGTAAAGATGGGGTTTTGCCATGTTGGCCAGGCTAGTCTTGAACTCCTGACCAAGGTAGATCCATCTACCTTGGCCTCCCAAAGTGCTGGGATTATAGGTGTGAGCCACCAGGCATGGCCTATAGCGCAATTTTGTTGGAAAACTTACATCCCAGAAAAATCAATGTTCTTTGCTTTTTCCAAAAGTGAGCATAATATTACACACCAAATTTTAAGTATAGACACACACAAAAAAACTCAAATTCTTAATCTCTAGTTGAATTTTCCATTTTTAAATTCAACCCAACCAGGCTTCCCAAGAAATGTACGCTGCAATGTAAGTTCCAGATGAAGGAGATTCCCTTTAAGTGGCTTTCCCTAGAATCAGCTATCTGGGAATAAGGAGGCCCTCTTGAACCTATCTCAGGCCCTCATATACTCAGAGGAGTATATGAGACAATTACCACTTTTCGGGCTTACGACATATAGTAAACGTTCAATAAGCAACAATAGTAAATACTATCATTATAGTAATATAATAATGATTAAAGTGAATGCTGGGAAGAAAGAAAAAAGGTAACAGTTTCTCTAGTCAGGAAAAGTCTCTTTCCGGAAATGCAGGGTCTGTATGGGCTTCGGGCTCCTCTCTTTACTGGGCAGAGCTGAGAAAGGAGACCCAGGTTGCAGATGGGGACCTGCCCCACCACCTCTCCATAGGGCTGCAGGCTCATCCCTGCAGCAGGAGCTAACGTGTTCTTGGCTCTTCTAAGGCTGTGGGGGCTAGACTGAGACGCTACCAGCTTTCTTCTCCTATAGGTCCCCAGTCAGTTGTCCCAAATAAGCAGTGTGCTGGGATCACGGTGTTGAAATAACTTCCCTCCTCATCTTTCTTTCTGATAACTGCAACTCACTCAACAATCAATAATTTGGCGCGATCCCATGACGATTTAGGCCAGGAGCTGGGGAGGGCAGGGTGTGAAGGCCCAGGCTGGGGGCAGGAAAGACGTGGCCTGGCCACGGTGCGTAGAGTGGTAGTGAGGGGCTCCGGGGACGTCCCCCGTGGGGCTACTCGTTCTCTTTGTCTTGTCGCCTTCCTGACGCCACCCTTGTGGGTTAACTATTGCCCTCTCAAAAAACAGTCACAGGTCGGGCACTGCCCTCCCTTCCTAATCTAGAACCGAAGGAGAGGTGCCTGGACCCAGGATGGAAACCCAGGTGAGGACGTGGACTTCTTTCCCCAACACCCGTGTTGAGAAGGGGAAACTGACGCTAAGAGTGGGGTCGGGCCTTAGGGATCTGGGCCTCCGATCTGTGGGAGCTCGGATTTCAAAGTCAGGCTCGGCGCCAGGAGGTTCCCTGCACCCTACCCTATCCCGCCGCCTCTCCCAGGCACTTACCCGCCGCGGGGCCCAGCCTGGGATCCCACCCGACTCCCGTCTCTGTGGGACTTAGGCGGCCGCCATAACAGGCGGTCTGCGCAGGCGCGGCCCCGCCCCCGCGTGCGACCATCCGACTGCCCCGCACCGTGGCTCCACCTACCTGCCCGGGCCGCGCATGCGTCCGAGGGTTGCCGGCGGGCACCTGTAGCCTTCGCTCTGGTCGCGGGCGAGGCGTGTTTGCTGGGGGGACCCGCCTAGGTGGCTAAACTCATTCCTCTAAAAGACTTAAATAGGAGTTAAATAACTCTCCCAGCTACTAAGTGGTAAAGCCTGGATTCGAACCCGGGGTGTGGGATCAGAGCCGGTGCTATTTAACCAGCATGCTACTGTATTTATTATCACGGGTGTTACCGTCATCCATGCTCTTAGTACTCGTTTGTTTGTTTGTTTGTTTATTTGAGATGGTCTTGCTCTGTCACCCAGGCTGGAGTGCAGCGGCGCAATTTTAGCTCACTGCAGCCTTGAACTCCTGGGCTTAAGGAATCCTGTTTCAGCCTCTCTAGTAGCTGGGACTACAGTTGCGTGGCACCATTTTTTTTTTTTTTTGTACAGACTGTATCTTGTTGTGTTGCCCAGGCTGGTCTCAAACTCCTGGCTTCAAGCAGTCCTCCTGCTTCGGCCTCCTAAAGCTCATAAATTACAGGCATGAGCCACCACGCCCAGCCAGTACTTGTTATTATTAATAGGTGGTAGTGATTTCATTAGGTGGTAGTGATTTCGTTAATTCGTATGCTCATCAAGTTTCCAACACCAAGGGGGTGAGACAGAGTGGCAAACATAAGACTCCATGTTTGCTCGTTTTTTCTTGCCTGCAGAATTTCAGAAAGCCTCTGAGTCCGTGACTGAGCACAGCCCTCAGAAGAATCCCCTGAAGAGGATGAGCAGGATAGACCACAGATTCTCACGTCTCTTGCCTGAGTCACTGCATTTTTAGAAAAAGTACAGTCAATAATATTGGCCCTTTTCTCAATCTATATATTCAGTGACATCATGGAAGTCAGCCTGGCCACAATGGAGTAAGCCAGGGGATGGGCCGCAGGAAACGAGGATACATAGGTAGCCAGGGTTAGAACTTTTGTGACATTCTAAGAACTTTGGATTTTACTGTGCGTGAGATGGGGAGCTGCCAGGGATATACACCACACTGACGTGTTCACAGACATGCCCAGACACACACAGTGGTGCTCACTCTCAGACATGTCAGTGAACATACAAATATACACACAGGAACATATGTAAAGTCCACATATGTAAAATCTATATCCCTGTGTGTTCACATATACACACACGCACACACATGGCCTCAGCTGGCAACCTTTGTCTAAATTACTTTTTTTTCTCTTTTCAAAATAGAATTAAATCAACATCAATTTCATGGTTACTGATGATAAAACGTGGAGAGTTGATAGGGTGACTAAGCGACACAAATAAGAATTTTTTTTTTTTTTTTTTTTAAGAAACAGATTATGTTTCCTGAAATCCCCCAGGACAGTACACAGAGAGCCAGTTGGGTGTCTTGGGACCAGATTCTATTCATAGTTTTCTCTCTAGTTCGCTGAGGGTTCTCTTAGTTATCCCCAGAGGATGTTGAGTGGTGGGGAGGGCACTAGGAAGGCATTGTTCACACCCTTGGGAGTTTTGTCTTCAAATTTAAACCGGGGGAATGACCCTTAAAAATCAAAAGATCACATTCCTCCTCTTGTCAAACCTATAATCTTTTATAGGGGATTAGTGCCCCTACAAAAGAGGCCCCAAAGAGCTGCCTCACTTCTTCTGTCATGTGAGGACACGGCAAAAAGACAGCCATCTATGACCAAGAATTGGACACAGAATCTGCCAGTGCCTTGATTTTGGACTTTCCAGCCCCTAGAACCATGAGAAATGAATGTGTTTATCAGCCACCCCATGTATGGTATTCTGTTATAGCAGCCCAGATGGCCCCAAAAGGGTTATCATTTCTGCCACAAATTTTGAGGTGGTTTGCAACACAGTAATAGGTCACCAGGTAAGGGGAAAGAAAGCCAGCCCTTCTTGGCAGGGCTGCAAAGAGATGGTAGCTGGGGGAGTGCGGGAGGGGGCCCTCAGTTCCGGAGCCTCAGTTATAAACAAGGCACACTGCTGGCCCCTTCATCTTGTGGTTTTGTTTCATTCTCACACCCATTCCGAAGCTCAGAGAGGTGAAGTGCCTTGCTCAGTGTTACCTAGCCAGTGAGACGCAGACTCACGTTTTCTTTTCTTTTCTTTTTTCTTTTTGACAGAGTCTCCATTTGTCGACCAGGCTGGAGTGCAGTGACGCCATCTCAGCTCACTGCAACCTCTGCCTCCCTGGATCAAGCAATTCTCCTGCCTCAGTCTCCTGAGTAGCTGGGATTACAGGCGTGTGCCACCACATCCAGCTAATTTTTGTATTTTTAGTAGAGACGGGGTTTCACCATGTTGGCCAGGCTGGTCTCAAACTCCTGACCTCACGTGATCTGCCCGCCTTGGCCTCCCAAAGTGCTGGGATTACAGGCATGAGCCACCACACTTGGCCTCAGACTCACATTTTCAAAATGTCCCAGTGAGTCTGCTGGGTGGAGCCTTAGGGTTAAATGCCCTCCCTAGTGTCCCAGGCAGGTCTTTTGCTTTGAGAGTCTCCCCCAGACTTGGCGAAGCAAGGGTTAAGGTGCATGCTCACACACGCTGGAGTGTCCATCACTCCCACCACCTGGACTAATGACAAACCATGTCTGCAGCAGAGGGAAGGCGGATGAACTGCCAGATGTGTATTAAGAAACCAGCTTGCAGGAAATTGCTGTCGGGTGATTATTATTAGCTGGGTTATTCAGAACAGCCCTTTCTCCAAAGGTCGTGCATTTACCAAATGCTTGATGTGTTTTCCCAGTCAGCCCCAGAAAATTTTGTCCTCCTGGAGAGAGAGCTTGTCCTCCAGGACTGCTGAAAGTGGGTGATGATAATTCTGCCCCCGCCTCCCATCAGCATATCACGGCAGCTGCTTTGAATGCACAGCAGTCTGCGCTCTGGTTCCTGGTTCTGTGTGCAGAGGCAGGAGGTTGACCTTCAAGAGCACAGAGCTGAGTTCAAATCCCCAGCTCGGCCACTGATTAATTATATTCATCCATTCACTACCTAATTTTGAAGAGCTTTTCATATCCTTGGTACTTGGGCAATTGCTTTACTTCTATGAAACTTAATTTCCTAGTGGCTCAAATACTGATAATACCTTTCTTGGCGTGTTGTGAGAATGAGTGGCATATCACCCGTGGAGAGTTCCAGACAATAACTCCCTTCCATTTCTTGAGATAATCTGACAGTGTCTGTTATATTTTAAAGAACCCACCAGTTTTACTCACTTCACCACGTCACATTGGTAGATGAAAAACAAAAAACAAAATAAGTTACAGTGCCATTCATACTGTATAAGATCAATTATGTAAAATAAAAAAACCCTCACAATTATATGTTTTCTCAAGCTAGGCAGAATGTGGTGTATGCATCAAGGGATTATTATTCAGCTGTAAAAAGGAATAAAGCAAAATAAACAAAAAAGCTTTAAAAAATCAGCTGGGGATGTTCGTGCATGACTATGTTCCCAGTTACTTGGGAAGCAGAGGAGGGAGGATTACTTGAGCCCAGGAGGTTGAGGCCACAGTGAGTGGTGTTTGCGTCACTGTACTCCAGCCTGGGCAACAGAGAGAGACCCTGTATTAAAAAAAAAGAAAAGAAATAGGGTCATTGTAGATGCAAGTAGTTAAGGATCTTGAAATCATCCTGGATTTAGGGCAGGCCCTAAGTCCAATGACAGCTGTCCTTATCACAAGAGGAGAGGACTCAGAAAGAAGACAATGTGGAGTCAGGCGGAGAATGGGGTGAGGCATGTAAGAGCCAAGGATCGCCCAGGATTGCCGGCAGCCTCCATGCGTCAGGACAGACACGCGGAACGGATTCTCCCTCAGAGCCTCCAGAAGGACCCAGCCATGCTGCTACTTTGATTTTGGACTCGTGGCCTCCAGAACTGTGCGGGAATGCAGGTCTGTTGGTTAAAGTCACCCAGTTTTATTTAGTTAAGAGACTAATACAAGGTTTTAGCTAATTTGTGCCTACTGGTCTTTTTATTTGCATTCCCCTTGGCTCAGAAAGCCCACTCTCAGCCCAGTTTCCATCGTCACAACTGGTTCCTTCTCGTCCAACATAGCTTAAATTATTTTTATTTTTTATTTTATTTTATTTTTATTTTTTGAGACAGAGTCTCACTGTCACCCAGGCTGGAGTGCAGTGACGCGATCTTTACTCACTGCAAACTCTGCCTCCTGGATTCAAGCAATTCTCCTGCCTCAGCCTCCCGAGTAGCTGGGATTACAGGCGCCAGCAACCACGCCTGGCTAATTTTTGTATTTTTAGTAGAAACGGGGTTTTGCCATGTTGGCCACGGTGGTCTCCGACTCCTGACCTCAGGTGATCCACCTACCTTGGCCTCCCAGAGTGCTGGGATTACAGGCATGAGCCACTGTGCCCGACCCATAGCTTAAATATTATCTGCTCAGTTGGCCCTTCCCTGCCCATCCCATCATGTGTTGACCCCTACTATCTGCCCAAGTAGCTCTCCTTTACACACCCTTTAATCTTCTTTCTTATTTCATTTTTTAAAAGTAGAAATGGGGTCTCGCTGTGTTATCCAAGCTGGTCTTGAACTCCTGGGCTCAATCAATCCTCCCACCTTGGCCTCCCAAATTTCTGGGATGACAGGCATGAGCCACTGCACCTGGCAACTTATATTTTCTTTTTAGATCTGTCACTCTCTGGAATGACCTATTTGTTATTTATTTATTTATTTTGAGACAGGGTCTCTCTCTGTCACCCAGTCTGAAGTGCAGTGGTGCAATCTCGGCTCACTGCAACCTCTGCCTCCTGGTTTCAAGCGATTCTCCTGCCTCAGCCTCCTGAGTAGCTGGGATTACAGGTGCGTGCCACCATGCCCTGCTATTTTTGTATTTTTAGTAGAGACGGGGTTTCACCCCATTAGCCAGGATGGTCTTGATCTCCTGACCTCATGATCCGCCTGTCTCGACTTCCCAAAGTGCTGGGATTACAGGGGTAACCCACCGCACCTGGCCTATTTGTTATTTTTTATTTGAGCTACAATGTTAGCTGCTTGAGAGCAGAGCCTTGCCTGGCTGCTATAATGCCAGCACCTGGCACATCACAGGGGCTGGACCTGGAGGTGGGGTTATTTGCAGAATGAATGAGAGACTGAAGACATCTGGAACACAACTGGGGGTACTGTTGCTCTGGGCTGTTGACATTCCACCCACTCAGCGGGGAGAAGAGACTTTAGTGATCCATTAGACCTGGATCAAAGTGTTCCCTTGAGATGAGCTGAAGAAGTCACCCTGTTCCTTCTTGTGTCTGGCTTTGGGAGAAAAATAGATATTTTCAATTGTCACAAGCCTGCTCTGTTTATCTTCTTTCTAGGTTACCCCCAAGACCCTGGGGAGGCCACAAATGTGGTAGAGGATCGTGGGCAGTGTCTCTTCCTGACCAGCCTCTCCTCCCTGAATCCTAGCACTGATTGTAGAATCCCAGCAGACCGCAATCCTCAGCCTCAACTACACAGAGCAACCAGAGTGTGAGATGAGGGGTGGGGAGGCTAATGTACCTTTGTCCCCAGGGAAGGATTAGCCACTTTTGAACTTGTCACTGTCTGACGGCCTTTGGGTCTTTCATTTGATTTCTGTTTCTATTTTATTTATTTATTTATCCTATTTTATTTAAACTACATCTTGGCCAGGTGCAGTGGCTCACTCCTGCAATCCCAGCACTTTGGAAGGCCAAGGTGGGAGGATCTCTTGAGGCCAGGAGTTTGAGACCAGCCTGGGCAATATAGTGAGATCCTTTCTCTACAAAAATTAAAAAATTAGCTGGGTGTGGTGGCATGTACCTGTAGTCCCAGCTACTGGGGAGGGTGAAATGGGAGGATCACTTGAGCCTGGGAGATAAATGCCACAGCGAGCTGCAATTATGCCACTGCACTCCAGCCTGGGTGACAGAGTAAGACCCTGTCTAAAAAATAAATAAATAAACTACATCTGTTTCCTTCAAGTTAGTGGGCGTGTTTTTTGTTTGTTTGTTTGTTTGTTTTGGTTAGATCCCATCACCCAGGCTGGAGTGCATGGCAAGATCACAGCGCACTGCAGCCTGGATCTCCTGGGCTCAAGTGATCCTCCCACCTCAGCTTCCCGAGTAGCTGGATTAAAGGCATGTGCCACTGAAATGACGTCTCACTAAGGCCAAGCTTGATCTCAAATTCCTGGGGTCAAGTGATCCTCCTGCCGTGGCCTCCCAAAGTGCTGGGGTTACAGGTCTGACCTACTTCTCCTGGCCAGTTGGTTTTTTTCTAGCTAGTAAGGGGGCAGTGGCTCTGGAATATGAACTCATGTCCTGGTCAGTAACTTCCAGATGAATGGAAGATACACTGGACAGCTAGCATATTTTCTCACTTTTTGTCCTCACAACTCTGTGAGTAAGATATTCTTGTTCCTATTTTATAGACGAGGTGCTGAGAGTAAGTTATGTGCCCAAGATCCCTTTTCCTTTTCTTTTCTTCCTTTGCCTTCTCTTTATTTCTTAAAACTTAAAAATAATAATAAACTTTATTTTTAGAGCAGTTTTAGGTTCACACCAAAACTGTGTGGAAAATACGGAGATTCCCTGTGCGTGGATCATATTCTCCCTGCCCCTGCCCTTAAGCTCCCTCATTAGCAACATCCTCCTTCCCTACCCCCTAGAGTGGTGCATGGGTTACAATCGGTGAACTTACATTGACACATCATCATTGTAGTAGTCTGTTCTCACACTGTGAATAAAGACATACCTGAGACTGGGTAGTTTATGAAGGAAAGAGGTTTAGTTGACTCAGTTCCACATGGCTGGGGAGGCCTCACGATCATGGTAGAAGGCAAATGAGGAGCAAAGTCACATCTCACATGGCAGCAGGAAAGAGAAATTGTGCAGGGAAACTCCCGTTTATAAAACCATCAGACCTCATGAGACTTATTCACTATCGCGAGAACAGTATGGGAGAAACTGCCCCCGTGATTCAATTATCTCCACCTGGCCCTGCCCTTGACACGTGGGGATTATTACAATTCGAGGTAAGAGTTGGTTGTGGACACAGCCAAAACATATCAATCATTTATCATCCAAGTCCATAGTTTACATTAGGGCTCACTCTTGGTATTGTACCTTCTGTAGGTTTGGACCAATGTGTAATGACATGTACCCACCATTAAAGTATCATAAAGAAGAGTTTCACTGCCTTACAAATCCTCTGCTCTGCCTGTTCATCCCTTCTTCCTCCCCATCTCCTGGCTACCACTGATCTTTTCACTGTCTCCATACCAGGATGTCCTAGAGTTGGAATCATCCTATACGTACCCTCTTCAGGCTGGCTTCTTTCACTTGGTAATATGAATTTAAAGTTTGTCCGTATCTTTTCATGGCTTGATAGCTCATTTCTTTTTAGCACTGAATAATTCTCCACTGTTGGATGTACTTCAGTTTTTATCCATTCACCTGCTGAAAAATATTTTGGTTGCTCCCAAATTCTGGCAATCATGAGTAAAGCTGCTATAAACATCTGTGTGCAGGTTTTTATGTGTACGTAAATTTTCACTTCATTTGGGTAAATATCAAGGAGTATAATTGCTGAATCATATAATAAGAGTATGTTTAGCTTTGTAAGAAACTCCCAAACCATCTCCCAAAGTGGCTGTACCATTTTACATTCCCACCAGCAATGGATGAGAATTCCTGTTTCTTCACATGCTTGCTAGCATTTGGGGTTGTCAGTATTCTGGATTTTGGCCATGCTAATAGGTGTATAGTGATATCCCATTGTTGTCTATAATTTGTAATTCCCTAACGACATTCTTTAATTTTTTTTTTTTTTTTGAAACAGGGTCTTGTGCTGTCACTCAGGCTGGAGTGCAGTGGTGCAATCACAGCTCACTGCAGCCTCAAACTCCAGGACTCAAGCAATCCTCTCACCTCTTTCTCCCAAATAGGTGGGACTACAGGTGCATGCCATCATGCCTGGCTAATTTTTTAAATTTTATTTTCAGTACAGTCAAGATCTCGCTATGTTGTCCAGGCTGGTCTCAAGCTCCTGGGTTCAAGTGACCCTCCCACATTGGCCTCCCAAAGTGCTGGGATTACAGGTGTGAGCCTCCATGCCTGGCCCCAAATGACAGTCTTAAAACATTTTTGTTGTGATATATAGCATTCATATAACACATCTATGCAACATATACAGTATATAAAGTATAACAAATAGTTATAAAGGAAACACCCATGTAATTACCAACAAGTTCAAGTTATAGATATTGCCAGAACCCCAGAAACTTCTGTTTATTTCCCCTTCACTCCCTTAGAAATACTCACCATCCTTTCTTCCGTGGTTCTCAGTAGTTTGCTTGTTTTTATAGTTTTACTGCCTAAGCATGCACCCTCACAATATAGTTTAGCTTTGCTTGCTTTGAACCTTAAATAGAATCACACTGTGTTGTATTCTTTTGTGTTTGATTTCTTGTTTACTCAATATTATAAGATGAATTGGGTGGACGTGGTGGCTCATACCTATAATCCCAGCACTTTGGGAGGCCGAGGCGAGCAGACCATGAGGTCAGGAGATCGAGACCATCCTGGCCAACATGGTGAAACCCTGTCTATACTAAAAATACAAAAATGAGCTGGGTGTGATGGTGCACGCCTGTAATCCCAGCTATCGGGAGGCTGAGGCAGGAGAATCGCTTGAACCTGGAAGGCGGAGGTTGCAGTGAGCCGAGATCATGCCACTGCACTCCAGCCTAGGTGACAGAGAGAGATTCCATCTCAAAAAAAAAAAATATATATATATATGATGATGTATATATATATGATGATGTATATATACACACACACATATATATACACATATATGATGATGTGTATATATATACACATATATATACATATATGATGATGTATATATATACACATATATATATGATGAAGTGTATATATATACACACACACATATATATATGATGAATCTATGCTTGGTCCCATATGGTTTGTTCATTTCATAGCAGTATATTTCAAGGAATGAATGTAATACGATGATTTATTCAAACCACTGAGATGGACATTGGGTTGATTCCATTTTAGCTATTTCATCTCTGTTCCTGCCACAGTATTAGGCTGGGTTGACCCCACATGGAGCAAAAATGCCACAGTTAATTTGCTCCAGCAAGTTCCACCCCTCTTTCAGGGGTATAGTAGCACACAGTGCAAGTAACATTCTAAACTCTATCCAGTCCTATCTGGGTGGAAATGACTCATATAATTATAAAACACTGAGGCATCTCAGATTATCCCACTAGGTCTCTTCTTTACTGAGAATGTCCAAACTAGCTCCAGAGAACATTTTGTGCTGAGTGTTAGTTCCTATTTCTTAGTGGCATCTTGAAATCTCCAGTGCAGGTGTGCAGGCATGGTCTTGACATTTAGTGACATGGGGCCATGATAGATGACTGTGAATCCATGATCATGAAGGGGTGGGTGACTGTGGTTCTGCTCATAGACAGGCTTTCTTGTTTGTTTCTGAGACTCCTCTGGGTGTCATAGCTGCATTGAGTAAAAACCTCCAAGAACATGTTGTGGTTTGAAATGCTGGACTTGCTGGATAGGGACTAGGCTGGAGGGTGAAGGGAAGAATGGAATCAGGTCAGGAGAGACCTTAGCCAGTTTAAGGGAGGCTGGGGTTGAGAATCTGGCCTCTGCATTTGAGCAGACCTGGATTCAACCCCATCTGTGAGACCTTGGGCAACCTCTCTGAGGGTCAGTTTCCTCATGAGTGAAATGGGACAGGCTTAGTCAATGCCTCCCTATCTGAAATGCCTTCCCTATCAGCACCATCCCCTGAGAACAAGAGTGGGGCTGCTGTTAGAGATTTAGAACACAGACTGCCCTTTTCATTGTGTTCCTGGCCTTTGTGATTTTTCCCTCCCCCCTCGCATTTTTCTCTTTTTCAGCTGATGATACACCACAAGCCTTCAGATCTAACAGATATGCTTTGATAAGATGGCTCACCATTAGTTCCTTTCATCTTGGGAACACTACGCAAACCAAATCTAATCAATACAGGACATTGAGGGCTCATGGAGGGTCCACATCTTCCAGAGCACTGCCTGGGGATGAGATTGCATCACCTGAGTGCTCACACCCGGCTAGATGTATCTGCCCCATACCCACCCAGTGATGCAGAACACAGTGTCCAAGGCCTGGACTCCCGCTGCATCCTTACATGCACCATCTCTAATTATCCTGGCTGCCCTGAGGGGGAGATAGCAAGACTGGCCCCATTTTGTAGATCAGGAAACTGAGGCTCAGAGATGCTAAGCCACTTACCTAACGGTCATTCAGCTCCTAGGGGGCTGGCCCAGGTAGGTCTGATTCTGAAATAAATGACATGAGTCTTCTAACTTTCTGAGGTTAGATAGTCTCGGTGCAAATCTTAGCCCTGCCCCTTATTACCTGTCTTAAGTCAGATTGCCCCAGAACTGACTGAAAATGGGAATTGATATGCAAATGATTTATTGAGGAAGGGCTCCCAGGAGAAACTGGAAGTGGAGTGAGGAAAGCAGACTAGGGAAGGGGAAGGGCAAGTTCAAGTGAGATTCCATCCTCAGTCTGATTCTGTGGGTTTCTGGAGCATAAATTACATTTTAGCATTTGTCCTGCCTTGAAGCAAGTGTGGTGGTTTCCTAGACCTGTCTTAAGAAATTACCACAACTGCGTGGCTTAGAACAACAGGAATTGGCTGGATGCGGTGGCTTACACCTCTAATCCCAGCAATTTGAGAGGCTGAGGCGGGTGGATCACCTGAGGTCAGGAGTTCAAGACCAGGTTTGCCAACATGGTGAAACCCCGTCTCTACTAAAAATA
This sequence comes from Homo sapiens, assembly GCF_000001405.40. NCBI lineage: Eukaryota > Metazoa > Chordata > Mammalia > Primates > Hominidae > Homo > Homo sapiens. Next base: position 8,610,750 of record NC_000016.10, on the reverse strand, counting down.
CAAAAATTAGCCAGGTGTGGTGGCACATGCTTGTAATGCCAGCTACTTGGGAGGCTGAGGCAGGGGAATCGCTTGAACCCAGGAGATGGAGGTTGCAGTGAGCTGAGATTGCACCATTGCACTCCAGCCTGGGTGACAAAGTAAGACTCCATCTCAAAAAAAAAAAAAAAAAAAAAGGAAAGAAAAAAAAAGAAAGAAAAAATCAACAGGAATTTATTCTCTCACGGTTCTAGAGACCAGAAGTCTGAAATGAAGGTGTTGGCAGGGTCGGCTTCCTCTACAAGCTCTAGAGGAGGATCTGTTCCATGCCTTTCTTCCAGCTCCTGGTGGCCCTGCAATCCTGGGAGTCCCCTGGCTTGTAGACACATCTGTTCCACGTGTACCTCCATCATCATATGGCCTTCTGTTATCTTTTGTGTTGATGTCTTTTTCTGTTCTTATAAGGACAGTTGCCATTGGCTCATTGACCTAGATAATCTAGGGCTATCTCATCTCAATATCCTTAACTTAATTACATCTACAAAGACCGTTTTTCCAACTAAGGCCAGATGCACAGTTTCTGTGTGGACCTATTTTTATTTATTTATTTATTTATTTATTTATTTATTTATTTTTGTGAAATGGAGTCTTACACTGCTGCCTAGGCTGGAGTCCAATGGTGTTATCTCAGCTCACTGCAACCTCTGCCTTCCGGGTTCATGCAATTCTCCTGCCTCAGCCTCTCAAGTAGCTGGGATTACAGGCGCACGCCACCACACCCAGCTAATTTTTTGTATTTTTTGTAGAGATGGGGTTTTACCATGTTGGCCAGACAGGTGTTGAACTCCCCTCATGATCAGCCCACCTCGGCCTCCCAAAGTGCTGGGATTACAGGCATAAGCCACCATGCCCGGCCATGTGTGGACCTATTTTTTTGGAGGGCACCATTTAACCCACGAGAGCAAGGAAACTGGGCTTTCATACTCCTACTCTAGTCGGTGATTGGCTAAGGGGCACCATGGGAGGATGTGAACCCCCAGGCACTACCAGCTTTCTGCTAGTGTAGACAGAGTAATCCAGTACCTCCCGTCCCCTCAAGAAAGTCTATTAGAAGAAGTCAAGCTTATAGACCCTGTAGGTAGATGCAAAACATGGTAATAGGGAATCAAATGTATGTTTCCATTATCTAACGTTGAGTAAAAAACTACTCTAGGCTGGGTGCAGTGGCTCATGCCTATAATCCCAGCACTTTGGGAGGCCTAGGCAGGCAGATCATTTGAGGTTAGGAGTTCAAAACCAACCTGGCCAATATGGTGAAACCCTGACTCTACTAAAAATATAAAAATTAGCCAGGTGTGGTGGCGGTCACCTGTAATCTCAGCTACTTGGGAGGCTGAGGCACGAGAATCGCTTGAACCCGGGAGGCAGAGGTTGCAGTGAGCCAAGATTGCACCACTGCACTCCAGTCTATGCAAAAGAGCGAGACTCTGTCGCAAAAAAAAACAAACAAACAAGCAAACAAACAAACAAACAAAAAAACTACTCTAAAATGTACTGTCTTAATGCAACTGTTTTATTTTGCTTCTAGATCTGTGGGGCAGGAATTTAGGAAGGGTTTGGCTGGGCTGTTTCTCTCTGATGCACACGGTATAGGCCAGAATAGCTGGGGCTGCAGGATCCACTTCCGGGCTGGATTCTTCACTCATGTGTCTGTTATATCGATGGCTCCTGGTCTCTCTCTCCACATGGCTGGTCATGCTCCAGGCCATTTCCTGGAGGTGGTGTTCTCCTCACCACCTCTTGGCAGCAATCAGAAACTTGCCAGCCCTATGAAGGAGCCACCTTGGCAGCAAATCCTCCAGCCTCAGTCAAGCCTTCAAGTGATGGCAGCTCTGGCTGACATCTTGACTGCAACCTCATGAGACCACCCAAGACTGTCTTGAATTCTTGACCCACAGAAGACAATGGACCTTCCTTATCATTATGATTTTATGCCAGTAAGTTTTGGGGTAACGTATTATGCAGCAATAGGTAGCTGATCCAGGAGACAAGTGGCAGATGACAAAGAAACAGGCAGGTGGCCACAAAGATGGGCAAATATTGGCCACACTTTAGGTGCTTAAGAAATGCTTGTGATTGAATGAGTGATACATGCACCTACTCTTTGGGTTGGGCCATGAGCCCTTCTCTGTATCCCAAAGGTCATTGTCACAGTTCGGGCCACCTAGTTGCTCATGTGTATGTCTTCAGTCGCCACCTACCTGGCATTTCTGATCCCAAACTCACTCCTTATAGTGTCTAATCCATTCTGTCTCTCCCCATGGCCATGTGACTGAGTCCTCACACCTGGCTAGATGTATTTCTGTGTCTGTTTACATGGCCTGATTGGAAGCCCCTGAAACCAGCGATGGCTAATATGTGCTAAAAAATGTAATGATGCGTATCTGACATCAAATGGAAAGAAAAGCTGGAAAACCGAAGCCTTGAAAAAGAAAGGGTCCAGAAAGCCTCAGGAAATTTAGGACAAAAGCAGAGACCTTCTTCAAGGCATTGTCTCAGAAATGATTAAACCTTATGCCCCAAATACTTTCCATCATTAGATTTTCTGTTTATGATGCAAATTCCAGAGAGAAAGCATCCGGTCTACGTTGGCTGTAGGTGAGTGGGTCAACTTGATTGGCAGTCCCGCTAAGACTGTGCAGTGGGAAGGGATGGTTCCCTTAAGGAAAATTGGGGTACCATTACCTGAAGAAGGAAGAAAAGGTGCTGGGCAGCTCCAATGCTCAGATGCCCCCCACAGAGCCCCTGGTCACTCCTGGTGTGACTGCCACACTGGGCTGTTGGTTGCTTTCCAGAGACCATGCCCTCCCTCTGGATCTTTGCACCTGAAATGCTCTGCCTCCTGACTTGCCCACTGATGAATTTCTACACATCCTTCAAGCTCTCCATCCTTTGGACAGTTTTGTCCATTGCCTGAGCAGGCTGAATTAAGCGGACTCTGTTCTATGGGGGACCTGTGCTTGTTTCTATCAGCTCTCCGAGGAGGCTTGGTTTTCTTCCTCCTCATCTCTCCAGCCCCCAGGCAGCGGCTGGCCATGGTGCAAGCTTAAGGACTATTCCTGAAGGAGGGCCAAGTTGCCAGCTTCCCTTTTGTATGACTTTGGTTGTTATTCCTGTTCTTTGAGGGGAATTTTAGCCACAGGCAAAAAGGGCAGCTTGTACGAAAACAAAATTTTCGACTTTTTCTTTCTCATCTGGGAAAATGTGTGCAGACAGAGCAACGCTGCTGAGCTCTGTGGAGAAGAAGGCGAGAGAGCTGGCGTGGGCTGGGAGGGAGGGAGCCTGGGGGAGTTGGATGTGGGAGGCCAGGATGCCTGGGGGCACTCGGGGGCTGAAGGACCTGTAACGGGATATCCAGGGGAGGCAGCGTGATGTGGGCACAAAACCTGGGCTCTGGAGTCTTGGTTTCAAGTTCTGCCCCTTTCCCTAATGAGCTACATGACTTCGGACAAGTTATTAGCAATGGGAGCCTCAGTTTCCTTCATCTGTGAAATGAGGGTAAGAGTGCCCAGCTGACAGAGTTGTTTTAAGGATTAAATGAAACAGCTCAGCTTGGTACCAGTAGATAATAGTTCAATTAACGCATTTTCCTTTATTTTATTTTATTTAGAGATGGGGTCTTGCTCTGTCCCCCAGGCCGGAGTGCAGTGGCGCCACCATAGCTCACTGCAGCCTCAACCTCCTGGGCTCAAGCGATCCTCCCACCTCAGCCTCCCGGGTAGCTGGGATCATGGGCATGCATCACCGTGCCCGGCTAATTTCTTTTATTTTTTGTAGAGATGGGATCTTGCTGTGTTGGCCAGGCTGATCTAGGACTCCTGGACTCAAGTAATCCTCCCGCCTTGGCCTCCCAAAGTGCTGGGATTACAGGCGTGAGCCACCACGGCTGGTCACGTCTTCCTGTCTTCTGCTCTCCTTAAACAACAGTCCCTGAAGTGTTCATGTAGAACAAGAGTTATCAAACCACAGCCCATAGGCCAAATCCAGCCCCACTGCCTGCTTTTATTATTCTTTGTTTTCTTTTTTTGAGACAGGGTCTCGCTCTGTCACCCAGGCTGGAGTGCAGTGGTGCGATCATGGCTCACTGCAGCCTCAACCTCCTGGGCTCATGCAATCCATGGCCAATCAGATTCAAGTCCCATGGCCAATCAGATTCTTCTATGGGATTAGTCTCCAGATTTGGGGAGAGAGATGCTTTTGTTCTGTAGACTTCTTGGCCAGGAGGAAATAAGTCTGGGCCTTTGCCTGTCATGTGGTAAGAGCCTGAGAAACAGAAGCAAGCAGAGCTAATAGATTGGTAAAGATAGAGCCCTGATGATCTTCCAGCTCCTGGATACAGCCATGCCTGGAGCCAGCTGCACTTCTGCACTGCTAAACTATCCAGTTCCATGAGCTTTTTTGGCTTAAGACATTATGGGTTAGGTTTCTACAACTTGAAGCTGAATTCTTCCTAACACTGTATGATTTATTGAGCATTTGCCTTGTGCCAGAGATTGTACTTAGAATTTAATAAGCATGTCTGATTAGTCATGGGTGAGTTCTTTACCTCTTGGAGACTTCATTTTCTGGTATGTAAAATGGGGGTGATCTTATAAGAATAGGACTGTTGTGAGGTTCAAGTGAAGCCAAGAATACAGAGTTCCTGGCACATAGTTGGCCCACAATAAATGTTACAGCATTTTCTTTGATGGGGGAATTTTGTGATTGATATCTTTGTATGTACTTTTGGGTGCAATTGCCTCTTTTTTTTTCCCTTAGGATAAATTCCCAAAGTGGAATTGCAGAATCAAAGGGTATTTGTTTGTTTAGGTCCTTGACTCACTGGACCAAACCACTCTCCAGAATCATACCAGTTGTGTTAGTTACCTGTTGCTGTGGGTCAAATCACCATAAACTTTGTCACTTGAAACAATGCACATTAATTATCTCACTGTTTCTGTGGGTCAGGAGCATCTTGTCTGGGTCCTCTGCTTTTCCATCTTTTATGAGGCTGCAATCAAGTTGTCAGCTGGGACCAGTGTCTTATTTGAAAGCTCAACTGGGGAAGGAGCTTTCTGTACCTTTGGAATTTTCTGTACCTTTTGAATTCCAAGTCACTCATGTTGTTGCTGAATTAAGTTCCTCCAGAGCTGCTTACAGAGGGTCTCAGTTCCTTGCTGGCCAGACTCAGTTTCTAGCCATGTTGGCCTGTCCAACATGAAGTGAACAAGCTAAGAAGGCAAATAGACAGAGACCACTAGCAAGATGACAATTACAAGCCCATGTAACATAATCACAGAAATGAAATCCCATCAACTTTGCTGCATTCTACTCATAGAATCAAGTTACAGAACTCAACCACACATTCACAAAGAGGGGATGAATACCAGGATGAGCGATCACTTGGGGGTTACCACTTTTTTTTTTTTAATGAATTGTGCTCTTTGTGTCCTAGCTAAGAAATCCTTGCTAACTCAAGGTCACACAGATTTTCTCCTATTTTTCTTTTAGCTCTATAGCTTTTGCTTTTACATTTAGATCTGGCATCCATTTACGGTTAATTTTTCTATATGGTACAAGGTAAGAACAGAGGTTTATTTTTACTTTTTCAAGTGATATCCAATGGAATGACATAATTTTAGTCATAAAGCACAAAATGGAAAACTCTACATGTAGGATGGTGAAAATTGTAATAATCATATCTTACATGTGAGTACTTACTATCTAACAGGCTCCGGGTAGGTGTTTTACCTGCATTATTTTATTTACTTCTCACAATGACCCAAATGGAGGTGGAACTCATTAAATATCCTCTCAACACCATGCAACTCATAAAATTAGAAACCACTCTTGACTGACACGTAATGACCTGTGAGATGTTTTGTTATAACAAAGCAAAGCATAGACTATACTGTCACCTGTGTGGAGAGAAATGCATGCACAGACAGATACACACACACACACACACACACACACACACACACCTCTCCAAAGCTATATTTGTCTGCATAAAACAACTCTGGAAAGATACAAAGAAATTGCTAAATGTGGTTGCCTCTGATTAGCTGGGCTCAGGAGAGGGAAGGGGACTTTTCACAGTATGACATTCTGTACCTTTTGAATTTTAAAACACATGCATTTTACAACTTGTGTCAATATTACCATATAAGGAATATGTAAAATTAGAGAAAAATAGGAAGTGGTCTTCTTCCAAAGACCATACTCTTATCTACCATCCTGGCTTCCATTTCCATTCATACATATTTACATCTATCCATCCTTTTATAGTTTCATCTCTCTTTGCCTCTATATTTTCACCTGTTAACTGAGATAATAATAGTCCCTGCCTGGAAGGATGGCAGTGAGGATTGGGACCAAGCACATAAACACTTAAAACAGGGCCCTGCATTCAGAATAAGCTCAGTAGATGCTATTGTCATTATTTTACTCATAGAAAAAGCATTGTAAAAGAAATGCACCTGACATGTTAATAGAGTCTTTTCTGGTTGTGAGATCATAGGTGACTTTTATTTTCTTATTTTCCGCAAAGTTTAAAAAAGTTACATACTATTTTTATAATAAGTATGTTTGCTCCTTCCCAGCCTGGACGACCCCAGGAGTCTCCGCTTACAAGTTCTCTGGGGGATTCTATTCAGACTTTAAGTAATGGCTAAGGTTGGAAAAGGCCAGGCTAGTCTGGCCTGTGTCTAGACAGTTTATTTCCCTCTCCTGCTGTAGAAACAAGATGCTCCTTAATACTGGAAAATGTTTTTGAACAAAACCCCAGGCTCTGGGAGATCATAATATATCAGTGTGAGTTCATCAATTGCAACAGATGGTGGGGGATGCTGATAATGGGAGAGGCTATACAGGGATGGGAAGAAGGTACACAGGAAGTCTGGGTATCTTTTGCTCAGTTTTTCTCTGAAACTAAAGTTTTTCTAAAAAAACCGTTTATGTATTTATTTATTTTTGAGATGGGGTCACACTATGTTTCCCAGGCTGGTGGTAGGCTCAAGTGATCCTCCCGAGTAGCTGGGATTACGGAAGGCCATTATTTTAAGTGAAACAAAATTCAGAAACAGAACGCCAAACAGTGCCTGTTCTCACTTGTAAGTGGGAGCTAACTAATATGTACACATGGACATAGAGTGTGAAATGACAGACATTGGAGACTTGGAAGATTGGAGGCGGAAGGGGAGTGGGTGATGACAAATTGCTTAATGGATCCAATGTACATTACCCGGGTGATGAATGTACTAAAAGCCAAAACTTCACCACTAGGCAATACACGCCTGTAACAAAGTTGCACTTGGATCTCTTACATTTATACAAATAAAAAAAATTATTAAAAAACAAACAAGTGATGGGAGCTGTGGCTCACACCTGTAATCCCAGCACTGTGGGAGGCCGAAGTGGGCAGATCACCTGAGGTCAGGTGTTCGAGACCAGGCTGGCAAACATGGCGATACCCTGTCTCTACTAAAAAACAAAAATTAGCGGGGCATGGTGGTGGATGCCTGTAATCCCAGCTACTCAGGAGGCTGAGGCAGGATAGTTGCTTGAACCCAGAAGGCAGAGTTTGCAATGAGCTGAGATCACACCACTGCACTCCACCCTGGGCAACAGAGAAGGACTCCATCTCAAAAACAACCAACCAACCAACGACAACAACAACAAAACAACAAAAACAAAAACAAGGCCAGGCGAGAGAGCTCACGCCTGTAATCCTAGCAGTTTGGGAGGTCAAGGTGGAAGTACCGCTTGAGCCCAGGAGTTCAAGACCAGCCTGGGCAACATAGTGAGACCCTGTCTCTACAAAAGTATAAAAATTAGCCGGGTGTGGTGGTGTGCCTGTAGTCCCAGCTATTCAGGGGGCCTGAAATGGGAGGGTTGCTTGAGCCCCGGGGGCAGAAGTTGCAGTGAGCCAAGATTGCACCACTGCACTCCAGCCTGGGTAACAGAGTAAGACCTTGTCTCAAACATCAACAACAACAAAACAACAACAAAAAACCCTCTCCAGGGTCAGGGAGAAGAAAGAAAGCAGGTAGAGGAGGATGGCTAATGTGCTTGGATTAACAGGCATTAATAATGCCCAGTTTTCAGACAGGAGACTGATCTTCAAGAAAGGTCCCAAACATTAAAATGAATTCCGGAATGGAGATCACCAGCTGAACTGTTGAAGCCCTTACTGAAGCTACTATTTTTGCCTTGACATTATGGAATTACAGGGGAACCTGGCCTGGTGTGTTTTGGGGACGTCGCATGCATAGATGTCACTCTGGAGAGCCAGAGTGTGGCACTGCCACCCTGGAATGCCCTGTTTATCTTACAGAACTTGCCTCGGGTCCCTGTCTTCCTGGAAGCCTTCTTCTCTGGCCTGCTCTTGACTTCTGCATTGCCTTTTGTAGCACAGTGGAAACCAGACCCAACTCTCACAGCTCAGATAAACCTGGTTTCCAATCCCTGCTGCTTTTGTGACTTTGCATGCCACATTATCTCTCTAGGCCTCGGTTTCCTCATCTCTAGTGCAGGAGTGATCGAGAGTCCCTACCTTATTAGGGTTTGTGGAAGGCACAGTCATGGCCCACCAAAGATGTCCACATTTTAATCCCCCAAACCTGTGACTCTGTTACCTTACATGGCAATGTGACTTTAAGGTGGGATTGAGTTAAGGATCTTGAGGTGGGGAAATTATTCTGGACTAACTAGGTGGGCTTGGTGTGATCACAAGGTACCTTCTAAGAGGCAGGTAAGAGGGTCAGAAAGAGAAGATGGAAGGGTGGAAGCAGAGGTCAGCTTTGCAGATGAGGGAGGAGCCGCAAGCCAAGGAATGCAGGTGGCCTCTAAAAGCCAGAAATGGCAAGGAAATGATTTCTCCCCTGGAGCCTCCAGATGAAGCAGAGCCCTCCCCACACCTTCACTTTAGCCCAGGGAGACTGATTTCAGACTCCCAAGCTCTAGAATTCTAAGAATACATTTGTGTTGTTTTAAGCCACAAAATGTGTGATAATCTGACACAGCAGCCATGAGAAACTAATATAGGGTTGCTGTAAAGACGAAATCTCACAGGTTATGGGGGAAAGTCACTGGGATGAAGGCAGGAGTGGGGGCTATGTGAACACCCTGGCATGGGAAGCCCTTTTTTATTTCAGCACTCAGCAAATGGTGGTTATCATTAAATTGTATTATTTTGACTTATTTTTAGGACTACAGGTGTGACACATTGTTACATGTATTTCTTTCCTTTTCTGTTCTCTGCAGGACACTGTGAGCTCCCTGGAGGACGCAGAAGACCTTGTCCTATTCCTGTTGTATCCTTAGTGCCTGGCGTATAGTAGTTGCTCAATAAAGAAGTGCTTTAAATACATGGACAGATTTTTAGACGTTTATGTCTGACTTACGTAGGCCTGAACAAGAGGGAACAGGATGAGAGGAGCTCAGGAATGAAGGTGACGATGATGATGGTGCAATGACAATATTGGGGTTGACAACAGTGATAGTCATCACAACAGCACCACTTACTAGACGTGAATGCCTGCTATGTGTCAGACACTGGTTGCAGCCATCATCTTTCATGAACCCAACAATCCTGGGAGGCAGATATTGTTTCTATCAGAGGAGGTGTGGGGTCTACAGTCAGCATAATGGGCTCTGGAGGAAGGCCGTGGCTGGGCTGAACCAAGAAACCTTTCTTCTTGTCTTTGGTGAGGGCTTGAGTAACTGTTCTATTTCTTTTCTGGGTCTCACTTTTCTTCTCTGTAATATGATGGGCAGATGCTAAGGGTTCTCCCAGCTCTGTGGTTCTAGTGCTTGGCCCCTTCCTGGATCCCCACCAAGCAACAGTAGGGAGAAGGACAAAATCTGTCTCTCAAAGGCTGTCATTGCAGGCCTGGGCTGGGGGAGTGGGGTGCCAGTGGCCACAGCAGCAAGCAGTTTCAAGGCAACATGATTGAGGACACCTGGCTGACTCCTGTCCCCACACCCACCATCCCCTGTGATGTTCAGAATCTCTGTCAGTGAATTTCTAGCATAGCCTTTGTATGCCCTGGCCACGGAGGGCGTGCAGGGGTGGGCGGAGCTGGCTGGAGGCTGACGCTGGGCGTTGATGTGGCAATTCTGGCTTTAACAATCTGTAGAGATGCTGACTCCTGGCAAACTGCAAATGCTTTCAGCGTGGAGGAGATGGGTAGGCTGTCTGCTGTCTGTGGCACTGGACACAGAAGAAGGTGTCAGACCTAATCGTTCAGATTAATACCCGGGTAGCAACAACAGCCTTGAATTTGGAGCTAGGCCTGTGTTTAAATGCCAAGTCCATGCCTTATTAGCTGTGTGACCTTGCTGGGTCAAACTCTGAGCTGCCGTATGGCGTTTCGTAGGAGAGGGACTTGAGCTAATAGCTGGAGCTAATGTTTACTAGCTGTTTTTATGGGCTGCCTGAGACTCTGCTCAGGACTTGGCATGAGTGATTCCAAGTCATGTCCTTATAATCTCACAGTCAGGATTGTCTTTATGTCTTCTCTTCTTTCACTGTAGCCTTGACCTCCTAGGCTCAAGTGATCCTCCCACCTCAGCCTCTTAAGTAGCTGGGACCACAGGTGCTCACCACCACGTCCAGCTAATTTTTAAATTTTTTACTTGTAGAGAGGGGGTCTTACTATGTTGCCCTGGCTGGTCTCAAACTCCTGGGCTCTAGCCATCCTCCATGCCATGGCCTTCCAAGATCCTAGGATTATAGGTGTGAGCCACTATGCCCAGCCTGTCATATATTGTCTAATTTAATTTCGACGATAACTCTGTGAGTTTGGTATCGTTACTTTCATTCTTCTGAAGAGGAAAATGAAGTTCAGAGAACTAAAACTGTTGATCAGTGTCCCTTGGCAAATAAGGGGTGGAGGTGGCATTTGAAGTGAGGTTTCTTTGATACTTCAATTCTTTCCACTATATCTCTCACATTAAGCTATTGTCAGGCCATATGAGTTAATATTGACTGAGGCCAGGCCCCGTGGCTCATGCCTGTAATCCCAGCACTTTGGGAGGTCGAGGCGGGTGGACCCCTTGAGGCCAGGAATTGGAGACCAACCTGGCCAACATGGTGAAACCCTGTCTCTACCAAAAATACAAAAATTAGCTGGATGTGGTGTTGGGTGCCTGTAATCTCAGCTACTTGGGAGGCTGAGGCAGGAGAATCACTTGAACCGGGGAGGCAGAGTTTGCAGTGAGCCGAGATCACATCATTGCACTCCAGCTTGGGCGACAGAGCGAGACTCTGTCTCTAAATAAATAAATAAATATGGACTGAGTATCTCTTACATGTTAGTCTTGCTTTATGCTCTTTTACCGAAATGCATGAAACCAATCCCACATTCAAAGCATGGCTTTGAAGTTAGACAAGCTTGTGTTTGAATCCTGGATCCTGTACTTAATAGCTGTGTGATATTGATTCACTTACTCAACCTCTCTGAGCCTTGGTGTTTCTATCTGTAACATGGTTGCATTAGGCATACTTTTCTCCCAAAATTGATGTGAAGCTTCAAACAGGAATGTGCCTGATGTGCCTGCCCCATTGTCACAATCCAGCACATATCAGCTATCACTGGAATAGATTCCTAGAGAAGGGCTTTTACTAGCCCCTCTTACAGATGAGGAAACTGAGGCCCAGAAAGGAGAAGTAACCAGATCAGGACCTTTCAGCAGGCTAGTGGCAGAGCTGGTGCTGGAACCCAGCTGTCCTGGTTCCTGGTCTAAATTCTTTCCCTTCGGCTGTGTGATACCTGAAAGAAGCTTCTCTCTGGTTGAGGATTTTTATTCCAATTTGGGAAGAAGTTTCCCCAAAGAAAGAGAGCTCAGACCCAGGCTTTAATCTCTTGGTGTTATGCCAGGTGGGTAATGGCAAAATTAGACCAGTGGGTTACTGATCTCTTTTCATTTTAAGCTAATTACATCACCTAGGGTATGGAGAGTGGCAGCTAGCTCTTCTAGATGTCCTTAATGGACGGATAAAGGCTTTACACTTAAATGGTTATGCACAGGTCAGGTCCAGGGAGTCCAGTTCACCAGCAGAACATCATGACTTCATGAAACTTAATACAGAGAGGAGGCATTTCTCTCTAGTGCAGCAATCTTAATAACTGTACCACATCCCAGCTATATTTCTAAAGCCTTCAGCTGGTTCCTTACAGTTCCTTACAGCCCCACAAAATAAGCTCTGTGCTTGCAAGAAGAGACTTTTTGCAGGATTCGTTTATTAAATCAACAAATTTCTATTACACACATACTGTGTGTCACATACTAACCCCGAAGCCAATGATGCCCATTGGATAGCACCAATGCAATCCCTGTCTGCATCAATTCACAATGCATTCCGTTGCAAATAGCAGACAACTCTAAGTTAATGGCTTAATAGATAAGGGTTCATTTTTATCTTGTAACAAGAATTCTGGAGGTAGGCAAATCAAAGATGGGGCAATGATACTATTGGGTGTTCATATGTTCAGTCAATGGAGAGTTGCAAAGTTCAATGATACTATTGGGTGCTCAAGTCTCTGCCGCTTTCTGTTTTTGCCATCACGGATGGTTTATCCTCGTGTTTGCAAAATAGCTGCTGCACTTCTAGACATCACATTTACATTCCAGATGGACAAAAAGCCTTCTCCCAAGGCCTTGTCGTTTTGCTTGGGGGAGCCATTCCCAATAGACTCTGTGTCTATCTGATTGGTCTGAATTATGTCACATGGCCACTACTGGCTGGAACGGATCTAGAAATGTGAAAGGGAAGTGAATCTGAATGGTGTTGAGTGAGCCATCCTATAGTATCTAGCATATTGCCTGAATGAGGTTTATAGTCCAAAGGAGCAGACACGTAGCTAGCAAATAACTTCATTGTTAAGTATTCCTTAATTACTATTAGGAAGGTCTCTTTGAAGGTGTAAGAGTGCTAGATAACAGGTCTTAGGTTGGGTTTTTTGGAAGTAGACCCTGAGATAAGGATTTAAGGGCAAGTAATTTTTTTTTTTTTTTTTTTTTTTGAGATGGAGTCTCGCTGTGTCACCCAGGCTATGGTGCAGTGGCTTGGTCTTGGCTCACTGCAATCTCCACCTCCCAGATTCAAGCGATTCTTCTGCCTTAGCCTCCCTCCGGAGTAGCTGAGACTACAGGCATGTGCCACCACACCCAGCTAATTTTTTGTAGAGATGGGGTTTTGTCATGTTGGCTAGGCCATTCTCGAACTCCTGGCCTCAAGTGATCCACCTGCCTTGGCCTCCCAAAGTGGTGGAATTACAGGCATGAGCTACCATGCCTGGCCGAGGGCAAGTAATTTTATTTGGAGGGTTATCCTAGGATGCCCTGGTACAGGAGTGGGGAATTGAGATGCAGGAGGGAGAAGAAAAGGAAATCAATATAAGATGTGCTATTGAGCAGGTCACCACTTTGGGGAGCTGCAACTCAGTCTCCCTGGGAACCTCTGGGATCCAGAGTAGAACATGCTCAGAGCTTTCCCCTGCCCTAATGGGTGAGATCACTGGGGGCTATTTATCCTCCACTCTATTCCCTTTCACACTGGTATTTCTCCTAGTGAAAGAAAGCCTTGTAGATCTAACCCTGTCTGTGTCTGCTTCTTAGAAGACCTGAAGTAACACAGGCTGGGAGTGGGGACAGGCCTCAGGTAGGATTGCCTTAGCAAATGCGAAGCCATAAAGGAGCTGTGGGAAAAGGAATGACATGTTCTGAGTTGTGTTTCATGATGACCATGCAGGCTCTTGTAAGAATGGATGGTCATAGTGGCAGTGTGGCAATGGCAGACAACAGCAGACGCAGGGACACCAGTGTTCAAGTTATCAATAGCTGTGTAACAAGCTACACCCCAATTCTCTGGCTGAAAACAACTGTTTTATTTTGTTAATGCTTTTCTGGTTTAGGAATTCAGGAAGGGCTCAGCTGGGTGGTTCATCTCTAATCCATGTGGCAGCAGATGGAGCTGCTGGAGCTGGAGGGTCTACTTCCAAGATGGCTTCTCCACTCAAAAGCCTGGCACCTTGGTGTTTCCTGGTCCCACCCACCCACTCTCTGGCATCTCATCCTCCAGCCTTTCCTCATGGCCTGGGCTTCTCACAGAAGGGTGGTCTCCAGGAATTTCCATCCTTATATGGTTGCCAACTTCCAAGAGATTGAAAATGGAGGCTCCCAGGCCAGTTAAGGGTGGTGTCTGGAACTGGCCCAGCATCCCTTCTGCCAAATTCTATTGGTGAAAACAAGCACAGGCCTCCTCAGCTTTGAGGCAGTGGAGAAGTACAGTCATCATTTTGCTGGAGAGTGGCAAAGTCCACTGGAGAAGAGCCTGTGGCATGGGCAATATTGTTGCTACCATGTTTGGAAATGACAGTTGGTTATAACCAGGTAGGAGGTTTTATAGCATCCAGGCAAGAAACAATCATGGTTGGTATTAATGACATAAGTGTGAAGATGGAGAGTTGCAGATGCATAATACATTTTGGAAGTAGAACTGATAGGAGTTGGTGATGTCTTGGTTGTGGGCCTTTCGGGTGAGAAGAGCACTGAATGGCTTCCATATTTCTGTGAAGGCAACAGAGGAGATGATAGCTCTGTCTCCTGAGGAGGTAATGCCCTGAGATCGAGAAGGAGATTAACAGTTCAGTTCTCAGGGCACTCATGGGTGGTCATCTGTTGAGTCAGACAGTTATTCCATCTCTGCAAAGTTATTGACCTTGGGCAAGTTGCTCAGACTCTGAACCTCAGCTTTTGCATCTGTAAAATGGGCATGCATAATCTCTCTGATTGAATAGTTGTGAGGACTTTGTGGGTGTGGCAATGACCTGGGGTGGATGCTTTTTTTTTTTTTTTTGAGATAGGGTCTCGCTCTGTCACCCAGGGTAGAGTGAAGTGGCGCAATCTCAGTTCACTGCAACCTCCGCCCCCTAGGCTCACGTAATCCTGCCACTTCAGCCTCCTGAGTAGCTGGGACCACAGGTGCACATCACCACTTCTGACTTTTTTTTTTTTTTTTGTATTTTTAGTAGAGACAGGGGTCTCATCATGTTGCCCAGGCTGGTCTCAAATTCCTCAGCTCAAGTGATCCTCTCGCCTTGACCTCCCAAAGTGCTGAGATTACAAGTGTGAGCCAATGTGCTCTGCCTTAGATGCTTAATTGATGCCCCCAGGTTTCCCTGATGACCCATCTGGGCTCAGTCTGGGCTAGGACAAACCGTCTAGGCCACAGAGCTTTCTGGGAACTGGGAAAGGGGAAGGGAATTCATGGACTTATTGAACATCTACTATGTTTCAGACGCTTTTTATACATTGTCTTATTGAATCCCTCTGCAACTCTATATTTAAGATACATGTAGAAATAGGGAAACTGAGGCTCCAGGAAAAAAGGACTTACTCATATTCACATGTTGGTGAGTAAAAGAGCTGACAGCCAAATCCAGGTCTCATTAATTGTTTTTTAAATATCATTTTTTTCCCTGTGATGCCTCAGTGCTTCATAATAAGAGGTAACCCTTCTTCCCTACACCCTGATACCTCCCTCCCTCTTCCTTTATTCCTTCTTTTTAAAAAATAAATATTTTTTATTTTTTTAGGGACAGGGTCTCACTGTGTTGCCCAGGCTGGAGTACAGTGGCATGATCATAGCTCACTGCAGCCTCAAACTCTTGGACTAAAGCGATTCTCCCACGTCAGCCTCCCAAGTAGCTGGGACTACAGGTGTGCCATCACACCTAGCTAATTTTTTAATTTTTTTTTTTTAGTAGAGATGGAGTCTTGCTATGTTGCCCTGTCTGTTCTGGAACTCTTGGCCTCAAGCGATCCCTCCATCTCAGACTCCCAAAGCATTGGGATTACAGGCATGAGCCACTATTCCCAGCCTTTTCCTTCTCTTTCTTTTAATATTTCCTCTTTTCATTCTTAACGTGCATTTCCCTCCACACTTCTGAAAGTGCTTTCCACTTATCTTATTTTTTGAGACAGTCTCACTCTACCACATAGGCTGGAGTGCAGTGGCACAATCCCAGCTCACACCAACTTCTGGCTCCTGGGTTCAAGCGATTCTCCTGCCTCAGTCTCCCGAGTAGCTGTGATTACAGGTGCTCACCACCACGCCCAGATAATAGATAACTTCTCTGGGCTCAGACAGCTGTCAGATGCTGATTTAAGACTCAAAACCAGCCTCTGCAATCCCTGATGAACGTTGTGCTCCCCCATGCTGTAGTGAGATAGCACGGTGCCTGGTGTAGCCTTAATCTTAAATGCCGTGGCTTGTTTGGATCTGGCCTTGGGAGATTTCAGGTTTTATCATGCTTCTTCAGTTGACTGGCTGAGTAATGATATTACGTGATGTTTGACGTGCTCCTCTCCTCCCCAGAATCATAAAAAAAAATTACTTTCTGTTCCTTTTAGAGTGACTGAGCATGATTTAGGTGGAGTACATTAAAACCCTCAGGGAAAATACAATTTCGAAACCTATAAGGTTGCCTAGGAGCCTGGAAGAAGGTCTCCTTGTATAGATGAGGAACGTGGGACCCAGTGAAGGGACAGGCCCATGGTGGGTGCAGGGGGCATCCCCTGTTTTGGCCTGCCATTGTCCATTCTCTTGGTTCTCATAATGGCACCTCGCTTTTTCTTGTGGGAGCCAGCTAGGTTTGCTGGATACATCTGGTTAAATTTTAACTTCAGATAAACAACACGAAGTTTTTCTAGTATACCTCAAGTATTGCATGGGACATACACTGAAAAATAATTCACCATTTATTTAAAATTAAAATTTAACTGGATTTCCTATATTTTTATTTGCCACATTTAGCAATCGTAATGTATTTCAGCTCAAATGGCTTAAAATAAACTTTTATTTTAAATTCAAGGGTACATGTGCAGGTGTGTTATGTAGATAAACTCATGTTACAGGGGTTTGTTATACAGAGTATTTCATCACCCAGTATTAAGCCTAGTATCTATTAGTTATTTTTTTTTCTGATCCTCTCCCTCCTCCCACTCTCCACCTTCAGGTAGGCCCCAGTGTTTGTTGCTCCCCTCTATGTGTCCATGTGTTCTTATCATTTAGCTCCCACTTGTAAGTGAAAACATGCAATATTTGGTTTTCTGTTCCGGTGTTAATTTGCTAAGGATAATGGCCTCCAGCTCCATCCGTGTTCCTGCAAAGGACATAATCTTGTTCTTTTTTATGGCAGCATAGTATTCCATGGTATAGCCTACCACATTTTCTTTATCCAATCTACCATTGATGGGCATTTAGGTTGATTCTATATCTTTGCTATCATAGTTGGACTCAAATATTTAGGGTGGGTCTGACTTCTCCCACTCTGGCTCCAAGAGTAGACGGGTGACTGAGGCTTGGCCAATTAGCACATCTGGTCCCTTTGAATGATAGAGATTGATTCAGAGACGGGCACATGACCAAAAACAGGCCAATGAGATTTAATTCTGGGGATCTGGCACTATTGAGAGAGAGATTATTTCTTTTTCTTGGAGCTGCTAAGCTGTGAAACTGGCTCCTATGATTGAACAAATGAGAGCCTGCTTGAAAAATGAAGTCAAGCAAGAGGAAAACAACTGAGAGGTGGCAAGAAGAAGAGGAAGAGGGAAGAGATTGAATCTCAAAGACATTGTAAGGGCTCCTGGGATCAGCCTCAACTGAATTTTACCTACATCTCTCAAGTCGACGGTGAGGACTATTTTAATGATGGTGGAAGTAAAGATAACAGTAGTAGTGTGATGGAGGTGACAGCAAAATTATCAGTGATGATGGTTTTGGAAAAGATCTATCTTCATCAAGATAGTGGTGGCGGGGTGATGAAACAGAATGGTCTGCAGAATCAAGGGAGAGTGTATTCTTGCTGGTGATAGCTCTGCCAGGGTGCTGATGCCCTTGATAATGAAGATGAGGATGACAGTGATGTAGATTAAGGTGGTATTGGGAAGGAAGAATAAAGGGAAAGGATAACTCTCAACCCCAGCCTATCACCGAGCCCTAACAACTCTACTCCCTCAACTTTTAAAAACTCTATCCACTTCACTCTCTGCTCGCTGCTGCCCCCACCCTAGCCCAAGTCAGCAGGATCTTGCTTCTTCTTCTACGATGTCCTCCTAAGTGGCCTTCTTGTTCCCTTTCTTGTCTCTCTATATTCTATATTCCACACTACAGCAAGCATAGTGAGATTTTTTTAATACGTAAGTTAGAACATTTTACTTTTGTGCTGAAAACGGTTCAGTGGTTTGGACTAAAATTGAACTCTTTATCATGGATCTCAAGAGCTGCATGACCTGACAAATTATTATACCCTCAATCTCATTTCCCTCTGGTTGCTCTTCCCTTACTACATTCTAGCCTGATGGCCCTTCTTTCGATTTCTCTAGAATGGACCAAACCCCTCTATAAGCCATTCTCTAGACACGGATACTTTTATAACCTTCATGTCTCAGCATCAATGTCACTTCCTCAGAGAAGCCCAGTGAGATCTCCCCTCTGATACTTTCTCTCATAGCACCCTGTCGTAAGCACGCTTTGATGATTCTCTTCCAACCTGACCAGCACTTACCAACTTTTGGACCTTGATACAATGGTCCCTTACGAATGGATCACAGGAGTGCCAAGATTTTGATTCCTCAGCCATAAGGTCAGCATTGAGGGGTCTTTAGTAGCTGTAACTCCTGAGGATTGGTCATCCCCAGTATCTGGAAGCCTCTTCTGTTAATGAGCCATGCAAATATAGGTATTTTCTCTGTGTCCCCTACTTTGTAAAAGTCTGGGAAGCCTGAATCCTATATTTCTTAAGGGCAGGACTTGTTTTTGGATTGTTCATGCCTATATTCTTAACATAGACTATAGCATCAGACACATAGAAGGTACCGGAAGTATTTCTTGAAGGAGTAAAAGGTTTTATGGTGGTGAAGAAGATGGTGGAATTGATAAGAGTGATGGTGATGATAAAGAGGAGAGTGGTGCTGGTGCTGGTGGTGGTAGTGATGATGATGGTGATGGTCATGGTGGTGGTGATGGTAATGACCGTGGTGGTGATAGTGGTAATGGTGGTGATGATGGTGGTGATGATGATGGTGGTGATAGTGGTAATGGTGGTGATGATGGTGGTGATGATGATGGTGATGGTGGTGATGATGGTGGTGGTAATGGTTGGTGGTGATGGTGGTGGTTGGTGGTGATGGTGGTGGTGATGATGATGGTGATGACGATGGCAATGGTGGTGATAGTGATGATGGTGGTGGTGGTGATGGTGGTGATGGTGGTGATGGTGGTGGTGGTGGTGATGGTGGTGATGGTGGTGTTGTCTGTGGTGATGGTGATGGTGGTGGTGATGGTGGTGGTGATGGTGATGGTGGTGATGGTGGTGTTGTCCATGGTGATGGTGATGGTGGTGGTGGTGGTGATGGTGGTGGTGATGATGATGGTGATGACGATGGCAATGGTGGTGATAGCGATGATGGTGGTGGTGGTGATGGTGGTGATGGTGGTGGTGGTGGTGGTGATGGTGGTGAAGATGATGTGGTGATGGTAGTGATGATGGCGGTGTTGGTGGTGATGATGGTGATGGTGGTGATGGTGGTGTTGTCCGTGGTGATGGTGATGGTGGTGGTGGTGATGATGATGATGGTGATGGTGGTGGTGTTGGTGATGCTGCTGCTGGTGATGATGGTGGTGATGATGATGATGGTGATGGTAGTGATGACGGTGTTGTTGTTGGTGATGATGATGATGGTGATGGTGGTGCTGTTGGTGATGCTGCTGCTGGTGATGGTGGTGATGATGATGGTGATGGTAGTGATGATTGTGTTGTTGTTGGTGGTGATGTTGATGATGGTGATGGTGGTGGTGGTGATGATGGTGGCAATGCTGGTGGCTATGATAATGAAGAAAGACTTTGGGGGTAGAAATGATAGATTCTGAGGACCTGGACTACCTCAGTGCTTTAGAGAACTTTTATGAAAAATTAATGTGCCTTTTCACATTCTAGTCAGCCCAGACTACACTCGAAGGTGGATTTTGGAGGAAGGGTACTTGGAGCTGGAGGGGCTCTTGGAGATGATTTGCAAATCCTGGCGGGACTGTGAGGCCCGCCACACCCCTCCTTCTTTCTGCCCCAGGTGGTCCCAAGGCCGCCTGCCCTTCCACACCGGCAGCCTCCAGCGCTCCAGGGCTGGGGACCGCCCCCGTCCATGCTGCGTGCGCACTCCGAGCTTTTCCTCGGCGAGGAGGAGGGCTCAGAGGGTCAGCTGCGCCCCGGCCAGAGCAGGAGCTGCGGGAAGACCCTGGAGAGCAGGGCTGGGAGTGGGGATCTGGCAGTGTGGGGCCAAGAAAAAGGGCTGGGGCGGAAATCCAGAGACAGAGGCAGAGAGGGGAGCATCTGGGATCGTGGGGAGGGTTCGTGGAGAGTGAGGCAGGGGAATGGAGGGAGTAGGAGTCTGGGGAAAGTGAGGATTTTGAAGTGAGAGAGTCCGCTTGGGCTGGGCGTGGAGGGCCGAGGGTGGAGTGGGGCTGAGGGACGAGGTGGGTTAAGGTGCTGGTGGGGAAGGACTAGAGCTTCCAGGAGGGTCTGAAGGCGGAGGTGGAGGTCGGACAGCACAAGTGAGAGTGAGGGGGTCTGCAGGTAGAGCTGGCATTGGAGGGGTGGGAACGTGGACGGCGGCTGAGCGGGGGGCGCGTGCAGGTCGGAGCCGGCAGGTGAGGAGCCAGGGTCTAAGCTAGGGCCCGGGGTCCAAAGGAAAGGCTTTCAGATCTGAGCTCCGCGGCTCTGGCGGCGGTGGAGCTGGGAGCCCGCGGTGGCCGGCTGGGGACGGGGGCAGGAGCAGAGGGGTCGCGCCGCGGCCACTGGAACCCGCGGCTGCTGGTCCTGGGCTCGGCGATGCGGGTGCACCTGGGCGGGCTGGCCGGCGCGGCTGCGCTGACCGGGGCGCTCAGCTTTGTGCTCCTGGCGGCCGCCATCGGCACGGACTTCTGGTATATCATTGACACCGAGCGGCTGGAGAGGACTGGCCCGGGGGCGCAGGACCTGCTGGGGTCCATCAATCGCAGCCAGCCCGAGCCTCTGAGCTCCCACTCCGGCCTCTGGCGGACCTGCCGGGGTAAGGGTGCACCCCGTGGCTGGGAGCTGTGGCTGCGAACGCCCCCTGCGCGGTGCCCTGCTCCCTTGGGACCTGTTGCTTGGCGCGCACTCCTCCCCCAAGTCCCTAAAATACAATGTCTAGGGACTCGGGGGGAAGGTGAGCAGAAGGCCGGGACTGCGAAAACCCTTCCGAGAGGCACCCGGCTGCGATCCCAACTGCTCTAGCTCTCCCCGCGCCCTCCCCGGGTGGGGCACTTAGGGTGAGCATGGGGGCAAAGCCGCAGACGAGGGTGCTGCACAGAACTCCGGGGTCCTGCACCCATGGATTCCTCCGTCCTATCCAGTGCAGAGCCCGTGCACACCGCTGATGAACCCCTTCAGGCTGGAGAACGTGACAGTCAGCGAATCGAGCCGGCAACTTCTCAGTGAGTCCGGGGAGGGTGAGGATGGAGGGAGCGCCCCGGTCCTAGCCGTGAGTTCTGGAGCCTTTCCCAAAACAGCCGGGCTTCGGGGCCTGCGGAGAGGGCGGCTGGGGTGGCCTCTGACAGCCCAGCCTGAGAATGGAGTGGGCTTAAGACCGGGGGGCAGGGTCTCTCCTGATCCACCTGTAACGTTTTGTGGTTTAGGGTTCATTCAGCTCACGTTGACTAATGGCTTTCTTTGCACCGTTTTGATGGATGGTTAAGACACAGGCCATCCCCTCAAGGGGCTCACAGTGGTGCTGGGACAAATGTGGAGACGCGCAGTTAGAGTCCAGCAGCGTGAGGAAGGGAAGGTGGGAAGCCCCTGCAGGGACCTAAATTAGCCTCGGGAGGTGAATGGTGAAAGAGAGGTCTCATTCCACAGATTCCATGCCAGCGTTGTTTGTATTCACATTGCCTAGAACAAGGGCTTTGCAGTAGTGGGGTGCGATAGAAATTTGCATATAAATATATGATTGGAGCCAGGCAATTAGGAGGTGGGAACAGCCCCTCCTCTCAGGTCCACTGCGTCCCTCTTATTCCTGGTTGGTTCTTAGTACCCAGCTCAGTGCCTGGAACTCAGTAAAAGTTGTGAGGACTGAAAGCAAGAAAGGAAATGGGATGAATGAGCATTTGTGGAGGGAGGGAAATAAACCTAACAGTTCAATTCATTGAGGCTTGAGATAAGCCAGACGTGGAGCGAACTGCTTTTCATCTATGTCTTCATTTGATTCCCACAGCCACACCCTATGAAGTTATTAGTATCGTCATTTCTGCCTTCATTTTTCCAATGAGGAGGCCCAGAGAGGTTCTGTAGGAGGATCTGATGAGGAAATGAAGACTGAGTTTCATAGACTTTGAAAATGTGGGCAGGTTTTTTTTTTTTTTTTGAGACAGGGTCTTGCTCTGTTGCCCAGGCTGGAGTACAGTGGCATAATCTTGGCTCACTGCAACCTCCTCCTCCCAGGTTCAAGCGATTCTCCTGTCTCAGCCTCCTGAGTAGCTGAAACTACAGGTGCCTGCCTCCACGTCGGGCTAATTTTTCATATTTCTAGTACAAATGGAGTTTCACAATGTTAGCCAGGCTGGTCTCGAACTCCTGACCTCAAGTGATCTGCCCATCTCAGCCTTCCAAAGTGCTGGGATTACAGGTGTGAGCCACTGCATTGGTATCAGTTTTTTTTTAATAGTGATAGGAAACATAGTTACTATGTTTCCCAGGCTGGTCTTGAACTCCTGGGTCAAGTGATGTTCCTGCCTTGGCCTCCCAAAGTCTTGGGATTTCAGGTGTGAGCCACTGTGCCTGGCCTTCTCCCTCCACTCAACCCTACCCAGAGACAGGGTCTTGTTCTGTTGCCCAGGCTGGAATGCAGTGGCACGGTCTTAGCTCACTGCAGCCTCAAACTCCTAAGCTCAAGCAATCTTCCTGCCTTAGTCTCTCAAAAGTGCTGAGATTATAGGCATGAGCAGTTTTTGATAGACTTACTGAGGCTGGGGATAAAAAAATAAAGACAAGTGCCTAGCATGGCCCACAAGGCTTGGTAGGGTCCCTCTCCAGCCCCATTCTCCGCTTTACTCCTTTCTTTCCAGCTGTGCTGGCCTTGGCCAGTTCTTGGAACATGCTAAGTTTCCTCCTGCCACAAATATTTTGCACATGCTGTTCCCTCCACCTGGAATCTCCCTGCTTTTATCCCACCAACTTGACTTGGCTAACTGCTAAGTGCAAATTGTATGACTTTTTTGTGGGGTGGGGTTTAAATCTGACTCCCTCATTAGATTGAAAGCTCCATGGGGACAAGGACCATGTCTATCTTGCCACTGCTGAATTCCCAATATTTAGCATAGAACCTGGCACATAGTAGCCCATGAGTCAAAGTTTGCTGAACAAACATGTTAGTGAATGCAAATTATATTATATTGTAGGTGGAGCTCAATATATGTATTTATTGTATGAATATATGGGTTTATGGTGAACCAGAACTGTTTCTCTAAAGTCCAGAGGCATGCTGGGAAATATTGAACAACTGGATCTCTGCAAAATTAAAAGAAAAAAAAAAGCCCTGGTTTGTAGCATTTGCCTATTTCTGTGGTGCAAATACTTCCACCATGGCCAATTTCAAGACACCAACATGATGTTACCTGGCTCACAAAATTCTCAAAAGCTTAACTGGCTCTTGTGAGTTGATATGAGTCAGCTCCAGCACACCACTGAGTTAAGTTCCACCAAAGGAGACATACCCTAGACACCTGGAATGTGTGGGAGTTGAGGAAAGGTGGAGGTACCGTGTGCTCTGTTCTGAGCCCCAAACTGCACAAGGGGAAACTGTGAGTGTCTTTGAAGCACTGTTTCAAGAATTATAAGAATTCGGCCAGGCGTGGTGGCTCATGTCTGTAATCCCAGCACTTTGGGAGGCTGAGGCAGGCAGATCACCTGAGGTCAGGAGTTTGAGACCAGCCTGGCCAACATGGTGAAACCCCATCTCTACTAAAAATACAAAAATTAGCCCGGTGTGGTGCCACCTGCCTGTAGTCCCAGCTACTCAGGAGGCTGAGTTATGAGAATCGCTTGAACCTGGGAGGCAGAGGTTGCAGTGAGCTGAGATTGCACCACTGCACTCCAGTCTGGGCAACAGAGTGAGACTCTCTCAAAAAAAAAACAAAAAAAAAGAATGATAAGAATTCCGGTCATGGAAGTGAGGGAGATGAGGGTCATGTCCCAGGTAAAACCCCTACAAAACAGAGGCCTTCTGTGATCCTGGGATAGGTGTCTTAACCTCTCTGAGCCTCAATGTTCACATCCGTCAAAATGAGATGTGGACACCATCAAGGGATATGGTTAGACTTCCATGAGAGGGAATAAAAATGGATAAACAAAACGGACCTTGCCTAGGACCAGTCATAAAGGAATGACCAGACTTGTCAGAAAGGAATGACTTGACATCGAGTTTCCAGACATATGGTAAGTGCTCAGTAAGCATGAGCTCTCCCTTTGCCCCTCCTTCCAGCCTCCTTCTAGAGGTAGTAACATCAATGGAGTG
Source organism: Homo sapiens (assembly GCF_000001405.40). Lineage (NCBI taxonomy): Eukaryota > Metazoa > Chordata > Mammalia > Primates > Hominidae > Homo > Homo sapiens. The sequence goes on along the minus strand of NC_000016.10, from coordinate 8,586,138 downwards.
CTGATCCTTTGCCAAGCTGGGTGTGCACATTCAGCTGACTTATCACATCCATGGGTCAATTGGATGGCTAACCACAATAGGCACTGGGCTGGCTTCCTCTTCAATCTTGACAGTGCAACAACCATGCTTGTTTCAGGATTTTGAGACAGAGCAGAACTCACATCCACAGTCTATTCACTCGTTCACCCTCAGTCCTAGGGCTAACCCGCAGTTTCACCACCAAGTAGGCATGTGGCCATGGGCCTTTCCTTATTTCCTTATACCTCTCTGAGCCTCAGTTCCCTCCTGTGCAAAATGAGGATAATTGTCATCTCTTTTTGTAAGGTTATTGTGAGGCTAAAACAGGACAGTGTATTTAAAGAGCCTAATGTGGTGTCTGGCCTCCGGAAGTGTGCTGTAAGTGGTAGCTGCTATTATTCCCATTATATCCTCCATGAAAAAGGACAAGCTGCCCCTTCATACCATGTACTCCTTGCAAATCACCCCCAGAAAGAGCTTTTTTTTTTTTCTCCGCATAATGTCTTTTTCTTCCAAAATGAATTTTGAGTTTGGTCCAAGCTCTTCTATTATATGAAGATGTTTCATTCCTTTAAGGACCTGCTGCAGAGGCCATAGAGGAGAAGCTAGCTGACAAGCAGCACGTTCGACAAGCAGCATGTTCTCTAAGTTCAGCCTCCTAGATAAATCCTGGTGGGGGTGTATGGGAAGAAACCTTGATTTTTCCTCTAAGAAAACCCTCACAGAGAGACCACTTCAGTGCCAAGTAATTTACTGTAATCACCTGGCAGATGGAGGACTGTTAGGGAAGTCCCATGATCTAACTTGCCTCCTGATGTGATTTGGCTGTGCCCCCACCCAAATGTCATCTTGAATTGTAGCTTCCTTAATTCCCATGTGTTGTGGGAGGGATCTGGTGGGAGGTAATTGAATCATTGGGGCAGGTCTTTCCCATACTGTTCTTGTGATAGTGAACAAGTCTCCTGAGATCTGATGGTTTTATAAAGGGGGTTCCCCTGCACAAACCCTCCTGCCTGCCGCCATGTAAGACGTGACTTTGCTCCTCATTCACCTTCAGCCAGGATTGTGAGGCCTCCCCAGCCATGTGGAACTGTGAGTCCATTAAACCTCTTTCCTTTATAAATTACCCAGTCTCAGGTGTGTCTTTTTCTTTTTCTTTTCTTTTCTTCTTCTTCTTCTTTTTTTTTTTTTTTTTTTTGAGACGGCGTTTCACTCTTGTAGCCCAGGCTGGAGTGCAATGGCGCGATCTCGGCTCACTGCAACCTCCGCCTCCTGGATTTAAGCAATTCTTCTGCCTCAGTCTCCCAAGTAGCTGGGATTACAGATGCCCACCATCACACCCGGCTAATTTTTGTATTTTTAGTAGAGATGGGGTTTCACCACGTTGGCCAGGCTGATCTCAAACTCCTGACCTCAGGTGATCTGCCTGCCTCGGCCTCCCAAAGTGCTGGGATTACAGGGTGGGCCATTACGCCCAGCCAGGTATGTCTTTATTAGCAGCATGAAAACAGACTAACACACCTCCTTAATTCTGCTTAGCTACCTTGGGAGAGTGGAGTTGAGCAGACATATCAGGTCCTTAAACAGGTACATCCCAATAACCTCCACTCTTTCAGCCACAGAGAGAAGTTTTCAATGAAACAGGTTCCTTGTCAGCAAAATCCACTTTGCTGAAGTGTTTCATCTTCCAGGTTAGCTCTGGGGAAGTCGTGGGTTTGTTTCTTGGGCTAGGGACTGGAATTATTTTTGGTGGAAAGGAGGTCTTCAAATTCAGCACAGTGTAGATTAAAGAGCTATGGTCTAGAATGATCCAGTCTAGCTGTATCAGCCAGGAACTTTTTGGTGGCAAGTGACAGAAACTCAAATCTTACTGGCTTCAATAAAAAAAGAAATCACTGGTTCATGTAACTGAAAAGCTCATGTCTGCTGGAATCCACTGTTAAACTCAATTTCTTTCCTCTTCTTTTTGGGCTTTGCTTTCTTCTGTTTGGGTTCTGCTTTCAGCTAAATCCTCTCCCACCTTAGCAACCCTAAAAAGGGAGACGTTCTGTTTCTCATGAATTCCACCAAACTTGCAGCTAGGTTTTCCACTGGACCACATTGGGTGACATGCTCAGTCCTGAGCCAATCCCTCCAGCCAAGGGGATGGAATATGCTGATTGGCCGGGCTGAGTCATGTGCCCACTTGTAACTGGAGTGGGTTGGGATCAGCTCCACAGATAAGGGTGGGAAGGTGGGGAGGATTGGTCACATGATCACAGGCAGCTCAAGGTGCTGTCATCAGGTGTAGGGGCAGGCAAAACCCACACGCGCCTACATCACTGGGGTTCAAACCCTGGCCTTCTTGCTAGCTGTGTGACTTTTTTTTTTTTTGAGACATGGTCTTGCTCTGTTGCCCAGGCTGCAGTGTAGTAGCACAATCATAGCTCACTGCAGCCTCGAACTCCCAGGCTCAAGCAATTCTCCTGCCTCAGCCTCCCAAGTAGCTGGGACCACAGATGTGCACCATTACACCCAACTAATTTTGTATTATTTTTTGTAGAGATGGGGGTCTTACTATTCTGCCCAGGCTGGTCTGAAACTCCTGGGCTCAAGCGACCCTCCTGCCTTGGCCTCCCAAAGTGCTGGGATAACAGGCCTGAACCACTGTGCTCGGCCAGCTGTGTGACTTCTGATGAGTCACCTGCATCCACAAATGGGCTGTTCTAAGATGAAATGAGATCACATAAACAAAGCAGCCAGCCCTGGACTCTGTGCACAGTAGGAGCTCACTTATTGCCTCCTCTTCCTGCTCTAATTCACATTGCCTTCCTGAGCCTCAAGCTTTTCATCTATGAAATAGAGCTAATCATCGCAGACCCACCAGATGCACTTATTTGCTCAGTACATATTGATTTCATCCCCAGTACTGGGCCAGCTGCCTGGTGTAGAACATGATGAGACAGTTGCTGTGTGCTGGACACCATTCTGAGCTCTTGACTTGTATCTACTCATTTAATCTTCACAACAGCCCAAGAGGCACTATTATTATCATCCTCACTTTGCAGATGAGGCAATGGAGACATAGAGAAGTCAGGTATGATATCTAAGTTTGCACAGTAACTAGAACTTCTAGGATTTGAACCCTAGCAGTTTCCTTTCCTTTTCCTTCCTTTCCCTGCCTTTCCCTGCCTTTCCCTGCCCTTCCCTGCCCTTCCCTGCTCTTCCCTGCCCTTCCTTTCTCTTTTCTTGTCTCACTCTGTTGCCCAGGCTGGAGTGTAGTGCTGAGATCTGAGATCACTGCAGCTTCCACCTCCTGGGTTCAAGCAATTCTCCTGAGCCTCCTGCCTCAGCCTTCTGAGTAGCTGGGACCACAGGTGTGCACCACCATGCCCAGATCATTTTTGTATTTTTAGTAGAGATGGGGATTCACCATGTTGGCCAGGCTGGTCTCGAACTCTTGACCTCAAGTGATCCACCCGCCTCGGCCTCCCAAAGTGCTGGGATTACAGGCATGAACCACTGCACCCAGCCTACTCAGCAGTTTGTTTCTACTCCATTGAAGCAATGCAACTCTGAGTATAGTTTCAGTGTGATGTGTGTATATTAAGATTAGAGGTCATGGTAGACCAGAGGAGCTCCTAGCCTGTTTCTGGGGTTCAGAGTCCTGCTATCCAACATTGCCTCTTTCAGACAGGAAACCAGAGACCTGCATTACGAGACAGAACAGCAGGTTCAGAGCCATGAGGCAGGACTGAGCTTGGTATGTTCCAGAAATAGCAGGAAGGCTGGTGTTTCTGGAGGGTGGTGTGGAAAATGCTTCTTCAGAGCACTTCCTGTTTTTTTTTTCTATGTCTTACCTCAGCTGTGTCTCCTAAGAGCCCATAAGAGAGGCCAGGCTGGTCAGATGAGGACAACAGACCCAGAGAGGTCAAATGCCTTGTCCAACACAGCATGCCCGCGGTGGAAGCTGAACTGAGAGGAAGTGGTCTGGCCACGCTGTCCTCTGAGGAGGCGAGGTTGGAAAAATCACAAGATTGGATTTCCAGTTTTTCTGGGTGCTGGGCTGTTGCAGTGACATGGACAATTAAAACCAGCCCACCCACGATGCCTGGTGCAAATTGCAAGAGTGGAGGAGGTGAGGGACAGAGCAAGGATGGGGACATAAATGCTTGAAGAGGCTGCCTGAGCCCAGGAGGGAGGAACTCTCAGTGTGATTTATGCATAGCTGTGCTGCAGGCAGTCAGGGAAGGAGCAGGTGCCTGTGGATCTTCAATCCTCTGGGCACAAGGGCCTGAGCTTCAGGCTGCCTTTCTGAGGTGCCCATTAAAAAATAAAGGCCACATTTTAAACTAACAAAAGTTCAAATTTAAAGTAAGTCCACTTCTGGCTGGGCGCAGTGGCGCACACCTGTAATCCCAGCAATTTGGGAGGCCAAGGTGGGCGGATCACTTGAGGTCAGGAGTTTGAGAGCAGCCTGGCCAACATGGCAAATCCCTGTCTCTACTAAAAATACAAAAATTAGCCAGGTGTGGTGGCATGCGCCTGTAGTCCCAGCTACTTGGGAGGCTGAGGCACGGGAATTGCTTGAGCTCAAGAGGCAGAGGTTTCAGTGGGCCGAGATCACACCATTGCACTCCAGCCTGGGCAATAGAGTGGGACCCTGTCTCTCACACACACACAAGTCCACTTCTTAGTATCGGCCATGTGAGTCTTCTAAAAAGTTCACCATACCAGTTTGAAACAGTGAAAAACAAGGTCTGTATAGCCTCACTGCCCACAGATGGAGAGATGGCTAGACATTTATAGGTGTATATTCATGTTGTGGAATATTATATAGCCTGTAAAAAGAATATACTAATGCATATTAGTGTTAATATTACATAGCCTATAAAAAGAATATATTAAGATGTACTGTGGAATGAAGAAAGCAAGTTACAGAGTGTTATGGGCAGCAGGATGTCATTTATTATCCCCCCTCAAAGAAACTCCCCAATATTACACCTTTTCTGTGGGTATATAACAAAATTTTAAGATGCACGTTTACCTTATGTGCCATTAAGATAGACAAATATACTGCCAATTATGATTGTGGGGTGCTGTGGATGGTCAAACATACTCTATTTTCAGATCTGTTAAAGTATGATAAAGGCTGGGCATGGTGGCTCACGCCTGTAATCCCAGCACTTTGGGAGGCCGAGGCAGGTGGATCACTTGAGCTCAGGAGTTCTAGACCAGTCTGGGCAACATGGTGAAACGCTGTCTCTACCAAGAATACAAAAAATTAGCCGGACGTGGTGGCATGCGCCTGTGGTCCCAGCTACTTGGGAGGCTGAAGTCGGGGGTTGCTTGAGCCTGGGAAATGGAGGTTGCAGTGAGCCGAGATAAGGCCCACGGCACTTCAGCCTGGGTGTCAGAGTGAGACCCTATCTCAAAAACAAACAACAAAAAAAGTATAATCAAGTGTGCATTGTAGAATTTGAGGAATATGTGAATATATAGAAAAATTATAAATATATGGACAAAAACTGGGAAGATGCACACTGAGTCATTTACAGAGGGTCACTCTGGAAAGGAGAGGAAGACACAGGGCTTGGGGTGGCCAAGAGGGTCTTGTTTCCTTTTTTTTTCTTTTTTTTTTTTTTTACCTCTTTTGAGATGGAGTCACTCTCTGTCGCCCAGGATGGAGTGCAGTGGTGTGATCTCGCCTCACTGCAGCCTCCGCCTCCCAGGTTCAAGTGATTCTCCTGCCTCAGCCTCCCGAGTAGCTGGGATTAGAGGTGCACATCACCACGTCCAGCTAATTTTTGTATTTTTAGTAGAGACGGGTTTTCGCCATGTTGGCCACGCTGATCTCAAACTCCTGGCCTCGAGTGATCTGCCTGCCTTGGCCTCCCTAAGTGCTGGGATTACAGGCATGCATCGTGCCGGGCCTTGTTTTAATTTTTTCTAAGAAGAATGTTATCATGTGTTGATGTAAAGCAAGCTCCAAGAGGGCTGCCTCTGTGGTTGGATTTCTCATTAGTGTGGCTTGTGGGGCTATTTGTGACCCTGGCTCACCTCTCCAGCTGCAAGAGCTGAGGTATTGCTACTTTGGGTGTCTCCTACTTCTGGATGTTGGCATTTTCTGTCCCCACTTTTGGGAATCCCTCTCCTACTTCTCAGCCCAGTTAACGCCTCACTGTCTCGCCTCCAGGTCTCAGCTGAGACCTCTCCCCACTCAGGAAGGCTTTAACTTCTCAAGCTGGAGTACGTGTCCATGTCTGCAGTCCCACGACCCCTTTGTCCACTTCTTTTGTAATCTCATTCCAGCTCTGACACTTCATGGCCATTGGCTCTTGGGGTAGTTGATATAAGTTCCTTGAACCTCAATTTTCCCACCTGTGAAATGGGAATTAAAAACTCCCACCTGGTACAGTCTAAGTTGATGATGAGAAAGAGACAAGTATTCTCATATTCAGTGCCCACAACTCTGCAAGGTCAGAGTCCAATTGACAGGTGACGAAAACGAGGCTTTTGAGCGATGATGTGGTTTGCTTGGGTAAGAGGCGGAGTCAGGATTTGAACCCACGTCTTTGCTCGGAGACTCCTGCTCTTTCCATATCCTAACAATACCTCTTGGAGACCATGAAGAGGCAGCCCCCATCCTCCAGGACAGACTCAAGGACACACATATATATATATATAAAATTTTAAAAGCTACTGCCTTACCAGGCATAACAGGGCTGCATAGCTCTGAGCTCTTCCAGAAGTCTCAAAGTCACACTGACAAGGTTAGGAAATAAAGGTGGTGAAATTTCTTCCTTGTAGTAAGTGGATCCTGGGACCTTCTTCTTTTGCCAGAGCTTTTGATGTTCCTGGGGTAAGAGACATCCCCTGCTCTGCGTAAGAGCATTGACCGCTCGGGGCTTCCTGACCTCACAAGCATCATGGAAGACTGCTTTCCCCACTGAGCAGCTCTTTGAACAGCATGATAATGAAGCAGTCACAAACACTTTTTCTGTTTGTTTTTGGTGTGAACATCTTTGCTTCTTTCTGGGGTTGCTTTTCCCTTGACTTGTAGCAAAGCATTTTTGCGTCTAAAATATCTCTGCACTGGGGCACACACGTTTACCATTGATGAAACAATGGCCTGCCAATATTTTATTTTATTTTATTTTTTTGAGATGGAGTCTCACCCTGTCACCCAGGCTAGAGTGCAGTGGCACAATCTCAGCTCACTGTGACCTCCGCCTCCCAGGTTCAAGCGATTCTCCTGCCTCAGCCTCCCAAGTAGCAGGGATTAGAGGCCTGTGCCACCAAGCCCAGCTAATTTTTGTGTTTTTAGTAGAGACGGGGTTTCACCATGTTGCCCAGGCTAGTTTTGAACTTCTAACCTCAGGTGATCCACCTGTCTCAGCCTCTCAAAGTGCCGGGATTACAGGTGTGGGCCACCACACCCAGCCAACATTTTAATATTACTAGTAATTCCGTGTAATAACCACAGGTATCATCTATTGAGTTCCTACTGTATGCCATCCAAGACGTGGTACTGTGTGGATGGTGTCACTCCTAAAAAGATATGCTCATGTACTAAGCCCCAGTACCTGCGAATGTGACTTATTCAGAAAGAGCATCTTTGCAGGTGTAATTCAGACTCTCGAGATGAGATAATCTTGGACTAACTTGGTGGGCCCTAAATCCTATGACAAATGTCCTTATGAGAAGGGGAGAAGGTGGCCACGTGTGGATGGAGGTAGGGATTGGAGTGACATAGCCACAAGCCAGGGAGCATCACAGATTGCCAACGGCTCCCAGGACATAAGAGAGGCGGGGAAGGATTCTCCCCTAGAACCATCAAAGGGAACACAGTCCCATTGATATCTTGATTTTGTACTTCTGGCCTCCAGAACTGTAAGAGACTAAATTCCTGTTGCTTGGAAGCCACCCAGTTTGCCTTCATGTGTTACAGTGGCCACAGGAAATACATACCACCACCTGATCTAAGAACAAGGCCCCCCCACCGCCACTGCCCACCTATTTTTCTGCATCCTCACACTTATTTCCTCTGTGACACGTCACAGCCTGCAATGATCTTTGTTTCCTTGCTTCCTGTCTACTCTGTCTCCTGTGCCCATCTGTGAACTCCATGAGGGCAGTGGCCTTGTTCGATGAGGTGTCCCCAGGCCCTAGGACAGGGCTTGGCCCTCACTGGGGACCCAAAGGCATTTGTTTCTGAATGAATGCATGCGCTCAGGATTGAGTTCAGTGCTTTTGAAAACACTGCCGGTGGCATGCCTGTAATCTCCGCACTTTGGGAGGCCAGGGTGGGTGGATCACTTGAGGTCAGGAGTTCAAGAGCAGCCTGACCAATATGGTGAAATGCCGTCTCTACTAAAAAAAATACAAAAATTCGCCAGGAGGGATGGCGGGCGCCTATAGTCCCAGCTCCTCAGGAGGCTGAGACAGGAGAATTGCTTGAACCCAGGAAGTGGAGGTTGCAGTGATCTGAGATGGCACCATTGCATTCCAGCCTGGGTGACAGAGCGAGACTCAATCTCAAAAAAAAAACAAAAAACAAAAAACAAAATCAAAAAAGAAAAAAGAAAACATTGCCAATCAGGAAAACAACCCTGCAGGGAGGTCTTAGGTCTTAAATATTTTTTACAAATGAGGAAATGAGGGCTCACAGAGGTGAAGGGACTTACCTAAGGTCACATGGTGAGTAAGAGTGTCTGGCTGGCCTCAGACCCAAGATCCTTCTCTCCCAAGAACATCAACAGGGAATGACAGAACTGAGGTGGAAATCCAAGGTTCAGGAAGTTTGCTTTTGAGTCCAGCGCAGTAGCTGTCCCCACATCATCCCTCTCTAGCTGTTAAAGGCAGACACCTTTCACAGCTGCAGGGGCTGTGGGAGAAGGAAAGGGCCAATTAGATCTGCAGAGTAGAGGGAAGGGAAGTGGCTTTCGTTGAGGGCTTGAGCCCAAGTCATCTGCTATGGTCCTCATGTCAAGATGAATATGGTCCAGTTCCATTTTTCAAATGAGAAAATTGAAGCTCATTGAGGCAGCTCCTCTGAAGTCACATGGCTAGTAAGAACCACGCTCAGGTCTGACTCTAAATACTCCATGCTTTCCTTTAAAATTTACTGCCTCAAATGGAAGGTCTATGATCATGTGGACTTAGCCTGGCATCTCTGAATTGACACATGGCTGTCTGAGTCTCTTAAGGCACCACTTTCACCTGACATTACAGCAATTTATGTCTACATGTGAACTTCCTTTCTGAATTATAAGTTCCAAGGAGGTGGGATTTATGTCTGATCCAACTTTGTACCTCTACAATACCCATCCCAAAATAAAGCACCTATTAGATGCTCAGTAAATGCTCAATTTCCTTCCTTCCTTCCTTCCTTCCTTCCTTCCTTCCTTCCTTCCTTCCTTCCTTCCTTCCTTCCTGCTCTCATTCATTAACTCAGCCATCCATTGCACAGGGAGCATGTACTACATTCTAGGTTCTGTGTTGCAAGTTATTGGGCATTCAGGGATGTGCAAGAATACATCACAAGAAAGAAGAAATTTTCCAGGTCCTGCTGGCCTTTGATTCCTGCCACCTCTGTCCTGCTCCATCATATCCTTTCCCGCTTGCCAGTGCCTGGGAGAGCCCCTGGCCCCTGCCAGTTCCCTCCAGCCAGAGACCAGTGGGGACACCCCTGCAGTTCAAGTTGGGGTTTATTACTCAGTGCAGCAAAGGAGAACACACTCCATGGGGAGCTGTGGGGTGTCTCAGCAAGAGGTTGCCAGGAAGGACTTACGGGATTCGGGCTTTGATGGGGTGTCTTTGGAGGGTCTGAGGATGTGGAGGTTTGTTCTGGACTGGGTAATATCAGGAAGTGGAGACAATTCTGTGACCAAATATCTCCATCTTATCTATAGGGAGGCAGACTGGCTGTGATTGAGAAAGCAGGGACAGTCATATGAGCTGGGAGAAGGAGGCGTTTGATATTTTGTGGGTGGCACAGAGACCTTGTTTACACCTCTGCTTGGGCAGCCTGTGAGGTGCCCTTGCTGGGTCTCATTGTATTGTGGTCTCAGATGACCTCGTCTGATGTCGGAGTTCCAAGAGATTATATCCAGCAGAACACCGCAGTCTAGCTATGAGCGCCATGCCAGTTCCCAGAAGCTGGAAACTGTTTCTTTCTTTCTCTCCATCACAGGAGTTCATTAGAGGCTTGTTGATGAATGGGAATCAGGTCTCCCGGCCTGAGAGATCTGTGTTTGGTTGTAACAGGCTTTCCACATTACCAAAAGGTTTACAAGATTTCATGCATATTATTTCATTTAGATAGCCCAATACCAAGCTGAGAAACAATAACAATGAACACTTGTATTAGGTTTATGATGTGACAAGCACCATTTTAAGAAGTTTGTCCATTTTACCTCTTCCTCAGTACACAATCCTGTAAAGTGCATACTCTTAGTATTCCCATTTAGCTGATGAGAAAACTGAGGCTTGAAGGTTATAAAGTAACTTGCCTACAGACCCTCAGCTGGAAGTGATAGGGCTGACATTGGAACCCTGGTGAGCATAGGTGGCAGGTGTTGCATCATTGTTTACTGAAACAATAAACGGAGAAGTGTGGTGACCAGTTGTCCTGGTTTATCCTGCCTGGTCCCTGTAGACACCTATGGTCATGGTAGATAATTTAATACAGTTGATGATTGTTTGATTCTCAAAAGTGTGATTTGGATGGTCAATCATACGGGTACTCTGTCAACATGCGTGCAAGAGAGGAACTGTCTGCGACTTATTTATTTTTGTCTTCATACCAGTGCTCAGTGTGGAGCTAGACTCACAGCAGACACTCTTAATATGTTTGCTGAATTTAATAAGTTCTAGATCAGTGGGCAGGTGTTTTTACTCTTATTTTGCCAATGAGGCTCAGAGTGGTCCAGTCATTTGTCCAAAGTCACACAGCTTGTATGTCACAGACTCTTTTTCAGTGGTCTTTTGACTGTAACCCCTCACTCTGAAACTACATATCCACCACTTCCCAAGTAACCCAGCCCCCACAAAATTGGTGATGATGATTATTTTCATCATATCCACATTCCAAAGGGGACTATCTTCCCCAAGTGCATTCAGAGATGTGGCTAGCGATGGGAGCATTTCTAAGTAGAACAGAACTTGGAATCAATATTCATGTTCCAAAGCCACAATCCTGGGAAAAAAATGTAGCAAAGAATAGGGCACACACACAAAGAAAGCTAAACCAAATTTCAGCAGGAGATTTTATAGCTCTCTCCTGGGTGGCTTGCTCTTACCCAGGCGTTTAATCGAATGTGGACATCAAGGCAGCTTGCAGCACGACTGGGAAACTCACATGGGGCTGCCATGGCTGCACCAACTCTGGGAAACCTCATTAATTTCTGAACGAGAAATGATTTCCTTTCTTGGCCACAGTCTGAGATGATGGTGTGTGGGGGGATGGATTTTAAAGGACTAGGTTTTTGCATGAGCTGTGGTACTTCCCTGCCCAAGACTTTTCCCTGAAAAAGAAAGAAAGAAAGAAAGAAAGAAGGAAGGAAGGAAAGAAAGAAAGAAAGAAAGAAGGAAAGACCACAGGTCTCATCCCCTGTAATCACATTTTATCACAGGACAGCCTTGGGAGGAAGTTCAGTCTTGTTTTCTTGACTCACCAAAGTTAGTGCCAATTGAGGGACTGAAGGCAAAACATTTTGGTCAGAGTGGAGGTCACGGACCAAGTTATGATTATCACCATCATCTTTATTATTGATAGAGTTATGATTTATTTAGTGCCTGCTCTACGGGACGCAACACTGCACATCTTACTACATTGCCCCGTGTTGCCCAATGATCTTTACAAGTATTATTCTCATGATAATTCTGTGAGCCGTATACTTTTACCTCCATTTCATAAGAAGTGGAAATGGAGGTTCTGAGTAATTAAATGACATGCCCAGGACCCCACAGTCAGCCTGAATTAGAGTGCAAATAATCCGGCTCTGACGTCTATATTCTTCATCGCCATGAGGTCATCTATTGGGCTCCCTCAGTTTTTTTCTTATTTCCTAGAAACTGACATAGTTTCCTGCCTGAGAGCCACACTGTCTAGCTCAAAATTCACTCATTCACTCACTCATTCATTCACTACATTGTCAACACATATCTCTTCAGCACTTACCATGTCCCAGAACAGAACCTCTGCTAGAAACTCAGGGATACAATTGTGCACAGGGAAATAAGATCCTCTTTGCCAAAGAGCTCATGTTCTGTCAGGTGAGACATAAAAGTGACTCAGATGCCCTCAACACTAGGTAATAAATGCCTGTCCCTATGGGGTGCTGAGGGGGCACAGAGGAAGGGCACTTGACTGGGTGGACAGTGGTGAATGCAGTGTAAGGAAAGACTTCCCAGAACAAATGATGCTTAGCCTGCACTGAAGGATAGGAAAGTATTTATTTTCATACCTATCCTATTGCCAAAAGGATTTAAAGATGCTTGGCACCCAGCTCATAGTAAACAACCAATACACATTTGGTAAATGAAGGATGGATAAAAAAAAAACTTTGCACTTGTTTCCCTTTTTTCTTTGGCTGCTGGGAAGCTCAGAGTCAAATAGTGACAGAGGTATAGACCCTGAAACCTTAGACTTCCTCCTCCTCCATTCACCCCTCATCATGGGTCTTGACTTTCTTGTCATTCGTCTTTTCCACTTGCTGATTTTACAAGTTGTATTATTATTTATCTTTGACTGTTTGGGCTTGGGAGTTCTCTAGAAATGGCCCCAGATCCTACTAGAGAGGAGGCAAGAGAAATACATTCAATGCAGGGACTGTTCTCCAGGTGGATCCGTTTGGCTCTGCAACCCGGGGGCAGCATGTCTCCCTTCACTTTGGTTATCACACACATCACGTGGTCTTCAAGCCCTGAGATTAACAGTGTCCCCGTTAGTTCTCTCAATGCCCAAAGCCCTTCATCCACACAGTCCCTGCTCCCCCAAAAAGCTTTTTCCCATCCAAAAAGCTTGCATGATGCAATCAAGGTGCTGGCAAAAACTTTAAACAAAACAAAACCCAGAAAGCTTGCATGAGGCTCCTCCTTGTGGTGACAAATATGTTCTTGTAGAGAACGGGGCCGGCACTCCAGTCAGTGAAGCCAGCCTTGGGAGAAGGATAACTTCCAAATGATCAGCAAGTGCTGTCCCCAAAATGCCATGCTAAGGACCACAGGGGTTTTTAGATCTCTTAAGGTCCCACGGCTGTGGAGGCAGAGCCAAGGCCCAAACCACTGCCAGCCATCCCCCAATCCCAAGTTCTTCCTAACACCCTGGCTCTTGTAATGAATAATTAATGATGCGTGTGATCATCTGCATTGCGGCTTCTCTCTTGTTAGAAACCAGCTCTGGCCAGGCACAGTGGCTCACACCTGTAATGCCAGCACTTTGGGAGGCCAAGGCAGGAGGATCGCTTGGGCCCAGGAGTTTGAGACCAGTCTGGGCAACATATCAAGACTTCATCTTTACCAAAAATAAAAAAATTAGCTGGGTGTGGTTGTGCACACTTGCAGTACCAGCTACTTGGGCAGCTTAGGTGAAAGGTTTCCTTAAGCCCAGGAGGTTGAGGCTGCAGTGAGCCATGGTCGTGCCACTGTACTTCAGCCTGAGTGACAGAGCAAGACCCTGTCTCAAAAACAAAACAAACAACAAGAACAAAGCACACAGCCTTGCACGAGATGAGCCTCAACCACTGTTGTCATGGTCATCATCATCATCAGAAACAGTAGAAGTAATCGTCGTAGGGGCAGTGACAGTGTGGATTTTCCCCAGCTCTAGTAGGTGCTCGGGAAGTGTTTGTTGATTGAATGAAGGATGTTAGTAACTGTCCTCTGCCTGGTATCCTCTCTGTCTCTTCTAAGCCATGCATGGGACATTTGTGATTCTGCTGCCGCTCAGCCTGATCCTGATGGTTTTTGGGGGGATGACGGGGTTTCTGAGCTTCCTCCTCCAAGCCTACCTCCTCCTCCTGCTCACTGGAATTCTCTTCCTCTTTGGAGGTAGGTGCCCACCCTGCCTAGGGCTCTGGCTTGTGGTCTGGGGGTTGGGCAATGGGTACTGTGTATGAACCCTCAGCAAACGAGGGGGATCCCAGGGCCTCGTGGGGTTCAGTTTCCCCTTCTGGGATATCAGTTGGAAGAGATGAGTGGTTTCCAGCCCAGAATCACTTAGTCTCTGGTTCCAAGACAGGAGCAGTGCAGAGGGAGCAGCTTCCAAGAATCCTTTTCATTACTTCACCAAAGAAGCCGCATGTATTACCTTTGCCCAAACTCGTGATAGCTTCAAGCTTTAGGGCTGTGAGCTGGCAGGAGACCCTCGCTCCAGCCACCCTCGCTCTATTCTGCTGATCAGCCATTCTGATAGATACTGCTTTGATCGACTAAAAAACGGGCATGACCAGGCACAGAAAGACAAACACCTCATGATCTTTCTATGTAGAATCTAGAAGAGTCAAATTCACAGAAAGAGAGAATGGAACAGGCTGGGGGTGGGGGCAGGGGAGGGTGGGGAGATGTTGGTCAAAGAACACACAATTTCAGCTGAAAAGAAGGAAGTTCAGTGATCTATTGGGCGTCATGGTGACAGCAGTTAACAACAGCCTATTGTGTTCTTGAAAATCGCTGAGAGTAGATTTTAGTTCTCACCACACACAAAAGAAATGCTAAGTATGTGAGGCCGTGCCTGTGTTGAATAGTTTGACCGAGCCACTCCACAGTGTACACACACATATCAAATCCTCATGCTGTGTACCGTAAATACATACAATTTTTACTTGTCAATTAAACAGCAGCACACACAAAAACAAGATGAAACAAAACAACAGGTGGACAGACAATGGCTAGGTTAACACCACTGGTTGGTTTAGTGGACCAGAGGTTTTGAAAAATGGGACCTGGCACGTGGCTGGCTGCCTTAAAGGCTGTCTGTATCCCTGTGTATTTGAAATGTTCCTTTTAAAAAAAAAAAAAAGCAGTGATGACATGCTCCCTTGGAATCCACAGAGGAAAAAAAACAAAAGGGATGTCTGGAGGTGAAAATATTGCAAAGTTCTCATCTCCTCTAACCACTCACTATTATTATTACTATTAGCATTAATAGTTCACCCAGTGACAAATTCTCGAAACCAGCACTGCCTGGTAGAAGTTTCTGTGATGGTGGAGAAGTTCCCTAATCCATGCCGAGCATCGGGAGCTGCAAACCAGGCCAGGGCAGTGAGTGCTGATGGGGGACTGAGCTGTTAACTTCATTTAGATTAGTTAACTTAAATTTAAATAGCCATGTGTAACTGGTCAGTGGCTATCGTACTGGACCATGTGGCTCAAATCTAATATCTGTGGAGAACCACCGTGGGCCAGGCACCGTTCTCGGTGCTGGGGAATTGAAAATGAGCAAAACCAACAGGAGCATGTCTGCCCTCTGGACACTCACAGGCCACTGGGGGAGACAGATGTTAGTTAAATAATTACACAAACATGCCTGCAATCCCAGCACGTTAGGAGGCAGAGACAGGCGGATCACTTGAGGTCAGGAGTTTGAGACCAGTCTGGCCAATATGGTGAAACCCTGTCTCTACTAAAAATACAAACATTAGCCGGGCGCGGTGGCGGGCATCTGTATTCCCAGCTACTCAGGAGGCTGAGGCAGGAGAATAGCTTGAACCCGGGAGGTGGAGGTTGCAGCAAGCTGAGATCGCAGCAAGCTGAGATCGCACCGCTGCACTCCAGCCTGGGCGACAGAGCGAGACTCTGTCTAAAAAAAAATTACACAAAAGAATGCAAAGTTGCAATTGTGACCTGGGCAGTGATGGGCAGCTGTATGGTGCTGTGGAATCACTGCTCAGGCAAGTCCAGGAATCGAAGCGTGAGCTGCCATGTGTGGGAAGGGTAGGAGTTGCCGATGACAGGCAGAGAAGCAGGGGTGAATGCACCCAGCGGGGAGACTAGCACGCGCAAAGGTCCCGCAGCAGGAAGGAGCGAGGACGCTGGACGCTGAGCAGCGTGGCTGGGCAGGGCGAGGAGGAGGAGGGGAGTGCTGGGGCGGGGTGGGGGATTGATCTGCTCTCCCTTTGCCCTCCCTGCAGCCATGGTGACCCTCGCTGGGATCAGCGTCTACATAGCGTATTCAGCCGCCGCCTTCCGGGAGGCGCTGTGTCTCTTGGAGGAGAAGGCCCTCCTGGACCAGGTGGACATCAGCTTCGGCTGGTCCCTGGCCCTGGGCTGGATCAGCTTCATCGCCGAGCTGCTCACCGGGGCAGCCTTCCTGGCAGCAGCCCGCGAGCTCAGCCTGAGACGGAGGCAGGACCAGGCCATATGAGCCTGGGCGCTGGGTCGTGGAGGGGAGGGAGGGGCTTGGCCCCGGAGCTTCACCGACCGATCTCCATCGGCTGCGGCCTCTTCTTCCTCAAAGGCCACTCGGGGAGGCCAGGCACCCCCCTCCTTCCCCCACAAATCCCCGCGGACTAAGCTTGGGGCCTGGCTGTTATCCTAGTACCTGTGTGCTTATGTCCGTGTGTGTCCGTGTGGCCTGGAGGAGCCCGAGGGAGTGCCAAACCGCTTCGCGAGAAATAAAAACGATCCTTTAATCACACACAGAGCTTTACAGATTGCAAAGTCCTCACGCCCCCTCCGACTTCATTTCCTCCTCACCCATGTCCCTTGGATCAGCTCCTTGGTGGGTCTGGGAAAGGGAGAGGGTGCCCTACCTCCTGGGCCCTGTAATGCGTTCAGCTCTCTCTGGGGAGCTCTGGCCTGGAGTTCCTTTTGCTCTAAAATAACTCTGGCATGACATGGGCTTTCTACGGGGTCAGGTTAGGTCTACAATATGAAGCTGCGAGACTCCCAAGGGGTTGGCCAATTGATAGAGCACTCTTCAAGACTAATCATACCTTTTCCGTCCTCCCCCAGAAAAATCCATCCCTCCTTTCATCCTGGTGTTCTGCCCCTGGGAATGGGCTCCCCATCCGGGTCCCCTGGGGCAGTGCTGTTCACATTTAGCGCGCCCCAGACTCTATGGGCTTGTTGATACTCTCGGGCTGATGCCACCCCCAGGGTGTCTGAGCCAGGAGGCCTGGGTGAAGCCCAAAAACTCACATTTCTAAGTGGCTTCCAGGCGATGCCGAGGCTTCTGGCCCAGAGCCACTGTTTGCATAAATGCCGAGGTGGGGCGTTTATTAAGTGACAGAGAAGGGTTGTCATCTTGCTGCTCTTAGAATCACCTGGGTATCTTCCAAAAATCCTGCTGCTGTCTACATCCTTGATCTGATATTCTCTAGGGCTGGTGTCCAGGCATCAGTGTTTTTTAAGAGCTCTCCAGCCTATTCTAACCCAAAACCATGGCTGAGATTCTGTTCCTGCAAGATTCCAAGTCATGAGATGTAGGGGAGGGCCCGAGGAGCCTTTGGCTTAGGAAACTCTGGGAGGTGCTGATGGTTTGGGGAATACTGGTGTGGATTAAAAGATGACAACACGATTATCAACAATATGGCATCATCGTCTTCATCATGACATCATCATCACCATGACGTCAACACTGTCATCATCATAGCTGACACCCACTGAGTACTTTCTATGCACCTGTGCTATTCTCCATGCCAGTCGGTCAGTCAGTCATTCAACAAACATCATGACATCATCACCACCATGCCATGACATCACCACCACAACGACATGACACCACCATGACATCAGCATTGTCATCATTATAGCTGACATCCACATCTATGCACCTGTGCTATTCTCCACGCCAGTCGGTCAGTCAGTCATTCAACAAACACTCAAAGGAAGGCCAGTACACACCAGCAACTGGGGGGGCAATGACTCCTCCAGACCCAGACCTTGCTCTCTGGGGTGCCACATGATTGAGGAGAGAGAGGCATATGAAATACGTAGCCCGTGGTGAGGACTAGGAGATAAGCAAAGCAGGGTACAGATGAGGAAACTGAGGCACTGGCAGGTTAACATAACTGGACTAAGGGCATAAGGAGAGAAAGGGACGCAACTGGGAGTAAACTTCAGAACTGCCTGATCCCAAGATGGTCCTCCCCCTACTTCCACCAACGCCTGCACTTCTTTACTGGCTGTCTGCTCCTTTCAGGACGTTGCTGCGACGTCCCTGTCTAATCCGGAAAGGCGCAAAAGGAGTGGGTTACTCACATGGCCACATGGGGCTAAATGAGCGCTGTTGGAAAATCAGTTACAATGCTGGGGAAAACAAAGTTTTTGCAAAGTGAGGGCAACCATGCTACCGAAAGGGCGGTCTCTGCTTCCACCTGCTGGTCGTATTGTGGAACTGCTCCAGAGGCAGGATTTGATCCCCAAATTCGTCAAGAGACACGTTTTCAGCCCTCCTAGCGCCCAAGTGCTGGATTAAATACTGCAGGGCCAGAGTTCTCAGCTGGGGCGATTCTCTCCCCCACCTGACATTTGGCAGTGTTTGGAGACAGTTTTGGTTGTTCTTAGTGCGTGTGGGGAGTGGTATTACCGGCAGCTCCAGTGGGAAGAGGCCAGGGATGCTCCTCGCATCCTATGATGCTCAGGACATCTGGTCCCACACGTCCACCTTGGGACATGCTGAGACACTCTGCTAAGCGAGCAATAATGGACAATAACAAACCAAAACATGTGTGCACCTCAGGAACTGACAACACAGAATAAGCTCATTCATTCGCCCATCCATTCATGCATTTGATAAATGCTTGCCAGATACCTACAGTGTCAGAGACTGTTCCAGGGCCTGGGGACACATTCATGGGGGTGGCCAAGAAAATCTCCACCCTTCCTAGCTCACATGGGAACAGATGATAAACCCATGAACCAATAATCTATCTGAGAGATTCAGACAGTGATTAGTGTTATGAAGAAAACAAAACAGGGTGATGAGGCCGGGCGCCATGGCTCATGCCTGTAATCCCAGCACTTTGGGATGCCAAGACAGGCAGGTCACCTGAGGTCAGGAGTTCGAAACTAGCCTGGCCAACATGGTGAAACCCCATCTCTACTAAAAATACAAAAAAAAAAAAAATAGCCAGCTGTGGTAACACGCGCCTGTAATCCCAGCTACTTGGGAGGCTAAGGCAGGAGAATCACTTGAACCCAGGAGGTGGAGGTTACAGTGAGCCGAGATCGCACCATTGCGCTCCAGCCTGGGTGACAGAGTGAGACTCCATCTCAAAAAAAAAAAAAAAAAAAAACCAGGGTGATGGGATGAAAGGTGTCTGGTAGAGATGTGACTCCAGGAAGGACAATTAGAAAGGGCTTCTTGGAGGAGGTGACATTGTGCTGAGACCCGCATGAAGAACCTGTAGGTAGGGAAACTGCAGACCAGGCAGGTGACAGCAGACGCAAAGGCCCTGAGGTGGGAAGAAGCTTCTGTGTTAGAGGGAAATGAAGAGGGAGGGTTGATGGAGAGAAATAGGAGGTGAAGGTAGAGGCAGGGAGAGAGAAGGCAGTGGGCGATGCCCATGGCCCGTGGTAAGGAGGTGCTGATGATTAAGTGGGGTTGGGATGCTGTTCCATTCTGTTCTGTTCTGTTCTATCCTGATCCATTCTGATCTGTTCTATTCTGATCCATTCTGTTGTGTTCTGATCCATTCTGATCTGTTCTATTCTGATCCATTCTGTTGTGTTCTGATCCATTCTGATCTGTTCTCTTCTATTCTGATCCATCATTCTATTCTGACCTGTTCTGTTCTATTCTGATTTTTTTTTTTTTGAGACTGCGTCTAGCTCTGTCACCCAGGCTGGGGTGCAATGGCTCAATCTCGGCTCACTCCAACCTCTGCCTCCCAGGTGCAAGTGATTCTCCTGCCTCAGCCTCCCCAGTAGCTGGGACTACAGGCACGCACCACCATGCACCATGCCTGGCTAATTTTTTGTATTTTTAGTAGAAATGCGGTTTTACAGTGTTAGCCAGGATGGTCTCGATCTCCTGAGCTCATGATCCACCTACCTTGGCCTCCCAAAGTGCTGGGATTACAGGCGTGAGCCACCGTGCCTGGCCCGATCCATTCTGTTTCGATCTGTCCTGCCGTATTTTAATCCATTGGATTGGTTCTGTTCTATTCTGATCCATTTTGTTCTGATCTGTTCTGTTCCATTCTGTCTTGTCCTCTCCTCTTCTATTTTCTTATTCCACTTGGACTCTCTCTTGAGAGTGATATGCCTTTAAGACAGTGGTTCTCAACCCTGGCTCTACATTAGCATCACGTGGGGGTCCTATTTAAAAAACAACCAGTTGCTAGCACTGGGGCCCCAATGGAGCCAAATGCAATCAGACCCTCGAGGGCGGACCTGGGCATTGTTATGTTCACAAAGTTCCCCAGGTGATTCTGCTGTGCAGGGGAGGTAAGAACCACTGCTCTAAGACCCTTAGGTCTGTTGTGTGAACGGACCGGCCTGCAGGGGTGAGAGTGGTTGCAGGAAGTACAGGGAGGGGCCTCCCAGGGCCAGATGAGAGGAGAAAGAACTCGGAGCAGGTGGAGGTGTGGTCAGATCCAGGTGTGCTGGACTAACCGGGGGTTAGAGGAGGGGATTTATACTCATGAGAAGGTAAACAGGAGGAGGAAGTGGGACTACGGCGCGTGTCCCTTTGCTGGGGAGGCTCAGCCACGATTTGTCCCCTCAGGTCCAGACCTGGCTGGAACCCCTGGCAAACAACTGGCCGCTCTCTTTCTCTCAGAGAAGGCGCTCTATCTGGCAAAGAAGATCCATTCATTTATTCACTCATTCATTTATTCACTTGCCACCCACCCATCCATTCATTTACTCACTCATTGCTTCACTTATTTATATATTCATGCACGCATTCAGTCTTTGTTCATTCATAAGTTCACTTGCTTATACCTGTCCCATGCTTCATTCATTCACTCACTTATTCATTTATTCATACATTTTCCCATTAATCAATTCACTCATCCATCCATGCATCCATCCACCCATCCATCATTATCCATCCATTTGCTTACCCACTCACTCACTCACTTATTCACTCAGTCATTAATTTACTCATTCACTCACTCACTCATTCACTCACTCACTCACTCATTCACTCACTCATTCACTCACTCATGTATTCACTCAGTCACTTATTTACTCATTCACTCACTCACTCTTTCACTCCCTCACTCACTCATTCACTCACCCATTCCCTCACTCACTCATTCCCTCACTCAGTCACTCATTCACTCATTCACTCACTCACTCATTCACTCCCTCCCTCCCTCATTCATTCACTCACTCATTCACTCACTCATTCCCTCCATCACTCACTCACTCATTCACTCACTCATTTACTCACTAATTCACTCACTCACTCATTTACTCATTCACTCACTCATTCACTCATTCCCTCCCTCCCTCACTCACTCATTTACTCACTCATTCACTCACTCACTCATTCACTCACTCATTCACTCATTCCCTCCCTCCCTCACTCACTCATTTACTCACTCATTCACTCACTCACTCATTCACTCACTCATTCCCTCCCTCCGTCACTCACTCATTTACTCACTCACTCATTCACTCACTCACTCATTCCCTGACTCATTCACTCATTCCCTCCCTCCGTCACTCACTCATTTACTCACTCATTCACTCATTCATTCCCTCCGTCCCTCCCTCACTCATTTACTCACTCACTCATTCCCTCCCTCCCTCACTCACTCATTTACTCACTCACTCATTCACTCACTCACTCATTCCCTCACTCATTCACTGACTCATTCACTCACTGACTCATTCTCTCACTGACTCATTCTCTAACTCACTCATTCACTTATTTCATCACTCATTCACTTATTTCATCACTCATTCACTTATTTCATCACTCATTCACTCACTCACTCATTCACTAACTCACTCATTCACTAACTCACTCATTCACCCACTCACTCATTCATGCACTCACTCACTCATTTACTCACTCATTCACTAACTCATTCACTCACTCATTCACTAACTCACTCATTCACTTACTTATTTCCTCACTCATTCACTCACTCACTCATTCATGCACTCACTCACTCATTTACTCATTCACTCACTCATTCAGTCACTCATTTACTCATTCACATACTCATTCACTCACTCATTCCCTCCCGCCCTCCCTCACTCACTCATTCACTCATTCACTCACTCATTTACTTACTCGTTCACTCACTCATTTACTCATTCCCTCACTCACTCATTCATTCACTCACTAATTCACTCACTCACTCATTCACTCATTCCCTCCCTCCCTCCCTCCCTCCCTCACTCATTCACTCACTCACTCATTCCCTCCCTCCCTCACTCATTTACTCACTCAGTCATTCACTCACTCATTCCCTCACTTATTCACTGACTCATTCATTCACTCACTGACTCATTCACTCACTCACTCATTCACTAACTCACTCATTCACTTACTCATTCACTTACTTATTCGCTCACTCATTCACTCACTCATTTACTCATTCACTCACTCATTCAGTCACTCATTTACTCATTCACACACTCATTCACTCACTCATTTCCTCCCTCCCTCAGTCACTCATTCACTTACTCACTCATTCACTTACTCATTCACTCACTCTTTTCCTCCCTCCCTCAGTCACTCATTCACTTACTCACTCATTCACTTACTCATTCACTCACTCATTCACTTACTCATTGCCTCACTCATTCACTCACTAATTAACTCACTCGTTTACTCATTCACTCACTCATTCACTCATTCCCTCCCTCCCTCACTCACTCATTTACTCACTCATTCACTCACTCATACCCTCCCTCCCTCACTCACTCATTTATTCACTCACTCATTCCCTCACTCATTCACTGACTCATTCATTCACTCACTGACTCATTCACTCACTCATTCACTTACTTATTTGCTCACTCATTCACTCATTCATTCACTCATTCACTCACTCATTTACTCACTCACTCACTCATTCAGTCACTCATTTACTCATTCACACACTCACTCATTCACTCACTCATTCCCTCCCTCCCTCACTCACTCATTCACTTACTCATTCACTTACTCATTCACTCAATTTACTCATTCACTCACTCATTCCCTCACTCACTCATTCATTCACTCACTCATTCACTCACTCCTTCCCTCCATCACTCTCTCACTCATTCACTCACTCATTTACTCACTAATTCACTCACTCACTCATTTACTCATTCACTCACTCATTCACTCATTCCCTCCCTCCCTCACTCATTTACTCACTCATTCACTCACTCACTTATTCACTCACTCATTCCCTCCCTCCCTCACTCATTTACTCACTCATTCACTCACTTACTCATTCACTCACTCATTCCCTCCCTCCTTCACTCACTCATTTACTCCGTCACTCATTCCCTCCCTCCCTCACTCACTCATTTACTCACTCACTCATTCCCTCACTCACTCATTCCCTCACTAATTCATTGACTCATTCATTCACTTACTGACTGATTCATTCACTCACTCACTCATTCACTCACTCACTCATTCACTTACTTATTTCCTCACTCATTCACTCACTCATTGACGCACTCACTCATTCACTCACTCACTCATTAACTCACTCATTCAGTCACTCATTTACTCATTCACATACTCATTCACTCACTCATTCCCTCCCTCCCTCACTCACTCATTCACTCATTCACTCACTCACTTATTCACTCACTCATTTACTCATTCACTCACTCACTCATTCCCTCACTCACTCATTCATTCACTCACTAATTCACTCACTCACTCATTCACTCATTCCCTCCCTCCCTCACTCACTCATTTACTCACTCATTCACTCACTCACTCACTCATTCCCTCCCTCCCTCACTCATTTACTCAGTCACTCATTCACTCACTCACTCACTCATTTACTCACTCATTCACTGACTCATTCACTCACTCACTGACTCATTCACTCATTCACTAACTCACTTATTCACTAACTCACTCATTCACTCACTCATTCACTTACTTATTCGCTCACTCATTCACTCACTCACTCATTCATTCACTCACTCATTTACTCACTCATTCACTCACTCACTCATTTACTCACTCATTCACTCACACATTCAGTCACTCATTTACTCATTCATATACTCACTCATTCACTCACTCATTCCCTCCCTCCCTCATTCACTCATTCACTTACTCACTCACTCATTCACTTACTCATTCATTCACTCATTTACTCATTCACTCACTCATTCACTCACTCATTCCCTCACTCACTCATTCATTCACTCACTCATTCACTCACTCATTCACTCCCTCCTTCACTCACTCATTCACTATTCACTGATTCACTCATTACCTCACTCACTCATTCATTCATTCATTCCCCCACTCATTGCCTTCCTCCCTCACTCATTCATTCACTGATTCATTTATTCACTCGCTCACTCATTCATTTATTCACTCATTCATTCACTTATTCACTCACTTGTTCATATAGTTATTCATTCATTCACTTACTCATTCATATGCTCATCGACTCATTCATTCAACAGTGACTTCTTTGATGCCTGATGTGCCAGGTGCTGTTTGAAACACCAAGGATTTAGCAGTGAACAAAAGTGACTCAAAACCTGCCTTTTGAAGCTGACATTCTGGGGTCTGTGCATGTGTGTGTATGAGTGCACGGGTATGACAGACAGTAAACATGGCTGGTGGAATGCGGGGTATGCTTCCTGGTAAGAAGTTCTGTAAAGCAGATGGGGAGAAGGTGGCAGGGAAGAGTGTGTTGTACGATGAAAATAATGTCCTGTCCAGTCTTTTGAGAGACCAGAAACTCTTCCTCCTAATTTTGCCTTGATTAACTAGCTCAATAAGTGTTGCCCAAGACTGTGCTATAGGCAAGGGAAGGGGAATCTCCCTAGGGCTGGACAGACAGGAGTAGACTGAAAACCCAGTGTTATGGTTTGGCTGTGTCCCCACCCAAATCTCATCTTGAGTTGCAGTTCCCAGAATTCCAGGAGGGACCCTGTGCGAGATAATCGAATCATGGGAGCAGTTTCCCCCATACTGTTCTCGTGGTAGCGAATAAGTCTTAAGAAACCTGATGGTTTTTAAGAGGTTTCCCTCTTTTGCTTGGCTCTCATTCCCTGTCTCGCCTGCTGTGATATAAGACGTGTCTTTTGCCTTCTGCCATGATTGTGAGGCCTCCCCAGCCACGTGGAACTGTGAGTCCATTAAATCTCTTTTTCTTTATAATTTACCCAGTCTCAGGTATGTCTTTACCAACAGTGGAGAACAGACTAATACACCCAGCCTCAGTCCCCAATGCTGACTTTGGTGCCTTCTCCTGGAGGTGAACGTTGGGGCTGATGGGGGATCCCAGACATAGTGAGGGCCCCCTGGAAACTTGCCAAGCATGTTCTCATGCCCTGAATGACAGACAGGAGCCTGAGGCCCACAGAAGGAGAAGACTTGCTCTGGTAGAGGCTGATAGTGAGAGAAACCAGGGTGAGACTCGAACTCCAGCCTCAGAATCTCCCTTTGACATCCCGGGCTACCTCCCTCCCTTTCTTCCTTGAGAATAAACAACCCGCCTTTTGGAGCCAGCAGGAAGTGCGTCCTCTGTGCCCAGCCCCTAGTCGCTGAGGATGGGCCACCCTGGCATGCAAACTTTTGTTAACATGGCCAAGCACTTTAGAGATTCCAGGGCAAGTTCCAAGGCTCATCTGACCCTTGCCACTGTCCAAGGAGAGGATGCCCACCCTCGCTCCCACTGATGGACAAGCCAACAGAAACTCAGGGAGGTCAAGGATGCATCCAAGATCACTGGGCATGCTGGGCACAGTGCCTCACACCTGTAATCCCAACAATTTAGAAGGCCAAGACAGGAGGATCGCTTGAGCCCAGGAGTTTGAGCCCAGCCTAAGCAACATAGCAAGACCCCATCTCTACAAAAAAAAAATAATAAAAAATAGCCGGGTATGGTGGTGTGCACCTGTAGTCCCAGCTACTCAGGAGGCTGAGGTGGGGGAATTGAGCCTAGGAGGTCGAGGCTGCAGTGAGCTGTGATGGCACCACTGCACTCCAGCCTGGGTAACAGAGTGAGACCCTATCTCAAACAACAACAACCACAACAAGATCATTAGCCAGAAGTTTCCAGAACAGAGACGCAAAGCCCGGTCTTCTGAGTGCCCAGCTAAGCCGCCCACTTCTGCCTCCCATTCAGCCACCCCAGGCTCCCGACTTCTCACCTTTGGGGTCTAAAGAGCCCCATGGGGATCTCAGTCCTTGTCCTGGTGCTGCAGCTTCTGTCATGGAAACCTGGGCTTCACGCACACACAGCTCCTCCATCATCAGCAGAACGAAGTCGGCAGCATCGCAACTGCAGGGCTCAGCCACCTTCTCCTTGTGAGGGTGGCATGGGGATTCTGTTAGAACATCGACGTCTGTCCCACATTCATTTCTATTTCCTCAATGAAATGCTTCTTTTAACAGAGTACTCAGAGCCCACAAGAGAAACAACGCTTTGATGACTGATAAAATATTCATGCATTGAAAAAGCCGACTCCCCTATCCGCTTCCACCTTTGTTCCTTGGTGGAGTTTGCTCCCTCCTGCACCCACTGGATTGCTGGGTCCTTGCTTGGAAGTAGCAGCTCAGGGAGCCCATGGCGGGCCGAGGATTCACCTGTAATGCTTGAAGCAGCCATTGTTTTTTTCTCCACAGCTGGGACGTTGGTCCTGATCTGTGCGATGGAAGCAGCTAGTCTCAGAACTGGGTGGAATTAAGGCAGGGTCCGGCGGCTCACGCCTATAATCCCAGCGTTTTGGGAGGCTGAGGTGGGCGGATCACTTGAGGTTATGAGTTGGAGACCAGCCTGGCCAACACGGTGAAACCCCGTCTCTGCTAAAAATACAAAAATTATCCGGGCGTAGTGGCGCATGCGTATAGTCCCAGCTAACCAGGAGGCTGAGGCAGGACAATCACTTGAACCTGGGAAGAAGAGGTTGCAGTGAGCCGAGATCATGCCACTGCACTCCAGCCTGGGTGACACAGCAAACTCCATCTCAAAAAGAAAAATAAAAAGAGGCCGGGTGCAGTGGCTCACGCCTTTAATCCCAGCACTTTGGGAGGCTGAGGTGGGTGGATTACAAGGTCAGGAGATCGAGACCATCCTGGCTAACATGGTGAAACCCCGTCTCTACTAAAAATACAAAAAAAAATTAGCTGGGCATGGTGGCACGTGCCTGCAGTCCCAGCTACTCGGGAGGCTGAGGCAGGAGAATTGCTTGAACCCAGGAGGCAGGGGTTGCAGTGAGCCGAGATCATGCCATTGCACTCCAGCCTGGGTGACAGAGTAAACTCCATGTCGAAAAAAAAAAAAAGAACTGGGTGCAATCATACTGGCATCTGATCTTCCACCTTCTGTCAATGGGGCCCTGAGAGGTGGGGTGAAATGCTCAGGGTGGGTGTTGTAGTTGCTTGCCTAAATAGGGGACTGTTGGAGGTTCAAGCATGTGCCCCAAAAAGATCATGTTGAAATTGTAACTTCACTACCTATAAATGTGACCTTACTTAGGAAAAGCGGTCTTTACCGGTGTAATTACTATAGTTAAGATGAAGTTACATTGGGTTAGGGTGGGCCCTAAAACCAATGACTGGTGTCTTTCTAAGAAGACCATGTGAGGATGGAGAGATACACAGAGAGAAGGCCACATGAAGACAGAGGCAGGGGTTGGAGAGATGCTGCCACAAGCCAAGATGCACCTGGAGCCACCAGGAGCTGGAATAGGCAAAGAAGGATCCTCCACTGGAGTCCTCAGAGGGTGCATGGCCCACCTGACACCTTGATTTTGAACTTTGTTTTTTTTCTTTTTCTTTTTGAGACAGACTCTCATTCTGTTGCCTAGGCTGGAGTGAAGTGGCGTGTGCTCACTGCAACATCTGCTTCTCAGGTTCAAGTGATTCTCCTGCCTCAGCCTCCCTAGTAGCTGGGATTACAAGCATGCACCACACACCCAGCTAATTTCTGTATTTTTAGTAGAGATGGGGTTTCACCATGTTGGTCAAGCTGGTGTCGAGCTCCTGACATCAGGTGATCCGCCTGCCTTAGCCTCCCAAAGTGCTGGGATTACAGGTGTGAGCCACTGCACCTGCCTGGACTGATTTTGAAATTTGGACCTTCAGAATTGTGAGAGAATACATTTCAGTTGTTTTAAGCCACCTAATTTGTGGTGGTTTGTCAGGGCAGCTCTAAGAAGTTACTAAAGTCACTATATCACAAGATTATTTTAAAGATCAAAGTGTTAATAACAGCTCACGTTACCAGATGATGATGGCGCTTTATCTTCTTCAGTCTTCCCACGATGTCTGTGAAGTAGGTGCTGTTATTATCTTTCCCAAAATGAGGAAATTGAGGCTCAGAGGCAGGAAATAATTACCTGAGTTCATGCCCTGGGTAAGTTGGTTCTGGAAAAGGGACCAAGGCTGCTGACCAGCACCTGTGTTCTTAAGGGCCACATACATTTCTTCGTAGCTGCCTAATAAATTACCCAAGATGTAGTGGCCAAAACTAGTGACCCTTGTATATTGCTTGTGGTCTCTGAGAGTTGGGAATTGCAGAAGGACTCAGCTGGGCGATTGTGGTTTGTCCTCTTTCATGCAGTAGCTGGAGCTGGAACAGCAGGCAGTGGAGCAGCTAGGGGCAGGCTGAGCACTTCTCTCTTTACATCATCTCGGGGCCTTTCCATATGGCTCTCCCCATGGGCTACACTGGGCTTCCTGACAATATGGTAGTATCAGGGCTTTTGGGAGGCTTATATGGCAGTTCCTGGGCCCAGGGCTAGTGCTCCCATGGGCAAGGTGGAAGTTGTGTTACCTTTTGTGACCTAGTCTCAGAAGTCATATAGCATCCCTTCTGCCACAGTTACAGCCTGTTCTGATTCACAAGGAGGGAACATAGACCTCAACCTCCCTGGGAGAAGTATCAAGGTCATATTCTAACAAGGGCATGGGGGATTGGAGAGCTGCTAGAGCCACGTTTAGAAAGTACAATCTGCTACCCTCTCTGAGTGTATCCTGTTTCCTCAAGCCTCACCGATTCATTATTTCTTCCATGGGATCTCAGACACCTCCAGCTCTGGTCCCCAGCAAAATCCAACTATTTATTTGCATCCTTAGCAAGAACAGAGGCTGGAGCGGTCAGCAGGGGCCACATTACGGAAGGCCACAGGGAGGAGCATTGAGATCAATGTGAAGGGTGTTAAAAAATTGTGATAAAATACACATGACATAAAATTTACATTTCAATCATTTTAAAGTGCACACGGGTCAGGCGCGGTGGCTCACGCCTATAATCCTGGCACTTTGGGAGGCTGAGGCGGGTGGATCCCCTGAGGTCAGGAGTTCGAGACCAGCCTGGCCAACATGGTGAAACCCCATCTCTACTAAAAATACAAAAAATTAGCCATGTGTGATGGCGGGTACCTGTAATCCCAGCTATTCAGGAGGCTGGGGCAGGAGAATCACTTGATCTCGGGAGGCGGAGGTTGCAGTGAGCCAAGATCACGCCATTGCACTCCAGCCTGGGCAACAAGAGCCAAACTCCATCTCAAAACAACAACAACAACAACAACGACAAATAAAGTGCACACAACTCAGTGGCATTCAGTACATGCACAGTGTCATGCAACCATTGCCACCATCTAGTTCTAGAACATTTTCATCCCCAAAGGATGAAAAGGATGAATGTTTTCACCCCTTTTCAACCCAAAAGGAAACCCAGTG
This sequence comes from Homo sapiens, assembly GCF_000001405.40. Lineage (NCBI taxonomy): Eukaryota > Metazoa > Chordata > Mammalia > Primates > Hominidae > Homo > Homo sapiens. The sequence goes on along the minus strand of NC_000016.10, from coordinate 8,556,344 downwards.
GGGAGTTCTATGGAGGAGGCGATACTTTTGTGCCCTAGAAGGATCTCTGTCTATAGCTTGAGTGATGGGCTGGAGCAGCGGGGGCTGGTATAACTGCAGGGACAAAGGCCGGCAGAGGGGCTGATACTTGTGTAGATGAGAGAATGTGGGCAGAGCTGGCGGGAAGGAGAGAAGAATTCAGACTTGGCATTTACGAGGTAGAATTGATGGACTGGGTGAGTGATGGATGCAGGAAGAAGAGACCGGGTTCTCAGATGAAATATGAGTATGGATGGTATTATGATTCACAGAGCTGGAAAATGCCAGGAGGCATGCCGACAGGTGGTGTTGAAGGAGGGGAGTAGATAGTAAATTCATGCTGGAAGACAGCGCTTCAGACACTGTGGGGACATCCAAGATGGACACGTCCAAGAGGCAGTTGGAGATACTTCTTAGGGTGAGGCCAACCAGGCTTTCCCAACCTTGGTACTAGTGACATTTGAGGCCAGATATTCTTTGTTCTTGGGAGCTTCCTTCTGTATTGTAGGCTGTTTGGCAGAATCCCTGGATTCCACCCAGTAGATGCCAACTGCATCCCCCCTTTGCAATTATGACAACCAAAAACGTCTCCAGATATTGCCAGGTGTCCCCTGGAAGACACGATTGTCCTGGTTGAGAATTACCTGGTCAGATGCATGGGGAGTCATCGACGTGAAAACAATAGTGAGATAGGCAGCAGATATAACTGGACCCCGGACCAGATTGAAGACTGGTGGAAGCTGGGACGAGGAACCAAAAGACGCATCTACCAGCGCCATGACAGTTTACCATTGCCATGACAACACCCAGAAATTACTGCCCCTTGCCTTGCCATGGCAACACCTCCCCACCACCCGGAAATTACTGCTCATTTTCTAGCTGATTCTGAAAGGCTGCTCCTTAATTAGTATATCATTAAAAGTGGGTATAAAGACGACTGCAAAACTGCCCTGAGCTGCTACTCTTAGCACATTGCCTGTGGGGTAGCCCTGCTCTTGCAGGAGCAGTCACGGAGCTGCAACCCTGCCACCTCCTCAATACAGCTGTTTTCTTCTACCACAGGCTTGCTCTTGAATTCCTTCCTGGGCTAAGCCAAGAACTTACCCTGCATCAGTAGTGCATACCTTTGGGATGTATGAGGTGCTCAGAAAGTCAGCATCACATGTGAAGAGAGAAGAGCTCAGGAAATGTGCATGATAAACACCAACTCACATGGGCAAAACCAGAGAAAACCACAAAGGTTACTGTGAAGGAGAGACCTGGGAGGAGAGGGGAGGGAAACCCCATGAGTGGGAAGGCCCTGGTACTGAAGGCTGCCTCACCTTCTGACTTCCAGCCATCTATGAGACCATATTTCCACGTTTACTTCTGGGGGTCTGCAGAGCATAGGGGCTCAAGGCACAGGCTCTATAGGCATTTGAACACCCAGCTGTGGTACGAAGGACAAACTGCTTAAGCTCTTCGTCCCTCAACTTCCTCATCCTTAAGACAGCACTAACATCAGTGCCTACCCTCAGGGTTGTTGTGGCCGTTGCATAAGTTACAGCAGGCAAAGTACGTAGAACAGGACTTCTCATCTGTGAGTGCTAAGCCAGTGTCAGCTGCTTTTAGGATTCTTATTTGACTCATTTCCAGGATTTTGAACCTGGCCTCACTCCTTGGGCTTAATTAACTCCATCATTCTTACATTCAGCAAATATTATGGAAGACTTAGTATGCACCAGCAGACACTGTCCGTGGGGAGCGAAAGAGAAGCAGAGCCAACCCCACAGAAAGCACGGCTGGGGGTGGAGGATCAATCAAGTGTCACACGTATGATTCCAAATGGAGATAAGTGCTATGAAGGGGCTATGAGAGGTCAAGAAGGAGATTCTCTCTCTCTGGTCAGCAATGGTGCCTCATTTTTATTATTATTATTATTATTATTATTATTAGAGACAGAGTTTGGTGCAATCATAGATCACTGCAGTCTTGAACTCCTGGTCTCAAGCGATGCTCCTGCCTTGGCCTCCCAAAGGGCTGGAATTGCAGGCTTGAGCCACTCTGTCCGCCCCTACCCCTTTTTTTCCCTGAAATCACATGACCTCATCTGTTTGCAGGGCCCAGGCAGTGAATAAAGGGGAAAATTAAAGAACAGAAGCCCTTTCAAATGCATCTCTTATTGTTCTGTTACAGTGAAGTAGTCTTAGGGAGGCCAAGTCGGGTGGATCACCTGAGCTCAGGAGTTCAAGATCAGCCTGGGCAACATGGTGAAACCCTGTCTCTACAAAAAACACAAAAATTAACTGGGTGTGGTGGCGCATGCCTGTAATCCCAGCTATTCAGGCGGCTGACACATGAGAATCGCTTGAACCTGGGAGCCAGAGGTTGCAGTGAGCTGAGATTGCACCACTGTACTCTAGCCTGGGTGACTGAGAGAGACCCTGTCTCAAAAGAAAAAAAAAAAAAGAAAAGGAAAAAATTAGCAGCCATAGTGGTGTGAGCCTGTAATTCCAGCTACTTGGGAGGCTGAGGTGGGAAGATAATGAACTTGAAAAGCTGAGATTGGGCAGGCGCAGTGGCTCACGCCTGTAATCCCAGCACTTTGGGAGGCCGAGGTGGGCGGACCATGAGGTCAGGAGATCAAGACCATCCTGGCTAACACAGTGAAGCCCCATCTCTACTAAAAATACAAAATAGGAGGCGTGATGGCAGGCGCCGGCAGTCCCAGCTACTTGGGAGGCTGAGGCAGGAGAATGGCGTGAACCCAGGAGGTGGAGCTTGCAGTGAGTCGAGATCGTGCCACTGCACTCCAGCCTGGGTGACACAGCGAGACTCCGTCTCAAAAAAAAAAGAAAGAAAAGCTGAGACTGCAGTGAGCCTAGATAGTGCCACTGCACTCCAGCCTGGGCAACAGAGTGAGACTCAGTCCCCCCAAAAAAAGATTCAAGTCCTTGAATCTTCATCTCCTGATTCTTTGGACTCTACAGCTATTTTCGTTCTCCTGAAAGACTTCTCTGGCCACAGACACCCACAGGGACCACCCGTGGCCAGATTTTCCAGAACCTCAATTTCAAAGTGATATGAAAGAATGCCCATTAAATCACAGGTCTTGATTCTTGGTCTGGAAAGCAGGGGCACTGAGCTGATGCCCCAGGGCCAGCTGAGTGTTTCTCAGACCAGAGGAATGAAACGGCTGCGATCGGCACTCTTGTGCTCTCCTGTCATCTCCATCCTGGCCTCTTCGCCAAGCAAAGGGTGAGCAACAAAGGGGAGGATGAGAAGTCGGAAGAAAAACCTGGCAGGAAGCAAGAACCTCGGCTGGATTAGCAAGTGAGCAGAGCCAAGCCATCAAAGGACCTGGATAAAAGGATGGAGATCACTCGGGGAAAGTTTAAATACAGGCAGCTTAAGTGGTAAGAGACCTAAAGTGAGTGATCAAAGACGACTTCAGAATCACAGCTCGGTGGGCCCTGGGAGCTGTTAAGCCCAAGGATCAAGGGCTGCTGGGAGGGGAGGGGAGGGGTTTGTGCAGAAACAGCAAGGTTTCACCTTCAGGGCGGAAGGCCAGGGTCCCTGAGTTAGAGAATTCAGGAGCAGGTAGGACCTTAGAGCACAGCCATTGTCTTTTTTTTTTTTTTCCTATTTATTTTGAAATAATTATAGGCTCGCAGGCAGTGGCAAAAATAGTACATAGAGTACCTTGAACCCTTCACTTATCTTTCCCCAGTGGTGACATCCTACATAACTGCAGTGCAATATCAAAGCTAGAAAATCCACATTGCAATACTGTTAGTTAAACTACAGATCTTATCTTTGTGTGTGTGTGTGTGTGTGTGCAGTTTTGTGCAAATTTCTGCTATGTATAGATTTTTGCACAGCACAATCATGAAGCAGACCTTTTCAATCACCTCAAAGGAGCTCTAAGTAGCTACCCTTTGTAGTATTTTTTTTTTCTTTTAAAGAAATAGAGTCTCACTCTGTGGTTCAGGCTGGAGAGCAGTGGAGTGAATATAGCTCACTACAGCCTCAACCTCCTGGGTTCAAGTGATGCTCCCACCTTAGCCCCCGTAGTAGCTGGGACTATAGGCACACACAACCATGCCTGGCTAATATTAAAATTTTTTTTTTTTTTTGCAGAGATAGGGTCTTGCTGTGTTGCCCAGGCTGGTCTCAAATTCCTGGCTTCAAGTGATCCTCTTGCTTCAGCCTCCCAAAGTGCTGGGATTACAGGTGTGAGCCGCTGTGCCTGGTCCCCCTTATAGTCCTTGTTTCACCCCTGGAAATCACTCCTCTGTCCTCTAGCTTTGGAGCTCTGTAATTTTGAGAATGTTATATAAATGGAACCATACAATATAGAATCTTTGGAGACTGGCTTTTCTTCACTCAGCATAATACCTTTGAGATCTATCCACTTTGTTGCATTTGCTCCTTTTCATTGCTGAGTAGTATTCCATGGTTCTGATGTAGTATAGTTTGTGTATCCAATAACCTAGTGAAGGACATTTGGGTGGCTCTCAGTTTTGCACAGTTATGGCCATGGGTTTTACATTTGGTACATGAGCTTGAATGGAGAAGTTTAATGAAACACCCCTAGAAACACACTGTTAAATTTTATTTCAGAGTATTGTTTGAGATGCTCTCATAATATCAATTGCGCTACTCTATGAAAGGTTTTGAAAAGATGAATTTTTGTCCTGCCTCACAGACAGAAAGTCAATGTTTCTTGTCAAACTTTAGTATGGTTAAATCTGAGGATACTGGGAATGTTGTCACTGATGGACTTTCTCTCTTTGCTTTGGCCACAGGAAGTTGAGTTTGGGGCCAACTGTTTATTTGTGGAATTTTCTTCTTATGCAATGCTCACCTAATTTGGCCTTGACATTTTCATCTTTGTTTTTTAATGTTAAATATTATTTTTAACTATAACAGTGTAGAGAAGGCTACACAGTGTAGGCTAAGCCACTTGCTCAGTCAGGGTCCCACCGTTACTAGGGGCTGGAGCTTGGATTCAAACACATGGTGTCTGACTAACTTATCTGAAGAACAGGCTTTTCAGAGGGTCTTGCTTGCAGCCATTCCAGGAGCGTGAAACTTGCATTTCCCCTGCCTCATGAAATTAACAAAGTCTGGCCAAATGTTTTGGCCAGAGTCTTGTTCCTGGTTCTTGGTTCTGGTAAAAACCAGAATTCTAGGGGATCCTTTCTTTGGAGAAAAAAATCCTCCAGTGCCAGAGACCGCAGCACGTTTCCTGGGAGACCCATAGCTCAGTAGAACAAGGAAGAGTGAGCGAACAGGATGGCGGGAGACCTCTGTCACCTTTGCTAGACTTTGAACTCGTTTAGGGTTAGAACCATGTATCATTCATCTTTGTAGTTCTGCAAATCAAGTACAAGGTGAGATGCAGAATAGCTGTGCCCAGGAATGTTTTGCTCAGTCTTCTACTGCGGTTCTCTCAGGAGGAGAGCAGTGGATGTTCTATCCTGTGGGTTCAGCGAGGACCACAGGGTGAAGAAGGGGATGAATCTCTCTAGCAGCCACAAGCATGTGTGGATATGGGAGTGGGCAGGAGGTGAACATTCAGAGCCCCAAGAGCTGGAGTGTTAGGAGGGACCAGTGTTTGTTTGTTTGCTTGCTTTTTTTTTTTGGTTTTTTTTTTTTTGTTTTTTTTGACGAAGTTTTGCTCTTGTTGCTCAGGCTGGAGAGCAATGGTGCGATCTCAGCTCACTGCAACCTCTGCCTCCAGGGTTCAAGCAATTCTTCTGCCTCAGCCTCCAGAGTCGCTGGGATTACAGGCATGCACCACCACACCAGGCTAATTTTGTATTTTTAGTAGAGATGGGGTTTCACCATGTTGGTCAGGCTGCTCTCAAACTCCTGACCTCATCATCCGCCCGCCTTGGCCTCCCAAAGTGCTGGAATTGCAGGCGTGAGCCACCGCACCCGGCCAGGAGGGACCAGATTTTAGATTCCAGAGAACACGAACAAAATTCTAGGGTACTGTGATGGTTAATATTAAGTGTCAGCTTGATTGGCTTGAAGGATGCAAAGTATTGTTTCTGGATGTATCTGGGTATTTCTGGCTATTGCCAGAAGAGATTATCATTTGAGTCAGTGGACTGGTAGAGGAAGACCCACCCACAACGTGGGTAAACACCATCCAATTAGCTGCCAGCACGGCTAGAAAAAGCAGGCAGAAGATGGTGGAAGAAGCTGACTTGCTGAGTCTTCTGGCCTTCATCTTTCTCCCATGATGGATGCTTCCTGCCCTGGAACATCAGATTCCAAGTTCTTTGGCTTTTGGACTCTCGGGCTTACACCAGTGGTTTGCCAGGGGATCTTGGGCCTTTGGCTACAGACTGAAGGCTGCACTGTCGGCTTCCCTGGTTTTGAGGTTTTGGGACTCGGACTGAGCCACTACTGGCTTCCTTACCCCTCAGCTTGCAGATGGACTGTGGGGGGACTTCACCTTGTGATCATGTGAGCCAATTCTCCTGAATAAATTCCCTTTTATATATATCAACATCTATCCTATTACTTCTGCCCTCTAGAGAACCCTGACTAATACAGGTAGAAGTTCTGTTACTTACTCTTCATCATGGCAAGTAAGTCTATCAATTCAGCCACCACCTGAGCACACAGACACAGAACCCCGCATACAAAAAGATAATCACTACCATTTCCTATTACAACCATCTTTCACACACATACACACACACACGAAGGAAAACATGATATCTTGGAATAAAAGGTTGAACTTTAAACAGAATGTATGTGAACTTTCTTATTTTTCTCAGTTCACACAGATCTCACTTTGAGATCATGCATTCTTTTTTTTTTTTTTTTCGAGACGGAGTTTTGCTCTTGTTGCCCAGGCTTGAGTGAAGTGGCTCAATCGTGGCTCACTGCAACCTCTGCCCCCTGGGTTCAAGCGATTCTCCTTCCTCAGCCTCCCGAGTAGCTGAGACTACAGGTGCCCACCACCACTTCGGGCTAATTTTTGTATTTTTAGTAGAGACGGGGTTTTGTCATGTTGGCCAGGCTGGTCTCGAACTCCTGACCTCAGGTGATCCACCCACCTTGGCCTCCCAAAGTGCTAGGATTATAGGTGTGAGCCACCACCCCCAACCTGAGATCATGCATTCTTTTTTTTTTTTTTTTTTTTTGAGATGGAGTCTCGTTCTGTTGCCCAGGCTGCAGTGCAGTGGTACGATCTCGGCTCACTGCAAGCTCCACCTCCAGGGTTCACGCCATTCTCCTGCCTCAGCCTCCCCAGCAGCTGGGACTGCAGGCGCATGCTGCCATGTCTGGCTAAATCTTTGTATTTTTAGTAGAGCTGGAGTTTCACTGTGTTAGCCAGGATGGTCTTGATCTCCTGACCTTGTGATCCACCTGCCTTGGCCTCCCAAAGTGCTGGGATTACAGGCATGAGCCACTGCGCCTGGCGAGATCATGCATTCTTAACCCAGGCAACAACTGGATCTCTCTCTCTCACTCCCTTTATTAAATTGGAAGATGCTTTATTTCTTTTTAACAGTAGCTCCTCCACTGACTACGTAAAATTGAAATATTTCACATGGTCATTTCTGTCAGTTAAAGTAAAACAAAGTATTTTCCATATATGGGTGTATTTTTTTTCTGTGTATATATATACATGGCAATTTTTAGCTCACTTCTCTATGGGCAAGAAAAGGACAAAAAATGCATATAAGATTTCATCTCTGCTCAGATAATTTGCTCTTAGGGGGTGAAAAAGGTCTAGGATACTACAATGGTTCGTGGCCCTGCAAAAGGTCACAGTACAGAAACAGATACACAGTGCACCTGTTCTATTATTTCAAGGGTGTGTGTGGGGTGACGATTAGGAAAAAAAGTTTAAAAGACTCATCAGGGAGGTAATAATAATAAAAGGTTGTAAAGCCATGCTGTACATGGCTAGTATCTGAGAATCATTGACCTTGACTGTAGGAAGCTATAGAGGTGCCACCCGGCACTCAAGAAACATGTGTTATAATTGCCAGAGTTTGCTATGGGTCAGGCACACTGCCAGACCCTTCAAATGAATCATTTCACAGCAACCCTGAGAGGCAGGAACTCATATTATGTCCTTTTCACAAATGAGAAAATCCAGGGGTGGAGAGGCTAACTAAGCCCCTTGCTCAGTCAGGGTCCCACCGTTAATAGGGGCGGGAGCTTAGATTCAAACTCACGGTGTCTAAGTAACTTATTTGAAGAACAGGCTTTTCAGAGGGTCTTGCTTGCAGCCGTTCCAGGAGCGTGAAACTTGCACTTTCCCTTTCCTCATGAAATTAACAAAGTCCGGCCAAATGTTTTGGCCAGAGTCTTGTTCCTGACGTTTCTATCACCTGGACTGGGAATCATTTCCACAGCCCCAGCAAATCCAGATGTTGGAGGTCAAAAGAGCAGGCCACAGGCCCATCAAAGGAATGATGGGCCTCCCAAGCCCAGCAAGTAAGAGGGGTTTCTCAGCTGTGAACTTGCCTGTTGGTATCCTGATGAGAGTCTCTCATGGTAATTAAATAACCATGACTGTGGTCCGCACTTCCCCGAGACTTCACTCAGAGGCCACGCAAGGACCTCCTCCTGCCTGAGAAGACAACCTTGCCAACCTTTGTGTTCAGTAAAGAGAGCGTGCTGGCTGGGTGCGGTGGCTCATGCCTGTAATCCCAGCACTTTGGGAGGCCGAGGCGGGTGGATCACAAGGTCAGGAGTTCAAGACCAGTCTGGCCAAGATGGTGAAACCCTGTCTCTACTAAAAATACAAAAATTGGCCAGGCGTAGTGGCGGGTGCCTGTAATCCCAGCCACTCTGGAGTCTGAGGCAAGAGAATAGCTTGAACCCAGGAGGCAGAGGTTGTAGTGAGCTGAAATTGCACCACTGCACTCCAGCCTGGGTGACAGAGCGAGACTCCGTCTCAAAAAAAAAAAAAAGAAAGAAAGAAAGAAAGAAAGAAAGCGCGTCTCTTCAGGGGCAATGGGAATGCATTTCAGGACAAGGAAGGGCCTCCACGGAGACAAAATCTGGTCTAGAGTTCTTGCTTAACCCCTTTGGAGAAATCCTGGTTGATGCTTTCTGCCCTTCCTTACTCCTCATCCTCCACACAGCTGCTGGGATGGTGTCTTTAATGCAAAAATCATGACAACTTTCAGCTCAAAAATTCCTTGACGACCCCCCTTTTCCCCCAGCCGTATTTGCTGTCAATGAGACCACACGATCCCTCAACAGAATTCTGGAAAAGAGCCTGAGGACACTTACCTGCAGCAACCATTATATGCAGACTGGATAAACATTCTAATGGGTCTTGTACATACAAGTATTTTATGTAATGCTTAGATACCTTTACCCAAGGCTCAGTTGGCTGTGGCTTTCCCCTGTCCTCCCAGCTAGCTTTAGAAATAAACGCAGCCCAACCAAATAAGAACAAGAAAAAGCTATTTATTCAGAGCTTGCCATAGCAAGGGAGTCAGCCAGCATCACTTGCGTTTTGGCAGACACTCAAAGGAAGATAGAGGAGAGCGAAACCTTTATTGCAGAAGAAAAAGAAGACTTGGTGTGCTCTGATTGCAGCTGTTGTCATGGGGAACCTGAAGGTGGGATAATTACAAGTGGTCATCTGCTGTGATCTGGTAGGGGTATCTGGTTAGCTTTCTTGGGTTTATCCCCAGTTGGATACAGGGACAAAAATTTTAGGGAAGCTGTTAGTTATTATTTGAACCCTGGGCATTTGGGACTGATTGTTACTGGGGTTGTTGCTTGGCTTCCTGAACCAATTGCTAGAGATAGTGGCCGGACTTTCTACAAGTCTGACTTACAGAGAACAGGTTGGCACCCTGGGCTGGTTCCTGTAGATAATGTCCGGGCTGGTCGCTGCAGATTTTTGGGTCAGGGTTCATCTTTATATAGAGTCTGGCTACTGTCGGTACATTCAGTGTCTCAGGTAAACATGTAAACCTAAAGAGATCACATGAAAGTCTTGGCTCCTCATTTATACATGTTTACAATTGCTGACAGGTGACAATTAGAAGGAATGCAAATTATATGTGTTGATTTACTTACCAGTTTGAAATGAGTTAAGAAATTCTATAAAGTATACACAATCAGTCTGAAACATCGTGGTGCATGTAAAAGTGTTCTTCAGGATTGTATGTATTTATGAACATTTATGTTCTTAATATAATTGTTTTATTCATTTTGAACATTTCTTTTTTGTTTTGAGACACGGTCTTGCTCTGTTCCCAGGCTGGAGTGCAGTGACATGATCATAGCTCACTATAGCTTCCATCTTCTGGGCTCAAGTGATCCTCCCGCCTCAGCCTCCAAGGCAGCTGGGACTACAGGCACACACCACCACACTCAGCTAATTTTTAAATTTTCTGTAGAGATAGGGTCTTGCTATGTTGCCCAGGCTGGTTTCAAACTCTTGGGCTCAAGCAATCCTTCTCCCTCAACCTCCCAAAGTGCTGGGATTACAGGCATGAGCCACCATGCCTGGCTGAGCATTTATTTATGAAATCAAAGGTTTGAGAATTTTAAGAAGGGTAAAATATGTAAGAAACCAATGAAACCATAAATGAAATGGTAATATAGTTGGAGAAGGGAGATAAGATAGCTCACTGATTCTCAAAGTGTGGTCCCCAGATCAGCAGCATCAGCCTCATTTGGGAATTTGTTAGAAAAGCAAATTCTCAGACCCCACTAATGATCTACTGAATTAGAAACTCTGGGAATGACACCCAGCAATCTGTATTTGAGTAGCCCTCTGGGTGGTTCTGATACACATGAATATTTAAGGACCACAAAATTAGATTAACACATCAAAATGTAACTTGATAGCAATAGGTGATGATGATGGTGATGATGGTGATGATGATGATGATGATGTTGATTATTTTCTGAGACAGAGTATAACTGTTGCACAGGGTGAGTGCAGTGGTATGATTACAGCTCACTGCAACCTCAACCTCCTGGGCTCAAGCAATCCTCCTGCCTCAGCCTCCTGAGTAGCTGGGACTGCAGGCATGTGCCACTGTGCCTGGTTATTTTTTATTTTTTGTAGATAAGGGCTCTTGCTATGTTGCCCAGGTTGGTCTTGGACTCGTGGATGCAAGTAATCTTCCCACCTTGGCCTCCCAAAGTGTTGGGATTACAGGTGTGAGCCATTGAGCCTGGCCAAAAATAGACTAGTGATCAAGAACATAAGAGAAAGAAGAGAACAACTAGAAAGAAAAGAGAAAGGGTGCAATATAGGCCTGATGAAACAAAAGACAAGACCATCTGATAAAACAGGTCCACAACTTATAACCACACTGGAAACATGCACTGTGGAAACTGCATTTCAATGCCAAGCCTCACAAGATAAGATATTACGGGGTTGGGGGGAGGTGGAGAGAGAGAGAGAGAGAGAGAAAGATGTTGAGGAGAAGAGTAACCACTTGGAATAGACACATTCATATTTTATTTATATCTCTGAGGGGAGCAGTGTATGTTTTCCTGGGTGCAGCTATTTTTCAAATGTCTGTAAATTTGATTGGGTTGAACAAAATACAAATTAATTTAAACGCATCACTGAACTTACTATGACTTTTGCTGTCATGTGTTTTCTCAGTCAATTTGCACTGAGACTACTGCCATGAAATCTCTGAACACTGAAAAGGGGTACCCCTATGTAAAACAGTTATAGACCAGTGGCCTGTAGGGTAAAGTCTAAACTTATCAGCAACGTCTGTTCCTAAGAGTCTTATGAGCTATCATTCCTCATTTCAACAGGTTGGTCGTCTACCGACTGCTCATTCACATGTATCCTGTAGCAATATCAAGTCACTTGACGTTCTTAAAATTCAGCAGGTTTTGTTTCTTCTACTGGTGAACCCCTACATATCCATTAAGACCCTGCTCAAATATCACCCCCTTTACTTCCCAGTAAACAAGGCATTCCTTGAATGAGGAGACCATGTGTTTTCTTCTCTATATGCACAGGACCCAGCTTGATGCCTGGCTCAGTTAATGCTCAACAAACATTTGTTGAGTATTCGTTTACCACTTAGACAAATTATACTTGTTATTTATCCAAAAGCTGTGCTTATCTGTTAAGCAAGACATAAAGCCAGCATGAGAGGGCTTGCATATATGCTTTACTTGGTCTTTGCAGCTTGCCTATATAAAGTTGCTTGCTACTGATAAGTCAGTAAATGGGAAACAGAAAACAAAAACAGCAACAAAATCACAGTGAAGGAAAAAGAAAATCTATCAACAAAAAGAAAACCTAGGCTAATGCTGTTGTTATTATTTATCATGGCATTTAGCGTTGCGCTTCCTGGCAGTCTAGGCAAAAAGGAAAATATTGGATTACATAAGCCAGTTTGACCAATGAATCACAGTGGTTTATGAAGAGAGATGCATGGTTTTTTACACAAGGAATTTACTGTGTAGGTTCCTATGTTATGGACTTTGACAAAGCGTTAGGTTACTCTAGTAGCTATAGAGAATATTTATTTGTTCATTCTTCAAATATTCTTTCAGCACATTTTCTATCCTAGACATTGTGTGGAATTTGGGCTATAGAAATGAATGATACATTCACATTCTACAGGAGGAGAGAGACAGGTGGGTTCATGCAATATAGGGTGATACAGTCCATGTTAGAAGAAAGGTCAGGAGGCTCTAGGAGCCCAAGGCAGAAACCTTGGCTGTCATTGAGAAAGGAAGGCTCTGGAGAGGAGATGACATCTGAGCTGAGTTTTAAAGAATGAGTTGGGTTGGCCAGATGATGTTTCGGTGGGAGGGGTGTCCTAGTAGATAGAACATCAAGTGCAAAGTTTTGGAGGAATGAAGCATGGTGCAAGGTGCACCATTGCATGATGCAAGGTGCACCATTGCATGACGCAAGTGACTCAGTCACACTGGGGCACTTGGTAGGTAGGGAAAGCAGGTGAAATTGACAAGGTAACAAGCAAGTGCCACACCATGAATTATCCCCAGTGACACCAAAGGACCTTGGTCTTTGGGTTCTGCAGGGCAGGGCAAGGGGGAACGATAAAATAATTTAAATAGAAAAGTGACATAGTCTAAATTATGTGTTTAAAAATGAACAAGTGCTCCTCATGCCGTCTCTCCTTAGTCCCCCATTGGGGCCCAGCTTTGCTCTGTAGTCAGTCTGTCTGATCCTAAGTTTCTTTGCTATGAGGCCAAACACTTCAGAAACACCGAAGTCTGAACTGACATCAATTATGCTGAAAGGGGGAAAAATTAATTAAAAGTTTTCGAAGGGCTGTGTTCTGTATTCTTGTCTATTTTCGTGTTATCAGCAGCACTGCCTTTTCTCCTGGCTAGGAGTTATTACAGTATAACATTTTCATGTTGCTTGTAGGGTAATTATGTCAAATATATAGGAGATGATAAGCGGCAGTTTGTATTATTCTGTGATTAATCTCCATACATTCTGGCATTTCAATCTGGCCTAAGAAGACTACGTTTGCTAAACTCTGGTGCAGAGGGAGGATGTGGGGAAGAGCTGGGAGGATTGGGGAGTTGAGACTGAGGAGATTCTGGTTGGAAATATCCCAGTTCCCTCAGATAACCCACTAACCCCAGGCTCCAATTCCCCTGTTCCTTCCAAGGCTCATTTAGTGTAGTGCTTCTGAATAGTGCACCTAGGTTGCTTATTTACAAAGCACACTCCTACCCCTGTTGCTGGCCTCCCCCACCCCAAACCCACAGAATCAATATTTAGAACGTTATAAAGCCAAGGAATTTGCATTTCCAACCACTCCCTGCCAAATCGTTCTTACATATTTAGAATTTTTGAAAAGCAGGTCTAGCTCAATCAGGCCCAATCCTTTGCAAACCTGAAATCAGATATGAAAGTTTTCCAAGATGGTGCTGGAGGAGCAGACTTGGGAATTTAAAATGACCTGGGATGACTAAGGGAGACCCTCACATCTCCTTATCTGGGTTTCTTTAAAAATGTGAAATAGATGGAATTGGTTTACTGCTACCCAGAGGTAGGATAAAACATCTCTTGTAAGATGTTAAAACAGGGAAAAGAACACTTCAGTAGAGGTTCTAGACACAAAGTTTGGGAATGAGCCCTACAGGTGGAACAGAGTCTGAAGCAGGAGAAATCTTGGCAGAGGAAGTAGAGGGGTACCTGGTTTCACATCCTCCTTGGTCAAGGGACCCCCCCCCACGAATCATCCTCAACATCTCAACCAGGAAGGGTGATGGGGGATGACTTCTCCAGCCAGCACAATGGTATGCTTCTGCTGCATTTCTGCCTAATGTTGGCGTGCTTTTTCTTGGTCACCATGCTGTCCTGGTGAAAGCTGCCTCGCAGGGTGGTGGATCCCTTAGAGGTAAAGTTCATATGGGGCCACTGTGCTACATCTCTCTAAGCCCTTTGTTCTTGGAAAGAACAGGGGAATTGGAGCCTGTGCTACGTCTTTGTAAGCCAGACCCCTTTGATCCTCACCAGCCTGAACTCTTGGGCCCTGCAGAATTCTAGAATCTTCCCAGTTCCCAAGTGGAACCCTCTGCCAAGTAACCCCATACACAGACAGGCAAGGAATATAGTGGCTTATGTTGGGTTCTCTTTAGTTTATGATTTATTGATGGAGAATATGAAATTTTCATTAAAACAGACTGCTGTTTCTCACTCATTTGTCACATTTTTAATTTGTATTTTAAAACATTAATAAAACTGACACAATTAATTATTTTTCAAAATGTCAAATATATTGAAGATGTGGGACTGGAATGAAGCTTCATGTTGTAGCAGAATGAGGCATTGGTTCAAGAAAATGATCTCCTGGTTACACTGAGATCTTTCCCCTTCCTGAACCTTATGGTCAGACGAATTGTCTCTGATCTCTTAGTAGATATCACTGTTTACAAAGTGCTTTCATTTTTTTTTATCCTGAGATATTATCCAGTAGTGCTTGGGGAGGTCCTGGTTTATGTCTGTGGTCTTAGTATTATTAATAATGTAACCCTGGACTGTCCTCATTTGTATGACAAATTGTATGATGCTCTGAGTCCAGGACTGTGAGGGCTCTTGAGTAAGACATAAGTGGTTCACGTCCTTGGTAGCCACATGACCTCAAGCCTGTTTCCCCATTAGTAAAACGCAGAAAATAATAGCACCAACTTCATGGTATTGTCATGAGTTTAGACGATATGATATAATATGCCTGGCATATAGCAAGAGTTCAATATATGATTGCTGCCACTCTATTTGTGGTCATTATTATCATTAGACCCTGCATGGGGCTGGTCCAGACTTCGCTCTCAGCCTCACCTCACTCTACACTCCCCGTTGTAGTCTCTCTCTGGCAACTCTGGACTTCTTTCAGTTCCATGCGTATGTCTTTGCCACAGGGACTTTGCACCTGCTGCTTAGTCTTTTAACCTGAGTTCCATCTCAGCTCAAACTTTACTCTCCAGGGAAGCCTGCCCTGATACCTCTCATTAGATCAAGTCCTCCTGTTGTCAGCTCTTGAAACATCCTACATCTCTCTTCTGTAACAATTGTCATTGTCAAAATTTAGCAGTTATTCGTGTGATTCTTTGGTTTATGTCCATCTCTCCCACCAGTCTGTAAGCTCCAAGAAGATAGGAACTATGTCTGTCTTTGCTTACCACTGGTTCCCAGTACCTAGTGGAATGCTGAGCTATAGTGAGTGGTCAATAAAAATTGGTTCAGTGAATGAATTGAATTCTACTTCACCTGTTCTTATCAACTCCCAAGTCTCCCTGTCTTTTTCTGTATCTTTCATTGACTATCCAACCTTGGATAAAATGGGTGCTATTATAACAGTAATAATAGCTGAGATTTTTGGAGTGCTTGCTATATACCAGCTATTTTACTTGCATTATTTCATTGAACACTTATGACAATCTGATGAATTCAATGCAATCATCATCACTCTTATTTCACAGTTGAGGAAACTGAGGTTGATATAATGATACCCAGCAGGCGAGCGATCAGCTGGGATTCCTGCTCAGGTGGCTGGACTCCAGAGCTCCTACCTCTATCTGAGACTGTTCTATTCCTCCTATAAACTATTTTATGGAAAAGTAGTTCATCACTGTATCCTTAATCTCTAGCCAAGTGCTATATATATATTTATAGCAATTTGATAAATATGCACTCAATAACCTGATGTTTGAATGAATAAATACATTCTTATTATTAAATACCATATTTGTGGCCCGGCACAGCAGTTCAAGCCTGTAATCCCAGCACTTTGGGAGGCTGAGGCGGGTGGATCACCTTAGGCTGAGGTCGAGAGTTCAAGACCAGCCTGGTCAACGTGGTGAAACCCCATCTCTACTAAAAATACAAAAATCAGCCAGGCATGGTGGCATGTGCCTGTAATCCCAGCTATTCCAGAGGCTGAGGCAGGAGAATCGCTTGAATCTGGGAGGTGGAGGCTGCAGTGAGGAGAGATTGTTTCACTGCATTCCAGCCTGGGTGGCAGAGCGAGACTCTGTGTAAAAAAATAAAATAATTAAAAAAATAGCATATTTGTGAGTTGTAATTTTTTAAAGTTACTTCCATTTTTTTTTTCTTTTTTAGTTTAGGTTTTCTGTTACAATCTGGATATTGCTATGGGACATGAGATCTATATGAACAACATCTGTCTTGCTTGTGGTGGTGAATAAATATTTAAGGATCCCTGGGCCAGTTGCACGCAGAGTGCTTCCAGCTGATACAACCCCGAATCCCAGGATGGGATCTGGAAGAGTGAAGCTTCAGGGGTCATTTTCCTTGGATAAGGGAATTGGAGCGTGGGAGGATGGAAGGAGAGGGTGGTGTGAGCCTGCAGGGAAGATCTGTCCAGGCATGTGAGGCTGCTTGCAGGAGGCAGAGCCCTCCTCTGGGTCTGATGAGGGTCAGAGAGAGAAGGAGGCTTTGCGGAGCTGGAGCAGTCACTCGGGCCAGGGGCAAGTATTCTGGGTAAGTGGGTCTTGGGTTGGGATTCTGCTTCTAGCTTCTCTACCTCCCACCCCTCTATTCCCTTCTCAGAGGAAAAGGACTCCCGAATCTTGTGTCTTCCAGATCACATCCTGGAATTCAAGATTATATCAGCTGGAAGCACCCTGAGGGCAGTTGGCCCAGGGATCCTCAAACGTTTATTCAGCACCGCACACCAGGCAGACGTTATTCATATGGGTCACATGTTCCATGGCAATGCCCAGATTGTGACCGAACACCCAAACTGAAAAAAGTGGAAGTAACTAAAAAAAATCGCAACTCACAAATACGCTATTTAATAATCAGAATTTATTTATTCATTCAAACATGAAGTTATTGAGTACATATTTATTGAGCTCCTTTTATTCCAGGCATTTGACTAGAGATGGAGGACACAGTGGTAAACTGTTTTCTCAAAGTCACACACAGATACATTATAAATGATATAATTTAAATATAAGACAAATTTATCTACTGTATTCAAATTAAATACATACATCCACACACATATGCAATGAAGTATATACAACATAAAAACACAGCACGGCCGGGCGGGCGCGGTGGCTCACACCTGTAATCCCAGCACCTTGGGAGGCCGAGGTGGGCGGATCACGAGGTCAGGAGATCGACACCATCCTGGCTAACAGGGTGAAACCCCATCTCTACTAAAAATACAAAAATTAGCTGGGCGTGGTGGCGGGCGCCTGTAGTCGCAGCTGCTGGGGAGGCTGAGGCAAGAGAATGGCGTGGACCCAAGATGTGGAGTTTGCAGTGAGCTGAGATCGCACCACTGCACTCCAGCCTGGGCGACAGAGCAAGACTCTGTCTCAAAAAAAAACAAAAAACAAACAAACAAACAAAAAAACCACAGCACACACATTCTTTGTCTAGGTTCATACAGCCATATGGTCCAAAATTCCATGGGTACAATAGGGAACACGATGACACTTCTCTCCTGCCTCAGGTCTCTATCTGCCCACTGGCTTATCTCCCAGCACAACCAGCACCATCAATTCTTTGGCTTCCCCTCCAGAGCAAATATGTCTGTCTTTTTTTTTTTATTTTTGAGACATCATCTTGGTCTGTCACCCAGGCTACAGTGCAGTGGAAGGATCATGGTTTTCTAGGCTCCAGTGATCCTCCTACTTCAGCCTCCTGAGTAGCTGGGACTACAAGCAGGCACCACCATGACCAGCGAAGTTTTTTTTTTTTTTTTTTTTTGTAGAGACAGTCACACCATGCTGTCCAGGCTGGTCTCGAACTCCTGGGCTCAAGAAATCTACCTGCCCTGGCCTCACAAAGTGCCAGGATTACAGGTGTAAGTCACGGCGCCCAGTCTCAGGGCAAAAATGTTTAAATATTGCCCCCCACCCACCCCTGCCATGACACCTTTCCTTTTTCTTTTCTCTCTTGTTTTATGCAAATAGGAGCAAAGTAAACAGTGTTCTAACCTTGCCTTTTATGCTTATACATATCTTGGAGGTGGTTCATATCAGTACACAATAAGCTTTCTTGTTCTTTTTTACAGCTGCTTTTTGATAGCTCCATGGATGTCAATGGTGAATTATTAACAGTCAATCAATAGAATGGAAAACTTCTGCAGGGCTTTGCCGTCATGGAAAGAAGTTCCTGGTATAAAACAGAATGGCGGATAAAACCAGATTGTAGCTTCACACCATATGATATCATATGATATTATCATGGTTATGAAAAATAGAATCTATACATATATGTGAATAGCTATATGAATTGGGAAGAATGTTTATTAAAATATTAGCATCAGTTATATCCTGGTGGCAGATTTATTATCATATATAAATATATATTTGTTTTTTTGTTTGTTTGTTTGTTTTTGAGATGGAGTCTCACTCTGTCACCCAGGCTGGGGTGTAATAGTGAGGTCTTGGCTCACTGAAACCTCTGCCTCCCGGGTTCAAGCCATTCTTCTGCCTCAGCTTCCCAAGTAGCTGGGACTACAGGCGTGTGCCATCGCGCTTGGCTAATTTTTGTATTTTTAGTAGAGACGGGGTTTCATGATGTTGGCCAGGCTGGTCTTGACTTCCTGATCTCAGGTCATCTGCCGGCCTTGGCCTCCCAAAGTGCTGGGATTACAGGTGTGAGCCACCATGCCTGGCCTGTTTTTGTTTTTTGAGACAGGATCTCACTCTGCTGCCCAGGATGGACTGCAGTGATGCAATCACAGCTCTCTGCAGCTTCAACTTCTGAGCTCATGCGATCTTCCAGCCTCAGCCTCCCAAGAAGCTGGGACTACAGGTATGCACCACCAAGTCCAGCTAATTCTTAAATTTTTTGTAGACATAGGGTTTCATCTTGTTGCCCAGGCTGGTCTCCAACTCCTGGGCTCAAATGATCCTCCCACTTTGGCTCACACCTGATGGAATTACAGGTGTGAGCCACTGCACCTGGCCTGTATGTTTAATAAAAGTAAAAATGTGTGATTCCTACAGCCAGGACAAAGGAAATATTATCTTTATTTTGAAACAAACAAGTGCCCTTCACACCTGCTCTGCCTTTTACTACTGACTAAGGGTGGATAATTAGACCATGAACAGTGGTGATTCCCAGTGCCTCAACTGGGAGTCCTCCCCTTTTCCTGAGCTAAATGCCTGGTACATGATTAAAACATGGAAGCAAAAAACCCAAAACAAACAAACAAACAAACAAAAACAAACCAAAATAAAAAAAGAAAAAGAAAAAGAATAAGCATCTGAACTTAAGGGTGCAAGAATGGCTTTGTCAGAGGGATCTTTGAATCCACTTTAATTTGTTTAAGCAATTTATTGAAGACTTCATTACTTGAGCTGATTTTAGTAATAAATTAGTTGTGACTCTCCCCATTGCTAGTCATTATTCCCTAATGTTGAGATACCGAGGTTACAAGCCTTCACTCAAGTCAACCTTCTCATTTTAGAGACAAGGATGTTCAGTCCCTCAAAGTTCCCGAAGAAGACGTCAAGGTGTGGTGAAGTTAGCTATGTACAAATTATTATATGAAGAGCTTTCAAAACATGCAAGTACCTGGGGGCTAAAAATAATAAAATGGGTTGTTAGAGATGAAAGAGTTGGGATTCAGGATGTGTTTCAACCCCTACATTTTTTTTTTTTTTTTGAGACAGAGTTTCGCTCTGTCACCCAGGCTGGAGTGCAGTGGTGCTATCTCGGCTCACTGCAACCTCCGCCTCCCAGGTTCAAGTGATTGTCCTGCCTCAGCCTCCCGAGTAGCTGGGATTACAGGTGCACGTCACCACACCCAGCTGATTTTGTATTTTTAGTAGAGACGGGGTTTCACAACGTTGGACAGGCTGGTCTCCAACTCCTCACCTCAGGTGATCTGCCCGCCTCGACCTCTCAAAGTACTGGGATTACAGGCATAAGCCACCGCGCCCTCCCCACTCCCTTCATTTTTGAAGCTTTTATCTTTCATTTTGACCATGAGGACTTAATAAGACACTTGCTCAGGATCGACCCAAAGAGCCGGGGCTAAAACATGGGTATTGTGATTCTCAGCCCTTTGTGTTCCACACACCCCAGGCAGCACATGAAACATGGCAGGGCTCCCTACGCAGTGAGTCTCCCATACCATCACCTTTATTTGACTTGATGAGAATTATGCAGGAACCAAAATTTGCAGGTGACGTTCCCACGACGAAGGATTTGCTGCAATGCCACATTCATCACAGAACTCATAAGATCAGTGCCTACAGTTTGGAAATCCTTTTTCCTTGACAAATGATATATTTCATTTATTTCCCATGATCTTCTTGCATTATTTCAATATTATTAATACTTGGCAAATGTATTAAAAAAGTAATAAACTGGCAATTATGATTGTGCTATGGACCCCAAACTGCAATTATTCATTATGTTTCAATTATTAACTTCCCTTCAAATGTCTTTCAGCGAAGATTGTAAGAAGAAAAAAAAATCCCGATGAAGCTCTGTACCCTGGTTCCTGGAGATCTATGTTTCACTCTGACTTGACATTTTTCTGATTTATCTGCTATCTCAGGGCTAGAGGAATCAAAGTAATAATAAAAAAGTCCTTGCTACTTAATAAACAATAACCATCAACACCTTATATTTATATAGAGCTTTTTAACCCTTCCTAGTGCCTTAGTATCTATGACTGCATTTTATTTCAAAACAAGGCTTATGAAGTATGTGGTTCCAATATATGCCCCTGTTTATTGATGGGGGACACAGAGACTCAGAGACTAGGCACAGAGGACACTCAGATGGTGAGACTTCCCACCACTCACACCCCTCCACCACCACTCCCCACCATAGCATCTCAGCACCAGCCCCAGTTCCAAAGCGAGTCTTGACGTTAGGAGAAAGTCAGTCACTGAGACCGATGGAGAAGGGGATGATGACAGGAGTAGCTGTTCTCTGAACTTGCACAGGGACCTAAGTGCTGGGCACATGTTACTTTGTCTAATCTTCCCAAGATCCCAATGGGGAAGACACAGTAATAATTCCGCTTCATGAAAATCTTAGCAGATTTGCCCAAAGGCCCACAGCCAGTATCTAGGAGTACAACCATAGCGATGATAACTCTGATGATAGTTGCATGAATTCAATGTTGACCATGTGCCAAGTACATTTGTAGATTTTATAAGTGAGAGTCCTGAGGATCAAAGGACTTGCTCAAAGTCAGTAACAACCACCATATTGCTCACCTATCCACCAGCACCTCTGCCTTCAGCACCCCCACCAAGCACTTGTGTGTGTTATCCCATCTGATGTACCACCCCATTACTATTTTTTCTTTCACTGCCAAAGGAAAAGTAGTGATGGGAACAGGAGAGAGGGATGTCTACGGATGTAGGTGCATTGGAGAGACCCTCCCAGCAGAATTTGGCTCATGATTAGCCCTCAAAGCAATTCTACACCCTCCACCTGCTCCCACTTCTCACATTATCCCTGTAGGAGTATGATAAGTGATAGCTATAAAGGACATGAAGAATTCCTTTTTTTTTTTCAAATAAGCAAATTGCATTAAATTTTAATGATGGTCATTATGGACTGGTTTGTCTTTGGCGCTTAAGCGAGTCCTCCGGTCGCCTTTGAAGAATTACATTTGCACAGATTAATTGTCTGCAGTTTTGTCCGGCACATCCTTACCCCAGTCATCACACTGCGAAACCTTGTCCCCATCTGGGCAGAGCTCAATGATGTAGCACTTTGGCCTTTAAAATATGCACAATAAATATTTCAGATTTTCTGATGAATGACTTGCTCTCATGGCAAGGCTGCAGGGCTAGAGTTTTGCAGGGACAGAAGGAGGGAGAAGTGAAGCAAATCTCAAAACGAGAGCCATTTTCAGGCTTCACAAAGAGGTACTGGGTGCCAGGCAGAAGGGTTGCCTTTCGTGGTCAGATGTCACAGCAGCAGGAGTCACACTGGAGTTGCTTTCTGAAATGCCTGATTGCATCCTTCTCCTGGACAGGTATCACTTTCCCGGGATGACTCTCTTCCAAGGAGCACATTTAACCTTCCCAATCACAGGAAACCCATCTGAGACCAAAGTTCCTGCTGAAAGAGATGTGTGATTTTCGGTAAGCTGGTCTATGGAAAACTCAATGAAGTAACCAATGTAACATTCAAGGTAACAAGTCAATAGTTCATGGGACACTCAGTTGAATAGTCTGTGGAACCCTCAGTGAAATAATCAATGTAACACTCAATTGGTACTTCATACTCCATTCATTCAACAATTCAATTTTCCATAAAGCATCCACTTGGTTGTTTAAAGCTCTGGACCAGATCATGCCATTTACCTTTTAAAAATATTCAGTGGTTTCCTATTACACTTAGAATAATATACTAACCTGTGACCATGTATCAAAGGCTCCGACATGAACCATAACCACCTCGCCCATTCATCGCCCCTCACAATACTCCATCCACACAGGCCTTGGCCCATCTTCCATGAACTCACAGAGCATGTTTCTGCTCCAGGACCTTGACACTTGCTCCTCTCTCTTCCCAGAATACTCTGCCTTGGGATCTTCCCACGGCTGGCTTCTTCATGTCATCCAGGTCTCAACTCAGATGTTCTATCAAATGTCTGAGGATATATTCTTGAACTAATCGAAAGTAATCCCTTCATCTCAACAATTCTCCATCAATTACTTTATTTTATCAGCTCTCATCACTATTCAAACTTGTTTGCTTTTGTTTATGTGTGCTTTATTTGTTGGTTATCTGTCTCTTCCAGTCCAATGTAAGCTTTGGACTTTTACTACCTTTTGGACTTTTACTACCCTACCTTTATGGTAGGGACTTTATTTATGTTGTTCATCATGATATCCCTACTGCTTAGAATGTAGCTCATCACAGTGTCAGTGCACAGAAAACATCTGTTGAATGAATGAATATTTCTTTTCTTTATTTTTTTTCCTTTTTTTGAGATGGAATCTTGCGCTGTCACCCAGGCTGGAGTGCAGTGGCGTGATCTCGGCTCACTGCAAGCTCCGCCTCCTGGGTTCATGCCATTCTCCTGCCTCAGCCTCCTGAGTAGCTGGGATTACAGGCGCCCGCCACTATGCCTGGCTAATTTTTGGTATTTTTAGTAGAGACGGGGTTTCACCATGTTAGCCAGGATGGTCTCGATCTCCTGACCTCGTGAGTCGCCCGCCTCGGCCTCCCAAAGTGCTGGGATTACAGGCGTGAGCCACTGTGCCTGGCCTGAATGATTATTTCTTGAGCACTAATGATATTCAGGTTGTAGGTTGAGCATCTGGAATACAGCACTAAATGAGACACGTCGTTCTCTTTAATGGACCCCTAGAATGTAATTTTAGTAAGGTGTTTGGCCTTTCACCTTTCATGGCCTTGGATAGCAGCTCTGGGAGGCAAGCACACCCAGACAGGAGTGACTGGTGTCCAATTTCGATCATAATACTAGGGTCAGATTCAGAAGTCCTAGAAGTTTTAGTGTTGAAAGAGTTTTTAGAGATCACGACATCCAAACTTCCCTATTTATAAGTCCCAGAGAGAGGATGTGGCTTGGACAAGTTTACACAGAGGGCTAGAGGCAGAGTGAAAATTAAAATGCAGGACTTTTGACTCTAGGAGTTACGTTCATTTAATTTTATTGTCTCAATACTAGGATCTGGGTTCTGAGCAGCCTACGCATTGTTTCAAAAGAAAAATTTATATTAGCACATTCTAATTAAAACCCATCAAATCAAGATTGGTGTGTTGGAGCTGAACCCTACGTAGTACCACAAAAGACGTTACTAGGGGCACCTGAGCCAGGTAAGCATTCCCACTGGCTCTTCCATAAGCAATCCACCTCTCCGTTCTTTCTTCCAACAGATTTTCAGTGCCTCACTTATACTAGGAAACAAAAACAGCTAGAGCTGTTATGAATTCAACTTTACTTCTCATCTACATGAGGTAGGTTTCCTATCTCATAACAGAGCTATCTGCCAAGGGAATGTTCCTCATTTCTAGTTCACAAAGAATTTTACATCCCTTTCCATTAAATATCTAATTGACAATCCCTCTGAGTGCTTCACAGACTATTCAGTTTTCTCATGGACTATTCGGTTGACTGTTACATTGATCATTTCATTGAGGATTCCACAGACTATTCAACTGAGTGTCCCATGAATTATTCAATTGTTACTTTGAATGTTACACTGGTCACTTCATTGAGTTTTCTATGGATGAGTTCACCAAAAATCACACATCTCTTTCAGCAGGAACTTTGGTCTCAGACGGGGTTCCTGAGATTGGGAAGGTTAAATAAACTTCTGCATGGGTGCAAGAGGCCCTTCTACCTCTGCTATCTTGCTGTGGCAGAATCCTTCAGTGCCCACTCCTTGAAGAAAACCAACATGGCTTCCCTTGTGATAACTCTCACAGCAGTTTCAAACGTGGCCATAAAAAGCAGTACTTGATTTCCCAGCTGAAACACTTCTTTTTCCAGTGTTCCAAGGAGGGGGTTGGAATGGGATAAGTTATGTGTTGTGGTTTTAGGCATTAATGAATATGAGAAACTAAATTATTGAATTTTGCAATGCAAATTATATTTTGAACAGAAATTCTTCATCTCTGAATGCTAAGGACTCATAAAGAATGTCAATGGTTTATGAATTAGGCCATTAGCATGCAATTTGTGATTCAAACAGCACACTAGCACTGTGTAATAAGTAACTATATAAAGAGTAGTGTTGTTGTCTACATTTTCAAAATATTTTGCTTAATGCATTAGAAAGTTTTCAAAAGGCTGCAATGGGCCTCCCTTTTTTTCCTCACTCCTCCCTCCCTCCCTTCCTTCTTCCCTCCGTCCTGTTTTTTGAGACAGAGTCTCACTCTGCTGCTTGGACTGCAGTGAAGTGGCATGGTCTCGGCTCACTGCAAACTCCGCCTCCCACTTCAAGCCATTCTCTTGCCTCAGCCTACTGAGTAGCTGGGATTATATGCGTATGCCACCACACCCTGCTAATTTTTGCATTTTTAGTAGATGTGGGGGTTTCTCTGTGTTGGCCAGGCTGGTCTCAAACTCCTGGCCTCAAGCAATTCATCTGACTCGGCCTCCCAAAGTGCTGGGGTTATGAGCATGAGCCACAATGCCCGGCCCCTCCTTCTTTTCCAAACTTCCTCCCCAATCCCAATTCTCTCTCTCCCTCCCATCCTCCTCTATTGGTTAACTACATTCCCTTCCCTCTCTTCATCCGTCCCCCCTTACCTCCCTTCATCCATCCCACCTTCCCTTCTTCCTTCCTTCCTGCTTTCTTTCTCTCCTCTCTGTCTCCCTCGCTGTCTTCCTTTCTCTTTCCTTCCCTGTCTCCTTCTTTCCTTTCTTCTCTCTCATTCTCTTTCCATTGGCTACATTAGCTATTGCTCCTATGCTTCCCAGTCTAGTCCTTCCCAGATTAGATTATGGGAGCTGAAAGAGTTTTAAGAACTAATCTAGACTAGTCCTACTAGCTCTAGAGATGGGAACTCTGAGACCCAGAGACTGAAAGGGTCACGTCCAAGGTCCCACAGGGATAGAGCCATGTGGAGCCAGGTCTCCGCAATACTCACCCCCTCAATTGACTTGATCATGCCAGTGAGCAATCAGCTCATCTCAGATACTTTGCTGAGAGTGAGTTTTCATGGAGGCAGAGAGATTAGGGCACTGGCTATCAGGTGAGATTAGAGGGTGGGAAGGAGATGAGAAATTGGAGGCAAAAAAAGGATGTGGCAGGAAAAAGCTAATGCAAATTTCAACTGTACAGTTTGTTAACTGGGATGACTTGATCTCAAGGCAACTGGGACCAGGAAATAGAATTGGTATGGAGTAAAATTTCAGTTCAGCTGAAAAAATTAGGTTTCACAATTAGAACCATCAGTCAAAGAAGGAACTACCTGGTGAAGTGATGTGCATTCCATCACTTAGAGAATTTCAGGTTGAGTGCAAATACTAATTCATAGAAATCCAAGAGCCTAAAATTCTTCTAGCTTAGTGGTGGTCAACCTTGGCTGCACCTCAGAATCACCTAGGGGAGATGTGAAAACTCTCCACATGCCCAAGACACAGGTTTGTCAATGAAATCAGAATTTCTGGGGGTGAGACTTGAGACATCAGGACTTTTTTTTTTTTTTTAAGTTTTCTTTTAAGAATTCCAGTGTCCAGCTAGGATTCAGAACTACTAGTAAGCCCAATGGTTCTCAAATTTTAGTGTGCATGAGAAACACCAATGAAGCTAATTATCAATGTAGGTTCCTGGGTGCCTCTGCCTACCTATTCCAATTCAGTTCATCTGAAGGGGGATCTGGGAATCAGCATTTAAACAAACAACCCAGATGACACTGATGCTGCTGATCTGAGGACCACAGTCGTAGAAACACTCCCTGTCCACTTCTCCATGTGATATTCAATTCTCTTCAACAAATGTCCCTGCTAGTTATCCAGCTGCCACTTTGCTGCTTCCAGCGACAAGGAAGAGCCATTTCCACTAATGGGTTAACTGCACATGAGAGAGGTCTGACTCTAGGCCAACGGTCTCAGATGGCTTTGGGGAGTCCTGGTCAGAACCATTTTGGAATAGCTGCACTCAACTTTTAGCTCCAGGGATGCACACATAATCCTAGCCTTGAGTGGAAAGCTAGTGATAAGAGAGAAATAACCTTCATCCAAGTCTAGCTGTCCTTCTCTTCCCATAATGATGGAGGATTTTTGGTCATCCTTGCTTCTCACCCTAGCCAGCTGCAATCTCTTCCAGGTAGCCAAGATGCTGAGGATTTTGCTGTCCTCTCCGAACGATTCTCTAAAGCCCTCTTCTGAGAGTGCCTTTCCCACCTTGCAGGAAGGACCTTCAAAGTCAATAGTCCTGTGCTCAGCTGTCATGAAATAGACAAGATCTAGAGTCTGCCAGGGATTCCTGCAGCAGCCATTTTCCAGGAGGATGGCAAACAATAGCATTACTCAAATGACCAGAGGCAAAATATCCCCCCTACCAAGAATGCCTTGCAAATTCACACATCCTGTAATGGAGTGTCTTCAGAAGCACACACAGAGCGCGTGCTCAGTGAGTGATGGCCAGAAGGCAAAGAGCTCACCTTGGGCTATGAAATATTTAGAAGTTAACTTAGCACTTTCATGCTTTATAAAGAAGAAAGTTCATGCATTTTTAAATTATTTTGTAAATCATGTTGAAAGCTGACAATGCAGATTTACCACCAAGGCTGCGATTTAAATACCGGGTTATCCCCTCATTATGTTAACAGAGTGAAGAGAGAGAGAGAGTCATTCACTCTGATCTGTCAAAAGCCTGTTGCGCTCCTCTTGGTGAAAGCATGCTCCCCTCCTCAACTCTGGCTTCCAGGAGATGCTCCCCCTTGGTGTGAGAGGTTGAGGAAGGGTGTGATTGGATGCTTTGAGACAGCTGTCTATGTTTGGGGGAGCAGGTCAGAAGGGGCAGCAGAGTGTTGATGCCTATTAACTAGAACAGCATGGTGCATGAGCCAGGTACATCTTCTGCAGCAGAATGGGAGAGTGGGGTGACGTGAGATGCATCTTCCTCCTTTATCAGAACTTATGAATTCCTTCAAAAGAGAAAGAGTGTGTGCGTGTGTGTGTGTGTGTGCGCATTTTGGGTGAACAAATTCATATCAGAAACTATCAGGAAACTAGTTCTGGCATGGTGGCTCAAACCTGTAGTTCTAGCACTTTGGGAGGCCTAGGCAGGCAGATCACTTGAGCCCAGGAGTTCAAGGACAGCCTGGGCAGCATGGCGAAATCCCATCTCTACCAAAACTTAGCCGGGCATGGTGGCACATGCCTGTGATCCCAGCTACGCAGGAAGCTGAGGCGGGAGAATAAAGTTGAGCCTGGGAGGCAGAGGTTGCAGTGAGCTGAGATCGCACCACTGCACTCCAGCCTGGGCAGCACAGGGAGACTTTGTCTAAAACAAACAAACAAATAAAAAAAGAAGAAACTATCATGAAACTAGAGACCCAGTCTAGGTGATGAGGAGGGGGAAATAATAACTTGCAAATAGCTCACAGACCCAAACTCCACATCCTGTATTGGGGGGAGACAGAGTCATGGTGTGGATTTAGAATCGGATCCTCTTTAGTAGCTGTTTGCAGCTTGTGGCTTTGGACAAGTTACTAAACCTCCCTGAGCATAGTTTCCTTTTCTGTATAGTGGGGCCCAAAACTACCACCC
Source organism: Homo sapiens (assembly GCF_000001405.40). Lineage (NCBI taxonomy): Eukaryota > Metazoa > Chordata > Mammalia > Primates > Hominidae > Homo > Homo sapiens. The sequence goes on along the minus strand of NC_000016.10, from coordinate 8,527,662 downwards.
TCAATGGTCCCATGTGAGAATAAAAAGACACAGAACAAGAAAGGGGCTTAGTACAGGCACAGAATACAGTTTCAATGCAGTCTGGCTAAAAACACGCAAAATTCCATGATTAAAAAAAATCTTACTACAGACTAGAAATCTTGCTTGGGTGTTACAGTTGTTATCTTATTTTGTGCTCACAGCAAATCCACGGGGAAGTGTCCATTTTATGCTCATCTCACAGACAAGAGGACTGAGGTTCAGATAAACAGTGAGCCTCAAAGCACACAGACACTAACAGGCAGAGGCAGGATTTGAATTTGGGTGTCCCTGACACCAAAGCTGGGGTTTTTCCACTTTCCCCTGCTGTCTCCCTTCCCTGGAGAGAAGATCTCATGGCTTCATGAGCTTAGTTGCTGTAAGGGCCCATGAGTTGAGCAGTGAGGGAATAGTTATTTATTTATTTATTAATTGAGACACAGTTTCACTCTGTTGCCCAGGCTGGATGGAGTGCAGTGGCATGATCTTGGCTCACTGCAACCCCCACCTTCCGGGTTCAAGCAATTCTCCTGCCTCAGCCTCCTGAGTAGCTGGGACTACAGGTGTGCCCACCATACTGGGCTAATTTTGCTATGTTTAGCAGAGTTGGGGTTTCCCCATGTTGGCCAGGCTGGTCTTGAGCTCCTGACCTCAGGTGATCCACCTGTCTTGGCCTCCAAAAGTGCTGGGATTACAGGCACGAGCCACCGTGCCCCACCTACTCAGCATGTTTTCATGTTCAAAGTTTAAAGTGTTGGTAGCAGGAAAATGTTCATGGGTTGGTGGGAAAGCACCAACTTAACTCATATTCATTAACTTTTCTTGTAGACCAGGGGATGGGTGGGAATTATTTTGGTGTGGCTAGATTGGAGGGTGTATCCATCTGCTCTTGCATTGCTATAAAGAAATACTTGAGACTGGGTAATTTATAAAAAAAAGATGTTTAATTGTCTCCCTGTTCTGCAGGCTGTACAAGAAGCACAGCAGCTTCTGCTTCTGGGGAGCCCTCAGGAAACTTACAATCATGGCGGAAGGTGAAAGCCCGAACTCTCATCTTGATCGCGATACAAAATAAATATTGGCTCTATCAGAACAATTGGATTGTCTTATTTTTGTCACTGACAACATGGTAGGCTCAACCCCCGTGTCAATTTCTGAGATGGCAAAATCAGCAGTAACTGAGGCAAAGCACCATTAACGGACAAGACAATTTCATCAAGCAAAATCTGACAAATAACATATCGCTGTTTGTCATCAAGATACTTAATATACCAGGGGCTGCTCCCAAAGCTCCCATGATCAATGTTTGCTAATTTACCAATTCTGTGGCTCTGTGAGGGTGCTGGTAATTTCATATTTTACACACCCACAGAGGTTACGGTAATTGATTCAGTTCTAGAAAGTACTGTAATGACTTTGAAGCATAGCAGCTTCTGCTTCTGGGGAGGCCTCAGGAAACTTACAATCATGGCAGAAAGTGAAGGAGAAACAAGACGGGGCTTTAGTACTCTGGTACCATAATAGCGTAAGGAGCCCCAGAAAGTATTGGATAACCAAGAATCAATAAAGGAAAAAACCAAGTCTGCTCTGGGACATGAGCTCAAGAATCCATGATGCTTCTCATTAGAGTACATTAGATCCAATGACGTGCAGTTTCTAAATCTTGGTCTTCCAAATATCAAATTCCCAGTGGGGAATCCGATTTTCCCAGGTCCAGCCAGGTGCTCATGCCTGGGATCATTCAGCTATGATTGGGTTGGCAGAGACTGGGTTGGCAGAGGAAGGGGTTCCTATATAGTGGGGTCATTATTGTGAGCCAGATAGACGTCCCAAGAGGTCTCAGAGTGCTAGTGTTGGGAGGTATTATCCACATTCGTTCGTTTTTCTGTCTCCATTCCAAGAAAAGACAATCTGAAGCTTATCTTTTTGCTTTGAGACAAATCAAGACATAAACCAAGAAAGCAGGAACTAGAAGAGAAGAAGGCTACATGGGGAACACTGACCTTTTTTTTTTTTTTTTTTTTTTTGAGACAGAGTCTCGCTCTGTCACCCAGTCTGGAGTTCAGAGGCGTGATCTTGGCTCACTGCAACCTCCGACTCCTGGGTTCAAGCGATTCTCCTGCCTCAGCCTCTCGAGTAGCTGGGACTACAGGCATGTGTTACCATGCCCTGCTATTTTTTTGTATTTTCAGTAGAGACGGGGTTTCACCGTGTTAGCCAGGATGGTCTTGATTGCCTGACCTCGTGATCTGCCCGCCTCGGCCTCCCAAAGTGCTGGGATTAGAGACACTGACCTTTTAGTGTACAGTGATCCTGCCCTTAGTCAACCTGGCTCAGAAAGTGGATCCATAGGATAACAAGGGGGAAGGAAGGTAAGGAATGGATTATGAGAAGGGAGTGATGAGAAGGACAAACAGCTCTCCCACATGGAAAGAGTTTAAATAATAGTCTGTTCTTGATGTATGACCCACAGTGTCCAGAGAGGAGAAACCGTGGTGAGCTCATTTGGAAAGCCCGAACTCTCAACTTGATTGTGATACAAAATAAATACTGGTTCTATCAGAACAATTGGATTGTCTTATTTTTGTCACTGACAACATGGTAAGCTCAACCCCCATGTCAATTTCTGAGATGGCAAAATCAGCTGTAACTGAGGCAAAGCACCGTTAACGGACAAGACAATTTCATCAAGCAAAATATCACAAATAATATATTGCTGTTTGTCATCAAGACACTTAATACACCAGGGGCTGCTCCCAAAGCTCCCATAATCAATGTTTGCTAATTTACCAATTCTGTGGCTCTGTGAGGGTGCTGGTAATTTCATATTTTACACACCCACAGAGGTTACAGTAATTGATTCAGTTCTAGAAAGTGCTGTAATGACTTTGAATGAACTTGAAAGGTTTTGCATTTGTTTTCAGAGGCTGTTAGAGAGAGTGATTCAAACTCTGCCACACGGGCACAATTTGTAAAGGTTGGACATGAAAACGATGGATTAGCTTTTCTCGGAGACAGCTATCTTCTTGTTATAACCTCCCTGCTCATGAGGCAGGCTGGGCTTGGCACTGAAACACTTGACTTCCTTTTTATCTGTATCTCAATGGTGGCGGAAATAATCTCTGAACATCTGAAGGGAAAAAAGGCAATTATTGAAAAATCCTTCTAGAATGACTGGGCTTTTTGAATTCAATTTCTTTAACAAACACCCAAAAAGTAAGTTGGCAAAGATGAGAAGTTGTAGAAATTTTCTTCTTGACTTTGGCACTTCTGAAACTATATATATTCAGCTTCACTTTGCCCCTGAGTGTCTCTTTTCAGCCGCTTATGCCTGACTGGGAAGACAACGTCAGGAGGAGAAACCTGGAGCCCTGTCATAGTGGCACCAGCAGCATGGTTATTGCCATTTTTAAGGAGGGTTTTCTATGTCCCTGAAACTGTGCTGAGCATTTTGTACAATGAGAGCACTGAAGCTGAATGAATCCCTTTCAGGCGGCTCAGCCCATTTTACAGATCATGAAATTGAGGTTCAGCAAGGCTAAATATGTGCAGGCTTCCCAGTCTGTCTGGTTACAGTGCCTGTGCTCTTAATTACCCTCCTGTTCTGCTAGTCTACCAGTGGTGTGCTGGTGAATGTTTAACAACCAGCTTTCCGAAAACAAAAACAAAAACAACTAAACTCTGACTCGTAGCGTTTGCTTATTATTGTGGTGTAAATACTCCCACCACGGTTAATTTCAAGCTACTGATGTGATGTTGAGAAGTAAGGAAGAGATATGCAAGTGAGGTAGGAGGTGGGACTTTACTCTGGACCAGACTGAAGACTGGCTGAAAGAGGGAAGGGGCAAAAGCACCTTTCCAGAAGACACGCCCACCAGTGCCAGGTCAGTTGACCATTGCCACGGCAACTCCCAGAAGTTACCACCCTTTTTCATAGCAATGACCGGGAAGTTGCCATCCTTTTTCTAGACGTTTCTGAAAAACACGCCTCTTCATTTGCATGTAATTAAAATTGGGTATAACTATGACTGCAGACCTGACCCTAGGCTGCTACTTTCAACGCACTGTTTATGGGGTAGCCCTGCTCTGCAGGAGCGATCATGAGGCTGTAACACGGCTGCTGCCTTATTAAAGCTAAGGTTTCTTCTACCAGCAGCTTGCTCTTGAATTCTTTCCCGAGTGAAGCCAAGAATCTTCGTGGGCTAAGCCCCAGTTTTGGGGCTCACCTGCCCTGCATCACAAGGTCAGCTCTCATGCTGGTGTGATATCGACCCCATAAAGTTTCCTATGAACCATTTGTCTATTAATAAGCTCACCTTGCACTCCATTTTCTGATTTGTGCCCAGTATTGCAGCTCAGATTGCTTTTCCTAGTAGCCTCACTTTCACTCTCAGACTAAGTGTCAGATGCTACCACTATGGCCCTGTCTTCTGATTCATTCCCGGGGTATAAACATCCTACTAGTCTTTTGTCCGGCACCCCTGCAGGAAAGACCTTCACTCTGAGAACTGGACTTTCACAGAAACCATTTCAGAAAGACAACAACACCTCAGCCAGCTGCGGTGTTTGAGGGTGAGGTGTTCACTCATGAGGGTGTGTGGGGACATTTTCAAGAACTGAGTGCGCTGGTGAGTCGAGAGGTGAACTTTAAGCCCACTCAAACACTCCCACGTTGGAACCAACATGAGTGGGTGGAGAATGCACAAAGGGCTCTTAAAGTGGGTGAGAAATGACTTAGAGGAGCTGCCTGACTTCCGGGGTGGAGAAGAAGCCCCTCTCCAGGCTCAATAGGAACGGAGGCTCGGGAAGATGTTTAGGAGTTGCTATTCATCAGTGAGGGAAGAGATTGTGGGTAAGACTCCCTGGAGTGCAATTAGACCATATGGAAAACATTCTCATCTGTGTCCTGAGACTGCTCTTGAGAGAAGGTGGCAGAGTTGAATATATAATGAGGAGATGAACCAATGAGAAAGGGTGAAACCTGAATCTCAAGGGAGCCTCATGAGTTCGGTGGGAGACGATGGTGGCCAGGACTGGGGTGTGGGCAGTGCCCAGGGACAGTGGACGAGGAGGGGGAGTGCTGCTGAGGAGAGAGAAACCATCAAGGGTGAAACAGCTCTGGCTGTGGGAAGTGATGGCAAATCTGTATCCACTGCTGAACACCAGGCAGTTGGTACGGCAGGTTGAGAGAAGGGTGGTACTCAAGGCTTATTGAACACCCTGCATTAGGCTGGATACTTTATAGGTGGTGCTTTATTTTATCCTCATAAGAGTCCTTTCATGACAATGAAGCTGAGAACAGTTGCGACTGGTCACCCAGTTATATAACTGGTGTGGTTTGCAGTCAAGCCAGGATTTTCTGATTCCTCCTTGACCGCTGTCTGGTGTCACCGTATAGAAGCCATCACTTTCCTCCAAGCCCTCCCATTCTTTCCTCGCTGGGCTATTTCTTCTCTGTCTTCAAGCTCCTGGCTTTTGAAGCTACTATGTTTTGAGTTCTTAAGAAGCTAAAGCCATGACTAAAGGCTCTGCACCCAAAGTTTCATTAAATACACCCAACCATGCAGTTAGGTGAGTTCTCGCTATTCCTACCACCATTTTTCCCGGTAAAATTCTCATCTGCAGAGGGATAGAATCACTTGTCCAAGGTCACGCTGTGAATATATGGCAGAGCTGGGCTACGAACCATGATGGCATCCTGCCTGCTACTCTTCTGATGTGCTTAGGACCAACACGTTTCAAGACCTTCTGGGAAACAGCATTTGTGCAAGAGAAGAGTATGGTTTGATGGGGCCATTCTTTAAATGTTTTCCTGGTCCTGGCAGGCTGAGACAGGAGGATTGCTTGAGCCTGGGAGGTTGAGGCTGCAGTGAGCTATGATTACACCACTGCACTCCAGCCTGGGCAACAGAGCAAGACCTTGTCGCTAAAAAAAATAAAATAACTTTGTGGCCCAGAGCTCCGTGGATGCACATGGACAGACTCTTGTTTAATTGACAACCTAGGAAGCTCTTTTTTTTTTTTTTTTTTTATGTCTTTTTCTGGGGATTTTCCTGCTGACACAGAGAAGATGCCTTCATCTTTGCCCTTTAGAGAAAATGTATCAAGAAAATAACCGACAGTTGTTAATTTTCACATTCTAAATGCAAGGGTGAACGATTTAATTCCAGAGTTAGAAATAAGGCTCTAACTTCACATTTACAACCAGCAATGAGGTCCCAGGAAAACTGCATTTTTGTTTCCTAAGAAAGAGGCTACGTTGATGGGAAAAGGCTATATTGGAATGCTGTGTCCTTCTTCCACACCCATACGCCTCACAGGTTAAAATCCATCAACCGAGGTAAGATTTGGGTAAGTTACTTCATCCTGCTGGGCCTTGATTTTTTTTTTTTTTTCATGTATGAAGTAAGTGTGATAGAGAAGAGAGAAAATAATTCCTCCTTTTCTGGGTTATTATGAACCTTGAGTGAGAAAGTAAGGTGAACATGTGCAGAAAGCATGTTAAATGGTGATGTCAACCAGGTACAGTGTGGTAGTTAAGATGTAGATGCTGGTGTCTGACAGGCCAAGGGTCTGAAGGCCAGCTCTGCCATTTACTAATGGAGCAAGTTTGGAGAAGTGTTTTAGCCTTTCTTTCCCTTCCTTCCTTCCTTCCTTCCTTCCTTCCTTCCTTCCTTCCTTCCTTCCTTCCTTCCTTCCTTCCGTCTCTCCCTCCCTCCCTCTCTCCCTCTCTCCCTTTCTTCCTTTCTGTCTCTCTTCCTTTCTCTCCTTTCCCTCCCTCCCTCCCTCCCTTCCTTCCTTCCTCTCTGTCTTTTTTGAGACAGAGTCTCACTCTGTTGCCCAGGCTAGAGCACCATCATAGCTCATTGCAGCTTCAAACTCCTGGACTCAAGCAGTCCTCCCACTTCAGCCTTCCTAGTAGCTGGGACTACAGGTTACTCAGCTAATTTATTTTTGATACCTGACTAATTTATTTTTTATTTTTCTAAAGATGGGATCTAGCTATGTCACCTAGGCTGGTCTCAAATTCCTGGCCTCAAATTATTTTCCCACCTTGGCCTCCCAAAGTGCTAGGATTACAGGTGTGAGCCACTGCCTAGCCTGTTTTAGCTTTTCTGAGCCTCTGTTTCCTCATGTCTAAAAGAGAGATGTTAATGACACTGCATATAAGGTAGATGTGACGATGACGTGGGATAATACATGGAAAATGCTCAACACAGGGCCTGGTGTGTAGCAAACACTTAGTACATGGCAACTATTGTTGTAACAGGGACTACCTTGTCAGTAGTCCATCAAGTGGCTTCAGTAGGAGCCAAGAGGCAGTGAGGGTGGGGACGAGGAAGATGGGTTGGAATGTGGAGCAGGGGAGATCATTCCCCACTGGAGGAGTCCAGGAAGAGTCTGGGGGCTCATGTGGTTTGAGTTGGGTGCCAGGACAAGGAAAACGTTTCAAGAATGGCCCCATCAAAAGTTGAGGATGAAAGGAACCATACTGATAAGTTACGTTCCATGGACTCTTTGAGACACTTTTGTATATAAGACTTCCTGCTATTATAGAAAAACAAGGCCAGGCATTGTGGCTCACGTCTGTAATCTCAGCACTTTGGGAGGCTGAGGTGGGCAGATTACTTGAGGCCAGGAGTTCGAGACCAGCCTGGACAACTTGGTGAAACCCCGTCTCTACACAAAATACAAAAATTAGCATGGACATGGCCTGCACCTGTAATCCCAGTTACTGGGAGGTTGAATGAGGTAGGAGGATTGCTTGAGCCCAGGAGGCAGAAGTTGCAGTGAGCCATGATATCACCATCACACTCCAGCCTGGGCGACAGAGTGAGACCGTGCCAAAAAAAAAAAAAAAAAAAAAAAGGAAGAGAAAAACTAGTTACGGAAATGACAATACTTAATAGTATTTGCATGAAACAAAGAAAGAAATAGAGTGGTCATGAAATAAAAAATGCAGTGAAATTTAAAGAAATATTACATCTAGGTACATACTGCAGCTTTCTCCTTAATACTCATTGCTATTTACCCCAGCCTCAGGCTGATACTATCACAGACTGGAATTTAAAACTTACCTTGACTTAGGTTCCAGGACAATGTTTCTCAAAGGGTGGTCCAAGAACCACCTGCACTGAGCAAACTGAACTGGGATCTATGGGGTGAGGCAAGAACCTGCATTTGAAAGACACTTCTAGGTGAGCTCATGCACGAGAATGCCTGGGAACAATGTTCTGAATTTGTTCCTGAACGGGCATTATGGCGTGTGTTTCTCATGGCCATGCATATCTGAGTTCAGTGTGATTCTGTATTATCAAGGGGAAAGGGTGGAGGAGAAAGACAAACACAACCTCCTTAGAACAAGGCAAACAGATGAGCTCATAAAGCAAGGTGCTATGGGAAAGCACGAAAAGTGAGATGAATTCTGCCTCAAAGGACTTTAATGAGGATTAAAGAAGAAAGGTGGGTTTAGAGTGAGATTCACAGGATATTGAGGTCATGTGGTGTGGAAAAGGAGTCCGCAGAGGAAAGAAAAAGGAGGAATGGGTTATAAGACCTGGGCAAAAAGGAATGTGTAACCACCACAGTCTGCTCCACAGGCTGCAGAAATAGCTTGAGGAAGGGATGATGATAAAAACAGACAAACGTGGACCATGTTTTGGGAATCCAACCTGTGGCAGGAGCATTGCAAATATCAAAAATAGAGGGATAAAGCTGGAATTATGGACAGGAACAGTGAAGATCCTGAACACCACGCTGGTAATGGAAACATATTTGTTAAATACATGACATCAAATTTGCCATTTGAACCACTTTTAAGTGTCCAGCTCAGTGGCATTAAGCACATTCAGATGGTTGTGTAACCATCACCACCATCCATCTCAAACTCTGCACCCATTCAACATTGTTTCTCCTCCCAGGCCCTGGTAACCTTTATTTTACCTTCTGTCTCCATGAATTTGACTCTTCTAGATACCTCTTATAAGCAAGTTATACAATATTTGTCCTTTTGTGTCTGACTTACTTCATTTAGCATAATGTCTTGGGAAGTTTCATTCATGTAGCAAGTATCTGACTTTCCTTTATGTCTTTATTTTATTTTTTATTTTTATTTTTGAGATGGAATCTCGCTGTTGCCCAGGCTGGAGTGCAGTGGCACGATCTCAGCTCACTGCAACTTTTGCCTCCTGCTTTCGAGCAATTCCCCTGCCTCAGCCTCCTGAGTAGCTGGGACTACAGGCGTGTGCCACCGTGCCCAGCTATTTTTTTTTTTTTTTTTTGTATTTTTAGTAGAGATGGGGTTTCACCATGTTAGCCAGGATGGTCCCAATCTCCTGATCTCGTGATCTGCCTGCTTCGGCCTCCCAAAGTGCTGGGATTACAGGCGTGAGCCACCGTGCCCGGCCCAACTTTCCTTTATTTTTAAGGCTAAATAGTATTCCATTGTAGATGCATACAAAACATTTTTTAAATCCACTCACCCATTGACGGACATTTGGTTTCTCATTTAATATTTCTGAAACAAGGACTGTTGTGTCTGGGAATTGATGGAGGAAATAGGTATTGGGTAGGTTTTTTTGCTTTGTTTTGTTTTGTTTTTTTGAGACAGGGCCTCACTCTGTTGCCCATGCCGGAGTGCAGTGGAGCCATCTCAGCTCACTGCACCCTCCACCTCCGGGCTCAAGCAATCCTTACACCTCATCCTCCTGAGTAGCTGGGACTAGATGTGTGCCCTATCACTCCTGGGTAATTCAAAACACTTTTTTTTTTTTCTGTAGAGACAGGCTTTCACTACATCGTCCAGGCTGGTCTGGAACTCATGAGCTCAAGTGATCCTCCCAAAGGGGTAGGTATTTAGAATGAAGAAGGTAGTGCAAGGTCTTCTTTGTGGCCAGATGAGGACTCTGGGGTCTGGCTAACCAAAAGAGATAAATATCAACTAGTAATGAGTGCATGTCTGCTGTGTTGAAAAATATCCATGAGTGATTAGCTATGCCTTCCACACTCATGGAGGGAGGAGTGACACCTGCCAGGTATTTGCATTCCTGGTCTAAATTGTTTGGACTTGGGTTATCTTCATAGCTCTACTGCGGAAAGAGGCAGCATCTCTAACCCTTTAACCAGAGCCAAGGGAGGATCTTGGCAGTGTCAGAAGGGTCATTTCCAGCTTCAGATTATAGCTATGGCTTAAGAGGTATGAACAATTCAGCCTCCGCCCTTGGCAATATCTCGAACTGAAGGATCAATAGTTTTTTTATTTTGTTTTCTCTTTCCTCTGCTGAATCATCAGTGGTGAGAATGAAAAAGTGCTGGAATTCTTGATCTTAGGAATCCGGGTGAGTCCTTCTTCCAGAAAATCAGCACCTGCTGGTTGACTCAAAACTTGAAGTGAACTTTCCGGGACGGGATGCCTTTGAAAATCAGGGAGTGTGTCATTTGCGCCTGTTACTCCAAGCTATGTCGATTCATTCATTCATTTGTAACGGGCTTCCCCTATTTTTCTAGCAATTGTTCTCTCTTTTTCTGTGGTGACAGTGCTTTGCTTTTCCCCGGGGAAAGTGCTGCTCTTCTATTCCCTGCGGCCTCGGTGGGGCCTTCCATCAAGGTGTCCTGCCCAGTTCCAGCTCCCAGCCACAAAGATGGTTCCAGGATGAAGCCTGGCCAGTCAGAGATTTTTACATCCCTGGCCCCAGAGAGTGATTCAGGGAGAGAATCATGTCCCAAACATGTCCTTTGAGAGTTTACACCCACCCATGGAAAAGTAGGGATCTTTCACTTAGATCAGGGATTGGCAAATTTTTTTCTGTAAAGGGCCAGATGGTAAATATTTTAGGCTTTTTGGGCCATTCAGTCTCTGTTGCAGCTACTCAGTGCTGCCGCCTCTAGTGCAAAAGTATCCATAGACTATATAGATACTTCAATGAATGGGTGTGACTGTATTCCAATAAAACTTTATTTACAAAAATGAGCAGTGGGCCGCATTTGACCTATTGCCAATCCTTGTCTTAATTCTTGCCAATCTAGGACCCACCTCATGAAGACAGCCACCTTGAAATGAACTCAGGGGAAAACAGAACTAAAATTAAGAGAGAATGAGCTTGGACAACAGTCGCTGACTCCTGAATTTAGCAATGCTTGAAGGCAGCTGCCCCTTGGACAAGCCAGTTATGTCTTCCAACATTATCTTTTACTGCTGGTGGTAATTTGATATGGGTTCTTTCATTAAAGGGAGTCCTGGCTCATAGGGACCTTTTTGCTAAAACCTCCCTGGCTCATAGGGACCTTTCCAGCCATCTGCTCTGGGAGTCTTAAAATTGTAAAATGAACTGGGAAGGCCCATCAACAACCAAGCAGGAAAGAGAAGAGGGACTTTTCAAAATCTCAGTTCAGAGGCCTCCACTGAGCTTTCCCATTGGCCAGAAGCAGGGAGGCTGGTATTGTCCACCTATCCCCTGCCCCTACCAAAGTGCTATATACTCTTTCAACCATTTATTGAGCACCTAGTATTTGCCAAGCCATGTGCCTTGACCTAGAAGGAAGGGAAGAGTGGATACGTGTTCCATTGTACAGTACATGACCAGTGTGCGTGCTGTGGGCACCTGCATACCATATTTCATGCCATCCTTATAACAGCCCAAAGAAACAGGATCGTTATTTCCATCTTGCACATAAGAAATCATCAGCAATAGAGCTGAAGAGGGTTAAGTGAGTAGCTGGGACTGCAGGTGCATGCCACCACACCCAGCTAATTTTATTTTTATTTTTTGTAGGGATGGGGTTTCATCATGTTGCCCAGGCTGGTCTCAAACTCCTGAGTTCAAGTGATCCACCCGCCTCGGCCTGCCAAGGTGTTGGGATGACAAGTGTGAATCACTGAACCTAGCTGGAGTTTTTGTTATAGGATATTGTGTGGCAGAGCCTGGGACATGAGCTCGAGACCTGGGACTGAGGAGGAGAGAAAGGAAGAGAGAGGGAGGGAGGGAGGGAAGTCAGGGAGAGATACAGGGAGAGTGCAAAGAGAGATGCAAAGAATAGAAACAAAAAGAAAGGAGGCTTTCTTAGTGACTTTAACTGTGACATTCAACCCAAGAAAAGAAAGAAAATTAATGCCTTCAGTTTGGAGACTTTGACAGATTCCGTGCCAGAGCTTAAGCTGACTGAGAGGACGTTTGAACGCTCATGAAGAGCCCACCCACAGCCTCAAGATGCACTGGTCTTCAGAGTGCAATGACGTCTGCACTGGCATCTCATCCATGCTCCTCCAAGAGCTGAACCCATTAGCTTGGCCAATCTATTCCTTCCAGCAACAGCCTGAGAGCCAATGAATGACCTAGAAGGCAGACACCCTGGGGGTATAGCACGAGTCTTCACCAACCTATTCAGGGCATCCTGCCAGCTTTGGCTGTCCAGCAGTGCCTGCATGTTGAGGATATATTGACGCTCCACAGTCACAGCGTGGCATGATGGCCCCTGGCGTGACCGTCGTGCTTCCTTTGAATCAACATATTGGTGGTCTAACCATGACCTGTGTTGACACTATGGCCACACAGTAGCCTTAGAGGACACTCACAATGTAAGCAAGCGTGTATCAATACTTGGACAGAGGAGGGTGTGGTGTTTGTGTGTGCATAAAAAGTATGTGTTATTGTTGTTTTATAAAGGGAGTGCTGTTTTGGAGATTCTTCCATATTTGCAGTAATAAATCTATATCATTATTGCTAACTGGTTTTCTGTAGTTCTGTTGTAGCAATGGCACTTCAGCAAATACCTATGTATGAGTGTATATGTATGAATATTTCTCTAGATAATGAAAAAGGAAGGGATAATGCACTGAAGAGAGGCAAGGACATTGCCAGATTAATTTCTACATCTCTGCTTGAATCTTCTTGCTGTTCCTGCAAGCAGGGCAGGGGCTTTGATTGTGCTATTAAGAATTTTGCTAAAACCTCCATGGTAGCAGAATAATTATCGTAGGCAGAATAATGACCCCTCCCATCCCCAAAGATATCCATATCTTAGTTCCTGGAATCTGTGAACATATTGGGTTACGTGGCAAAGGGGGATTAAACTTGCAGATGGAATTAAGGTTGCTAATCAGCTGACACTGAGATGGAAAGATTATCCTGGATTATTGAGGTGAGTCTGTTGCAATCACAGGGGTTCTTATAAGAGGGGGAGAAAGAGAGAAAAGAAAGGGAGCCAGGAGACAAGAGCATGAGAAGGATTTAGTCTTTTCTTGAGAGGAAGGGGTCCTGAGCCAAGGAATGTAGGTGACCTCTAGAAGCAGAAAAGACATGGAAATGAATTCTTCCCTAGAGCCTCCAGAAGAAATGCAACCCTGCCAATATTTTGATTTCAGCCCAGTGAGATCAGTTTCAGATTCTACAATTGTAAGATCATAGATTTGAGTTCAGAAGCCTCGAAGTTTGTAGTAATTTGTTATAGCATCAACAGAAAGCAAATACAGTCCTTGTCCAAAAATATCCCTCATACCCCAGAGCACAGAGGAATCTATTTCTGAGAATGGTTTTATGGAACTCATAGGGTGGGAGGCTGGAGGAGGGTTAGCCCTCGAGTAAAGCTGCTAGGGGCACTGGAGCAGTATAGACTGTTAATATTTGCTGCAAGAGACTCGATTTTGACATTCCAGTCATGCTAGGACCACATGTGTATATATATATACATACACATATATATATATATTAGATGGAGTCTGTCTTTGTTGTCCAGGCTGGAGTGCAGTTGCATCATCTCAGCTCACTGCAAACTCTGCCCTCTGGGCTCAAGTGATTCTCCTGCCTCAACCTCTAGAGTGCTGGGATTACAGGTGCCCGCCGCCACACTCAGCTAATTTTTGTATTCTTAGTAAAGATGCGGTTTCATCATGTTGGCCAGACTGGTCTCAAACTCCTGACCTCAAGTATCTGCCTGCCTCGGCCTCCCATAGTGCTGGAATTACAGGTGTGAGCCACTGCACCCGTCCTGTTAATTGATAATGTTGCTACCTCCTTCCACTCCAAAGATGCCACTTGCAGACATGCATAAATAGTTTTCAGAGTCCACTCGTGAGACAAGGTTTTGATGGGGACACGAGGGACTCTTCTCAGACCACGCCTACTGCAGTGCCTGGATCAGGAAGAGCTTTGGGTTCTTCAGCGAATGAAGCATGCTTATGTACAAGGTCACCCTGGCCAAACCCTCATTTTCACGAGCAACCGCAAATGTCCTGTCTTATCAGGATCCCAGGGAGGGAATGAGCAATAATGGTATCAGTTTTACTCTTCACTGCTGCTTTGCAAAATCACCATTTCTTCTCACCTTGTCCTTCTCTCTCCTTGTCTTTCTGCCTTCCCCTCTGTTCTGCACAGCCAGCCTCTCCCATTCACTCTCAAAATTAAAAGGGACTAGCAAATGGCTAGGCAGTCTTGACACACTCTTGCAGCATCAAACACTCTGGTTGGTTTGGGGCTGCTTCTGCCAGAGGCAATCAGCCCTGAAAGTTCGAAACAGTTGTCTAACAGGAAGTTTCAGCCCTCACCATCTGTGGGCTTGGGCACTGCTGATGAGAATAATGTCAGGCAGCCTGTGTCATCTTCAGATTCAGCAGAAAAAGAAAACACAATAAAGATATTTTCATTTGCAGAAATAAAAAGAGATCAGCTCGGGGCTGTGAACTGGTGCAGCATCTGAGCAAATCTAACAAGATGAGTTCATCTTGAAGGAATAGAGGGAAGATATTTAAAGTGTTAGCTCTGAAGTTGGGTGAGAATCCTAGCTCCACCACATTGAGACTCTTACTTAAACTCTAATACTTCTTTTTCCCATCTGTGAAATGGGATATTCGGTCCTTAGCCCATAGCAGAGAGGAATCTATTTCTGAGAATAGTTTTATGGCCCTCCTGGGGTGAGAGGCTGGAGGAGGGTGAACCCTTGAGTAAAGCTGCTGGAGGCACCGGATCAGTATAGACTTTGTCAATATTTCCTGCAAAGAAACTCACAATGTTTGTAAGTAGGCACTGATTTTGAAAAGACCTATATATTCCACATTTTTTAGTTGAAGAAACTCTGGGTTTGTGACCCTGTGCAAATCGTTTTAATATCTCCATGCCTCACTTTTCTTAAACGTAAAAGGGAAGTATCACTGGTGCTTACCTCATACAATTGTGTGGATTTGGCCGGGAGCGGTGGCTTAAACGCCTGTAATCCCAGAACTTTGGGAGGCTGAGGCGGGCGGATCACAAGGTCAGGAGATTAAGACAATCTGGCCAACACGGTGAAACCCTGTCTCTACTAAAAATACAAAAACTAGCCAGGCGTGGTGGCGCATGCCTGTAATCCCAGCTACTGGGGAGGCTGAGGCAGGAGGATCACTTGAACCCAGGAGGCAGAGGTTGCGGTGAGCTGAGATTGGGCGCCACTGCACTCCAGCCTCCGTGACAGAGCAAGACTGTCTCAAAAAAAAAAAAAAAATTATGTGGATTTAATGAGTCAAGACAAGAGAAACACTTAGATTAGTGCCTGCCATACAGTATGTGCCCAATAAATTAGATATGGTGATGAGAGTGTCATCGGTACTCTTGCTTGCAAATGGCCACCCTGACTGGATTCAGCTAGGGCAAAAGGTGGTAGGTGTGTTATGGGCATAGTAACTCAGCTATGGACAGCAAGGAAATACAGCAAGAAACAGAGAGGTTCTTTCTCCTCCCACCTCTCAGCTTTCTTCTATATTCCTGCCAAGCATTTATTTTGTCTTTCTGAGAATGGCTTTCATTAGCCCCCATGGCCACCAAAAGGTAAAAATTAGACTTTTCCCAGGTTTTTCACCAGAGAGGGCAGAAACCTACTTCCAGCTCCAGGTGGAAAAATTCTGAGGAAGAGGAATGATTGGGTTGGCTCCTATCATGTTCCTGCCTCTTAGACCAATCACTGTGGCCAGGGTGGTGAGGTCCTGTGATTGGCTGAGTTTTAATCACATGACTGTTGGACGTCCTATAATTGGCTCAGTTTTAATCACATGACTAAGGTCCCAAGATGGGCTCAGATTCAATCACATGACTTCTTGGGGATAGTATGTATGGTTGATATGAAAGAAAGAGCATTTCCCCAAAGAATCGACATGCGGGGCAGACAGAGGAATGGATGTGTGTTATAGTAAAAGAAGAGCCCAGCGTATTTTCTAGCATGCAGCAGGATCTCAGTAGATCAGCCTTCATCTGTTAGACCCAGCCTCAAGAGTCCTTCTCTATAAAATGGGCATCTCCTATTACTACTAGTAAGGATGAAATAACATACTTTAGTACCTAGTACTGCAGAAGAGTATTAGGTGCTTTGTAAATTTCTTTGTCCTTACCCTTTCTGTAGCTACAGATGTAGAAGACCACCGTATAAATAACTCAAATTATACACTGCTGGTGGGCATGTAAATTAGTTCGGCTGCTGTGGAAGGCAGTTTGGAGATTTCTCAAAGAACTAAAAACAGAGCTACCGTTGGATTCAAGAATCCTGTTACTGGGTATATACCCACAGGATCACAAATCATCTTGCCAAAAAGACAACGTATATTCTTGCCAAAAAGACACATATTCTCGTATGTTCATCACAGCGTTATTCACAACAGCAAAGATGTGGAATCAACCTAGAGGTCCATCAGTGGTGGGCTGGATAAAGAAAACGTGGTGCACATACACCATGGAATACCATGCAGCCATGAAAAAACGAAATCATGCCTTTTGCAGCAACATGGATGCAGCCGGAGGTCATTATCCCAAACAAATCAATGCAGAAACAGAAAATCAAATACCACATGCTCTCACTTATAAGTGGAAACTGAACATTGGGTGCACATGGACATAAAGATGAGAATGACAGACACTGGGGACTACCAGAGTGGGGAGGGATGGAGGGGGTAAATGTTGACAAACTAGGTTGGGTCCTATCTATGCTCATTACCTGGGTGACAAATTCAGCCATACCCCAAACCTCAGCATCATACAATATACCCAGATAACGAACTTGCACATGGACACCCTGAAACTAAATTAAAAAGTAAAAAAGAAAAAATACCCAAAGCTTCTTGAGGAAATCTGCTTGAGAGCTGCCTCCCTGCACGACCCCAGAAACTCCAAAGCAAATGTAAGTTGAGAAACACTGCACTTATCACTTAGTAATTAGGCCGTGATTGTTGTTTATCTGGGCGCTGTACTGTAACTCCCTCTGCCTGAGGCTGGTGCTGGAGCTCGGAAAATACAATTTCCTCCAAACTAATTTAGTTTTAAGAGGAAAATGAAAGTTTAAAGTAGTTTAATGTTTCAGCAAAACCATAATGGCTGGGGAAGATTGGACGATGTGAACCAATAAAGCACCCTAATTCTGATAATAACTCAAGGCTTAACTCTTCCCACATCAAAACCTATCCTGAAGCTGACACTTGGCACAGGACAACATGGTTTCAGCCGATGGTTGAGCAGTCATTCTTCTTTATTTATTTTAATTTATTTATTTTTAATCAACAGCATCACTTTTGACTTTAGTAGAGCCGTAGAGACACAGCTGTTAATATCATTTATGGAGCCCTGTAGTTACACCTTTAGAGACAACCTCAGGATTTATTCGTTTCCATTTGCAAGTTTTCCCCAGACCTAGGGTTCTCAGGAGGAGTCCCATCCTTGGGCTGAACATGTAAGATCGTTGTTAAAAATCCCTGAGTCAAAACATTAATTCTAAAACTTGAAACCTCTGAGAGTCCCAGTTTCTCATGTACAAAATAGGCAGAAAGAGAAGGACTTTGTAGGGTTGTTGTTAGAATTAAATTGGGTAGTGATATAAGGCACTTGGCCAATAAGACTGAAGTGGTGGGGGTGAGGAGAGAGAGAGAAAGAGAGAGAGAGAGAGGGGAGAGCAGGAGGGAGAACTAAGAACACAGCATCCATTCTTTTGCTGCACATTTTTATGCTTTTTTCAACTTTTGTTTTAGATTCAGGGGGTATATATGCAGGTTTTGTTTGTTTGTTTTTAACCTGGTGTATTGTGTGATGCTGAGGTTTGGTGTGTGATTGAATCCATAACCCAGGTAGTAAGCACTGTATCCAATAGTTAGTTTTTCAATCCTTGTTCCCCACCTGCTCTCCCTGCTCCAGTGGTCTGCGGTGGCTATTGTTCTCATGTTTATAACCATGAGTACTCAATATTTAGCTCCCACTTATAAGTCAAAACATTTGGTATTTGGTTTTCTGTTTTTGTGTTAATTCGCTTAGGATAATTGCCTACACCTACATCCATATTGCTGCAAAAGGCACGATTTTTCTCTTTTTTATGGCTGCATAGTATCCCATGGTGCACATTTTCTTTATCCAGCCCATCATGGATGGGCCCCTAGGTTGATTTCCTTGCTATTGTGTATTGTCTTTCCTATTGTGAATAGTGCTTTGATGACCATGTGAGTGCATGTGTCTGTTTGGTGGAATGATTTATTTTCCTTTGGGTATATACCCAGTAATGGGGTTGCTGGGCTGAATGGTTGTTCTGTGTTAAGTTCCTTGAGAACTCTCCAAGCTGCTTTCCAAAGGGGCTGAACAAAATTACATGTTCATCAACAGAGGTTTAGCGTTCCCTTTTCTCCGCAGCCCCACCGGCATCTGTGTTTTTTGACTTTTTAGTAATAGCCATTATGATTGGTGTGAGTTGATATATCATTGTGGTTTTGATTTTTTGCCCCACTTCTTGAGTACCTACTCTGTGGCTGGCATTATCACGGCACCTGAGGATCCATGAAGCCACAGAACATGGAACCAGACTCAAGGAGTTTCCAGTCTCACTGGGGATATAAGCAAACAATCAGAGGATCTCAGTCCTTCAGTGCTGTAGCGTTCTCATTTCTAAAGTGGGAATAATCCTGGAACCAGTTTCCAAGGGTTGTTGGTGGATTCAACATGTCAAGCTTTTAGAAGAGGCTCTGGCATATAATTAGTGCTCAGGGCATATTGGCTGGCTTTTTATTTTCTTACAGGAAAGCAATTAATTAACAGAAAATATTTTCAGGAGCCCTCAAAGGGGGGCAACCACGGTGACCCCCCTTCCTGGGAGTGCTGTCAGAGGGGAAATGGAGTGACATCTTCAATCTGCCGGATCTTCATACCTGAGCAGGCAAGGGGCTCTGAGGGACATCTGGGCCCCAGGTCTAGGGGACTTGTTCCTGTTTCCTCCTGTGGCCCAGAGTTTGATGTGTAGGGCAGTGATGCCCAGCTCCTTGCACCTCTGGGCCACATCCTGGGTGGCCAGCATGGCAGCTTATGGTAAGGTTTCATCTGGGTCTGCCTTCACCTACATCCCACCAGTAACACGGCAGAGCGTTTCTTTGACAGAAAGATCTAAAAGAACAAAAATCATGCCCTTTGCAGCAAATGGATGCAGCTGGAAGCTGCATCTTCCAGCCATGGACAAAAGTGACATGGACCAAAGTGTCAGTGAAGGATGCAAAAATTTGGCAGACACCAAATACATTCTCTCCTACACCCACCCAAGGTCCAAGGCTGATGACCTGTTCTTCCTTCTTTTCCTTCCCCTTTTGAGGTGCCATTTCTACATGTCGTCTCCCGCTTGCTGGTTTTTAAGACTGACAGTTTGCAAATGCTCCACATTTGTAAGGGTGACCTAGAACTGGCAAACGTCTTAGATGGCGACTCTCCAGTTCATGGGTCTGGCAGTGTTCAGCATTCAGAATTTCCTTATATAACAATGCTTGCATCGCTGATCTTGGTTTTTTGTTTTTTAAGTTTATTTATGCATTGATACTGAGAAAAGCTTCCTTGTGATGATGTGACAAAACTGATTATTATCATACTTAAAGTATAAAACTTCCGCTTCCCCCAGTTAATCACTGTTCTGGTTTCTTTCACCATGTATTAATTTTGCCTCTTTTAGAATTTAATGTAAATGGGATCATGGAGTATGCCTTTTTTTGAGAAAGGCTGATCCCCAGCGAGGCATCTTTGAGGTTCACTGTGTTATGTGACATGCATTACATGTATCCACCTTTTTATTGCCAAATATTATTCCTTCCTTCCTCGGGGAGAGTGCTGCTGATCTTGGGTTTGAGGGCCTGGGAATCCACGCCTCTGAACTCTGCTGACCCTCCTAACAGCTCTCGACTCCACTTGGTGGCAGAGAGGTATGAGAGAGGAGGTGTGGGGCTTTGGTTCTTGCAGACCTGAGTGAATCTTGGCTCTGCTACTCACTAGTTGTGTGACTTATCATGTTATTAATATATAATCCATGACCATCCTCAGTTTTTTCACCTGTGAAATGAGCAGGCTGGTACTTACTGTATGGGTCATTGTCAAGAGTAAGTGAAATAATTCCCACTGTGGCTACTCAAGTCCAAACTTCTATTATCTTTTGCTGGGGCAACTACCATGGTTTTTATGCTTCCTCCTTTGTGCCTTATTATCAGTCTATTGCCCATACAGTATTTATAGCAATGATTAGTAATGTAGATTAGATCCCATGTTTCTTCTCAAAAACTTCCAATGACTTCCCATCACATAATTGATTGATTGATTGATTGACAGGGTCTTGCTCTGCCACCCAGGCTGGAATGCAGTGGTGCAATCACAGGTCGCTGCAGCCTTGAACTTCTGGGCTCAAGTGATCCTCCCATCTAAGCCTCCTGAGTATCTGGGACCACAGGCATGCACCACCATGCTTGGCTAAGTAAAGAACATTGCTTTTTTTTTTTTTTTTTTTTTTTTTTAAGGGACAGGGTCTCACTATGTTGCCCAGGCTGGTCTTAAACTCCCGGTCTCAAGTGATCCTCCTGCCTTGGCCGCCCAAAGTGCTGGGACTAGAGGCATGAGCAACTGCACTCAGTCCCCATTGCATTTAAATAATATCCAAGCTCTTTACCTTGGCCTGCCAGGCCCTTCATCATCTGGCCCGTGCCCTGCTCTCCAACCATATTTCCCGACTCTTCTTCACCATGATCTTCCAGCTGCATTGACCTCCCTTCTGTTCTTTAAAGCTTTGAGGCTGCTTCCAACCTCAGGGTGTCACTCCTGCATAGAATCCATATCCCCTAGATCTTTGTAAGATTAGCTTCTTATTATCATCTGGTGTCAGGTCAAATGTCTCCTCTTCAGTTTAAATGTCACCTCTTGCCTGACCAGGCTAAACTTGACCCCTTCTCCTGTTTTAGTCAATTTCCTTCTCTAGTTACCCAATTTTATTTTCTTCATTGTTGTCATCATTAACAGATCCATCTGTTTATGGGTTTACCATCTCCTTCTATCACATAAGTTCCATAAGGACAGAGGTCTTGCCTGGGGTATTCACTTCTGTATCCTCAATACGTAAAAGAGTGCCTGGCATATAGTCGATGCTTAACCAATATTTGTAGAATACATGAACGAAGTGATGTCTTCAAGGTGTTTAACAGCAAAAACAAAACACAATAGTTGGCTTTCCTATGTTGACTACTGTGGTTTAGTTTTATTTATGTACAAATTTAAAGTGTTTCAGTGTTTATTTAGGGAGTCATCCAGACATTCCAACTACTTAGCTCCTTAACAGGCTTGCATGGCTTCTGAATGGCTCTCTCCCTTCTTGCCACTTCCCTAGAGAGCTCCTTGCTTCTTGGTGGCTTCCATCACCTATCTTGTCTCTTAAAATTGTGGGTGTTTTGATATTTGGTTTCTATGGCATTTCATGAAAGCTCATACAGAGAACAGATATAAGGACATTAGATCTGCCACTCCACTGCCACTCTTGGAGGGAGATCCGAGTCTGGATCGCTTTGAATTGTTTGTTGTTTGCATAATGGCTCTCCTTTGTTCTCTGCTAATTGTATTAGAGTACCTTGATTAAACAAATGTGCCTTCAGGCAGTGGAGCCGGTTATAGCACCTCTGTTTACTAAGCTTTCCATGGAAAAAGGCGAAGCATGCGTGCTTCCAGTGTTAAAAATACACATTTAGTTGTTTTAAGCCACGGTCAGTTTGGGAATTTCACTTCTCTCAGGACAAAGGTGAAGTTCAAAGAAGCAAGTTGTGTTTCCCTTTAAGGTTATCATTGTGATTGGAGGGGAGTGAATTGAGGAAGTTGTTGCATAACCTCACAATTATGTTTGGTCTGTGATTCACACTTATGGGAAGGTAATAGGCAGCCAATAAAATCTTCTAAGATTATGACAGTTGAATGGTCTCTGCCTTGATTTATGTCTGACCAGGACGCTGATGACTATAACTATATGGTAGGATAGGTCTTAGCACCCACCTGACCTTTGTAGCTTTGCTTCCTGTCATTTGTCCTGATATGCTCAGTGTTTCAGCCAATTAACTTTTATATATACATAAGGGGTCTTCAGAAAGTTCATGGAAATGTGAATTTTCCATGCATAGTGAAAAAACTATGCTTGGATTTCTGTTTCTTTTTTCCACCAAAATAAACTTGTTTTAACTTGTTACAGTATGTCTGAAGTCAATCTAGTTTTAGACACTCAGAAGGACAAGACATTCGTTTGAAAAGAGCCCCTCCCTGAGAAACATAAATTCTGCTATAATTGAAGCAAGAACAAACATCAAATTTATGTTGAGACTTGAGTGGAAGAATGGTGAGATGCTTCATGAAAAGTTTATGGGGACAATGCCCCCAGGAAATCAGCAGTTTACAAATGGATAACTGGTTGTAAGAAGATATGAGATGATGTTGAAGATGAAGCCCACAGTGGCAGACCATCCACATCAATCTGCGAGGAAAAAATTAATCTCGTTCATGCCCTAATTGAAAAGAATCAATCATTAACCACAGAAACAATAGCCAACACCACAGGCATCTCAATTGGTTCAGCATACACAATTCTGACTCAAAAATTAAAATTGTCCCAGCTACTTGGGAGGCTGAGGCAGAAGAATGGCATGAACCCGGGAGGCGCAGCTTGCAGTGAGCTGAGATCGCGCCACTGCACTCCAGCCTGGGCAACAGAGCGAGACTCCATCTCAAAAAAAAAAAAAAAGAATTAAAAATTAAGATTGGGAGCCATGAGCACTGGCTCACACCTCTAATCCCAGCATTTTGGGAAGCCAACTTGGGCAGATCACGAGGTCAAGAGATCCAGACCATCCTGACCAACATGGTGAAACCCTGTCTCTACTAAAAATACAAAAATTAGCTGGGCATGGTGGTGTAAGCCTGTAGTTCCAGCTACTTGGGAGGCTGAGGCAGGAGAATCTCTTGAACTAGGGAGGCAGGGGTTGCACCACTGCATTCCATCCTAGTCACAGAGTGAGACTCCATCTCAAAAAAAAAAAAGAAAAATTGAGCAAACTTTCTACTTGATGGGTGCCAAAACTGTTGTGTCCAGATTTGTTGCAGATAAGAGGTTTCAATGAAAATTTTAAACAAATAGGATCAAGATCCTAAAGCATTTCTCAAAGAACTGTAACAGGACCTGAAACATGACTTTATCAGTATGATCCTGAAGATAAAACACAATCAAAGCAATGGCTACCAAGAGGTGGAAGTGGTCCAGTCAAAGTAAAAGTGGACTGGTCAAGAGCAAAGGTCAAGGCAATACTTTTTTGAGATGCTCAAGACATTTTGCTTGTTGACTTTTTGGAGGGTCAATGAATGATAATATCTGCTTAGTATGAGAGTGTTTTGAGAAAGTTAGCCAAAGCTTTAGCAGGAAATCACCTGAGAAACCTTCACCAGAAATTTCTTCTCTATCATGACAATGCTGCTGCTCATTCTTCTCATCAAACAAAGGCAATTTTGCAAGTGTTTTGTTGGGAAATCCTTAGACATCTCCCTTATAGCCCTGATTTGGCTACTTCGGACTTCTTTTTATTTCCTAATCTTAAAATATCTTTAAAGGGCACTCGTTTTTTTCCAGTTAATAGTATAAAAAAGACTACATTGAGATGGTTGAATTCCCAGGACTCTCAGTTCTTTAGGGATGGACTAATGGCTGGTATCATTGCTTACAAAAGTGTCCTGAACTTGATGGAAATTCTGTTGAGAAATAAAGTTTATATTTTCATTTTTATCCTTCTTTGTTTTGTTTTATTTTTGTTTTTTTTGAAACAGAGTCTCACTCTGTCACCCAGGCTGGAGTGCAGTGGCATGATCTCGGCTCACTGCAACCTCTGCCTCCTGGGTTCAAATGATTCTCCTGCCTCAGTCTCCCAAGTAGCTGGGATTACAGGTGCCTGCCACCATGACTGGCTATATTTTTGTATTTTTAGTAGAGACAGGGTTTCACCATGTTGGCCAGGCTGGTCTTGAACTCCTGGCTTTAAGCAATCCTCTTCCCTTGGCCTCCCAAAGTGCTGGGATTACAGATATGAGCCAATGTGCCCGGCCCATTTTTATCTTTTAATTCCACTTTTACATGAACTTTTTGAAGCCCGCGCGTGTGTGTGTGTGTGTGTGCATGCGTGTGTCCTAAAATATCTAAATTCCAGAGAAAAAATCTTCCTCTTTTATGTGTGCTTTAATCATGTGGTATCATTTCTGTCCTCAATGTATTTTCCCCTTATTTCACCTTCAAAACATACTCCAAGATCAGGCTCAAATTTCATCGCCTTTACCAAGTCTTCCCGGATTGTCCAGAGGTAGTTCCTTGCTGTATTAGTCTGTTCTTGCATTGCTCTAAAGAAATACCTGATACTGGGTAATGTATAAAGAAAAGAGGTTTAATTATACAGACTGTATAGGAAGCATAGCTGGGGAGGCCTCAGGAAACTTACAATCATAGTGGATGGTGAAGGGGAAGCAGGAACATCTTACAAGTCTGGAGCAGGGGGAAGGGAGCAGGGTAGGTGCTACACACTCCTAAACAACCACTTAAACAACAATCTTTGGCCACAGGCTGAAGGCTGCATGGTCGGCTTCCCTGGTTTTGAGGCTTTTTGACTCGGATTGAGCACTACTGGCTTCTTTCTTCCCCATCTTGCAGATAGCCTATCATGGGACTTTGCCTTATGATTGTGTGAGTCACTTCTCCCTAATAAATTCCCTTTCATATATACATATATCCTATGAGTTCTGTCCCTCTGGAGATTCCTGACTGATGCAGGCTTCTTGGGAATCACTTTCTTTTTCCTTGTGTATCTCCCTGTGGACTCTTCAGCATGGTGGCTCCAGGGCAGCAAGGCTTCTTATAGGGCAGCTCAGGGCTCCAAAGAAGTGTGGGTGGAGGGAGGGGTGCAGGGCTGTATCTCCTTTCACGACCGAGCTTCAGAAGTCATGCAGCCTCACTCTGTCACATTCTATTTATTGTGATGGTCCCAAAGGCCTTAATTCAAGGAAGGGGGCATAGACTCCATCTCTTGATGGGAGATTAACAAAGTTCTGTAGTAGCACATGACGCCAGAAGCATTGCTGCCGATGATGGATTATGGAAATACAATCTTAGTTTGCCTTCTGGTCATGATCATTCACAGTCCTTCCACTTGCAAAATACACTCAACCCCTCCTCTAAAGCACCTTGATGCCATATCATTTTATGCTATCAATCTTGGGCTTGAGGTCCAGTATCTTGTTATCAAAGTTCAGGTGTGAATGAAGCTTCCTGACTGTCTCACTAACACACCACGGTGAGACAGGCACAGATCGTTATAGACACTCGCATTCAAAACATGGGAAAATAGCAGTCACATAGCATTCATTGGTGCATAGGCATTTTGAAATGCAGCTGAGTACGTGTTGCTAGTTCTTTAATTACTATTTAGCTCTATTTCCTGGGAATAATTCTCTATGCAATGGAATCCTGGTTCACCTTTTGAATTATCCTTCCTTCTCTATAAAACAGCTCGTGTTTGCAGCCAAATAGTTTTTTTTTTTTTCCAGTCTGATTCCTATCCATAGTACTTTTTGGAGGGAATGTCTAAAGACTTCCTTTTGCTTTGTGTGAGCTCTGTCCAGAAAAATAGGCTGGCAGAACATCACCAGCTTCAACTACGAAG
Source organism: Homo sapiens (assembly GCF_000001405.40). Classification (NCBI taxonomy): domain Eukaryota; kingdom Metazoa; phylum Chordata; class Mammalia; order Primates; family Hominidae; genus Homo; species Homo sapiens. The sequence continues at coordinate 8,501,687 of NC_000016.10, read as the reverse complement.
CTGGTGATGTTTTTGCCAACATAATTTTCTTAACAACTTTGAAGATTTTTAGTGAATCTTATTTGGGTTCACTCAATTAGCTAAAATCAATACCCACAAATCTTGTTGATAAAAGCGATTCTCTACCTTGGGCTCCCTGGAAAGCTGCTGTGAAACGTTGCCCTAATTGTTATGAGTTTAATGAAGTTCAGTGAGGAATGTCTGAGAGGCATACCTGTAAGATCCTTAGAGGACCTTTTGTTTGCTGAAAGGGTCTGTGAGGTACCACCTTAAATTTTTCTAAAGCCTGAAGAAAGGGTGTCATAGTTCTACTCTGGATTTGATTTTTGTTCTAAGATCATTTCTTAATGTAAGAAAAAAAATTTTTTTTTCATGTGGAGAGGCTAGAAATGAGAAACAACTTTATTTTCAAACCCATCAGTCCAAGATCTTTCACACTTTCTTTAAATTTGGTTGAAAATCAAACAGTTCATTTTTCAAGTCATGTTTCTCCATGCTTATCTTTTATTGATTGATTGATTGACTGATTGAGACAGGGTCTCACTCTGTTGCCCAGGTTGGAGTGCAACAGCACGATCTCGGCTCACTGCAACCTCCACCTCCTGGGTTTGAGTGATTCTCCTGCCTCAGACTCCTAAATAGCTGGGATTACAGGTGCATGCCACCACGCCTGGCTAACTTTTTTGTATTTTTAGTAGAGACAGGGTTTCACCATGTTGGCCAGGCTGGTCTCGAACTCCTGACCTCAAATGATCTGCCTGCCTTGGACTACCAAAGTTCTGAGATTACAGGTGTTAGTCCCCATGCCTGTCCTCCATCCTTATCTGCTAAAAGAAAAGAAACTAGTATCAACAGTCTGTCTGGAATTCTAATCTCTTCATCCAAATTAATCAGTTAATTCTGTATATTTTCTATTTTCCACTTCAGCACAGGTGACAGTGGTGCTAAACCTTTCATAATTACATACCAAGGATCATGACATTTTTCTGACTTTACTAAGCCCTCACCAACAGCCTCCTCCAGGGCCATCAAGCCTCTGCTAACAGATTTCTCAAAGCCTTTGTAATGTGTACACACACCCATCTCAAAGCCATCTCAAAGCAGTTTAGGTTTTGTTATGGCAGCCTCCCACTTCCAGAGACCAAAGTCTGTTTCTGTTATCTGTTACTAAACGGTAACTCCTCACTTAATGTCATTGATAGGTTCTTGTAAACAGCAACCTCAAGTGAAATGACATAAGAAGAAACCAATTTTTACCATAGGCTAATTGATAGAAAAAAGAGTTAAATTACTGCAGCATATTTCTGGTCACAAAAACATCACCAAACTCCTAAATAAAGACCCAGAATGCTTCTAAAATCTTGACATAAGTGTGAGCTATATATGTATTTAAGAAAGATTGATAAAAACAAGTGAGAGAATTATTTATCCATTTTTTTTGGTTGTTTTTTGAGATGGAGTCTCACTGTCACCCAGTCTGGAGTGCAGTGGTGCGATCTTGGCTCACTCCTCCCGAGTAGCTGGGATTACAGGCGTGCACCACCACACCCGGCTAATTTTTGTATTTTTAGTAGAGATGGGGTTTCACCATGTTGGCCAGGCTGGTCTCGAACTACTGGCCTCAAGTGATCTGCCCACCTTGGCCTCCCAAAGTGCTGGGATTACAGGCATGAGTCATCATGAGCCTATTTATTCAATTTTTGGTTAATCTGTGAGTGATAGCTGTTGTAGTGTTGGTGGGTTAAATCAAGGAATCAAGGAATAAGTGTTTGCAAAGTGAAAAATTGAAAGGAGCACCTCTTGCCACCACACAGTTAAAAAACAATCACAAGCCAGGTGCAGTGGCTGACGCCTGTAATCCCAACACTTTGGGAGGCGGAGGCAGGCAGATCACCTGAGGTCGGGAGTTCGAGACCAGCCTGATCATCATGGAGAAACCTTGCCTCTACTAAAAATAGAAAATTAGCCAGGCATGGTGGCAGATGCCTGTAATCCCAGCTACTCGGGAAGCTGAGGCAGGAGAATCGCTTGAACCTGGGAAGCAGAGGTTGAGGTGAGCTGAGATCGTGCCATTGCACTCTAGCCTGGGAAACAAGAGCGATACTCTGTCTCAATTTTAAAAAAAATTACAAATAATGGCGGGCTTGCAGAGTGCTATTTTACTGCATCGTTTATTGTCATGCATTTGTATGATTATCATATACTTTATGAATTTTTTACAATAATTTATATTCATTCATTTTTCTAAACTTCTCATTCCTGTTCAGGGTCTCTAGTGGCTGGAGCCCCTCCTGGAAGCTCACAGTTCAAGGCAGAAAGCAGTCCTGGACAGGACCAATCCCATCATTGCCAGGTGCACTCACATACTCCCCTATAGCCACTCAGACTGGGACCCCACAGACACACCAATGAGCCTAATGTGTACATCTTTGGGATGTTGGAGTAACCTGGCGTTCCCAGAGAAAATCTATAACAGACATGGGGAGAAGGTGCAGACTCCATACAGACGATGCCCCTGGCTGAGAAAGGATTCTTTTTCTCACCAACGTTATAATGAAATGACATTGAATGAAATGATGTTATTCAAGGAGTTGCTGTATAATAGAATACTCCAATAGAGTGGCTTAAAATAGCAACAATAATTTTATTATAATCTCTCACAGTTGTGGAGTTGGAGTTGAGATGGAGTAGCTCAGCTACCAGATGGTTCTAGCTTGAAGGTGCAACCTAATCATGGAAGTGATAGCCCATTATATTCCTAGGTCCCACCACCCACAGAATATCTGCCTCAGGGGGCTGGGATCTCGAGGTCCCTCTTGGAGTTCTGCCTACCCCAAATTAATACAGTGGTTCTCAATCAGGCACAATTTTGCAACCTCCCTTTTTGGGGGAACATTTGACAGTATTTGGAGACATTTTTGGTTGTCATGAGTGAGGGTGGTTAAATAGAGACCGGGGTGCTGCTGAATATCCCGCCATACACAGGACATCCTCCCCAAAAAAGAATTAATCTGGCCCCGAATGTCGATAATTCTGAGAATCATTGAACTGGAAGAGGAAGGAGTTTGTGGAAGGGGCTTAGGAGACTATTGGTGGATGGGTTGGTTCTGTGCATTCCGTTTCTTACCTAGCTCTATAAGCTGGGTTTGAATGCCTTTGATTAGAGGAGAGATGGTCAGAAGCTTAGAGAAAATTTCTTTAAAGAATTTTCAGACTCTGTGCAGGCTGATTTTGGCCCCAGAGGTGGAAAAAACATAATTTTCTGTCTCCTAATGGAATCCAACATCATTCTGTACCTTTTCTCCTGAACTCAGCAGGATTGCAAGCCAGGGGGGCTGCTGGAGAAGGAGTTCTTTGCATGGCCATTGAGTAGTAGCCACAGTAAAGTCTGCCTCTGTGGGTTTATGAGCAGCAGGTGTACACCAGCATGATCTGCAGAAGCAGAGCGGGAATGGGATTATTTGACTTGGTAATTGCAACAAACAGGCTGACAGGAGGCACTAGGAGAAATTAATCATTGGAGATCACTTTTTAAAAGGCTAATGTCTAGTAATCAGGCTAGAAGGGACACAAGTATCATGATTTGGTCATTAGAAGGAAATATGTTAGTTATTAGGGAAATACAAATCACTGCAACAATGAGATACCACTTCACCCCCATTAGGATGGCCGTAATAAAAAAGACAGACAATAATAAGGGTTGGGGAGGATGTGGACAAATTGGAACCCTCCCACACTGCTGGTACAAATGTAAAACAGTGCATCTGCTTTGGAACACAGTCTGACTTTTGCTCAAAAAGTTAAATATAGAGTTACCATATCACCCTGCAATTCTACCCCTAGGTATATATCTAAGAGAATTGAAAGTATGTCCACAGAAAAATCTGCACACCAGTGTTCGTAGCAGCATTATTCATAATAGCCAAAAGGTAGAAACAATCTCCATGTCCATTAACTGATGAATAGATAAATACAATGTGGTCTGTACACATGAAGGAATATTATTCAGCCATTAAAAAGGAATGAAGTTTTGATACACACCACAGCATGGAGGAACTTTGAATACGATGTGCTAAGTGAAGGAAGCCAGACACAAAAAGACATATGTTATATGATTGCATTTATAAGAAATGTCCAGAAGAATTAAATCCATAGAAATAGAAGGCAGATTAGGGCTTGGCACCATGGCTCACGCCTGTAATCCCAGCACTTTGGGAGGCCAAGGCAGGAAAATTGCTTGAACCCAGGATTTCTAGACCAGCCCTGGCAACATAGAGAGACCCTGTATCTACCAAAAAAAAATGCAAAAATTAGCTGGGCATGGTGGCACGCACCTGTAGTCCCGGCTACTCTTGAGAGAATCACCTGAGCCCAGGAGGTTGAGGCTGTGGTGAATGGTGATAGTGACACTACACTCCAGCCTGGGTGACAGAGTAAGACTCCGTTTCAAAAAAAAGGAAAGCAGGTTAGTGTTGAAAAAAGGGGCAATGGGAGAGTGATGATGATGGGTACCAGGCTTCTTATTAGGATAATGAAAATGTTCTGGAATTGGATAGTGATGATGCCTGCCTCACTTTGTGACTATACTGAAAACGATTGAATTGCTGGGCTCAGTGGCTCATGCCTGTAATCCCAGCACTTTGGGAGGTCGAGGTGGGCAGATTGCTTGAGCTTAGGAGTTTGAGACCAGCCTGGGAAACATAACAATACCCTGTCTCTACAAAAAATGCAAAAATTAGCCTGGCGTGGTGATACACGCCTGCAGTCCCAGCTACTTGGGAGGCTGAGGCAGGAGGATCGCTTGAACCCGGGAGGCAGAAGTTGCAGTGAACCAAGATCGCACCACTGCACTCCAGCCTGGATGACACAGTGAGACCCTGTCTTAAAAAGCAGCAACAACAGCAACAACATCATAAAAAACCATTGAATTGTACATTTTGAAAGGGCAAATTGTATGGCACATGATTGATATCTTAAGAAAAAATAATGAAAAAAGAAAATGTGATCTTATTTTGTGGTCCATGTAGCTGAGGTCTGAGACAGTTACATATGGAAAGTCGTAATTTCTAAGAGACTTCTTGACTCGTCTGTGAGAGCCTGTTCAGAGGCGGAGACACACCCAGCACTGTCCTGGCTCCACTATTCTTTCCTTATAAATGTCCTTCCTCTGGATTAATTGTTTCCTGTGCAAATACTTTTATTCCATCAAGGCACAATAAAATTCCCTACAGGTGGTGTTTTATATTCCCTTCATTTTCTTCTGAACTTTGTATATATATGTTTATGTCAAATATATATTTATAGATAAATTGTATGTATTATATAATTTATAACTATAAATATATAAATTATATGTTTATATATGTATAAATACATACTTTTTTTTTTTTAAGATGGAGTTTTGCTGTTGTTGCCCAGGCTGTAGTGCAATGGCGAGATCTCGGCTCACTGCAACCTCCACCTGCCGGGTTCAAGCGATTCTCCTGCTTCAACCTCCGGAGTAGCTGGAATTACAGGCGCGTGCCACCACACCCAGCTGATTTTTGTATTTTTAGTGGAGATGGGGTTTTGCCATGTTGGCCAGGCTGGTCTCAAACTCCTGACCTCAAGTGATCCGCCTGCCTCAGCCTCCCAAAGTGCTGGGATTACAGGCGTGAGCTACTGTGCCCGGCCACATATTTTAATATACATATTTATATGAGTGTGTGCATTTACTTATGGCATTTGTTGTGTACTATTATGAATTATAAACAGATTACCTTATTGGACTCTGTGTTCCTCAAGGGCAGAGTAACCACTAAAATTCTTTCTGTTGAAAGTGATATAAAGCTGGTGGGGTGTGCTGGCTCACGCCTGTAATCCCAGCATTTTGGGAGGTCGAGGCAGGTAGATCACTTGAGGTCAGGAGTTCGAGACCAGACTGGCCAACATGGTGAAACATCATCTTTACTAAAAATACAAAAATTAGCTGGGCATGGTGGTGCGCGCCTGTAATCCCAGCTACTCAGGAGGCTGAGGCAGGAGAATTGCTTGAACCCAGGAGGTGGAGGTTGCAGTGAGCCGGGATCACACCGCTGCACTCCAGCCTGGGCGACAGTGAGACTCACTTTTGTTAGGGGAAAAAAATGTCTAATGTCTGGGCTACTTTGAGGTATGCTTCATCTAGGGCTCAATTCTGTCTGTGCATCTTTTGGCTCCATTTCTCAGTCTTTGCTGCAGATTTATTCTCTGTCTTTTCAGATTTAACTCCAGTGGCAGGTAAATGCAGGACCCTCTTTCTGGGTTCATCTAGCTCAGCTCCAAGACTTATTAATAGCTCTGACTGACCCTTCCCTGAAGCCATCTCTGTGGGTGGGAAGATGGGATGCACTGAATGGCTGGTCACGTCTCCATCTCTGGTGCTGAGGGGACTCGGCCTGATCAGAGGCCTTGGCTCAGGAATAGGAATAGAAAAGTGAGTGGTTTTAGGAGGAAACTGGGATGGTGTTGCCAAAGAATGGGAGATGAACATTGAATGGCAAAAATTAACTAGTGCCCACTGTGGTTCATTTTTGAACCCGCAGCACTTAGAATGGAACAGGCATTTAGCAAACACCTATTGAATTAAATTGAATCCTGAAATACACATATCGGCTTCCAAATGACAGTCTATAGGAAGGAATGAAAAACTTTGAAAGTTGGGCCAAACAGAGAAGATGTATGATATTAAACTCCCAAAGTACTTCTGTATCTAAAAAGCACATGCTCCGATGCTCATTTTGGACATTTCTTTTACACCAGTGAAGATGTTCCAAACAGTTTGAGAGTCCAAATTAGGGGTCTCAACCTTTTTGTTTAGTGACATAGCTATGGTTGCTCTTTTAAAATTCAGTGAAAGCTGGTGGGTCCTGGTGGTCCATGTTTGTAGTCTCAGAAGTTTGGGAGGACGAGGCAGGAGGATCACTTGAGGCCCAGAGTTTGAGAGCAGCCTGGCTAACATGATGAAAACCCGTCTCTACTAAAAATACAAAAATTAGCTGGGTATGGTGTCACACGCCTGTAATCTCAGCAACTCGGGGGCTGAGGCATAAGAATGGCTTGAACCTGGGAGGCAGAGGTTGCAGTGAGCCAAGATTGTGCCACTGCACTCCAGCCTGGGCTACGGAGAGAGACTGTCTCAAAAAAAAATAAAAAATTCAATGAAAGCCACAGACCCTTTCCATAAAATGTTTTACATTATAGACTGATTTACATGGAATTTTGGGAGTCCCTGGAACCCTTGGAGTGCCAAGTTGGGCAGCTTTATTGTGAATAATTACATCCAGTGTTGGATTTTGTGTATTTTATAATTTCCCATTGTTTTCAGAATCTTTCCTCTTGGAATTACCCTGACTCAAGACTAGAGGGCATTGTGTACCTTGAAACCACATCAGACACACTGCAAGAGCTCCTTAGATTTTCATACAAAAAGGCTTGTTCACTGCTCAGTTAACAAGTGAGTCCATCTGCTCCCAGGAGGGAATGAAGTCAGCTCCCTGTGAAGAAAGGGATGGGGATGAGGGGAGAAGCACTGCCTAAATGTTTCCCTCATTTGTATGTTGATGAAATGTTGGCAGTCTCCCTAGAGCTCAAGTGCCTGGTTTGGATTGATTTCCCAGCAAGGATCCCGGTGTGTTAGGATGTGCTGCATACTGGGAGCAGATGAGATTCAGAGTCCCAGCCCTGCCTCTGGCTTCCTGTGGGGTTTCAGGAGGGTTCCTTTCCTTAGCTGTGCCTCAGTGCTCTTATCTGCAAAATGAGGGGATGAGATTAGCTGCTCCCAAGCTCATCACAGTATACGATGCTTCTCAGGTTCAAATGTTTCAGGAGTGGTGCAGACGTGAAGAGGAAAAAAAAATGCAGCCAAGGAGGAGTGTGGTTACTCTCAGAAATGAACATATCAGGTGATCCCGTGAGGATTTGGGCAAAACAAATCCAGTGAATGAATTTGGAGAGTTGAAGGAGAAGGCCCCTCCGCAATACTAAATGGTTTGTATATGAATGCAGTCTGTTTATCCAAAAAGAAAAGTGCTGCAGTAGGCAGCCTCTATGATAGCGCTAAAAGTTCCCACTTCCTTGTGCAGTCATCTTCCCTTAAATGTGACTCAACCTAGTGAGTTACTTCTAGCCAATAGGATCAGGCAAAAGTGATAGGATATCACCTTGGAGAGAAGGTTCCAAAAAGACGGTAAATTCCATCTTGCATACTCTCTAGCCTGCTGCTGTGATTAAGCCCAGTGCCAAGTTGTAAGCTGCTAAATGGAGAAGCCCCCATGACAAGGAAGTAAGGAAGGCCTGTGATGAATGGCCAGTGAGAAACTGAGGCCCGTGGTCCAATAGCTTATATGGAGCTGAGTTCTGCCAACTACCCCATGAGTGAGCCTAGAAACGGATTTTCGTGCAGTCAAGCCTTCAGATCATACTGCAGTCCTCTTGGACTGCTTGATTATATAGACTCTGAGGGACCTAGAGGCAGAGGCACCCAGCTCAGCCATGCCTGGATTCCTGACCCACAGAAATTATGAGATAACAAATGTTTGTTGTCTGAAGCTGCTAAATTTTGGGGTAATTTGCCATATAGCAATTGATAACCAGTGCATCTATTAAGGCAGTAGTTTTCAAATAATTTTCCTTCCTAGCAGAATGACTTTGGGTAAGTATTTTACTTTCTCTAAGCCTTGGTTTTGTCATCTGTCAATGGTCCCTACATCATAAGATTGTTGTCATATCTAAATGAGATCATGCATGAAAAGTGTTGACATATGTTTGAGATATGAACATTAAATTGTCATCATCATCATCATTATGGTGTTCATCAAAGGAATCCAGTAATAGAGGGGTGGAAACCAGTAGCTGTGGGAATTGAACAATGAGAACACATGGACACAGGAAGGGGAACATCACACTCTGGGGACTGTTGTGGGGTGGGGGGAGGGGGGAGGGATAGCATTAGGAGATATACCTAACATTGTGCACATGTACCCTAAAACTTAAAGTATAATAATAATAAAAAAATTCCATCCAGAGATCTTTCCTATCTTTCTTCCTCCACTAACAGTCACTACGATCGTGTGCAAATAACTGGCCAATCAGACAGCCCCGTCCTTTAGCAACAATGATGGGTCCAAGGGGTGAATGTTAACCCCAGAAGACCAATTAGAGTCTTTTTCAGAGATTTACATAGTCTCTCGGAGGGGAGAAGGCTTCTGGAGTGGGGCAGAATTTCTAGTGGTCCTGAAGCCATAGAGAGAAATCTTCGAATCTTACCCTCAGAATGGTAATTTCCAGAAAAGCTCTTTGATACTTATTTTACTTTTCATGGAACTAAATTCTAGTGATTATTGAGGTCTTTGCAAAGAAACAAACACAACAGAAATCCCTCCTCCAAAATCTATCTGCAAATGATTGCTCATGGTTTAATTGGCCCTTTAGGTAAAACCTCTCATCGTTGCAACAAAAATTGGTCCTTTTTACTCCAGAGAGTGCTCAGGGCTGATTACCTTTGAAGAATGAGACTTGAAGGTGGATCACATAGTGAGTTCTTTTATCCTTCCCTGTCCTGGAAGCAAAAATGTCACCATGGATAGGTGGGGAGGAAAGCACTCCCATCTCCCAGATTTCCTGGGAGTCTCCTAGAAACCCTTAGTGATTCTCCCGACTTTTGGGTAGTGATGTTTTCCTCCTGGGTAGTCAGGAGGGGTAATGGCAGATTGCCAGAAAGACACGACTTACAAAATAATCCAACTCCAAATTTCCTCTTTGGAATTTAGAGAAGGTTTATTTATGAACAGATTTTTTTTTTTTTAAATTGAGGAAACTAGGAGTTTAATTTTGGACATGTTGAACTTGAGATACCTAAAATACGTGCAAGTTGCAGTATCAAGTAGCAATTGGCTGGGTGAGTCTGTAACTCAAGGGAGAGTGTGGCTGGGTGTACACATTTGGGAGTTATAGTACTTGGAAGCCATAGGAAGCCACAGAACTGGATGAGAATAAAAAGGGAAGGGAAGTTTGCCACCCACCCCCACCTTGGTGTAGGCACCTCTTTCTTCTGGCAGGTGAGCTGAACAGAATCCCAGGATGCCCTGTGGAGACTGACGAGCTTTTATTCTTGGGTTACCTGGGAGATTGTTCCAGTCTCCCGACCTCTGTTGTGCTCCTGACTCTTGCAAGCGAGTGTGTCTCAGAGTGAGGAGCTGTGGAAGAAAGAGATGAGGCACATTGAAAATAAAAGATGTTGCCTAAAAGTGCCTATTATGTCCTGAGATCTGTCTTCATGATGCTAGTCCGCTCAGACAAGAAAATCATCCTGGGATAGAAGACTAAGTCCCCAGATCCAATTTTGCCACTTGGTTACTGGGTGAGCTTGGGGAAAATTTCTTAAGCTCGTTGACCCCGTTTGCATGTCTGTAAAGTGGGGATAGTAGCATTATCTCTCTCTTAAGGTTATGTTGAGCTCTAGGGAAGGCAGTGCACGCAAAGTGTTAGCGCAGCTCCGAGGGCATACAAAAGGGCTTTGTAACTGGCTGTTACTATTACTTATTACCTTGTGCCAGGTAGGTTTGATGCTTTGCTTATACCAGAGTGTTATGTTTACTTACATCATGGCCATCTGGTCCACTGCTGCTATTTGACAGATGAGAAAATGATCTTGCTTAAGGTCATACAACTCTTGATATTTGGCCACAAAAATTAATGGATGCCAAACTCAGGTAGGCCCTTGGGGCCACCTATAAATTCTTTTTTATTTGTGGTAATATAGTTTATCTCATTTATTCTTCACAGCACACCTAAGTGGTAGGTGTCACTATTCCCTCCAAGGTACAGATAAGGAAAGGAATGTATTAAAAGACCACGTGGCCTCACCTTCATCTCCATCGTTCTCCATCTTTATGACAACCCTGCTGAAGCGATATTTTCATTTCGCAGTCAGGAAATCTGAGGCTTGGAGAGAGTAAGCAAATTGCCCCAGGTTTCAAGGCGAATACAAGGCAGAGATCAGATGCAAAGCATAGACCTATCTGATTCGGGAACCCATAGTCTTTCCCTTAAACAAGGTAGCGGAATGATTCAGAATTCCAGTTCTGGGAACAGGCACGCTATGCTTATCTATTAAAAATGACAACCCCTTAAAATTGTAGCACCCCTCTTCTATTCTCTATGGGCCTTCTCTGCTTTATTTTTAAATTTTTATTTATTTATTTATTTTGAGACAGACTCTGACTCTCGCCCAGGCTGGAGTGCAGCACAGTGTTAGTTCACTGCAATCTCCGCCTCTTGGGTTCAGGCGGGTTCTCTGGTGCCTCAGCCTCCAGAGTAGCTGGGATTACAGGCATGTGCCACCATGTTCAGCTAATTATTTTGTATTTTTAGTAGAGATGGGGTTTCGCCATGTTGGCCTGGCTGGTCTCAATCTCCTGGGCCCAAGCGATCCGCCCACCTCTGGCTCCCAAAGTTCTGGGATTATAAACGGGAGCCACCGCACCCCACCTCTGCTTTATTTTTCTCCCAAAATACTTATCGCTTTCTTCCAGGTTGCATATTGTATTTATTTATTTTGTTATTGCATTCATCCCCTTCACAAGAATGTCAGCTCTGTGAATGTAGGGAATTTTTTTTCTATTTTATCCACCACTATATCCCTTACTCCTGGAATATATCAATATAAGCCTGGCCCAAGGTAGGCATGTCGATAATAATTCAGTTTCCTCAAAAGCAAAATGGGGAAAATGGTAACACCCACTTCATAGGGTAGGTTCAAGGAATATAAGGGTTAAAGCATTTGAAGTTCTTGAAACAGGGTCAGGAACACACTGGGCTCTGAATAATCGTTAACTACTAACATGTAATCCATTGCACGCCAGTGCTTTATTGATGTCAGCTATCCCCTGATGACTGCCAACTGTGCCAATATTTGTTTTACATATATCCTCTAATTGATGCCTTTAAACAATGATTGCCCTCACTTTACAGTTGGGGAAATGGAGGGGTTAAAAGGCAGTGCCTTTTTCCATCATGTCATTACATTAGTCAGCATCTAGGGAAGACATCTTCATGGTGCCCAAGAAAGTCATCCTCTCCAGCTGTCCTGCTGTGCAAGCTAGCCCCAACTGTGTGCTGGGACTTCACCTTTCCACTCATGAAACTCCAAAGCCTTACAGAATCAGTGCTGGTTTGCAAAATACCCCGTGAACATCCTCCCTTAATTAATGCTAGTCTTCATGTAAAGCCACATTGGTAGGACTATTGTATCTTAAGACCCCAGGCAATGCAATGTCCAGGACAATCTATATCCGAAGTGTTTAAAACAGTTTACCTTCCTCCAGCCTTACAAAAATTTAATTTATACTAAATGCTGTTGCAGAATCAGGTTTATCACCCAGGGAGTTAAGAAAAATGAAGGACCAATTTAACGACAGGATTTAGTTCATTATTTATCTAACATGTAAATTATAGATTACTATAAATTTTTTATTCTTTGGGTGCCCACCACCTAATTCCAGAAAAAAAAGAGAAGCCTGTATTACAAAGAGCAAGTGTCTCCTCTCTGGGCACAAGAGCCATCTCTTCTGCCTTCTGACGGACGATAATCTGTCAAAATGAAAAATTAATGGCTGCTCCCTTAATTCATCATTGCCTGCTTCTGTTCTATTAATGCCTTTCCCCCCTTCTTCCTTCCCTCCTTCCTCCCTCTGCCTCCCCCCTCCCTTCCTCCTCCACCCACCCCAATGGTGTGACAGTGTTCACCAGCAGTGAATTGGAGGCAGAGAACGGGAGTGGTGGTGGTGAATAGGAAAAAGAAAAAGAAAATCAAATCCATTGACCTCTGGATCCATGTAGCATCTGTTAAGATGGGAAAGAATGGGCTCTGCTTTACTCATCAAATGCATCAGGGCCCCATGGCGTCAATGCTGATGTAGAGTGTGTATATCACAGCAGGCATCTCGGACATTCTATTCCCTTGTAAGACCTGTGGTCGGCATAGGGGTGTTAAACGGCATGGTGTTTCAGTATCATCAGATTCACTGTCCAAATGGTGAATCTTGGAATTTGGTAGTGAAACTTACAAGCCATCTGATCCAACTCCTCTGTTTTACAGATCAGAAGACAGAGCCTCAGAGAGGAGATGGGTTTTGCTAAAAGTCCTGCAACTAGTGAAACTAGCAGCACTATAAATTGTGGATGCCAAACTCAGCTTATCAAGGCCACCCATCAGTCCTTTCATTTGTTTGAAATCAACTCCATTTTTCAATTCCCTTAAAGACTCTTCCACACTTCCACTCAATTTCCCTGACTGTAGACACCATATCTCTCACTTCCTTGCAATAACCATCTATGCCATTTATGAAATATTTCTGGCTCTGTACCTTCTGGTCAAATGTTAATCTTGAGGTTAGGCTTGGCCACGTGGCTTGCTTTGGCCAATGAAATATGGGCAGGAGCTTTAAAGACAGATATGCAATTTACTGAATTCCCTTCCCACTGCAGTGGCAATTAACTATGGTGGAGTGCATCGCCAGCAGTCCAGGTCCTTGAGTGACTGCAATGAGGAGGACACCCTGTGGACCCAAGTTACCACACAGTGTGTTAAGCCTCTGAGATACTGGGGGCATTTTTTTTCTCCTGCAGCAAAACTTAGCCTATTCTGCCCGTAAATTCATTAGAAAAAAATGGAGGTCATGAGACTCTTCCTTTCCCAGCTTCCAGCAGATGTATTTACAGCTGGCCCATCATCATCTCATTTCCTTCAGGCTGAGTAAATGAGATATCTCTTCTCTTCCACAGGACACATGATTTTCTCCCAGAGTTTCCATTTCCCCCTTCCTTTTGTGTCTGCCTTGTCAAGGTATCAATATGCTCAAGTCTCTCTCGCCTCTAAATATCCTTCTATTGGCTCCCCCTCTGAATCTTTCACCCATTCTCCTTCCCATTTCTCATCTCGTATTTTCGGAAAGAGTTGTCTACTGTTATTTTCTCCCATTTCTCACTTCCATTGCCCCCAGTTTATTATGATTAGGCTTCTCCTCCCAATACTCCAGTGAAGCTCTCTGTGATACTCAGTTCACCTGCTTGGTTAGGTCCAGTCTACCATGCTGGGCCTTGCTGATATGTCTGCTCCTGTGGATTTTGGCTCTTTCTTGAAATACCATGACTCCTGGCTTGCATTACACCAGACTCCCCTGGATATTTGCATGCCTCTCTGGCCAGTTCCTTTCTGGCTCTTCCTTGAATATGTTTCTCCTACAGCTTCTACATGTGTTATTATCAGTGTTACTCAGCACTCTAGCAGCCTCATGTACTCCACATTCATTCCATTTATAATTTACACTCTTTATAACGTTTAGATCATTTCTTCAGCCTAGATGCCTTCCTAAAGACTTAGGAATAACATAGCCAACTGTGTACTCCTCATCTCCAGAGAATGTCTGTGTATTTGTCAACACCATCACCTTCTTCCAAAACAGTTTTTACTTTTTTTTTTTCTTATAGTTGGTGACATCATCTTTCTAAGCATCCAAGCCAACCCCTCCCTTTTTTCAGAATCTCAATACCTAAATCAGGTTATTTCTCTTATATTCCCTCCTCCGCAAGCGGATGAATGAGAGAAGGAGTCAAGGGTAAACTACAGTTGTCCAGTAGATCAAGCTGCTTTTATTTCCTTTGTGAAAGATAAGAGAAGAATTACTGGGCAAGAGAAGAGAACCTACCTTGAGAAAGGAGGGGTCGTGTGTGTTGAGCTGTTGCTCTCTGAGGCCTCAAACCTCTCTGGGTGATTTTGGGAAAATCCTTTCAACCATACAGGCCTCTGTCCAATTGATAAGTTGAATGAGTTGGATCCAGGGATCTCTTAGGTTTTTCTCTTTCTCTGTTCTTACCATAGACTGGAGCGGATATTCAGATAGTGCTAAAATGGACCCTGAATCCTGCAACCTCTTCCAAGTTAACATGCAGATACAACTTCTGGGGTCAGGATGGAAGTTATAAGGTGGCACTTTAATGGGATTGGAGTAAATAATGGGAGATAGTAAGCTTAAGATCCATGGAGCATAACTTAGCTGCCTTCCCTAAAAGATAAGAGGGGGGCAGAGAGAATATGCTAGGACAGATAAATGAGGGATTAGTCAGTTTCAACAACCTAGTGGCTATGGAATAACTACAAAGAAATCACAGCTAGGATTGAAATTGTCCACAAAATCTTTAGCATCCTCTGAGCAGCCATCTCTTCCTCACCTTAAGAAGCCGACTACACTGGCTGGTTGCAAATATTGACAAATTTCAGGATCACCTTGGAAGGTGGTTTTTTAGGTTCTTTGATTTAAACTCTTCAATCATGCTCCATCAACCCACCAGTCCCAAGTCAGGCTGGTATTTGAGGCTCCTCATGACCTGGTTTCTGGTCTTGGCTTCAACACCTCTACTCTCCCTTGTTGTATCTTGTGTGACAGTCTCCCTGTGGAGGTCACGATGAAGGTGAAAGCGATATGACCAGATGAAGGGACTGAGAAGCGCCAAGGAAGATGTCAGGGTAAGACTCGTTCTGGGTTCGATGTAAATATAGCCACAGAGATTTCCACCTCTAAGCTCTGGCCCTCCTTTCTCTACGATATTCCTATCTCCTTTCCTGCCTTCTGTCTTAGGTCAAAGAACCACAGGCAGCCACCTGAAAGACTGTGCACCATAATATTCAAGAACATGAACTTTGGAAATCTATGTGGTCTGGATTTAGATCCTGGCTCCGCCACATACTAGCTGTGTGACTTTGGGAAAGTTAGGCTACCTGTCTGGGCCTTAATGTTGTCATCACAGCTCTTTAGCTCAACATCAGTTCTAGTCCCCATCATCTGCAATAGCAATCATTCTCCAGGAAAAGTTTTCACCTCTTCATTTAAGGCTGCTCCAACTCTCAAGCAGTCTGGGTACCCTTTTCCCCAACTCCCACCCCAGTTGTATCTGTTACCTGTGACCTTCCCTTCTGAATATTGCCTCAATAGCATGAACCCTTTTATACTTTGAAAGACAGCATGGAAATATGGAAGCAGAGAGAGTGCATAGAATGTGGAATGTGAGTCCGGGCTCTGCTACCAGCTGTATGACCTTGGGCAGTTTATGTAACGTGGTTGAACTTGTTCCCTATTTTCAATAAAAAATCAATAATTCCCTTTTCTCAGGATGTTTCTAAGTATTAAGTGGGATGAGATGCGTATGCTTTGGGCTTCACTCATCTGTGAGTACAAATAAAACTATATTACAGTAATAACCTGAGTTCTTGACAGTAGGGAGAGCTCCTTACCCCACTGTTTTCAAGAATCCTTATGGTGCCCATGAATGTCCAAAAATCAGACTTGTTTCTTCTCTATGCAAGCCTAGGTAAAGTGTGGCAGCATGACCTATGTTCTCAGTTATAACTTCTACTGCCTAGGTTTCAGAGAGTTGAAACTCTGTCCCTCTTCAAAACTGCAGAAACTGGAGAAGCCTTTTTTTCTTTTTCCTTTTTTTTTTTTTTTTTTGAGACAGGGTCTTGCTCTTTTGCCCAGGCTGGAATTCAGTGGAGTGATCATAGCTCACTGCAGCCTCAATCTCCTGGGCTCAAGCAATCCTCCCACCTCAGCCTCCAGAGGGGCAGGGAACATAGGTGCTTGCCACCATGTCCGGCTAATTAAATTAAATTACATTTATTTGTTTGTAGAGATGGAGTTTTTCTATGTTGCCCAGGCTGGTATTGAACTCCCTCCCTCAAGTGATTCTCCCACCTCAGCCTCCCAAAGTGCTGGGACTACAGACATGAGCCACCACACCTGGCCAGGAAATGCTTTTTTTGAATTCTGGTACTAAAGATTTAAGTCGTAATGCTTGAAAACTGAGAAGATAATGCTGCTTCTGTGCTATGTCCAGTGAGGGAGCCCCACAGTTTGATTCGTTGAGGTTTTATAATAAAAGTCTCACACTCTTTTCTGTTTCTTGATGGGTTACAAATCCCTTGCTTTGGGCCTGCCAATCCCATGGGGGTGACACAGTGAGGCTGGGGTTCTGTTCCCTTACCATCACCGGTGTTTCAGTGCAGGGGCAAGAGAATGCAGATACATCCAATGTCAGTAGGCAGGAAATACCAGCATCTGAGACTGAGGTGATATCTCACGTGAAACATGACAAATACACCTTTTGTGTTACGCTTGGTTGGGGCGTCATATTATTAAGCTGCCTGAGACTCAAGATATTACAGTCTTTAGTTATGCCCATTTTTTAAGTCACTTCTTGAAGTGCATGGAAAGTACACAGCCTCTTCCCTCCTGTCTTAGAATCCTCCTTCCCTTAGATGCTCATGTCTTGCCCCCGCGTCTAACTTGCAATGACAGGCTCTGCTTTCTCTTTCACTTTGCTCCCTAAGGAGCCCCTTGTTCCTTCCACTAAGACAACTTCTGTTGAGACACCCTCACCCCTCAGATATGCCTGAAATATGCCCAGATCCTTATATTGGCCAGGGTTTGGGCTCTCTTCCAAGGTTGTTCCTCAGCCTCTATGGAGCTGCAAATGGATAGGACTGTTTCCCATCTCCACCCACTGGAAGTGATCTGAAGCCCAGCTTCTGCTCAGCCAAGAGCCCTGCTACAAAGTCCAGGGCTGGGCACCACCTGGGCCCTTGGAGGTTAATTTGTTTTCCACCTACCTTGTTTCTATCATGACCTTGAAGACAGGACTTCAGAGCACTGGGACTAGTCCATGCTGTATTCTTTGTCGCCTTCATCCATCTTGCCAGTGCTGTTCCCTTTTCAGTTTAATAACACAACATCAAAGAACGGATGGGGGCTTGATTTCCCAATAAATAGCCATTGCATAAGTGCCTGCTACTTTGCATTGTGGGAATATTCAGGCGGAATTAATGATACTGTTGAGTGGCTACTGTGAAGATTTACGTGTGGATCTAGGGAGGGTTGCTTTTCGTCTTTCTATTTTCCCTCCCCTTAAAGTAATAATAAAGATTACAAAAGAGAAATAATCAGGGAAAGTTAATTTGAAATGAATCTTTAATCAGGTTTCATCTGTTCGAAGCAAACGTCTCCTTTGTCTGAGCAGAGCCTCAGAGGTGGAGCCTGGAGACACCATTCTGTAGATGTATCCTCAAAGTCAAAGCCATTCTGACAGAAATCAAACGAGAAATAATTTCTCCCTGAAGGAATTCTGTTTCAGCTTAATGACGGCAGGACTGTTCCTATTGAAACAGCATAATGGGGGTTTTTAATTACGATTCATACTGTCCGGTTTAAGGGCAAGACTTTTACTTATTTATTTTTATCCCTGAGCTCAGAGGCTCATTTGTTGAGTGTGTACTGCCAAATGCTGAATTTACCCCAAGGTGAAGAAGTGAATTAACTTCTAAGAGTGGACCCATGCTCCAATTTCCCCTTTATGGGAGAGAAGAGGCAGACTGACCTGGCCAATGGGACTGAATAGAATCAAGCTGGAGTCAGACATTTATTTTCCAGGACCACCAGAGAGGCACCAATTAAAGGAGTAAGTTGAGCCAATAGAGAAGAATGCCCAAGACAAAGAATCCAAAAATATGGCCATTCACAGTGGTCCATGCCTGTAGTCCCAGCACTTTGGGGGGCCGAGGCGGATGGATCCCTTGAGCCCGGGAGTTTGAGACCAGCTTGGGCAACATGGGGAAACCCTGTCTCTACAAACAAAACAAAACAAAAATTAGCCAGATGTGGCGGCACGTGAGTGTACTCACAGCTACTTGGGAGTCTGAGGCGGAAGGATTGCTTGAGCCCAGGAAGTTGAGGCTAAAGTGAGCTGTGATTGTACCACTGCACACCAGCCTGAGCAACAGAGGGAGACCCTGTCTCAAAAACAAATCTAAAAATGAATCTACATTAGCCGTTAGGATCATAGTTTGAGTCAGGCAACTCCTTTTAAACAATTAAGAATGTGCTGGTGCTGGGCGCGGTGGCTCATGCTTGTAATCCCAGCACTTTGGGAGGCTGAGGCGGGCAGATCACAAGGTCAACAGTTCGAGATCAGCCTGGCCAGTATGGTGAAACCCTGTCTCTACTAAAAATACAAAAATTAGCCTGGCGTGGTGGCACACGCCTGTCGTACCAGCTACTCAGGAGACTGAGGCAGAAGAATCACTTGAACCAGGGAGGCAGAGGTTGCAGTGAGCCGAGATCGCGCCACTGCACTCCAGCCTGGATCACAGAGTGAGACTCTATCTAAAAAAAAAAAAAAAAAGAATGTGCTGGTGTTACGTCCTGGAAAAATCACTTGCAACCACACTGCTTGACCTGTGTTCTAGCTCTGTGGAACAACGGGATCATTTAGCCTCCTTGAATTTCAGTGTCTCCATAGAGTCAGGTGGAGACCTAAGTGAAGGGAGAAATCTACTACAGCAAAAAAAGACATGGAGACCCAACTTGGAATCAAATTTTGCTTCTTGTCAGTCCTCAGAGTTGCCTAAGCTCCCTGAGCATCCGTTGTAACATGGAGAACACATGGATGAAGAAAATATTATGGATCATGCAATGTTCTCATATTAAATGAGGATGAGCAATAAAGACAAAGAGTTTTGAATGCCAGCTGTCCAAACCTAGCTGTATTCCCCATTCACTGCTAGAGAGCTGACATTATCTTAGGGCCCTTTGGCTTCGAGTGCCTGGATGTCTGCATAATGACTTTTTCTTTGTTTCTTTGCTGTCCGATGAATTGAGTTAGAGTACCTTTGTTAGCTAATAGGCCTGTAGACCTAGGCCTGGCATCAGCACACCAGCACATTCTTAATTGCTTGAAAAGAGTTGCCTGACTCAAACCATAATCCTAATAGCTATTTTAGATTCATTTTTAGATTTGTTTTTTGAGACAGGGTCTCCCTCTGTTGCTCAGGCTGTAGTGCAGTGGTACAGTCACCAATCACTTTAGTCTAAACCTACTGGGTTCAAGCAATCCTCCTACCTCAGCCTCCCTAGTAGCTGTGAATACACACACAGTCATTTCATAGTAAGGCTACAGGTAACAAGCGTGAGAGATATTTGGCTTTTCCAATTTGGTATATAAAATGTAGAATTTAGAACAATTCTGTTGTTGCAGAATTAGGCTGGGAGTACCTTAAAAGTAATGGCAAAAACCACAATTACTTTTGCACCAACCTAATAGTTTATTTGGATGTTTAAGGAATAAGATAACACCTCTCAGGAAAGAATGAAGAGAGATTAATTACCTCTTTTCTTCACTGCTAAGGTTCTTTCCATTTCCTCACCATACAGTTCTATAGAGATGTGGGTAGTTACTAGGGAGGGTGGGAAAGGTAGTTGAATTAGCGTAGGAAGTTACTGTAATTTTAGAGTTGACAAAATCTTTGTGAAAACCTCCCTCTCTGCATTAAGCTTGGTTTAGAATGTTACCTACCTCCCGTGCATTGGTGAGCTGGTCAATAACAGGTAAATTTCACTGCAAAATCATTTCCGTCTTCATTTGCAGGACCCTAGGACCACAGCCACAGGAGGGTTAGGAACTAAAACCAGTAACCAATATTACCTCTCCCAAGGGTTTTGGTGAGGACGCAATGACATTATGTACATAAAATTGGACATAAGGTACAGTTTTTGGCACATAGTAAGTATTCAAAATGTGTTTATTTCCTCTGTCTCAAGATCTAATCTTGATTTTGAGCTGTACAATATATGCTCAATTAAATATGCATTGGAGGAAATAAAAATCTATTATAAAAATACAAGACTGTGTACCGAGTAGGCATTCAATAAAATAGTTATTGAACAATGACTTTCTATAGCTTTTGATGACTTGATTAACCTCTCTGAACTTGACGTGTAAGATCTTTTCCCTCTCACATCTTATGAATTAATAATATGTTAATTAGAGTTCGTAATTTTCTACTTTATGACTTAGGTGCATTCATCTTAAATCTTTTCTGGAATGGGGCCTGGAAAATAAAGGGGGAAAAAAAGAAGGAAAGAGCAAGTAAGTAAGTTTAATTATTTCGCATATCATACCACGATGTTCAAGAAGAAGAGATTTGACCTGATGATACTTATCATTCATTGCATAAAGTGCGAACAAAATGGTTAGAGCATTGGCACCTTCAAGCTCCATGATGATGGGTATATCATGTACTTGGAGTCCAGGCTTTGAACGTTTTTATTTTTCACCTTGGAGGCAGAGGCTCACGTCTTTTCTGCAAGAGTCTAACTTTAGGAGGTAGTTCAGACACCTGGAGCATCAGGAATTTATATCTCTGATCCAAACTGAAATAACTCCTCCAAAATTCTTGACAATGACATGGAGACTATCCCAAATCATTTCTCCTATCCCTAGAGCAGCCTGATTACCTTAATGCATTTTAGAATCATTGAGCTGTGACTTTTGGTTTACGTATTAGCAGGGATATAATCCTTGACCATTGTAAATGTTGCTGCCTTTCTATTTTTTCGTATTCACTCTTTTACTTGTTTATTTTTACTGTTTTCTTCTTTCTTTTTTTCTTTTTTTTTGAGATGGAGTCTCGCTCTGTCACCAGGCTGGAGTGCAGCGGTGCGATCTTGGCTCACTGCAACTCTGCCTCCTGGGTTCAAGTGATTCTCCTGTCTCAGCCTCCTGAGTAGCTGGTATTATAGGTGCACACCACCACACCCAGCTAGTTTTTGTATTTTTAGTAGACACGGGGTTTCCCCATGTTGGCCAGGATGGTCTTGATCTCTTGACCTCATGATCTGCCCACCTTGGCATCGCAAAGTGCTGGGATTACAGGTGTGAGCCACCGTGCCCGGCCCACTATTTTCTCTCTTTCTTTCTTTCTTTTTTTTTTCAAGTTTTAAATTCGGGGTGCTGTTTGTTACATAGGTAAATTCGTGTCTTGGAGGTTTGTTGTACAGATTATTTTATCACCCAGGTATTAAGCCCAGTACCTATTAGTTATTTTTCATGATCCTCTACCTCCTCACACCCTCCACCCTCCGGTAGGGCCTGTATCTGTTGGTCCTCTTTTAGTATCCATGTGTTTTCATCATTTAGCTCCCACTTATAAGTGAGAACATGTGGTATTTGGTTTTCTATTCCTGCATTAGTCTGCTAAGGATAATGGCCTCCAGCTGCATCCATGTTCCTGCAAAGGACATGATCTCATTCTTTGTTATGGCTGCATAGTATTCTATGATGTATATTTACCACATTTTCTTTATCCAGTCTACCATTGATGGGCATTTAGGTTGATTCCATGTCTTTGCTATTATGACCTATTCACCCTCCTAAAATAACAAGCAGCTCTTCCATGTTTATACCCGTAGGGAGAGGAGAGTGCACAGGTGCATGGCTGAGGCTTGCCATGCCAATCTGAACCTCTGGAACATGGATTATGCCTTTCTGTGTATTTAATGGTTATCCTTAGCTCTCTTCTCCCAAAGTCGTTAACCATTCCCTAGTGGGATTGGGAAACCTTTGAATTAAAGGTGTTTATACACCTGCATTAGAGGCAGTGAGAGAGCCCTGGTATTAAAGGTGTTTATAGACCTGCATTAGAGGCAGTGAGAGAGCCCTGGTATTAAAGGTGTTTATACACCTGCATTAGAGGCAGTGAGAGAGCCCTGGTATTAAAGGTGTTTATACACCTGCATTGGAGGCAGTGAGAGAGCCCTGGTATTAAAGGTGTTTATACACCTGCATTAGAGGCAGTGAGAGAGCCCTGGTATTAAAGGTGTTTATACACCTGCATTAGAGGCAGTGAGAGAGCCCTGGTATTAAAGGTGTTTATACACCTGCATTGGAGGCAGTGAGAGAGCCCTGGTATTAAAGGTGTTCATACACCTGCATTAGAGGCAGTGAGAGAGCCCTGGTTATTTGCTTGACCGTCAGTTCCATTCTTTTTCCTGTTATATGGCCTTCAGTGACTCAGTTTACCACTCTAAGCCCAAGTTTCCTCATCTGTAAAATGGACATCCAGATCCATTTTTCCACGTCACCAGGTTTCTGGGAGAATTGCATCAGCTAGTAAAAGCCAATGAAAACTTTATAGTTCCATAATGATATGAAAGATTATTGGGTGCAGTTAAAATGCAATTGATACTACTGAGTTAATGAAGTTACCTTCTCATAGCACCAAAGTCCCCTCCTCTAAACTATTTATAATTACACATTTATACCTGTGTGATCATTTAATTTGCCTCTTTTTCTTCTATCATGCAGTAAGCTTGAGGGCTAGGTCTATGCACGTTTGGGGCTTCACACATGGTATTATAATAAATAGGGTAAGTGGTTATTGATGGCTTCCATCAGTGTGATAACCGTGGAGATGGCAAGATGTGGTCAGATGCTCATGTAAGTTAAGGTGGAGCCCATCAGACTTCCTAGCATGTTGAATATGAAGTGTGAAAGACGGAGAGACATCAAGGAGAATTCCAAGGATTTTGTCTTGAGCAACTTGAAGTTTTAAGTGAGATGGAAAAGGCTGTGGGAGGAGCAGGTTTTGGAAGGAAGATTATAAATCTAGTTGAGGGCTGGGCATGGTGGCTCTTGCCTGTAATCCCAGCACTTTGGGAGGCCCAAGGTGGGTGGATCGCTTGAGCCCAGAAGTTCAAGACCAGCCTGGGGAACATGGAGAAACCTTGTCTCTGTAAAAGATACAACAATTATCTGGGTATGGTGGCATGCAGCTGTAGTCCCAGCTACTCGGGAGGCTGCGGTAGGAGGATCACTTGAGCCGCCATCATGCCACTGTGCTCCAGCCTGGGTGACAGAGAAAGACCCTGTTTTTTGTTTTCTTTAATTTTTAAAAATATTTTAATTTTCTAAAACCTGATCTTGGAAGTGAGAAGACTCTGTTTTTCTATCTTTCTTTCTCTCTCTCTCTTTTTTTTTAAAAGAATCTAATTTTGAACTTAAGTTAAGAATGCAATGATAGAATAATAAATTCTAAGAGTCTGAAGGACACATAGAAATTGTCTTGCCATCCAGTCTCAATAAGTGTCCATCTAGCTTCTGCCTAAATATCATCAGTGAGGAGGAGCTCACTACCTTTGGAAGAAGTCCTTTTCATTGGCAGACAACTCTAAGTGGTGTGATGTTGAAATCTCTCCATGTTCCTTTTACCTTATAGACTACATTTGAGCTCTGTTCTCCCAAACAGCCATTAACATATTTGAACTCATTGACCCCGCATAGTTGAGTTTTCCCTTCTTCAGGAAAGGCACTCCCAGTTCCTCCAGCCATGCTTCACACAATCTAGGTATCAGTCATTCACACTGTAGTGCAAAGTTGCCTTTTCTTAGGATATTTACATTGGGGAGCTGGTCTAATGCAGCAAGCATATCTGATGCCGAGACAAGCTGATAATGGTTAGGAATATAATCAGATGTCGCCCAATCCTGAGAGATGAGATGATAGAAGAACCTGGCCATAGCAGTCGGAGGCAGGCTAGAAATTAAGAGTCAGATATGGCAAGAGTGTAAAACCATCATGGCAGGATGTTGATTTGTCTTGTTCAATGCAGTATCTCCTATGCCTTGCATGGGGCCTGGTATTCAGTAAGCAATTGATCAGTACTTGTTGAGTGACTGAGTGGATAAATGAGTGAATGTGAGGCTAAGAAATGGATCATGCAGTGCCCTCCCAGCTCAAAAGCCCTCTTCTTTAGGAAAGGCTTCTCTGCCTCCAAAACCTTCTCAGTTCCTCTTTTTGTAAATTCCCATTGTTCTATATACTTACCCCTAGAAGTACTTTCTATTAATAATTGTGTGATTCTTTGCTTTCTTCTTAGCCATGAGTCCTTCAAGGCTGAGACGATTTCTAGTTCTTTTCTCCAGTGAATCTCAAGTATTGTGCACAGTGCCTGGCACAGAGGAGGGAGGGACTAAAAGATGTTTATTATGTAAACATCCAGGAGGGCTAATTTCTAGAAATTGTTGAAACTGGATTTTAGATACACAGGTACCCCAGAAATAACGCTCCTCACAAAAGAAGTAGGGCTTATTCTCTCTTTAAATTAGGGGAGCTGGTCTCATCAGCCCAACTCTTACTTGTCTTATAGAGGTATTTTGTGTGAATCAGCATTTGTTGAAGCCCTAAAAATGAAAAAGTTGGTGACATCTGATTTTGATTGCTTCTGCACTTATATTGCTTAATTTTCTGTGTGACCTTGGGATAGTTTTCTCATATTTGCTTCTTAGTTTCCTCATCTGTATTGCCAAAGGGTTGGAAGAGATGTTCTAATAGGAATCTTTTGGTGTCCACTGTCAACAATTCTATCCTCTCCGCACATTTTATTTTTTACCGCATTAGGCTGAGCTACAGGTGAGTTTCCAAAGTGACTTGTGAGGCAGTCCTCCAAAGTTGTGTGACTTCCACTTGACTTCCAGCACGCAGCAGTAAAAAGAAATCAACAAAGAGTTCTGAGCCTTTGAGAGACAGCAGTACTAGAACAAAGAGATCCATCGTCTGGCTGTCACTGTGGACAGCCGAAAAACAGGTGACAGCAAGATGCAGAATTCTGTGCGAGATGACAGGCCCTGCCTCCATTGCAATAAGCCAGAAGAAGCAACTATGGAACAGGTATTGGGGTGCGAAGTTGGAGAAGAGGGTGTAGTCACACACCAGAGTCCTGCGTAGAAATTGCTGTGGCCAGAGGCGTGGACAGGAAGACGTCCTACCGAGACCCTTTGATGTCTGGGCATCTTGATGTCTGCTCACTTACTTTTCATAAAAGTCTTGAGAGGAAGAAATTATTCTTTGCAGATGAGGAATTGAAATACACAGATAATAAAATATTTCCCAAATAATGTTACCCAGATTAGGCTAAGCTGGTACAATGGAGAAACCTGCCAAATTAAGAGGCTTAAAGAACAAAGAAGTTTGATTCTCTCTGCTGATAGAGTCCAGGAAGGTAGGTACTGGGCTCCACTCAGTCATTGTTGGTCTCAGTTCTTTACATTTACCAATGGCTGTGGCATCCACTAGGGTCATACTGTTATTCCCAGTAAGTAGTAAATTATAAATACAGGATGATCACACATGCAAGATTTTATGGGCCAGGCTTGGAAGTTGTACATGCACATGCACACACACACACACACACACACACACGCACACAGTTTCACTTACATCCTTTGGGCAAGATCTTCCGTCTATTTTCAGGGAAGACTAGAAAATAGTGAGTTTCAGACTGGGCAGCTATATCACAGCTATAAATATATCGTTATTACAGAAGAGAATGATGAATTTTGGTGGACACCTAGTAATTTTCACCATGCAGATATTATGCACACAGGGAGTTGGGGAACAGGGATCTATGTCCAGACTGAGTCTAAGGCTCTTGTATTTTCTTCCCTCAGCTCACTCTTAGCTAATGTCCATCTCTCCAGCATCATTTCTCTCCACTTTCTCCTGGCTCACAACTGTCCTCTCACAAGTCCTCAAATGTGCCAAGATATTTCCAACATCAGGACATTTGATCCCTTGCACATTGCTGTTTTCCCAGTCTTTGAGCTCACATGTCACCTCCCAGATCTGGCCCTGTCTAGGTGGGGAATTCATGTGGAGTTTTCTGTTTTCTAGGCTGAGCCATGCAGGATTCATCAGTCTGTCCCAGGGAACTTCCTGGGATGGTTGTCTGGGTTAGTTTCCTCCCTGGGCTTGGGTTGGCCAAGGAGAGGAGAGAAAGACTTCATTGAAACCTCTTGCAAATATTTTTAAAGAAGAGAAAGGAAAGCAAGAGGCCGCTGGCTGGGAGCAGCACTCTAGCCATCGATTGGGTAATTGGAAGCCCTCGGGTGTGAGTCCTCATTAAGGCAGAGGGCTATGAATCATTTTCTAATGACACCTCTTCGATCCCAGCAGCTCAGCATGCAGCCTGCCTCCACGGTTGGGCTGCAAGCCAGGGGAGCCGCGGGGTCTGCAACCAGGCTGCCTGCCATATGTTGTTTCTTGCAATTAGCAGGTGCTTGGGGTGTGGGCTGGGCACCCAGAGGGCAAGGCGACTGCCTCTGCCAGGGAAACTCTCGTGAGCCATACCAAGAGCTCAGGAAGAGAAACAAGGTGGCTGGGGGTTGATGGGCAACCCCCAGGGCCAGTAAGATGTGCTGGTCACGAAAGAAATCTCTGTTTGCAGACAGTTTTATTCCTGTACAGGTATTTACAGCTTGCTACTGCAAATTGATGGATCTTTATTTCTGGAACTGTAGTCATTCTTGCAGGTCCGTCGGTGCAGACATTTTGGGATAGTCCTTTGATGTCTATCATCACACTATGGAAGGTACTGTAAAAATATTGGCCCTTTTCTGAGTAATCCGTAATTAAAGATATTGATTATACTATTTATTTCCAAAATTTTTACAGGTTTTTCTTTTGGTGTAAAATTTACAAACAGTAAAATGTTAAACTTATATTAGCCAAATTTTGATAAATGCAAGCCCTTATCTTTTTCTTTTCTTTTTTTTTTTTTTTTTTTTTGAGATGGAGTCTTGCTCTCTCTCCAGGCTGGAGTGCAGTGGTGCAATCTTGCCTCACAGCAATCTCTGCCTCCCAGGTTCAAATGATTTTCCTGCCTCAGCTTCCTGAGTAGCTGGGACTACAGGCGCATGCCACCAGGCTTGGCTATTTTTCATATTTTTTTTTAGTAGAAACGCGGTTTCACCATGTTGGCCAGGGCAGTCTCGAACTCCTGATCTCAACTGATCCGCCCACCTTGGCCTCCCAAAGTGCTGGCATCATAGGCGTGAGCCACTGTGCCCAGCCTACAAGCCCTTATCTTGGTATAGAACATTATCATCACCCCAGAGAGTTTCCTCAAGCTCTTTCTCAGTAGGTTCCCAAGCTACTCTCCAAAGGCAAGTGTTGCTCTGATTTTTCTTCCCATAGTGGAATAGAGCACTGTTCTAGGATTTCACATGAATGAATGAAATGGCATGTATATTGTTTTGTCTAACACTTGTCTCACTCAACATAATGTTTTTGAGGTTCATTTATGTTGCATGTATTAGGAGGTTATTTCCTTTTATTGCTGAATAGTATTCTGTTGTATGGATATACCACAGTTTGCTTATTCATTCTTCTATTTACGTAGACACGTGGGATGTTTCTAGTCATCAGCTATTATGAATAAAGCTGCTATGAGCATTGTTTGTACAAGGCTTTTTGTGAACTTGTATTTTCATTTATCTTGGGTAAATATTTAGAAATGTATACATATATATATGATTTTTTTTTTTTTTGAAACAGTGTCTTGCTCTGTTACCCAGGCTGGAGTGCAGTGCAGATTACAGCTCATTGCAGCCTTAACCTCCTGGGCTCAGGCTCTCCTTTTCCTCAGCCTACCAAGTAGCTGAAACTACAGGTATGTGCTACCATGCCTGGCTAATTTTTAAATTTTTTTTTAGAGATGTGGTCTCACTGTGTTTCCCAGGCTGTTCTTGAACTTCTGGACTCAAGTGATCCTCCTACCTCGGCCTCTTTTTTTTTTTGACAGGATCTCACTCTGTTGCTTAGGCTGGAGTGCAGTAATATGATTACAGCTCGCTGCTGGGATAACAGGCCTGGTAAGCCACTGTGCCCGGCCAGAAGTGAAATTGTTGGGTCATCGAATAAGTATATATATGGTTTTAAGAAAAACTGTTAGCATTTTTGGAAAGAGTTATATAAGCAGTGTATTTCTAAATCAACTTATAAGAGTTCCAGTTGCTCCTTAATTTCATAAACATTTGGTTTCATTAATTTTCTTCTTTTTTTAAAAAAATTACTTATTCTGTTGGACGTAAAGTGGTATTTTGTTTAGATTTAATTTTCGTTTTAGTGATGACTAATGTTGAGCACTTTTTCTTTTTCTTTTTTTTTGGAAAGTGTGTTTTAAAATCACTGACCGTTTTTTACATTGGATTATTTGTCTATTTATTCTGGGTACTGAATAAAAGCGTGGATTCTGGATTCAGTGAGTTCAGGGATCAAATTCTGGTCCTTCTACTTATCTGTGTTGCCCTAGAAGAGTCACTTTAACTGTCTGGGGTATAATTTCTCATCTACAAAGAGAGGATTAATAATTGTACACAGTTAATAGGGTTGTGAGAATAAATGAAGCAATGCATTGAAAGCACAAGGCATAGTGCCTGGAACCCTTGAGCGATCAGCAAATGGTAGCTCTTACTATTGTTGTTGTTTGTGGCCATTGTGGCAAAGCCTAGTGCTTGGAAACTTGAAGGAGTCTACCATATGTTTGTTGAACCAAAATCAGTTGAAATCCCATCCAAAATCCCTTCCAAAGACCCATGCACTGATGCAATAGCGATGAAAAAAGATTTCCCCTAGATGTCTAGACTTTAGAGGTTCCAATTTTTTTTTCTTTGAGCCAGAGTCTCACTCTGTTGCCCAGGCTGGAGTGCAATGGCACAATCTTGGCTCACTGCAACCTCCACCTCCTGGGTTCAAGCCATTCTCCTGCCTCAGCCTCCCAAGTAGCTGAGACTACAGGCATGTGCCATAACGCTCAGCTCATTTTTATATTTTCAGTAGAGACAGGGTTTCTCCATGTTGGCAAGGCTGGTCTCGAACTCCTGACCTCAAGTGATCCACCCACCTTGGCCTCCCAAAGTGCTGGGATTACAAGTGTGAGCCACCGTGCCTGGCTGAGGTTTCAAATATTATTGCAAACCTCATTGTATTTCATTCTCACCACCATCCTTTAAGGTATGTGTTATTATTTTTTTTTCCATTTTCTAGCTTAGGAACCCGAGGCTCAGAGAAATGAAGTGACTTACCCAAGATCATACTGTGACTTAGTGGTTAAGCCAAGGCCTCTACCCAGGTCTTCAGAATCTTAATTTTGTACTTCTTCTCCTTCCTTATTTGGCTCTGAATCGAGTCTCAGGTGCCTCATCTGTGTGGAGGGGGTGATGGAGGTGAATGCTGAAGTCCTTTCTTGCCCTTCAGTTTGTTTGTCTGGAAAAGACTGAGTATCATGATGTGAGGATTTCCCTAAGGCAGGCAAAGGAGAAGCTCCCCAAATCTCTAAAGGCCAAGCCCCAGTTTGGGCACGGCGTCTTTTTTTTTTTTTTTTTTTTTTTTTTTTCTGACAGGATCTCACTCTGTTCCTCAGGCTGGAGTGCCAGTGGCATGATCACAGCTCACTGCAGCCTCCAACTCCTGGGCTCAAATGATTCTCCCATCTCAGCCTCCCAGAGCAGCTGGGACCACAGATGTGTGCTACTACGCTCAGCTATTTTTTTTTTTTTTGGTAGAGATGAAGTCTTGCTACGTTGACTAGGCTGGTCTTGGACTCCTGGCTTCAAGTGATCCATCAGCCTCAGCCTCCCAAAATGCTGGGATTACAGGCATAAGCTGCTGCTCCTGGGTGGGCACAGTGTCTTTTTTATGTTCTTTTGGCTGAAAGTAGTTGAGTTTGCCATTGACTCCGTGGTAAAGAGCTAGTCATTCATTCATTCACTCAACTTTTTGTGAACTACTAAGTACCCATTGTGCTGGGAAATGGAAGCAATGGAAGCTATGGCAATGAACAAGAGAAATAAAGGGCCCTCTCTCTTGGAGTTTCTCTCCTGGTGGTGGGGAGGTAGTGGGTCAAGTATTGAGAGAAAACTGCTTCCATGGGACTCTGGGGCTGCTTGTACCTTCTCCCAAAAAAGAAAAATTGAGAAATAGAAGGTATAGCTGCCTTTTATTTCTTTCTTTTTTTTTTTTTTTGAGACAGAGTTTTGCTCTTGTTGCCTAGGCTGGAGTGCAGTGGTGTGATCTCAGCTCACCACAACCTCTGCCTCCTGAGTTCAAGTGATTATGCTGCTTCAGCCTCCCGAGTAGCTGGGATCATAGGCATGCGCCACCACGCCTGGCTAATTTTGTATTTTTAGTAGAGCGTGCTTTCTCCATGTTGGTCAGGCTGGTCTTGAACTCCCGACCTCAGGTGATCCGCCCGCCTCAGCCTCCCAAAGTGCCGGCATTACAGGCGTGAGCCACTGCGCCTGGCCTAGAGCTGCCTTTTCCTAAGCTGATAGCTCAGAGGAGGACAAGCTGATGTCTTAATGGTATCTGGGTTGCTTCTGCTCAGGTGTAATTACATCCTTTTGCTCTTTTTTTTGTATTTGACTCTTCTTCATGAGCTCTTTCAAACCTCCCTCCTTTCAGTACACCAGGCACTGGGGATTCAACAATGAACAGAACAAATGTCCTGCCCTGTGGGAGCTTGTAAATCCGCAGGAGAGGCTAGCAATCCCATGGTCACATCATAAGTATATGAGCACCACCGTGATAAGAGCTGTAAAGATGCAGGGCAGGTGCTGCTCAGGAGCATCACACAAGGCTTCATAGAGAAAGGCACATGTAGACCGAGCTCAGAGAGAGTGACCCCATTCTGGTTCCAGGCAGAGGAAACTATGTACTTCTGTGGCTGCTGGGCTCAAAGACTTAGGGATATCCCAGGTTAATCTCTCTATCCCTAGAGTGGACATTGCATCTGGCACTTAGCAGGCTCCTGATAAATGATTGCTGAGCTGAACTGAACCCTTCTTGATGGGAAAAGTGAGAGCAGGGGGCAGTATTTTGAAAGTGGAGGTAGCCTCATTTTGGAGTAAGTCCATTGAATCTTCTCTCATTCCATTTATACTCACTAAAAATACTAACAGGTGTCATTTACTGGTACCAGCTCTGTACCAATGACTGTGTCAGATATTTTTACGTTTATTTAAAATCTTGGTTGGGCATGGTGGCTCATACCTGTAATCCCAGCACTTTGGGAGGCTGAGGTGAGAGGATTGCTTGAGCTCAGGAGTTCGAGACCAGCCTGGGCAACATAGAGAGACCCTGTCTTTACTAAAAATAAAAAAAATTTAGCTGGGTGTGGTGGTTTGTGCCTGTTGTCCCAGCTGCTTGGGATGCCAAAGTGGGAGGATTGCTTGAGCCCAGAAGACTGAGGCTGCAGTGAGCCATGATTATGCCACTGTACTTCAGCCTGAGTACAAAGGGAAACCCTGTCTCAAAACAAAACAAAAGCCTTACAATAGTCCTCCAAAAAGGATTGTACTACCCCATTTTGCATATTGGGATACTGGGATCAAAGAGGTGAGGTGACACTTTCAGTGTGATGCAATCAGGCAGTGGCTATGCCCGGGATTCAAGACCATGCTGCACCTTCACTGGAGGCAGAGAGGCAGGTGGGGTAATGGTTCCAGTTAATCTGTTAATCTTCTCAAGTTAAATGTGGTTCGAATTGCTTCCTAATGAAAGCTGTCCAGTCACAAGCTCAGTAAGATCTTTTATGGAACAACAGACAGCCAGAGATTGCCAATACAGAGTAATTAATATGGAGTAATGATGAGTGATAAGAGATGAAGATCTAAAGTGAACTATTAAACGACAATATCATTTTCTTGTCTTCTTCCCTTATGCACGCTGACAGGAAGAGAGTTGACATGATAATTTTATAAAACTCCCTGACACTTCCCGCTAACTCCTCTCCATTAGCTGGGTCTGATAATACACCAGAGCAGACACATGGAAAGAGGAGACTCGCTCTTGAAAGACGGAGAGGTGCTTCAAAATAGGACACAGCTAGTGTCTCTTAGGGCTCTGAATTCCAAACCATAGTCTGAGTGGCGCACCCCAAAATGAGTACTTCCTTTGGCAAATCTAGGAGTGGAGAATGTGTACTACTGGAATCTCAAAAACAGAGGTAAAAATGGGCTTTATACCTCTGTTCTGTTATTTATGTTCTAGCCCTTGTCTAGCACACAATTTTTCCTCCCGCCCCCATTCACCTCAATTTTACCCATTTTTCAAAGCCCAGATAATTCTTCCAAAGCCGTGATCCTTCCACTTCATTCTCACTTCTCCTGACTTCAATCTTCTACTTGGAGGTAGGAACATGGAGTTTACAGTTTGTCCATGACTATGGGTACTTTGAAAGTAGGGATCTGTAATTTCTACTTCGATTTTAGACTGGGTGCGGTGGTTCACGCCTGTAATCCCAGCACTTTGTGAGGCTGAGGCGGGTGGATCACTTGAGGTCAGGAGTTCAAGACCAGCCTGGCTGACATGGTGAAACCCTATCTCTACCAAAAATACAAAAATTAGCCGGGTGTGGTGGGAGGTGCCTGTAATCCCAGCTACCTGGGGGGGTGAGGCAGGAGAATTGCTTGAACCTGGGAGGTGGAGGTTGCAGTGCGCTGAGATCGTACCACTCCACTCCAGCCTGGGCAACAGAGTGAATCTCTTTCTGAAAGCAAAACAAAACCTTTTTTTAAAGATTTTGCCTTAGGTCTCCATATGGCAAGTAGAAACAGTGCTGTGGGATAAATTGAAACCCTCCCCAAACTAATATCATCAAGTCCTAATCCTCAGGACTTTTGAACATGACTGTATTTGGAGGTAGTTTCTTTAAAGAGGTGATTTCAAATGAGGTCATTAGGGTGAGCTAATTCAAGATGGCGGTGTCCTCATAAAAGAGGAAATTTGCACACAGAAATAGAGGGAAGACATAGGGAGAAGACAGACAACTGCAAGCTCAGGAGAGAGGCACGAGACAGATCTCTGATGGCCCTAAAAATGAACCAACCCTGCTGACACCTCAGTCTCAGGCTTCTAGCTTTCAAGAGTTGTAAGCAAATAAATTTCTACAGTTTAAGCCAGCTAGCTTGTTGGACTTTGCTATGGCGGCCCTAGCAAACTAGTACAGTCAACCAAATAAATGGTCATGATCTTGCTGATGTGAATACCAATACTTCTGCTACTATTCGTATCAGCTGTCTTTTAATGAGGAACATGGTGACCAGCCTATTACACACATTAACTTGATATTGATAGTCTCTTCCCTTGACAGCAGCCCAGGTTCTTCTGGTCCTAAAAGTAGAACATTACTGTGGACCAGCCACAGTGGATGAATGACAAGGGGCAAATTAGGATGAGTTGCAGGGCAAGGCTGAGCCTCAGCATCTGTTTCAGGGAGAAGAAGAAGACGGGACAAAAGGGCTGTTTTTAATCCAGTGGCTCGGCGTTGGAAGAGATTGGATCCTCACAGAGAATGCTGGTTGCATTTCCACCAAGCTCTGGATCACATGGGTGAATGAGATAACCTTCCTGTATTATTCCAGACCCCAAAACATCTCCAGAAGCACTGGAGGCCACTACATGTGCGACTGAATAGTTTCTTCACTCGTTCGTTCATTAATTCATTTACAGATTCATTCAGTAAGATTAACATTCAGGGAAGTATTGCAGCACAATGAAAAGATCATGTCTTTGGATTAAAATCTCATCTGCCATTTGCCAGCAATGAGAGCTGGGTTAAGTGACAACCTTTCTAAGCCTCAGGTGGAGTGAATTAGGGTAGCCTGAATCCACTGCTGGTATCTATCCCCCTGATGACTCTGATCAGGGACCCTAGGGCAGCGCTAAGTAGACAGAGGCTCACATGACTTGCCAAAGTTGAGGAAATGTTACTGAATCGATCTACTTGATGGAAATAGATATGTCATCAAAAACTTGTAAATGTTCACACGAAATTTTATATAAATTAGACTCCTTTCCATATTGCAGCATCTCTTTCCTTTCTTTGTTCCTTCCTTCCTTCCTCATCCCTCCCTCCCTCCTTTCTTCTTCTCCTTCCTCCCTCCTTTCTTTCTTCTTCCTTCCTTCCTTACTCCCACTTCCTTCTCCCTCCCTCCCTTCCTTCCTTCCTCCCTCCCACCCGCATCCGTCCCTCCCTCATTTCTTCTCCTTCCTTCTTCTCCTTCCTCCCTCCTTCCTTTCTTCTTCCTTCCTTACTCTCACCTCCTTCTTCCTTCCTTCCTCTTCTTTCTTTCCCACCAGCTTTATTTCCTTCTTTTTCTTTCTCTCCCTCCCTTTTTCCTTCCTTCCTTCTTTCCTTCCTTCCTTCCTTCCTCCCTGCCTCTCTCTCCCTCCTTCCCTCCCTCTCTCCCTCCTTTCTTTCCTCTCTTCTTCTTTCTCTTTCTTTCTTTCTTTTCTTTCCTTTCTTTCTTTCTTCTTTCTCTTTTTCTTTCTTTCTTTCCTTCCTTCTTTCCTTCCCTCTTTCTTTCCTTTCTTTCTTTCTTTCTTTCTTTCTTTCTTTCTTTCTTTCTCTCTCTCTCTCTCTCTGTCTCTCTCTCTCTCTCTTTGTCTGTCTTTCCCATCGGCTTTTCCCCCTCATCACACCTATTTACTTCCTGTTGTGGGTTGAATTACATTCTTCCAAAAGACATGCTGACATCTTAGCCCCTGGTACTTGTCAGTGTGACCTTATTTAGAAATAGGGTCTTTGCAGAGTAATTAAGATGTAAGCTAAGCTGAGGTCATCTTGGTATAGAATGAGCCCTTAATCCAATATGACGGATGTCATTGAAGAGGGGAAGAGACACAGAGACAGACACATGGAGAGGAGAGTGCCGTGTGGAGACACAAACACACAGATGGAAGATGGCCCTGTGACTGTGGAGGCAGAGATCTGTTAGGCAGCAAGGGTTGTCAGCACCCACAAGAATCTGAAGAATCTAAAAGACAGCGTGGCCCTGTGCACACCATGATTTCAGACTCCTGGCCTCTAGAACTTTGAGATAATAAATTTCTGTTGTTTTAAATCTCCTACTTTGTTCTCCTTTGTCCTGGAGCCCTAGGAAACGAATATGTTTCCCTTAGGATATTACTGGGGACACATATAATGCCAGTGCTGGAGTCCTGGCTTGTTGGCCATCTTGGTTCTGAAGTTAACCTCTCACCTACCTACTTAAGCACCTCAAAAACTTCCTATCACTGAGAATTTCTTCAAAGTGTTTAGAGGAGAACCTTCCAGTGGGCCACTGTGCCCATGCCTTGCTCTAGGACGGATGATATTGTTAACAAGATGGGAAAAGCGCTTTTTGAGTGCTTCTTTCTAGTGAGGTGCTTGGGAGACATGAGTGACTTTCTTCCAGGGAAGGGCTGCCCTAAGGAAAACCAAGCCCAGTGCTTCCTTATTTTTTGGTAGAATGGCTTGATCTCAGAGTAGAGGAAATTTTCTCCTAAGTGTCCTGTCTCAAAATCTCACGGAAATCATCCTTTAGTTCTTAGGCACCTGTCCTGGTGGGGGCTCCTCAGGTCCAGAGCCTGCCCGCCTCCAGCAGTCTCAATTCCAACTCGTTTGTGGGACAAGGCAAGGTTGTACCTTGTCTCTCGTCTTATTTATTAGCACATTACGACCACTAATCACAATTGAAAATACCGATGCCATCAAGATTATTCAAATCAGGGACAACCAATTTCAACTACCATTACTTGTAGATGGAATTACAGGTCTTGCTCCCTCTTCAGGACTTTTAAAGGACTCCTTTTTTTTTTCCCATTATTCCTCCATCCCCCATCAGACTCTTGAATTATACTGGGAATTAACTTAATATGTAAAGTCACTTCTAAATGAACTCTCTTCTGCTGCTTATTCTTTGCCTGCCCTTGAGTCCCTGTATCTCCCTTGGTAGCCTTCAAATGTCAAGACGTGGCCTTCCAAGTCCAACATCTGGTATTGTTCTTGTAAACAACATTTTTTTTTCCCCCAGGTAGATTCTTCTTGGGGTGAGTCAGTGCTTTGCTTGTCTGGGTCATTTACATGGAAATGGCATTTTGCACTTGGTAGTTCTATCATCCACAATGTTTATTCTTAAAGCACCCAGGATTTTCTCATAATGTCAAATGCAGAAGACAAAATCAGTCTCTCTCTTTCCCTTTTTCTCTCTCTGCAGTTCTCTGGGGGAGGCAGGTAGGACCTCAAGGGAAGCTTCTCTATGGAGGTGAAATTCTAGCTGAGACCTGCATGATGAGAAGATAAGCACTTTTAAAGGAACCTGGAAGTTGAATTTAAGGCAGAAGGAAAAACAAGGATAAGATCCATGAGCTGGGAACCCTCTTGCTGTGTTTAAGTACCAGAAAGAAGGCGGGTTGGGCTGGACACAGTAAGAGAGCAGGGGAGTGGTAGAAGACTCCATCAAACACATAAGCAAGGCAGATGTGCAGGCCATTGCAAGCATAAGAACTTTTTTTTTTTGAGACGGCATCTCCTTCTGTCACCCAGGCTGGAGAGCCTGGAGTGATCCCCTCATCTCAGCCTCCCGAGTAGCTGAGACTACAGGTGCATATCACCATGCCTGGCTATTTTTTTTTTTTTTGTATTTTTTGTCAAGACAGGGTTTCTCACCATATTGCCCAGTCTAATCTTAAACTTCTGGGCTCAGGTAATCTGCTTACCTTGGCCTCCCAAATTGCTAGGATTACAGATATGAGCCATTCCACCCCGCCAAGAAGAACTTTTGATAGGGGTTCCTGGACCATAGAGAGTTGGAGAAATCATTGTCTGAAACAGACATGCATACACGAATCATCCTTCCTGCTGATGAGGGAACAAGTGTCAGCATAGTTGAGGAAAGGTTTCCCCCAGTAGGATGGAGGGGTGTTGATGGAAGGTCACTTTGACTTTTTCCCACTCACTGCTGTCAGCCACTTACCAAATTCATTGGTGTGTAACAATAGTGATTTCTACTCTTGTTCCCTTCTTTCCATACCCACCCCCACTGCCCTAGAGCCAATCCCTCAAACTGGGGCTGTGACAGTGGCTCCCTATGGTCCCCCCACCCCATCTCCTTCAGCCTATATAAAGTATTCACGTTGCTTAAGCAGTAGTGTCAGAACCAGAGTTCAAACTCAGGATTTCTGAATTCTAATCTTGTGTTCCTTCCGTTGTACACCATCAATGAGATGAAAGCCTCTCTATAGGCCAGGCACGGTGGCTTATGGCTGTAATCCCAGCACTTTGGGAGGCTGAGGCAGGTGGATTACCTAAGGTCAGGAGTTCCAGATCAGCCTGGACAACATGGAGAAACCCTATCTCTACAAAAAATACAAAAATTTGCCGGGTGTGGTGGCAGGCACCTGTAATCCCAGATACTGCGGAGGCTGAGGCATGAGAATTGCTTGAATCCAGGAGGCAGAGGTTGCAGTGAGCTGAGATCGCAACACTGCACTCCAGCCTGGGTGACAGAGCGAGACTCCAACTCAGAAAAAAAAAAAAAAAAAAAAGCCCCTCTATATCCCTTCCATCAGTGACAACAAATAGAATCCACTCTGACTTGGTATTTCAGCCCCACTGGGAATGAATCCACCTTCCCCACCAGCCCGATCAGCCTTCTTTCTACACAAGCACACTCTCCTCTCCTTTTGATTTGCAAGTCTTCTGATACTATTTCCCCAGCCTGGACTGTTCAACCCCCTCCCACCCCACTTTCTGCCTCTTAGCTTTCATCTCATTTGTGGTGTGCAACAGAAGGACCACAATATTAGAAGCCAGAAATCCTGAGTTAGAATCCTGGTTCTGACACTTAGTCTCTGTGAGTCTCAGCATGGTCATCCATAAAGTGGGGTCAGTAATCCTGTTTTTATTTACGATGGTCTTGGCTACAGAAAACAGAAAACATAATTAAAAGTGGCTTATACAAAAAGGCTGGGGTCCAGTGGTCCCAGAGTTGGCTAAGTCAGCAGGTCAACCATGTTACCAAGTCATCAGGTTTTTATTTTGTTGATTTTGTTCTCTGTTTTTCTGTGCTGACATCTACAGAATACTGGCTTTTCTTCTTAGGCTGGATCCTCCATCGTCTAAGATGAAGGCTGCTTATCTAGATAGTATATGCAGGTGACAACACCCAGACAGAACAAAGAAAACATCCACGTCATGTTTTGTTTTTTTTTTTCTTCAGAGTGAGCAAAGCTTTCCCAGAAGTTCTGCAGCAGAATTTCCATCGTATTTCAATGACCAGAGCTGAGTCATGTGCTTGTGCTTTGAAGATTGCTTGGTAAGCCAGTGAGCCCACTGGCATTGGCTTAGAGAAGTCAAGATTCATGGGTTGGGAAGGCACCCAAAGTTCACTGGCTTCATGGAGCATAATGAAGAAGATGCCAGCTGTCTTAGCAAGGAGGAAGGGGTACATGGTGGTTGGGTGGGAAACCAAGTCTTCATCACAGGAATTTACCTTGGAGGGTATTATGCATTGAATGTTTGTGTCCCCTGCAAATTCATATTTTGAAATTCTAAAGCCCAAGGTGATCGTATCGGAGGTGGGGCCTTTGGGAAGTGATTAGGTCATAAGTGTAGAGCCCTCGTGAATGGTATTAGTGACCGAATAAAAGGCACCCCAAATAACTCTCTCACCCTCTTTTTTCTGGGTGGGGAGACAATGAGAAAATCACTGTCTGCAGCATGGAAAAAGATCCTCACCAGAACCAGATCATGTTGGCACCCGAATCTTGGACTTCCAGCTTCCAGAACTGTAAGAAATACATTTCTGTTATCTGTAAGCCACCCAGTCGATGGTGTTGTGTTATGGCAGCCAGAATGGAGCTGACAGAGTGTTGTTTTAAGGGTGAAATGAGATGATGTATTAAAGTCTGGTACAGCATCAAGCTCACAGTAAGTGCCCACTAAATGGTAGAGACTATTACTGGGACTGATTTTCAGTGTCCCCTCCTTTGTGAAGCCTTTTCCAGTCCCGGATGGAATGACTGAAGACTCCTTTGATAGTCTCACACACAGAGTATATCTTTATGTTGCGTGGGAAAAATGCGGTATTGGAGTTCAAGCTACATACCAGCATTAAACCGAGTTTCCAAATAGTACTATTACTTGATGATTAGTTGCAGAGAGTTTGGATTCTTGCAGACAATGATTCAAGACTTAGCCCTGCCACTTACAAAATGTATACTATAGTGATTGAACCTTTAGACTAAGAATCCCACCTTTACCCTTTCCTGGTTGGGTGATCTCAGGCAAGTCTTTAAGCCTCTAAGAGCGTGTTTCCTCATTCATAAAGCGTGGCTCAGTGGAAACCTACCTCCTGGGGTTGCTGTGAGGATTAGAAGTGATAACACATGTATAAAGCATGTTGCAAAGGGTATTATCAAGGGTAATGACTCTTTAAAGCAAATTTCCTGTAATCCAATTCTAGTTGATTATGGCTTAAGATTTTGAGATCCTCAGTGACAGTGAATGGGGCATGTTTCTCTGATTTCTCAGGACTTGGCATGCAGTTGGTGCTTAATTAATGTCAACTGAACTGAAGATAACTCTGTTGAATTTTGAAAAGTGCAGTGGAGGAGAGAGGAGGAAAAATATTATAAGCAGAGTGAAGGCCAAGTCACAAAGCGGTGATAACAGTGTCAGCTTCTCTAGCAATAACCTAGTCAAACTTCACATCATTTTCTTCAACTTGCTTTTTCCTCGCTCAAGCATTTCTGGTGTTTATTGCTCCTAGGAGTGCAAAGATGAGAAGAGGCTGCCACTCAGCTGCGATATATGAGGACTGACACTGTACCTTCTCTTAATCTCCTACCTTCTCTCCTCACCCTACTTGCCACTTTTTAAAATTTTGCTTTAATGTGATCAATATTATAAAATCCAATAAAGAAAAAGATTTAAAAATAGGAATTTGTGTGACAAAGGTGACAAATAGCAAAATATCATGAAAGGGAGGCTGTTGGACAGGAATCCCTGCGGCAGATGAGTTACTGATCACCACATCCCTACCTCCGTGCGGGCGTACCAGGAAGGGAACCAGGGTCCCTGGAAACTTCAGAGGCAGAACCATAGGGAAAGGGCCACTATGCTGCTGCCATATTTTTTGGAGTTTTTTTTTTTTTTTCGTACTTGGCAGAATGGGAATTCCATTCTCCTTCCAGAGTATCAAACCGAGGTCCATGCATTTTTCTTTCTTTATTTTAACATCGTGTGAATGAGATCAACAATCCTTATGAATAAAATTCAAGCCTTTCACATAGAATGAGAGGAACTCTTTCTTTAGTGTTAGTGCCCAACATTTTTTTTTATTTTTTTTATTTTTTTTATTTTAGAGGTGCGGGTTTTCCTCTGTTGCTCAGACGGGAGTGCAGTGGCACGATCACAGCTCATTGCAGCCTTGAATTCCTGGGCTCAAGGGATCCTCCTGCCTCAGCCTTCTGAGTAGCTGGAACTACAGGCACACACCACCAAGCCTGGCTAATTTTTTAAAAAAGGTTTTTGTAGAGACAGGGTCTTGCTATGTTGCCCAGGCTAATCTCGAACTCCCAGTCTCAAATGATTCTCCCACCTCAGCCCCCCAAAGCACTGATATTATAGGCATGAGCCACTGCACCTGGCCATTGCCTACCAGTTTTTTATGTTCCACACATACACAAGCCATAATGAACAGCTTCTCTTTTCTCTTGCCTCTGCATCCTGTGTATGTTGACACCTCCACCTGGAGCACGTTTCTTGATACCATCCCCAGGTGTGCACACACACACACACACACACTCTCTCTCTCCCTCTTAGATCTGGCTAATTCCTTCTCATCCGTCAAGTCTCTGCTCAGATGTCACTTTCTCCAGGAAGCCTCCCATGATCTCTCACATATGATTAGGAACTCATCCCTGTACTCTCAAAATCTCCACCTGTGGTTGACTCCTACAGTAGCAGACTCAGGACACCACACTGTAATTGCCTTTTGCTCTCTTGCCAGCTAACGCCTTCAAGGGCAAGGACTGTGTTTTATTCTTTGTCATCTCCAGCATCTAACCTTGGGCACAGCCTTTAACAGGAGTTTGATTAACATTTATTGAATGAATGAATGATGGCATCAGTAGTGCTGATGGGTTATGGCTATGGGACCGTCCCTCTAAGGACATTGCCTCAGGGTTATTTTCAAGATGGAATCTCAGCAAGGAGGTGCCACCTCCTTCTAAATTTGCCTTCATTTATTCAATCTTCCACTTTCTGCATTCAATGGATTTTGAATGCCTCCTCCATAGCAAGTCCTGTGCTAGGTCTCAGGGACCCAGCAAACAACGCAGATCTGGTGCCTGGCTTCACAGAATCTAAAATCCAGAGGCCTCATTTTCAAGGTTGGTTTCTATTCACTGCTGCATTGCCAGTATCTCTCGTCGTTTTTGGCATTCAATACATACGTTAAGGGAAATTTAAAAAAAGACAGTTTCAGGGCACATACATATCAGAGTCAGTTTATAAAGAAAAAAAAAAAAAAGCAAATGGTTTTATTTCACCTAGAGAAAGAGTCAGAGTTTCCAAGGGGGAGATGGGCAGGTCCAGTGACATAGCTGTGGAGGCAGCAAGGGTCATTGTGGTTGTGCTGCTGGACCTGGCTGGGATCAAATCCCATCTGTAGCACTATATCATCCTTGATGGTCATTTTAGCCTCATTAAACCCCTGTTTCTGCATCTGAAAAATGAGGACGACAGAATTAACCTCATCCAATTTCTGTGAAAATTCAATGAATGAATCAATAGAAAGCTTCCAGCATAGGGGAAACCATTTATTAGATGTCAGCTTATTATAATTGTGAGTAGAGGCTTAAAATGATATGCTGTGCTTGGGAAGGGCAGAAAGTGATGTATTTGTGTATGTGTGTGTGTGTGTGTGTGTGTGTGTGTTTGCGTGCACTGGTATTGGGGGTGAGACTGGAAAGCTGTCTGGAATCAGCTATGATGTTTTGTGTTCCATGCTAGGGGGCTTGGTTGGCCTCAGGGGGAAGCCACTGAGAATTATATATGGTAGAGTGACATGACATGGTTATATCTGCTCACATGAGAAATGAGGTGTGCCTCACTTTACACAGTGGCAATTGGAATACTTTGAGAAGGGAAAAAAGAACAGAAGGAAGGCGGAAAAGGAACAGAAAGGAAACTGGAGTTGGGGAAAGGAGGAGCAGAGGACAGGCAAGAAAAATGGATGGAGCATCCATTTGACACCAGGCTCCAGGGCTTGCCTCTAGATGAGTGAGGAGTCTCAGGACAGGCATAAGGGCTCAAGCTCGATGGTGATTTATAGGTCTCCATCTCAGGGTCTGGCTGAATGGTGCAGAAGGAACTCTCAGAGGCCCCCTGCTCCAGACTGTAAAGCCAGGACTTGGGGATGGGCTTTTTGTCTCAGGATTCACCTGAGGCTGCAGACTGCCAGTGCTAATTACCTGGGGTCAAAGCTCAAGAGCTACTTGCCCTAGGGTATGCTTTGCAGCCTCCGGACATTCAGCTGATCTTGCAAGAGCGTGTCCCTGCGATGTCACTGCCAGGCTGATCAGCACAGCCCCCATCCTCCTTCCCTTCTGGCAGTAAATCCAAGTATATTTTTCTAGCTTTAATTTATTTTTTAAAGTAGCTTTATGAGCCTGTTAATAAAAGGGAAACTTGCTCCTTGTCCGACTGTCACTCAGCCTCTGGTTGTCTCCTCTCGCCTGGGAAACTCATTGGAAACAATGCTGGCTCCTTTCTCTCCGCACATAAAAAGGTTTATAGATCTCCAGTTTCCTACAACTCAGCCCAAAGTAGCTCTCACTTGACAGTCTTCAGAA
This sequence comes from Homo sapiens, assembly GCF_000001405.40. Classification (NCBI taxonomy): domain Eukaryota; kingdom Metazoa; phylum Chordata; class Mammalia; order Primates; family Hominidae; genus Homo; species Homo sapiens. Next base: position 8,458,325 of record NC_000016.10, on the reverse strand, counting down.
ATCAACGTTGCTCCCCCCTCTACTGAGCTCCTGCCCGCACAAGGTCAGGCTCCGCTCCAGGAAGCTATTGCTGTTTGAATCGTGCTGGCTGGGACTGCTGGGAAGTTTCTCCTTCAGAGGACACCTCCATCTTGGAGAGAGAGGCTTTGAAACCTTTAGCAGCATTGACAAGGAGCTTACACTTGTCAAACAGACTTGACTTCCTGCTGAGCTGCAGCTCTGGGCTCAGATTTGAGAAAGGGGTCTGGGCTGTTCGTGGCCACTCCCCAGCCCAGTTTATTTCAGTGAAGATTATGGGTCTTCAGGGTGGCTGCCTGGTGGTTGTTCCCTGAGCTGTGTGGCCCTTGTGGGTATGTGAGATGGTACATCCTCTGTGCAATTTCCATGCTGATGATGTGGGTCTGTGACTGGTGGACTCAGGTTATTTGGTGCTTTATTTAGCATAGCAAAAGAAGAGTGAATTGGTCTAAAGCAGGGTTTCTCAACCTCAGCACTATTGATATTTTGGACCTGATAATTCTGCATTGTGGGGAGGGGGGTGTCCTGTGCATTGTAGGATGTTAGCAGCTCCCCTGGCCTTTACCCCCCAGACTCCAGTAGCATTCCCCTCTTCCTGTTGTAATGCAGGGCAGGCAAGCCCCCACATGGGGCGTAGCCCACGAAGGTTCTTCGCTTTGCCAGGAAAGAATTCAAGGGTGAGCCGGTGGTAGGGTAGAAGAAAACAGCTTTATTGAAGCATCCGTGTTATAGCTGCATGACTGCTCCTGCAGAGCAGGGCAGAGAGTAGCAGCTGATGACGGTTTTGCAGTCATATTTATACCTACTTCTAATTATATGCAAATTAAGGGGTGGTTTATGTAGAAATTTCTAGGAAAAAGGTGAGAGCTTTTGGGTCATTGGGTCATTGCCATAGAAAGGAGTGGTAAATCCTGAGTGTTGCCATGGCAATGGTAAACTGACATGGGACAGGGATGGGCATGTCTTCTGGAAGGCTGCTTCCACCTCATCCCTGTTTTAGCTAGTCCTCAATTTGGTCCAGTGTCCAAGCCCTGCTTCTGGAGTCAAGTCTTGCCTCATACCTCAGTTGTAACAACCAAAAATATTCCCAAGCATTGTCAAATGTCCCCAGGGAATGGGGTGGAATCGTATGGTAGCTCTGTTTTTAGTTTTTTGAGGAACTTTCATACTGTTCTCCAAAGTGGTTGTACTAATTTACTTTCCCACCAACAGTTTTTGAAGGTTCCCTTTTCTCCACATCCTCCCTAGCATTTGTTATTGCCTGTCTTTGGATATAAGCCATTCTAACTGGAGTGAGATGATATCTCATTGTAGTTTTGATCTGTATTTCTCTGATGATCGGTAAGGTTGAGTACTTTTATATGCAGCTGTTTGTCCTTTGTATGTCTTCTTTTGAAGAATGTCTATTCAGATCTTTTATCTGTTTTAAAATCAGATTATTCATTTTTTTCTATAGAGTTGTTCGAGCTTCTTATATATTATGGTTATTAATCCTTTGTCAGATGGGTAGTTTGCAAACATTTTTCCCATTCTATGGGAATATGTCTATTCACTTTGTTGATTGTTTCCTTTGCTGTGCAGAAGCTTTTTAACTTCCTGTGATCACATTTGTCCATTTTTGCTTTGGTTAACTGTGCTTTTGAGGTATTACTCAAGAAATCTTTGCCCAGGCCAGTATCCTGGAGAGTTTCCCCAATGTTTTCTTGTAGTAGTTTCATGGTTAGAGGTCTTAGATTTAAGTCTTTAATCTGTTTTGATTTGATTTTTTTATATGTTGAGAAATATAAGCCTGCTTTTATTCTTCTGTATTTGAATATCCAGTTTTACTAGCAAGATTTATTGAAGTGATTGTCTTTTCCCCAGTGTATGTTCTTTGCACCTTTGTTGAAAATGAGTTCACTGTACATATATGAACTTATTTCTGGATTCTCTCTTATGTTCCATTGGTCTGTGTGTCTCTTTTTATGGCAGTGCCATGCTGTTTTGGTTACTATAACTCTGTAGTATAATTTGAAGCTATGTAATGTGATTCCTCCAGTTTTATTCGTTTTGCTCAGAATGGCTTTGGCTATTCTGGGTCTTTTGTGGTTCCATATAACTTTAGGATTATTTTTTCTATTTCTATGAAGAATGTTATTGGTATTTTGATAAGGATTGTATTGAATCTGTAAAGTACTTGTGTAGTATGGACATTTTAAGAATATTGATTCTTCCAATCCATGGACATGGGATATCTTTCAATTTTTTGTGTCCTTTTTGATTTCTTGCATCAATATTTTATAGTTTTCATTGTAGAAATCTTTTACTTCTTTGGTTATACTTATTCCCAGGTATTTTATTTTATTTGTTGTTATTATAAATGGGATTGCTTTCTTGATTTCTTTTTCAGAAGAAGGTTTGAAGCTAGCAAATGCTGGTGGAGGTAGGATTTGAACCCATTTCTGATTTCACACCACATTTACATGGAGAAGCCTCAGATTGTGGCAGGGACATACATGGATACTCTGGTCCAGGTGATTTTTCTTTCTGGAAAATTACTGAAGATTTTTCTACTAAGAAAAATCAATGCCTATGATTCCAGCAAATATGGTGATAGTAAACTGGATTCTTTAAAAAATATTTATTTATTTTTAATTCACACATAATAATTGTACATATTTATGGTGTATAGTCAGTTGTTTTGATATGTATATACATTATGTAATGATGAAATTCATATTTAGCATTTCCATCATCTCAAACATTCTCTTGATTCACCCAGAGCTCTGTAGAACCAGCTGACATGCCGAGGTTATTCAGTTTAATGGAAACGCATCTGAGAGTACACTTGATTCAACCCTTTTCTTTACCAACTTGGATGCCCTTTCTTTCTTTCTCTTGTCTGATTGCTCTGGCTAAGACTTCCAGTACTATGTTGAAGAGAAGTGGTTGGAGTGGGCATCCTTGTTTTGTTCCAGTTCTCAGAGGGAATGCTTTCAACGTTTGCCCATTCCGTATTATGTTGGCTGTAGGTTTGTCATAGATGGCTTTTATTACATTGAGGTATGTCCCTTGTATGCCTATTTTGCTGAGAGTTTTAATCATAAAGGGATGCTGGATTTTGTTGAATGCTTTTTCTGTATCAAGATGATCATGTGATTTTTGTTTTTAATTATGTTTATGTGGTGTATCACATAATTTATTGACTTGTGTATATTAAACCATCCCTGCATCCCTCATATGAAACCTGCTTAATCATGATGGATTATCTTTTTGATACGGTGTTGGATTTGGTTAGCTAGTATTTTGTTAAGGATTCTTGCAACTATGTTCATCAGGGATATTTGTTTGTAGTTTTCTTTTTTGGTTATGTCCTTTCCTGGTTTTGGTATTAAGGTGATACTGGCTTCATAGATTGATTTAGGGAGGATTCCCTCTTTCTCTGTCTTGTGGAATAGTGTCAGTAGGATTGGTACCAATTCTTCGCTGAATGTCTGGTAGAATTCTGCTGTGAATCCGTCTGGACCTGGACTTTTTTTTGTTGGTAATTTCTTTTATTACAATTTCAGTCTTGCTGCGTATTATTGGTCTGTTCAGGGTATCTAATTCTTCCTGATTTAAACTAGGAGGGTTGTATTTTTCCAGGAATTTATCCATCTCTTCTAGGTTTTCTAGTTTATGTGCATAGAGGTGTTCATAGCAGCCATGAATGATCTTTTGTATTTCAGTGGTGTCAGTTGTAGTATCTCCTGTTTTATTTCTTAATGAGGTTATTTGAATTTTCTCTCTTCTTTTCTTGGTTAATCTTGCTATGGTCCATCAATTTTATTTATCATTTCAAAGAACCACCTTTTTGTTTTATTTATCTTTTGTATTTTTATCTGTTTGTTTCATTTAGTTCTGCTCTGATCTTGGTTATTTCCTTTGTTCTGCTGTGTTTGGGTTTGGTTTGTTCTTGTTTCTCTAGTTCCTTGAGATGTTACCTTACAATTTCAGTTTGTGCTCTTTCAGACTTTTTGATGTGGGTGTTTGGGGCCATGAACTTTCCTCTTGGCACTGCCTAGGCTGCAGTGATCCTCCTGCCTCAGCCTCCTGAGTAGCTGGTACTACAGGGGTGTGCCACTATGCCTGGCTAATTTTTCTTTTTAATTTTTTTTTGTAGATACAGGGTCTCCCTGTGTTGCCCAGGCTGGTCTCAAACTCCTGGGCTCAAGCAATCTTGCCAACTTGGCCTTCCAAAGTGTTGGGATTACAGCAGAGAGCCATTGCACCCAGCCTACTAGATCTTAAATAGTACACTTGTGTTCCCCTCACCCACCTCCATGCCCACCTCAATGTTATCCAATATTAGGATTTGTTGTGGATCTTTCCTTGTCTTTCTCTTGGCTCATATAATCAATATGGTTGTTGTTTATTTTTTAAGGAACTGTAATGGTTTTATACATACCTTTCTGGAACATGGCTTTTTAACTTGTGATACATCTATTGTGGAATCTGCTCTGTCAAGTTAGTTGGTGTCAACAAGTGACTCCATAATAATTCAATGGCAGAGATGTAAGCCCTTTTATATAGCCATTCTCCTATTAACGACCTCTTTTTATTGGAAATTTCAAAGCATTAAAATATTATATCGGAAAGGGGTAGGAGAGAGGCCAACCTGACTAATTATACAAACTGGAGTAAGCTTTGGGGGCTGAGCTACGGATCTGACATGTGCAGCAAGAGGTATGTTTTGAATTAAGTAACTATCTGAAATCACCCAACAGTTAGATAATTGACCTAATTTAATTTTCCTATAGAAGGATGACCACTGGTTTTTCTGCCTGATCTATGGGTATGTCACTGCATGTATTACAAGCCAGTTGGCTAAGTATGAAGCTATTATTACTAATTAAAATCACTTTCCTGCAGAGCCCTCACCTTCTCCACCTCGCTAGCCCACCTTCCCACATTACCCAGGATTCATCCCTTCAGGAACGGTTAATGTGAGCCCCAAATCAATAGCTCAATTAGCAATCAAGATTGGGCTTCCAGGCAACAGAAGATCAGGATCAATAACTTATGTTCGGTGAAATTAAAGGCAGTTGTTAAGCCAACTGTTTAAAAGGCGCAGACAGGGACTTCAGGGATATCTGTCAAAACCTGTTGGGTTCTTTCTCTGGAGAGGTTGGAACATACATCTTTCTTTGGTCAGTCTTCCACATCGATGGGCAGCTAATGAAGCAAGCATATCCTCACCAATTTTTTTTTTCCTGAGATAAATTCCCTGGCCCCAGGACTGCCATGGGCATCTGAGCTGACTTGAGGGAGCTTCTTTCATCAAGTCCAATGTGGCAAAAGCAGAGATTCAGAGTCATCTCTCAGTGTCTCTCCAGCATCTTTTGGGAGGGTAGAGTGAGTGAAGTTTCCCTGCATCTTTGATTTGTTGGATCTTGCCGGCATTATGATGTTTTAATCATTCAACTAACATTTATTGAGCACTCACTCTGTTTCCCTGAGCTTGAGTTTTAGGGTTTGTTGTGGGTCCTTCCCTGTCTTTCTCATAGGCTATTGATAGGTTGTGGGTGACAATGGTGTAAAGTTTCAGCTTTACAGACAATAATGTAAAGTTTCAGCTCTATCAGCTACTTAACTTAACCAAGCACTTGATTAATTCTTTGTTCCTCAGTTTCGTCATCTGTGCAGTGGGGATAATAACGTGTTTTAGGTCATTCTTGCACTGCTATAAAGAGATAGCTGGGACTGAGTAATTTATAAGAAAAGAGGTTTAATTTGCTCATGGTTCTTTTCCAACTGATTTTTAAAACTTTTTATGAGTTGAACCCTATTTATAGTTCTAGTATTATTACCTGTATGAGTTAGGATAAACTAGGTGGGAGTAACAAATAGCCCCAGACGGGTAATGGAACAACATGACAGACGTATGTTTCCTGGTCATTCTCTAGTGTCTACTTATCCTCTCCATCCAGCTGGTGTAAGGGGAAGGACAGTGAAAAGAAGGCCCCACATCATTTCTTAAAAAGCATGGGCTCAGAAGGGAATTCAGCCTTCCACCTTCCATTCCATGGCCTACATGTTAATCACCATCCTGACTGCAAGAGAGATTGGGAAGTGTAGCCTGTCTGTTTTGCTCAGAAAATTAAAAAAAAAAAAGATAGATTTGGGGGATCAGCTGGCTATCTCAACTTCATTATCATGACCTCCCTTTGTGGATGTCTGTAATTATACCTGCCTATCATGTTTTCCCTAGAATTTCTCTTTCCTTTAGGGAACTCATCCCATTAGATGGGAAGGTCCATACCTGCAGGCACAAGGATGTGCATGTGACCCAAGCTGGGCCAGTCATAGCCTTTCTTGCAATATTTCTGTTGGATCTATCAAGAAAGGCATTTTTGTGTACTAGAATCACTATGTTGGTAGACACGAGTCTTGGGCTGCCTAATACAAGATGCCTGCAACTTGAATTCAAGAGATAAACTGCTGACTAGTTATATCCTCTGATATCTGGTAGAGGGACAGTCATAGACACAGATAATTACAGTAAGATAAGTAATTATTATAATCCTTAGAATTTGTTGAAGTGCTTGCTCTGTTCCAGGCACTATTCAAAGTTTTAGATTTATTCACAGTGGCGTGTGTTCTACTCTTATCCATATTTCACAGATGAGGAAATGGAGGCACAGAAAATGTATGAAACTTGCTCAAGCTCACTTACATAGCCAGCAACAGAGCTGGAAGTCAGGCTCCAGTGCTTTTGCTCTTACCCACTGTGGGGACTGCTTCTAAGGATGCTACAAATGCTACTTCCTCATAAGCTCCTTGAATTCAGGAATAAGGTCTTACTGTCTCAATTTCCCTCCCACTCTGCTCCAGCGCACCTAGTACTGTTCACAGTAATTCCAGTTTACCTAGGGTTATTGAGCAGAAGTTCTAAAGGCCACTGACAGAAAAAAAAATGCACCATGGTGGATAAAAAGATTAGAAAAATGGGTGCTCTTCCTTGATGACTACTAGCTTAACCACCTGGAAATCTTCAGATTCAAGAATGTGGGTGGTGAGTATCGATGTATGGCATCGCTTGCTTCTGGAAGGAGCTGTTGTTGTGACATAGGTATCCAGGCTAAGGTTCCCCTGGAGAGTGAGGATCCAGCCAGGTGACACATCTCCTTCACAAATGATCCTGGAAATGATGCATTTGATCTGTAGCCAGGTGGCTAAACACAAAAGGAGCTAGCATGTATTAATAGATAAGCACTTTAATGTTTTCTATTATTTAATCATCAACCTCCTTCCCTCAACACACATGATAGGCATGATTATCTTTGGTCGGTGCTTGGAGAAATGCTTAGCATGGAATGGGTATTATCTGTTGTTACAATAATGCTGGAAAGGAAGAATAGAAATCATAGCTCCACTTACCTCAAATGCATATTTGACTTCTTCCTCTACTCTATGTTTACTTTATTGTATGTAAAATGCAGATTTGCTGAGTGCAAGATGAATGCATAAGTGACTGTTCCACTACCCCCATTTTCACATGTAACTTGTCAATTAAGTGAGCGCCAATCAAAGCCTCACAAGAAGATGACCACTTAACTCAGTACCTACCCTCGCTTTTTATAAATTTCCTCCTTCCCCTCCTGCCTGCTATTTCCCATTTAAATACTGAAGTCCTTAAAACACTTTTTGAAAAAAGTGCAGGCCACAGATCCTACTGTGACTTGACTCTCTTTTTCCTGGGTGCATCCTCAACCTTAGCAAAATCAGCCTCTAAATCATGAGTCAGAAATCAAAGGGAGTCAAAACGACTTGCCCCAGTCATTTTACTTGGTTTACATACTTAGGTGTATTTTCCTCTAAATATTTTCCCTGTTATTATTCAAAAATTGAGAGATGCCTTAATACAAAATCTTGGCTTAAACATCTACTGTAAACATGCCCTTCCATCATTAAAAACCCATTGCAAACGTTATTTCCAGTGGCTGCATAATATCCTTTTTTTTCCAGGTAACACCATAATTCATTTGATCAATCTTCAATTGAATTTCTATATTGTTTTCAACTTCTCTCTCTTTTTTTTTTTTTTGAGACAGGGTCTTGCTCTGTTACCTAGGCTGGAGTGCAGTGGTGCAATCGTAGCTCACTGAAGCCTCAACCTCCTGGGTGCAAGCAGTCCTCACACCTCAGCCTCCCCCAAATAGCTGCCACAGGCATGTGCCACCATGCCCTGCTAATTTTCGTATTTTTTGTGGAGACGGGGTGTTGCCATGTTCCAGGCTGGTCTCAAACTCTTGAGCTCAAGCAGTCCTCTCGTCTTGGCCTCCCAAAGTGCTGAGATTACAGGCGTGAGCCACCACACTCAGGCACTTTTCATTCCTATAAATTATGCTGGGATTATTCATCTTTAATTTTATGTATTTTTCATTACAAATGTGACAACACTGCCATACACAAAATCTTGAAAAAGGAACGAAAAATGCCAACTATCTCCCACCATCATAACCACTGCTAATATATTTCTATATTTTCTTCCAGCCTTTTCTCCCGCACATAATTTTATGCTCACCTTTTCCTGACTGTAAAAGTAATATATGATGACTTTCCAAAGATTTGAAACTACAGTAACAAGGAAGCAGGAACAAAAATCATCCATAATTTCACCACGTACAGACAACCACTATTAAGTCTTTGGCCTATTCTCACATATTATTATTGTTATTGGTAGTAATTTTAATTATATCTTATTATTTTACATGACCGAGATTGTGCTAGAATTGCAATCTTCATTTTCTTGTTTTGCTTAATCCTGCATCATGAGCATTTCTCCTTGTAATTAAAAGCTTTAAAAGATATTTTAAAAGCATTACATATTACAACATAATATTTTAATGACTGCACAATACCCCTTCAAATAGATGTATTATAATTAATTCAACATCCCCACAGGGGGACAGCTTTAGCTATCATATACTTTGCTACAAAAAGCATTTTTGCACATGCGTTTTGACCGCATTTCGGCTGATTTCTTTAGGATAGGTTACAAGGAGTGAAATTACTTGTCACGTGCTGCAAGTATACGAACGTTTTGAAGACTTACATATGCACGAGTTTTTACACAGTTGCAAGCACACAAGGTCCACCATGCTGTATCCTGGTTGTGACTTATCTTTTTAGCACAGCATTTCCTCCTAATCATGATTCTGCTTGAATAAAAGGATGATCTCATTTATTTTTTATCCCCAGTCCAGTGCCTGGCACAAAACAGGCACAACTCTAAGTTTAGAGGCTCTGTAGATTGATTAGTAGTGGAAGCACCAATTGCGGATCCAGACAGCCTGGGTTTGAATCCAGGATGCATCACTTACCAGCCAGTAAGTGTCTCTGTCCTTTAGTTTTCTCATCTATTAAAGGGGGACCCAGATAGCGCCAGCCTTATATCCTTGTTGTAAGGATTAAGTACATAGCCCCCAGCATGTGCTAAGTATTCTCTTAATGTAAGCTTAATTTATTCTTTTTGAATTGGAGGAGGCAGTGTGTTGGTTAAAAGCACCAACCTTTGGAGTTATACAGCCCTGAATTTTGTGCCACCTCCTGCTGTGAGACCTTCAGATGTCTTCTAACTTCCAAGTCTCCATCATTTCATTGGCAAAACTGATCAATAATCGTACCCACTTTATGGAGTTGCTGTGAGGATGAGACAAAGTAATATCAACTAGACATTCAACATGGCGCCTGGCACCTGGGAAATATTGAATAAATGTGAGACCAAATAATTACTGTAGAGAGAATACAGGCTTGCTGTAACATATTCTGAGTCTATTCTCAGAGACAATCAGTGTTAGGAATTTGAAATGTCCTTCTAGACATTTTTTTTCTTTTACAGTCATAAACGTCTATGTGTGCAGGTTCAGTTGACGTTGCTGCTTGATCATATTTTCCTTCTTCTCTTTTTAACCCGCTGGTGGCTTGGAGATTCTCTCTTTTATTTCTAATCTGGAAGTGGGGCCTGGCAGTAGGATGAGAGGAGACAATGAAGGCTCTTTTCCCCTTTTTGCCGGCAGCATTGCTCTCGGGCACAGTGGAGGTGTTTAGAGGCAGAAGGCTGGAGATCGTCATGGGGTGTGCACAGCTTCCTTTGCCATCTGGTTCCTTTGTATGCCTTCCACATTTCCAGGCAGAGATTTTGGGGGATGTGCCTTTGCCCTGTGATTAACTTCCACTTCTAGCTGTTTAAAAACATTAAAAAATTTTTAAATCATCTTTCTCCCTTCCCTTTTCTTCTCTTTCTGTTCCATTGGCCTAGCTTGTTCTTGTCATGACCAACTTTGTCCACTTACTTAGATTTCAGCTTAACTGTTACCCTGCCCCAAAAAGATCTTCCCTGAAAAATTTATCCAAAGTAGGCATCTTCTTCCTCCAGTTATCCCCTCTTTCGCTGGGTGCCTTATGAACATTTCTGGCAATCTGAATTAATTATTGAATCTGCAAATGTGATTATATATTATTTGCTCCCATCCACCCAAATCTCAGCCTCAGGGCACAAAAATCATGTCTTTTTCCACTCCACCAAGCATCAGAATGCTCTAGTCCACTGCGAGCACCTAGTAGATGCCCAATAAAATTTGTTTAATGAGTGCGTGGATCACTGTGCAACCATAAACAGAGGGGTGTGCAATCTAAAGCACATTGCTATTCCCCATACTCAAGGCAAAGAACAAGTTCAGACCGGGCGCAGTGGCTCATACCTGCAATCCCAGCACTTTGGGAGGTCGAGGTGGGTGGATCACCTGAGATCAGGAGTTTGAGACCAGCCTGGCCAACATGGCAAAACCCTGTCTCTACTGAAATTACAAAAAAAATTAGCCTGGTGTGGTGGCATGCACCTGTAATCCCAGCTACTCGGGAGGCTGAGGCGGGAGAATCGCTGGAACCCGCGAGGAGACGTTGCCGTGAGTGGAGATCGTGTCTCTGCATTCCAGCCTGGGCGACAGAGCAAGACTCTGTCTCAAAACAAAACAAAAAAATGGTACAGAGAGGTTACATGACTTTTTTATTGCATCAAGAGAACACACATGGCCGGGCGAGGTGGCTCATGGCTGTAATCCCAATACTTTGGGGGGCTGAGGCGGGTGGATCACCTGAGGTCAGGAGTTCACGACCAGCCTGGCCAATATTTATGTCTTCTTTAATTTCTGTTTTGTAGATTGATTTATTCCTAAGTATTTCACATTTTTGCTGCCATTGTAAATAATATTTATTTCAAAACTTCAATTGAACTTCTAATTGTTTGTTGCTTCAGTACAGAAATATAATTGATTTTTGTGTATCGATTTGAATGATTATATATTTATTTTAATCTAAGTTGTCGAACTTAGTATAACATTGTCCATAATATTGCCTTATTATCCTTTTAATATCTGTAGTGATGTCACCTCTTTCTTTCCTAATATTTGTAATTTTTGCCTTCTATTCATTTTTACCCCTTGTAAGTCTGGCTAGAGATTTGTCAATTTTATTGATTTTTGTCAAATAAGTAGCTTTTGGTTTTAGTGATTTCCTCTATTATTTTTCTGTGTTCTACTGCATTGATTTCCACTTTTATCTTTATTATTTCCTTTCTCTGCTTACTTTGAGTTAAGTTTCTCTTCTTTTTCTACTTTCTTAAAGCAGAGGCTGAGGTCATTGACTTGAGAGCTTTCTTCTTTTCTAATATAGCCATTGAGGCTACACATTTTCCTCTAAGTAAATGCTTTAGTTGCATCCCACAAATTTTCATACGTATATTTCCTTTTCATTTACTTCAAAATGGCTTCCAGTTTTCTTTTTAATTTTTATCTTGACAATTGAACTATTTGGAAGTGTATTTAGTCTCCAAACATTTGGATTTTTTCAAATGTCTTTCTTTCTAGGTATCTTTAGTTTATTTGTAATTTAACTTCACTGTGGTCAGACAACATACTTTGAATGACTAAAATTTTTTCAAATTTACTGAAACATGTTTTATGGCTCATAAAATTGTTTATCTTGGTGAATTCTCTATTGCATTTTAGAAGAATGGGTATTCTTCTGTTGTTGCTGAGTTGTTCTATAAATGTCATTTACGTCAAGTTGATTGTTAGTGTTGTTCAGATCTCTTATATACTCGCTGATTTATGTTTACTTGTTCTGTTGATAATTGAGAAAGAAGTATTTAAAATGTCTGAATATAATTGTGGATTTGTCTATTTTTCCTCGAAGTTTTATTATTTTTTGTTTTGTGTATTTTGAAACTCTGTTATTAGGTTCATATAGGTGCATAAATATTTAGGATTGTCATGTCCTCTAGAAGATTCAACCAGTTTCCTTTTTCCTGAAAGGGCTTCTTTTAACCTTTCTTGGAGTGCAGCTTTCACATTTTTAATGTCTACAACTGTCTTTATTTTGCCTTCATTTTGAAAGCATTTTTTGAAAAATATTTTTTCTAGGTATATTCTAGCTGAATTTTTTTCTTTCACTATTTTAAAGACACTGCTCCACGTCTTTTTGCTTATATTGTTTCTGAGGAGAAATCTGTCATCATACCTATCTTTGTGCCTCTTTATGTAACATATTATTTGGCTTTGGCTCTTTTTCGTATTTTCCCTTTACCATGGACTTTGAGTAATTTGATTATGATGTGTTTTGTTGTATTTGTTTGTTTATACTTAAAACTTATTGAATCTTTTGGATCTGTGAGTTCATAGTTGTTTTACTAGATTTGTAAACTTTTTGATCATTATTTTTTCAAAGATGTTTCTTTCCCCCTTCTCTCCTTTGAATCCTTGAATTATGTATATCAGGCTGCTTGAAGTTGTTCCACAGCTCAGATGCTCTTTTTCATTTTTATTTTTTTTTCTCTCTGTGTTTCATTCAAGATTGTTTCTACTGCTCTTTGAATTCATGCTCTTTTTTTTGGGATATCTTTGGTTAATCCCAGCCTGTATCTATTTCATTTCAGACATCATAGTTCTCATCTCTAGAAGTTCTGTTTGCATCTTTCAAAATATATTCCATGTTTCTACTTAGCTTTTTGAACATATGCAATGTAGTTGTAATAACTGATTTTATGTCCTTGTCTTCTAATTCTAACATCTGTGGATGTTTTGGGTCAGTTTTAACTGATTGATTTTTCTCCTCATAATCTGTATTTTCCGTCTTTTTTTTCATGCCTGTTTGTCTTTGATAGGATGCCAGACATTGTTAGCTGTTGGATATTTTTGCATTCCTATAAATTTAGAGATTTTTCTTTTTCTGAAATGCAATTGTTTTTGGAAACAGTTTGAATCTTTTGAGTATTGCTTTTAAGACTTGTTAGATGAGATCAGAGTAGTGTTTAGTTTAGGGCTAATTGTTCCCCGCTAATGAGGCAAACCCTCTTGAGTACTCTAAATTATGAAGTTTTCAGTTTGGCTTGTAGAATAGGAATAGGAATGATTTCTGGCTTAATGGGAATGCTTGCTACTGTTCCTTCTAATCCTTCAAATGGCCTCTCTTTGCCTTAGAAAGTTCCCTATGCGTGTGAGCCAATCAGTACTTTGCTGAATACTCAAGGAAGACTTCTGGCAAATCTTCAGGGTTCTCTTCTGTGTGGTTCCCTCCTCTCCAGCACCCTGTCCTGCAAACCCTAGCTGTTTTGGGCTTTTGGGAACCTAGCTCCTCAACTCAGGAAGCCCACTGTGCTCTTCCTGGTTTCCCCCTTCCGGTATTATGTCTGGGACATCCCTCAAGGCTAATGCTAGGGAAGTCCTAGGCCTCACCTCATTTCTTTTTAATCTCTCAGGGACTGCCATCCTTTGTTACTTGAAGTCCGGTGTCCTGAAAATCATTGTTTCATATATTTTTGTGGGGTTTTTTGTGGTTGTTTCAGGCAAAAGAGTAAATCAAGTCTCGGTTACTCCGTCTTGGCTGGAAGCAGACGTCCCCTAGAGCCTAAAATTTTTAAGGCTATCCAGGTAATTTGTGTGGGAGCTTGAAATAAAATCTCAGTTTATTATGCCATATTTCAGTTCTTGTTCCACTGTTATTGCAGATTCCTGTTAATGTGAATACTATATGGTGTTTTTTTCATCCAGATCTTTAGAGACAATGGCTTATTTCCCTATTCCCAATCCTTTTGAGAAGAGGATGTGTTCTATTCTCTTTTATAAATATGAGACACTGCAAATAGCAAGGGCTGAGCAAGATATCACTGTGGTAATTTTATCAATCTTAGGGATTTGAGAGCTCTCTAAAACACTTTAGAAAAATGCAGCATTGTTAGCAGCCATTTCATGTTCCACGTTGCATTATTCTTTTCATAATTGGGTTCTTAAAATACATGCTTGATGAATAATCAGTTCCATCTCCCACTTTTAATTATATTTACTGTGTAGCATTTCCCAAGGGAACTATTAAAAACACACACACTCATTAGCTCCATCAAATATTTTTACAAAATAAAATTGATATCTCTTTCCCCCAAGATTTTTTTACTTAGGGATAACAGTCCTAACAAAAGCATGGCAGAGGCAGTATGAGAGTTTGCCGAATAATCTCAGAGTGGTAAAAATTTTCTGCTCTTAATGAATTTGCTCCTTAAACAGAGATTGACTTTGATGAGTCTGAGTAAAAGTTTTAAAACATCTTCTGCTGAAGGGTTAATTGCTCATTTTCAAATGCATCATTTCAGGATATTTCTGCTGGAAAATGTATAGCTGTAATGATGAAATTATTTTTTCTTTATAAGAGCCTTAGGTTGCTAACTTGTAAAGCGATCCTCATCCAGTGCCGTGGTTCTCAACCCCATCTTCACATTAGCATCACTTGAGAGTATTTAAAAGATGTCAATGCCAAGAGCCCCCACTCAGACCAATTAAATCAGTATCTCTGGGCAGAAAGCCTGAGCATCTGTATATTTTAAAACTGTCCTGGTAATTTTAGTTTGCAGCAAGGATTGAAGGCCACAGATGTAGTGAAAAGGCCTTCATTTCACAGATGAGAAAGTGAAAGTTCACAAGGGGTAGGTAATTACCTAATGCTATGCCGAGAAAGGGAAATACTATGCAACACGTTTACACTCCCTGCCTTGCATGCAAGGCACTGTAATAGGTGCTTCAAAGACATTTTAAAAAAACTTTTAGGCCGGGTGCGGTGGCTCATGCCTGTAATCCCAGCACTTTGGGAGGCCGAGATGGGTGGATCACTTGAAGTCAGGAGTTTGAGACCAGCCTGGCCAACATGGTGAAACCCCGTCTTACCAAAAAATACAAAAATTAGCTGGGCATAGTCGTGTGCCTGTAGTCGCAGCTACTCGGGAGGCTGAGGTGGGAGAATCGCTTGAACCCAGGAGGTGGAGGTTGTAGTGAGCAGAGATCGTGCCATCGCCCTCCAGCCTGGGCAACAAAGTGAAACCCTGTCCCAAACAAACAAAAAACAAACAAACAAAAACAACAAAAACAAAAACAAAAACAAATTTTAAGTTCAGGGGTACACGTGCAGGCTTGTTACACAGGTAAACTTACGTCTTGGAGGTTTGTTGTACAGATTATTTCATCACCCAGGTATTAAGCCTAGTACCCAATAGTTATTTGTACTTATCCTCTCCCTCCTTCCACCTTCCACCTGCCGAGAGGCCCCAGTGTGTGTTGTTCCCCTCTATGTGTCCGTGTGTTCTCATCATTTAGCTCCTACTTTAAGTGAAGACATGCAGTATTTGGTTTTCTGTCTCTGCATTAGTTTGCTAAGTATAATGGCCTGCAGCTCCATCCATGTCCCTGCAAAGGAAATAACCTCATTCTTTTTTATGGCTGCATTGTATTCCATGATGTAGGTGTACCACATTTTCTTTATCCAGTCTATCACTGATGGGCATTTAGGTTGATTCCATGTCTTTGCTATTGTGAATAATGCTGCAGTGAACATACACATGCACATGCAAAGACTTTCCTTATTTAGCCCTTATAATGATCTAATTACATATATGTATGCATGTATGTATATATACACATATATACACACATATAAACACACACATATATATAATACAAACATATATAATTAGATCATTATAAGGGCTGAATATATATATACACACACACATATATAAATCCTATTTTACAGTCAAGGGAATGGAGGCTTACAAATGCTAAATAACTTATCTAAGGTCATATTGCTAGAAACTTGTGTGCAAATCTGTTTTCTGATCCTCAGCACAATGCTTTTCTCATTAAACTTCTCTGCGTGTATTGTCACTGGAATTTCCTTATAACCCTATTCACAGAGGCATCTTGGGATTCTACCCACTGTATTTAGCCAGCGACACATCAACGTCTGGAGCTTCTCATAGTGTCTGTTTGTTGCAGGTGTTTGATGTTCGTTGATTTTGAATAAAAGAAAACCTAAGTCCCATCAACTTAAACAAAAAGGGAGCACAGTCACTTACATCATTTGGAAATCTTGATATCCTAAATTTAGGTGCTCAAATCCTATTGAAACAAGAGAGTTCCCTGACCCCACTGAAGGATGTGTGACAGGGGTGTGGCTTGTCTTTTCGCTCACTGCTGATGCTCAAATCCCTTACGGGAGAAAGAGCACACAGACGGACAGATGTAGGAGCCCAAGTGGGCGTGTGTTACAGCGCGGCCTTTTAGCCTTGCTGTCCGTGGATGGCTTAAGTGTTAACCAGCTCAGTGGACCCTCCAACTTTCTGAAAGGACAGAGGGCCAGTGCGACAGCTTTCTGTATCCTGAGCCCATGTCCAGCATCCCAGAAGAATCAGGTCACACACGGACTTGGAGGATGAATGCAGGGGTTTTACTGAGTGGTAGAGGTGGCTCTCAACAGGATGGATGGGGAGCTGGTAGGGGGAATGGAGTGGGAAGATGATCTTCCCCTGGAGTTTGACCATCCGGTGGTGGCCCAACTCCTCTCCAACCACCCCCAGCCAAGCTCCTCTCAGTGCTCAGGCGCTCCGTCTCTTCTCTCTTCCTCTGTCACACCATCCTGTTGTTCGTCTGCTTGTCTCCTCATCTGCTTGTCTGCTTCTGGATCCTGGGCTTGGGGTTTATATGGGTACAGGATAGGGGGCGTGGTTGGCCGAAAGGCAACTTTTGGGGTGTGAAAACAGGAATACCTGTTCTTACTTAGGTCTGCAGGTATCCAGGCTTGAGAGTGAGGCCTTTGCTGGGGAACTGCCCTCTTCTACCCAGTATTTTCCTGTCTCCTGTCCATATCACTATGGTAGAAAGTCTTGTTTATCCCCATTCTTTGATTTTCCCATGTGTTGGCTGTGGGCTCCTGAGTGATATTCACGGACCCTGATTGGCTGGGTTTGAGTCATGTGCCTACTCTTAAACCAATCATCATGTGGGAGGGAATGCAGTGGTGACACTCGCCAGCTTTGGATGCCCTGACTGCTTCTGGAGCCAAAGAGATGGTGGTGTCAGGTCCCTAAAACCTCATGGACCTAAGAGGGAGAGGAGAGGCCCCTTTAGAAGAAAATAGGGTGGCAACACTGTTAATACAAGCAAATAGATTCTGGAAAGGCAAAACAGTGAGTGCCCAAGGCGTTGGACTAGGGGGCATCTGATTAAGCTTTGACAACTTTCTCTCAAGAGGACTCGATTATCAGTCCAGACAACAGTCAGCTCTCATCTTCTCCCAACTTACCTGCCCACGACTTTGGAAATCCATCTCTCCCAGGGCCCACAGAAGCACTTTATCAGGCCTAGAATGTCATTGACATGAATCCATTTGCCAATCACCACCTCCTTTCTGCGCTGAGACCGAGATAAGAAGGCACAGGGACTCTGTTTTCTGATAGGGTTTCAAACATTACAAGATCAAGGTTTGCTTAAGGCTCCTGGTTGTGTGCGGGTGTGTGTGTGTGTGTGTGGGGGGGGGGGGGAGAGAGAGAGAGAGAGAGAGATATGGGGGTGGAGCCCAAGTTTGTCCTTGGTATTACAACAGTGTCAGTCTCCTCAGGCTTCCTCTGGGAAGAAGCGAAAGATTCTGAGGACTGAGCACATTTTATAAACCAAGCAAAGAGATTCCACTGACTCTGAGCTTAAAGCCACAGCCTAATCTATCAGATGAGCAAACTGGGGCCAGTTTGCTCAAGGCTAGTCATGTCTTATGAGGCTTTGTGAACTCTCATAATGCAAGGCACAGAGCCTATGGGCTGTGTGTGCCCACATCCCTATAAAACCAGAATTGCTTAAAGCCCCATCAAGTAAAGGGAAATCAGTGAATCTTGTCTGTTTCCTACGTAACCTGCTGGGAATGTTGCTGATTCGTATGGTTCTTCTTTTTTTCGAGATGGAATTTCGCTCTTGTTGCCCAGGCTGGAGTGCAATGGCGTGATCTCAGCTCACCACAACCTTTGCCTCCTGGGTTCAAGTTGTTCTCCTGCCTCAGCCTCCTGAGTAACTGGGATTACAGGCAAGTGCCACCACACTCAGCTAATTTTGTATTTTTAGGAGAGATGGGATTTCTCCATGTTGGTCAGGCTGGTCTCGAACTCCTGACCTCAGGTGATCCGCCCACCTCAACCTCCCAAAGTGCTGGGATTACAGGCATGAGCCACCACGACTGGCCTCATATGGTTCTTAAAAAAATGACAGAGTGACAGACACAGAGACAGAGAGAGAGAAAGAGAGAGAGGAGAGAAATTAGGGTTGTGGCCAGGCATAGTGGCTCATATATGTATTCCCAGCGCTTTGGGAGGCTGAGGTGGGAGTATTGCTTGAGTTCAGGAGTTCAAGACAAGCCTAGGCAACAAAGTGAGATCCTGTATCCATTTTTTTTTTTTTTAATTAGCTGGGCATGGTGGTGCACACCTGTAGTCCCAGCTACTCTGGAGGCTGAAGTGGGAGGATTGTGTGAGCCTAGAAGTTTGAGGCTGCCAGGAGCTATGATCATGCCACTGCACTCCAGTCTGGGTGGCAGAGTCAGAACTCAGCTCTGTCTCTAAAGAGAATAAAAATAAATTGTAAAAAGAAATTGGGGATCATCATGGTGGATGGGAGGTAGGACTAGATTACAGCTCCAACTTGGACAGACAGAGCAGGGTGCAGAGACTCACATTGTGAATTTTAGCTCCAGATCAACTGCAAGAACAAACCAGCAATCCCAAGAGGACCTACAGACCCTCTGAGGGAAGTGGGCTGCTCCCTCAGGACCCAGGAGACACCGCAAATACTCAGCGGCAGCAAGATCCGCCCAAGGAGAGTCTGACCTAAGACACGTCTAGCCTGCCCCCACCTGATGGTCCTTTCCTATCCACCCTGGTAGAAAAAAAAAAACACAAAAAAGAACCTTCTAGACAGTGTTTTAGGCAAGGATTTCATGACCAAGAACCCAAAAGCAAATGCAATAGAAACAAAGATAAATGGTTGGGACTTAATTAACCTGAAGAGCTTTGGCACGGCAAAAGGAACAGTAAGCAGAGTAAACAGACAACCCACAGAGTGGGAGAAAATCTTCACAATCTGTACATCTAACAAAGGACAAATATCCAGAATCTACAAAGAACTCAAACAAATCAGTAAGAAAACAAACAATTCCATCAAAAAGTGGGCTAAGGAAATGAATAGACAATTCTCAAAAGAAGATATACAAATGACCAACAAACATATGAAAAATGCTCAACA
The DNA here is from genome assembly GCF_000001405.40 of Homo sapiens. NCBI lineage: Eukaryota > Metazoa > Chordata > Mammalia > Primates > Hominidae > Homo > Homo sapiens. The sequence goes on along the minus strand of NC_000016.10, from coordinate 8,438,682 downwards.
TCACTAATGATCAGAGAAATGCAAATCAAAACCACAATGTGATAGCACCTTACTCCTGCAAGAATGGCCATAATCAGAAAATCAAAAAACAGTAGATGTTGGCACAAATGCAGTGAGCAGGGAACACTTCTACACTGCTGGTGGGAATGTAAACTAGTACAACCACTGTGGAAAACAGTGTGGAAATTCCTTAAAGAGCTAAAGGTAGAGCTACCTACCATCCAGCAATCCCACTACTGGGTATCTACTCAGAGGAAAAAAAAGTTATATGAAAAAGCTACTTGCAGTTTATGGCAGCACAATTTGCAATTGCAAAATCATGGAACCAACCCAAATGCCCATCAATCAACGAGTGGATAAAGAAACTGTGGTGTATTTATATGATGGGATACTACTCAGCCATAAAAAGGAACAAATTAATGGCGTTTTCAGCAACCTGAATGAGATTGGAGACTATTATTCTAAGTGAAGTAACTCAAGAATGAAAAACCAAACATTGTATCTTCTCACCGATATGTAGGAGCTAAGCTATGAGGACGCAAAGGCTTAAGAATGACACAATGGACTTTCGGGACTTGGGGGGAATGGTAGGAGAGGGGCGAGGGATAAAAGACTACAAATATAGTGCAGTGTATACTGCTCTGGTGATGGGTGAACCAAAATCTCACAAATCACCACTGAAGAACTTAGTCATGTAACCAAATTTCACCTGTGCTCCAATAACTTATGGAAAAATAAAAAATTTAAAAAATTTAAGAATAAGAAATAGGGGTTGATGTGTGAGGACTCATAGGAACTTGGGCACAGCCAGTGACACAATTACTCTGACCATTTGATGAATAACAGCACCATCATCATTTATTGCTCCACTGATAAATGCATACAGCTAATGGGGAAGTGTGTTTTGAGACACATTTTTAGGAGAAGTGAGCAGCTTGGTGACAATGCTGTTTTGAATTGAAGCAACAGAAGGCTGGGCCTTATAAATGCTGGCTGGAGCTGGAAGGGGTTCCTGCTCAGGAATCAGACCACAGTAATTTAGGGAGACAGTGACCGAACATGGTTGAGTAATCAAAAGGCATTGAGGATATTTAGCTCGTGATCATGGAGTGGTCTAGAAGGTAAGAAAAGTGAGATAGCAAGGCATTTAGATAATCAGAAAATTAGGCATATTAAAATGTTTATGGAGTGGATGACATTTATATACAAAATGTTCAGCACAGTTAACAGACAATAGTATGGAAAATGGAAATAACTCAATTATTTCCCAACTATATAATAACAGAGGATTAAATCAATTATGATTCATTCATTTATATGCTGTTATGTAGCCATCACTAATGATACTGTGAAGAATTTGCAATAAAACGGGGGAATACTCTAGATTCATGAAAATGAGCAGGATACAAAAATAGCTCATGATCTCAGTCACACGCCTGGTTCCATTTCACAGTCCCATAATTTTCTTTTCCCTTTCTCATGGACACAATAAAAACATTTGTTCTTATGCTTATGAAGTCAATACAGCTGCATTGTGGAAATTTTGGAAAGCATAGACAAGTACAAATAAAGGGAAAATAGAAACAACCCACAATTCCATTACTTAATGGCAACTACTGCCAATGTTTTAGCGCACTTCCTTTTAGTTGTTGTTTTTTTTTTTTCTTTCTGACTGTGTTACTCTAGCTTTCTCATCTTGACAATCTTTGGGAACGCTCCTGCCTTTGCGGTTAACATAGCTTGAGCTTCTATTTCTTAATCCATGAGTAGTTCAGTGCCCTACAAAGATATCTGTCGAGTTAGTAAATTCCCTCTACCTACTCACTATTCTGCCTCCTAGGATCTATCACCACAAATGGGACATAGTAGCACCTTTCCTTTTATCCTGTCAGAAAGGCTGTGATGTGAAAAAGGTCTAGGATAAACTGTGGTTAATTGCAAAAAGTGTTGAACATCAGTCTTGTGATTCATTGACTGTTTCCCGCCACTGGGAATTGCTTACTTTACTTACTGTCATGCTTTTCTGCAAGTTCTAGCCTCTCGCCATCCCAATTGCTATCTTGATCAACTAGCATATAATTTAGTAATTTCTGTTAATATAAGAAACAATCTAATTCTCTTTTAGTTTCATTCCATCTAGACTTACATAAAGAGCCTTGAGTCTCACATTCAAAAATTACTATTCAGTTGTTCTACTAAACCAAAGAGAAGTTATCTCCCTAGTCTATATTCTTAACATTCTTTAGAACAAACAAGTTTTACTTTTTGAATTTATGGATATGTATGTGTATATATGTACGTATATATGTGTACACATATACACATATATACACATACATAAAATATATGTCTGCAAAGCACACAAATATAACAGATATATATGTGTGTGCATAGCTATGAATTGTAATGGAACAATAATGTATGTTTTACTTTTTAACTGATTTTTCACCTACTGTATTTCATAGTATCTAGGATGCCACCAAATATAATATGCACCGTTTTTTGTATAGTATTAAGTATCAAGGAAGGAAAAAGAACCTTGCCAAGAAAGCTACGGCATGCCATTGATTACAAGACACATTTTGACTTCAGCGATGTTATAATGTGAAAACGTGTGCATCTCAGGATAAGTGAAAGAGGGTATCAATTAGCTATTACCATAATAAAAGTAGATTTAAAAAGCACACACAATTCAGCGGCATACAATAATAAGAAACTGTTTATTGCTTATGCATCTATAGGCTTGTTGAGGGGTGGCATGCGGCAGTACGTCTTGGAGCTGGGTCTCCACCAAATGTCTTCTTGAATTGTAGTCCCCGGTGTTGGACGTGGGGCCGGGTGGGAAGTAGTTGGATCCTGGGGGTGGATTTCTCATGAATGGTTTAGCATCATCCTCTTGGTGCCGTTTTCATGATAGTGAGTTCTCATGAGATCTCGTTGTTTAAGAGGGTGCAGCACCCCCCACCCCCACTCCCCTCGCTCTCTCTTCCTCCTGCTCCTGCCACGTGAGACACTTCATCCCTGCTTTGCCTTCTGCCATCATCGTAAGTTTTTGGAGGCCTCCACAGAAGCCAAGCAGATGCCAGCATCATGCTGCATGTACAGCCTGTGAAATCATGAGAATTAAACCTCTCTTCTTTATAAATTACCCAGTCTTTTAGGCATTTCTTTATAGCAGTGCAAGAATGGACCAATACAAGCAGTCTTCCCTAGGTCTGCCATTTTGGGACCCAGGTCTAAGGGGCAGTGGACACTGTGGTATGTTCTTCACATGACAGATCTCTGGAGTATAACAAAGCAAGCCCAACAAAGCAAGTATGTTGTGAGCCTCTGTTTGCATTATGTATTGCTAATATACCATTAGCCAAAGCAAGTTGCACAGCCAATCCCAAACTCAAGGTATGTGTTTGGGGATATATCTTCCACTTGTTATGTCAAGGATGTGGTTGTATAACATACTATGGTGAAGCATTGAAGCATCGAGACCAATAATTCAATCAATAAGACTTTTCAAACGTATTCTGTCTTGTATTTTATGCCCTTTTGTAACCCACCTAATATACTTTCTGGAATAAAGTAGATCATAACATAAATGTGCAAGGGAACAAGAAGGAAGGAAGCATACCAAAATGTTAACAATGATTGTCTCAGAGAGGTGGGATGAATGATGGTTTTTATTTGCTTCTTTGTCCCTGCGATTTCTCTAAGTTTTCTAAGATGAGTAGGTGTTATTTTTTAAAGTCAGGCAATAAACCTACATCCACATAATTCATTACTTCCTTTAGAAAAAGTATGTAGGAAAGTAGCTAGGGAGAGAAACAAGCAGTGAATTCAGAGAAAATTCAGAAGAAGACATTGGTTTTGGGGTAAGATGGGACCCATATAAATTATTAGGTTTACCAATGTTAGAAGGATTGGAGGTCTGAGGCAGATAACTCAGGAAAAAAATGTTTTGACCCTGAGGAATAAGGCACTAGCATAGTTATCAGAGCTGGTGGGCCAGATTGGAACCGGGTTTATGAAGCCAGGTTCACACATGAAAGATGGACACCAAAGGTTCAGAACAAGTCTGCCAGGAAGACGAACGTGTGTGTGTGTGTGTGTGTGTGTGTGTGTGTGTGTGTGAATTATTACTACTTCAAAATTTTCTTATTTATAATGTTTGTGGGTACATACTAAACATATCTATTTATTAAATGTATCTCTTTATGCATTACTCTTTAGGCATGGCATGCATCATAGTCACATCATGGAGAATGGGGTATCCATCCCCTCAAGCATTTATCCTTTGAGTTACAGACAATCAATTATGCTCTTGGTTGTTTTAAAATGTACAATTAAATTATTATTGACTCTAGTCACCCTGTTGTGCTATCAAATACTACATCTTATTCATTCTTTCTAAACTTTTTTTTTTTTGCACCCATTAACCATACCTACGCCCTTCTCAGCCCCTGGTAACCATCCCTCCACTCTATGTCTATGATTTCAATTGTTTTGATTTTTAGATTTCACAAATAAGTGGAAACGTGATGTTTGTCTTTCTGCGCCTAGCTTATTCCACTTAACATAATGACCTCTAGTTCCACCTGTGTTGTTGGAAATGACAGGATCTCATTCTTTTTTTATGGCTGAATAGCGCTCCATTGTGTATAGTAAGCCTCAGTATTGAGCCTGGATCCCTTGCATCCTTCCTACCTCAAGTGAGAATTCCATCTAGAAATGAAGGTGGTCTGAACTTAGAGGTAGAACAAAGGAACTTTTGTTGTGAGCAGTCAGTAGGAAGAAGCTGAGCAGGACCTGTCAAATATCTATTTATAAGCAAGTGGCAGCCAAACCCTGAGGACCTCCGGAACAGTGGTTCTGAAACTTCATCATGTATCAGAATTACCTGGCGAGGGGTGAAACTGCAGATTGCTAAGCCTATGTCCGAGATGTGACTTGAAAATCTGCAAATAAGTGTCCAGGTGATGTTGATGCCACTGGTCTGGGGACAACACTTTGAGAACCATCACACCAAGGCAACCATTCTCAACTTGCTTTCAATTTGTATAACCAGGAGAGTGCTAAAATGTCCCAAAACCTACGCTGCACCCCAGGCCAATTAAACCAGAATCTAGCCGTGGGACTCAGTCATTAGTATTTTTTTTAAAGCTCCCAAGGTGAATACAATGTGCAGCCAAGGTTGAAAGCTTCTGCTCAAAGGAGGATTAATTTAATCTATTTAACTACTGAGTACATTGGCAGTAGGTACTAAATTGGCTCATCACCAATCACCACCCCTTTCTCCATGGACCAAGGAGTTGAAATTGTGCCTGTGGAAGTCTCCCGGAATAGTGAAGCTTAAAACTTGGAATTCAACCTTCCTGGATCCCATGGAAATTAAGGAAAGCCCTTGACACTCAGTTGAGCAGAGACTGAGGAGAAAGATACAGAATCTTAACCTGGTTATGTCCACATCGGAGAGGGACAAAGGGCATGGTCAGATGTAGGATGTTTTTGTTGAAAAGCAAAGTTGGAAAAGATGGTGTGATCTTAACCTCTATGTAGTATGAGCTTGGCGGGTGCAGGGGCATTGTTGGCCTTCTAAGGCATCTCTGTAGGTCTTCAGAGTTACCATGGAAGGATCAAAGCTATGTCATATGAACTGCTTCTAGAGCTGCGTAGCTTCAAGGAGGGGAAATCTGACATAGGACTTGTTCCCTTTCTCTCTCCTCTCTCTGTGAGATTTTTGTGCATCCAACCCAGGTATCCACCAAGCCCCATTCTCTGGAGTGTTTTTTATCTGACATGGCAGCTAGCTCTTTTCTGATGAGGCATTTGTTTAAAGCATGCCTCTTCCCATAGGAGAAGTCTTACACCTTTATACCTTGATAAGGTATGTGCTGGGAATCAGAAAGACTTGTAGTGTAGAAGTGGCTCTTTAATGGTGAGACTTGTCAACTAAAAATAAAATCCTAAGCCCCTCACCAACTCAATAGACACCTCCTTGTGGCCAAGGGGACTCCCTTAAAAAATACCTTAAAAACTTAGTTCCTAGTTATGATGGGATAGGATGTTAGACACACCGCCTTATACCCTCTCCCTTCTGGAGTTTAGACACAATACTGACCCACATTAATGTTAAAATAGAGACCATAAGACTGACAGAGGAGACTCTATGACAACAAGACACCAAATTATAAATAGGACCTAAGGCCATGCGCATCAGGCAGGTGTTGAATCACCCACCCCTACACTTAAAAGATAAACTATGTTCTAACTGCCACAGGTTTTTCTTTTTCTTTAACAGCTAAACAAGCACTGGCCTCAAGATAAGCAATATTAAAACAATTACAGCTCATCCAGCTGGCAGATGCTGATTAACTGACCCCCTGTTTCACCAGCCACAACTACAGCTTGGATTGGACAAGGAACTGATTTCAGTAACTTTCTCCTGATAAGAAGACCAGCGACCATGGACTGCTTCTGGCCAATTTACAGAGATTGTGGACTCGTATGCTTTCATGTCCTGAAAAGACCCTTTGATGCATAGGGCCTAATTATAATACAGTTAAATGTTGTATCTCCACCCCAAAGTGAACATGGGTCATATGTCACATGCATGTGTGTTAAACACACATGCATCAGGACCTCCTTCATGAATATTCATAGCTTCTCCTGTAACCTGTTGAATATGTATGTTTAGCCAAAACATTTACCATAAATATCTTACCTCAACCCCTCCTTCAAAGTGCTTCTCTCTGGGCTGTTGGCCAGAGGCTGTGCTTCTCAGCCTGCGGAATGGCCACTTTGTAGGCTGTAACCCTTTGCAATAAATAAAACCTCCCTCTTTTCTTTTCTAAATTTATATATTGTGATTTTTTTTTTTTTTTTTTAGCTAACATTACAGACTTGGGGGTAGAATGGGAACTGCCTTCCAAGACTTTGTTATTGGCTGAATTCTGTACCCCCAAAAGTCATATGTTGAAGTCCTGACCCCCAGTACCTCAGACTGTGAATATATTTGGTGATATGGTCTGTAAAGAAGTAAATAAGTTAAAAATGAGGCTATCAGGGTCAGCCCTAATTCAATAAGACTGGTTGTCTTGTAAGAAGAGATTAAGACGCACACATACACAGAGACAAGATGACCATCTACAAGCTAAGGAGGGAGGCATCAGAAGAAACCAGTTCTGCTGACACCTTGATCTCAGACTCCCAGCCTCCAGACTTGTGAGACAATAAAAAGTCTATTGTTTAAGCCACCCAGTCTGTAGTACTTTGTTACGGCAACACCAACACACTAACACAGATTTCAATAGATGCCTTGTTAAGGAGAGATTCAAATTATCTTCCAGAGGACTGAACCAGATGAATGGAAATTACACGTAGGTGGGTTAGGCTCAAAATAAATATAGCTGGACATTCTTGACCGGCTGCAGCTAACATAGATAGTAGCGACTGTTTGTTGCCATTTGCTTTGTAACTGGGAGAATAAATATTTTGGGGGCAGGGACAATGGGGCTTGAAAGGCCAAAGCGTGGGGCAGGAGAACGGAGGGGAACGGAATGATGTTTGTTTTTTGTTGAGTGCCCAGGGCTTCTTTTGAACCCCTATGAAAAGAAAGGCTTTAGATGTAGAAGTTGAAAAAATAAGAAAGACCAACCTGGGCGTGGTGGCTCGTGCCTGTAATCCCAGCACTTTAGGAGGCCGAGGTGGGCGGATTGTTTGAGACCAGATGTCCGAGACTAGCCTGGGCAACATGGTGAAACCCTGTCTCTACCAAACAAAAAAAGAAAAAAAAAAAGAAAAAATAAGAAAGACTTTACGTAATGTATTTTAAGTACTTTCTTGGCATGATGCCTTGTACATAGAAACACCCCAAAACGTTAGGTACCAGTTTGTTCTCTACCCACTTCTCCTCCTATATCTTTGTAGCAGACAACTGACTGAGGGTCTTACCAGTTGACAAAAGTTTTCTTTCTTGGGGAAACTTTCCATCCCATTCAAAGAGGCACAGGGGCAAATCCCAGCAGCTATGATGGTACCATGTAATCTGAGCCCCCTGGCTGCAGCTGATTGGACCAGGAGTGTCCACGTGACCCCAGCTGGGCTAATCATGGTCTCTTCCCAGGGAATTTGGAAGATTTTAGCTTCGATCAAGCTGGTCTGTAGAAGCTCAGGAGCGGAGGCACACACCCCTGTTTTTTATTTTCTGCTTTTCTGTGTGTTCTGCATGTTTGCAGGGAAAGAATGACTCTGAATGGCTCTGAAGCACAGGTGAGAGGTGGAAAGATACTGGCTACTGATGGGTTTTCATTTGTCAGCCTCTTTCTGTAGCGTAACTACATTCCTGCTTGTGGGTCCCATGACAGATTTCTAAGTACTTATAATGCGATTAATTCCCTTTTGACTTAAGTCCTTTCTTTATTTTTTTTCCTTGATGATTGCATTTTATTATTATTTTTTCCTTCAACTTTTATTTTAAGTTCAGGGGTACATGTGCAGGATATGCAGGTTTGTTACATACTAAATCTGTGCCATGGTGGTTTGCTACACAGATCATCCCATCACCCATGTATTAAGCCCAGCATCCATTAGCTATTCCTCCTGATGCTCTCCCTCCCCGCATCCCACTGTCTGACAGGAGTGTTGTTCCCACCCATATGTCCATGTGTTCTCATCATTCGGTTCCCACTTACAAGTGAGAACATGCGGTATTTGGTTTTCTGTTTCTCCGTTAGTTAGCTGAGGATGATGGCTTCCAACTCCATCCATGTTCCTGTAAGGGACATGATCTCATTGCTTTTTATGGCTGCATGATATTCCATGGTGTCTTTGTACCACATTTTCTTTATCCAGTCTATCATTGATGGGCATTTAGGTTGCTTCCATGTCTTTGTTATTGTGAATAGTACTGCAATTGAACTTACGCATGCATGTGTCTTTATAATTGAATGATTTATTGCTGGGTTAAATGGTATTTCTGCCTCTAGGTCTTTGAGAAATTGCCACACTGTCTTCCACAATGGTTGAACTAATTTACACTCCCACCAACATTGTAAAAGTGACTCTTCCACTAGTTACTGAATGTTGGTAAAATTTTGCTGCAGTAGGTGTGATGACTATTACTTATTCATCTTTTTTTTTTTGTCTGCACCAATGACATACAGAGATTATCATTACTTGCAACCAAAAAGTACTGACTTAGAACTCCTCTGTACCCTCTCACCCAGGGCCGAGATGATTCTACCCATTCCCAGAAGTGCTACCTTTTCTGCCTCTGACCACAGCTTTGCAGAGCAGCTAAATAATCTCATGTGTCCTTAGCAAAGGAACTGAGGAAAGTGGAGCTCCCTTTGTAAACTGGGGATTCTGTACGCCCTTAGAGTCATAGACTCAATTTCCAATCCAGATTTAAACTCGGCACCACTTGATTTGGCCTAAGAGGTTATTTAGGCTGGATGCATTATTTATTCCAATCTGTGAAGTTTACTACCTAACCGAATGCTACATCTGGATGCTCCTACACTTTAGTTCATTCTGGTGACCAGTTAGTAATTTCTTCATAGAAATATGCTTTGGGTGGCTGGCTTACACATAATGAATCAAAATGATTCAGATGATGCTAATTGGATTTACTCTGGTCCTGGTTCTAACCTCTAAAATGTGGCTGGATTATTGTGGAAATAGAATGAGACGACGTGCTTACAGAACAGAGCATGGTACCAGGCAAATGGTAAGAGCTCACTATATGTTACGAGCTGTTATTTTGATTGTCTTGCCTCTTATTCGGTAAGCCCAGTAGGAGGATATCGCAGGTTCGAAGGGTAGCCCCCAAAAATTATTCTTCCCCACTCTCTTGATGTCAGATGAACCACTGAGGATTGACGAGCGTACCAGGTTGATAGATTTTGTCTGTCCCTTTCCAAAGCTAAAAATTAACTGGACCCACAAGCTGAAGCCTGACATGAGGCTTTAAATCTCTTTGCCTTGGGTAGTGGTCATATATTTAAGCCTTCTTCTGGTCAAGGAATCTTTCAAGGCCAATAGTACAGGTGCTCCCCATTAAGCTGAATCAGCTATCATTTCCCAAGAAGTGCAGACTGGCTAGGTTGATGGGTACCTAAGAAAGTGTGCTGGCGTCTGTGTCCATCTCTCTTGATTTGTTTGCCTCTGTACTTGTGTGTGTGTATGTTTTCTTTTTTCTCTTTGCCTCTCTTATTTCCATTTAGTGGGCTTGTGAGGATTATCTGTGAGTGTGTTTGTGTCCATGTGTGTGTGTCTATGTATGTGAGACCGTCTGTGTACCTATGGGAATTACATCAAACTCATAAAAAGGAAGGCAGCTATAAAATGGTCCCCTCTCTATTCCTCCTATAAATAACTCACTTGTACTGCACCCTCCTCTTTTTTTTTTTTTTTTTTTTGACGGAGTCTCACTCTGTCGCCCAGGCTGGAGTGTAGTGGCGTGATCTCGGCTCACTGCAAGCTCTGCCTCCTGGGTTCTCACCATTCTCCTGCCTCAGCCTCCCGAGTGGCTGGGACTACAAGCACTCACCACCACGCCTGGCTAATTTTTTTGTAATTTTTAGTGGAGATGGTGTTTCACCCTGTTAGCCAGGATGGTCTCGATCTCCTGACCTCATGATCCGCCCACCTCGGCCTCCCAAAGTGCTGGGATTACAGGTGTGAGCCACCATGCCCAGCCACCCTCTTCCTTTTTTTTTTTAAAGACAAGTATTTACTTCTTTGCTGGTATAGAGATTATAGAGATTTTGATAATGACCCTAATATTTTCCTTAAAGTTCTTTTTAGAAGACCATCCTGAATCTGACCATTCTAAGGTTTCCCTCATAGCCAGGGATAAAACACCTTGATCAAGCTTCCATAAAAACACACGTCAGGCCAGGTGAGGTGGCTCACTCCTGTAATCCTAGCATTTTGGGAGGTCGAGGTGGGCAGATCACAAGATGAGGAGTTGGAGACCAGCCTGGCCAATATGGTGAAACCACGTCTCTACTAAAAATACAAACATTAGCTGGGCTTGGTGGTGGGTGTCTGTAGTCCCAATTACTCGGGAGGCTGAGACAGGAGAATCGCTTGAACCCGGAAGGCGGAGATTGCAGTGAGCAGAGATCGCACCACTGCACTCCAGCCTGGGTGACAGAGTGACTCCATTTCAAAAAAAGAAAAAAAAAAAAAGAAAAGAAACACACATCACATCAATTAACAGATATTGCCAGGGGCAGGCTCCTTGTTCAACATCTGCTCCTTTATTACTAATGGCAGCAGCAGAATATATTATGGGGAACGTGTTCACAGGTTTCTGCAGGCCTCCAAGAGTGTGCAGAGATTTCTGCTAGGCTGCTCACTTTTCTAACAAGCCACATTAAGGCTTTCTATAGAGCTGTGGGGTGGCACACTTCCTTCCCTCATCCTGGCAAAACCGTAAAGGCTAGGGCTATTATATAGGAGGACTTGATCTCTATCTTCAAGGAGCTTGTTTTCACAGAAGGCATCAAGAACAAGAAATAATAATAAGTTATAGGAGCTATCTTTCCAGAGCATGGACTGTATGCCATTACTGTACTAGGCACTTCATATGCATCCTCTCATTTAATACTAAACCAATCCTTCAGGGAGTCTTTGTTATTTGCAATTTGAAGCCGAGGAAGCTGAGGTATAGACAGTTCAGGTATGTTCCTCAAAGTCACAAAGGCAGTAAGCAGCCATCTTGAAGAGTGATAGTTCTTTTTTTTCCCATCCCCGCTTAATTTGGGAATGGCCCCTGACCTAAGGATTGAGCACGAGATGCACGCCAAACCAATCAATGGACTCATCTTTTGGACAATTATGATTGCTCTTGGGTGGACACTGACCCAGCATGCCCGGCTAGAATCCATCCCATAAATTGAGGTTCAGATGCTGAAGTAAGCAATTTTCTTTCTTTCTGGGGTTGCCAAGCTGGGGGACTGGTGGTTATTTTGCCCACCATGTGGAGAAATTCTTCCTTCTGCCTTATAAATAAAATGAGACCAATGGGTAAAAGAAAACCTGAAAAAGCAAAGACAAGAAAAAGATGAGAGAATGTGGGTCATGTTCAGTGTCCAGTTTCAGCTCCCAAGGACTGGATTTTTGCAGCTCTTCTTTCCCTATAAGAAACCATATCATCTTTCCCTGCCCTGAAGCCAACAATCCTCCTTTGTGGCTTAAGTATGTTTGAGGTGGGTTTGGTGGTTTACAAATATCTGCAAATAGGCCAGGCACGGTGGCTTATGCCTGTAATCCCAGCACTTTGGGAGGCCAAGGCAGGAGGATCATGAGGTCTGGAGATCAAGACCATCCTGGCCAACATAGTGAAACCCCATCTCTACTAAAAATACAAAAATTAGCTGGGCATGGCAGTGCACGCCTGTAGTCCCAGCTACATGGGAGGCTGAGGCAGGAGAATTGCTTGAACCAGGGAGGTGGAGGCTGCAGTGAGCCAAGATCACACTACTGCACTACAGCCTGGGTGCCAGAGTGAGAAAAAAAAATCTGCAAATAGATCTCCCTCCATTCAAGAAATAGAGTCTAATACTCCTCCCCTGGTGTGTGGACTGGACTTACTGACTCTGAATAAAGTGAAAGTAAATGGCATGTAACTTTGGACACTGCGTTATAAAGGCACCGCAGTTTTCCATTTGCTCTTTCTCTCTCTCGGACCACTTCTTTTGGGGGGAGACAGCAGCCATGTTGTAAGGAAGCTCAGGCAGCTTTGTGGAGAGGCTCACATGGTTAAGTAACTGAGGCCACCTGCCAATGAGTGTGCCGTCTAGCCTTCAGATGAATGCAGCCCCAACTGACATCTTCACTACAACCTCATGCAAGACCCTGATTCTGACCTACAAAAACTATGAAATAATAAACGCTTGTTGCTGTAAGTTGCTATGTTTTGGGTTTATTTGTTATGTGATAGTAGATAATTAATCTAGTGGGTTTCTGTCACTTAGAGTCAACAGAATCCTGACAAGATGAGAGGTGTAGGTACCACTTGTACTAAGTGGATGCTTATTGATTGCCTCATCAACCATTACTCTTCTTCTTCCCACAGGGGTCATGATTTCCCCTTGAGTAACTTAGCGTCTTGCCTATTTCAGCTGTGCACTTTGAGTGGGACTGACTCTTCTGTCAGGGGTGGGCTATGATTGGTTTAAACCAATGCATTTCACCTCCTGGCTACAGTAATTGGTTTTGGAATGGGCATCTCATCCCGAAGAGCCACAAAGATGCAAGGAGATAAGTTTTGAACCTTCTAGAGAAATTCACTTTTACTTTGCAGAAGCCTTCAGATGATTCTTGCTTCTTTCCCTGGAGGGTGCAGTGTGAAGATATGAAAGTGGATGCTCCTGCAGCCATTTTGCTGCCATGAGGCAGGGCCCCGTATACGTGCTACTCTGGGAAGGACAGAAAAGAGAGATGGACAGATACCAGGACTTTGGTGATATTGTTGGTTCCATTAGCACAAGTCTTACCTGAAGCCCTCTTGTGGATGTTTTAGTCACGCGAATCTCTGAATTCTATTGATTGCTTCAGCCACTTTAATTTGGGGTTTTTGTTCCACCAAACAAAAAGATTCTCAACTAATACACAATCTGAGGTCTGTCTGATACTTGGATAATGCCCGAACTCTTCTAAACTGCCAAAAAGTTATATAGTGCTATGTCGAACATGATCAATTGGCGCCTGTTTAAAAATGATACTGGACACAGTCTTTTCCAACTTCGTATTAAAAGACCCTAAGAAGACATAGAAAAATGAAAACTCATACAACCTTGAAAACCCAAGCTGATACTGAAACTGTTGTCAAAATCTGAAAGAAAATTCCACCAATCATAGGACTGATGGAACTGAATTGAGAACTACAAAATTATTTTGATGTGCAGAGCAGAGAAAGCCTGATATTTATAAACAGTTAAAGAGAAACGTTTTTTGTTTTTTGTTTTGTTTTTTTTTCCCCCTCTTCCTTCCAGAGTTCAATGACTACTTGCCACTGGCTGATCTCTGTTTTGTGGTGGTGATGTTTGTCATGATAGAGCACTTGCTGAAAAAGGTTTTTAAAATTTTTTTGGCTGGGCACAGTGGCTCACACTTATAATCCTAGTACTTTGGGAGGCCGAGGCAGGTGGATCATCTGAGGTCAGGAGTTCAAGAACAGCCTGGCCAACATGGTGAAACCCCATCTCTACTAAAAAAACTACAAAAATTAGCTGGGCGTGGTGGTGGGTTCCTGTAATCCCAGCTATTCGGGAGGCTGAGGCAGGAGAATCACTTGAACCCAGAAGGTGGAGGTTGCAGTGAGCCGAGACCACGCCATGGCAAGACTGGGTGACAGAGCAAGATTTTGTCTCCAAAGGGAAAAAAAAAGTCTCTTTTATGCTCGGGTTGTTCTAGCGTATGCAATGGCTTAGAAAAACAAATCTAACTATTCCTTTAAAGCAATGCTTCAAGATTAATTCCAGCCACCTGGAAGGATACTTACAATAGAAAACTTGAGAACGCAAATATTTTGACAATAAAATTAATTATGAATGTTGATACCTGTTTGGAAAGACAAGACGTGTTGGAGAAAACAAAAAAAAAAGGCATAAAAATAAGGAAAAAAAAGCATGCTAATTCTGTCTCTTGGTGTGTCAACAGGTGCTGTTTCATTCTAGTCTTTGATAAATAGTATCAATGATAATAAAAGCAATTTTACAAGGGAAACAGTTATTACATTCCTATTATGTTCTACGCACAATGCTAAATATTTCAAGTGAAAAATCTTATTTAAGAAATATACATTAATGTGTGTTTTAAGCTAACTTAAATGTAATGCATCCCGCTTCTAAGTCCAATAAATATGATGATAGACCAAAATGTCAAAAAAAACCACTAGATAAAATTCCACACTAGTTACTCATGAAAATTAATCAAAGTGAGGAGCAATTGGTTACTTTCTTAATATAATAAAATATTAATTTAAAATAAGAGTCAACATCTTTGATGATAGAGAAATACACAAAGCATTCCCATTAAAATTATAAAGATTCCCAAAGACATTTTCTTCCCTAATTAATTTGGAAGTTTGCAATAATGTAACAATGTAGAAAACAGAAATAAGAGCTACAACTATTAAATAGAGAACTTTTAATTGTTTACTTGCAGATTATATTAATTGATACCTAGGAAACTGAAGATAATAAAAAAATTTTAAATCTGTAGGGAATTCAGCGCAGTGGATAGACAAATCTTTAAAGCAAAACATTTAAGGTATCACCAATAATTAACTGTAAGTCATAGCAGAAAAATGATTCATCCATAGCTGCCACACACACTTAGAAGTAATCACAATGGTAAATTTAAGTAATATATATTGATAAATATATACAATTTGACTGAGGAGTATATCTTTAAAAAATACCTCTTTTTAAAATGAGGGGATTAGACATTGCCAAGGTGTCAATTATTTAAAAATTTATATATAAGTTCACAATATTTCAATCAAAATCCTATTGAGACTTCTAAGGATCTTGCAGAAATTGTACCAAAGCCCACCTGAAAGAATTACCGGGTGAGACTAAAGACATTTTGGAAAAAAGAAAAATGATGATTCGATGACATTTTGACAACAAAGGTAATTGCCCAACCAAATTAGAAAACGTTTTATATGGCTGAAACAATGAAAATAATGTGGCATTGGCACAATAAATAATCAATGAAAGAAATGAAACACTATGTACTAAAACCTGAACATACGTATCATATGAGACTATGACAAAGAAGGCACCATGGGCCAATGGAAATGGGTAAATTTAAGAAGTCGTGTTAGAAAAATTGGTTATTTAGGGGGAAAGAAGCAATCAATGTATATCTTCACTATTATGTTATGTTCCCAAATACATTTCAAATGAATTAAACAGATAAATATTCAAAAATCTGTAAGAACCAAAACAGAAAGAATAAAATAAGGACAAATCTATATCTCAGTTTGAGATAGGATTTTTCCAAGCATAAAACTCAGAAAAAAATCAACGAGAAAAATAGTAATGGATTCAATTAAAAAAAATAGAGCTTTGTACGACAAAGCACGTTGAGCAAAATTAAAGGGCAAGAGGCAATGGGGGAGGGAGAGACTTACAATTAATATTGCAAAGATTAATAGTTTTATGATGTAAAAAATCTTTAAAAAATCTGAAAGAAAAATGTGCAAAGGGCATAAAAAGTTAATTTCCAAAGCGAGAAATACAAATGACCCATAAGCATATTAAGAAAATATTGATCTTTAATAGGCATCACATAACTGGAAACTGGAAAGATGACATTTTACCTTTCAAATTGTCCAGTTAAAACGTTAAAACGTCTAGTCCTAGCTAGGGTGTGATGAGTGGATGCTCTCATTACTGCTGTTGGTATAAATTGACTTTAGGATCTCCAGTTATTCCTGTATAAAATGGGGATGATCTGATTGGGTCAGATTCGATAATAAATGTAAAATACTTTAAAGAGTGTAAATGCAAATTGTTGATGTTGGTGATGATGGCTGTGGCGTGATGATGAAAGATTTCAGAGACCTGAAGTGCAAAGTATAAGCATGTGAACTGGTCCCACTGATTGGTGCAGGGCCAAAAGGAATTGTGTGTGTAGGAGAAATGAGAGATGCTATCCCTGTTTACCTCCTGGATTTATGGATTTAGAAACAGAAGCTGAGTTACAAATGCTCAAGGAGGAAGGATTTATTGGGCTTTCCCTGTGATGGATGACAATACATTCAGGCTGAATCCTAGGACAGCCTGCGACCAGATCAGGCTGCCGTTTGACAATTGACCTCTTCCAATGACTCCTGCTCCAAATCAAGAGACCTGTGCCTCCATAACTCCTTAGCTTGTTCTTCCTTTCTTCAACCACTAACTTGGTTTATCAAGAAACTGTCCTGGAAACACACTGACGAGGAAGACAGCACTGTTTGCAAGTCGGTTTTTGCAATATCAGTTGAGCCTGCTAGCTTAGGATTTTGTTGAATCCAGGTAACAGACCTGGTTTTTCTTTCCACCCTGTATTGCATGCCATATTTCCTAAAACTATTTAATAATATACAGCAGTGGCCACTGTAGTGATTGGAAACCTACAAAATCTACCCTAAAGGGCTCTCCTGTCACTGTCTTGCCAAGAGAAGGATATACTTGAAACGTTATCCAATGTTTTGGGCTTCAAAATGAGCTGGCATTGAATACCCAGTTTTGGTTAATGTCTGTGAAGCTAATGTTTCATGATGTCTGAAGGGGTCAAAGTAGTCTAGTCGCTTGTACACATCCAGAAATTAACCTGAAATCCCAGACCTGGACCGTGGGCAGACCAACTGAGAAAGCAGAGCCCCAAAATAAAAATGCTTTCCAGACGCGGCAAAAGACAACCACCTGCAAAGATGCTCAGGGAAACAAGGCCAGTCTGCACGCTGCATTGTTCTCATTAGCATACTGGCATTTTAGAGTAACAGGAATGTCAGGTGAAGATTAGAGTTCAAGTTTTTAAATCTGGAACTAACTGCCAATTTGGGGGTGATAATCAGTTTTTATTTTTAGGAGGAGTTCGAAATTTGCTTTATAGACAGTCCTTTTATTTCTTCTGGAAGGACCATTTTGGAGGCTCCAACTAGCTGTGCAGATGGCAGGCAAATACCTCCCAATAGTCTTGGAGAATCTCTAAGTATACTAAAGAAACCATAATGCAGATGCTTCAGACTGGATGTTAAATCTACTTCTAGCAATATAAAATGAACACAGTGGCAGAGCTGAGCCATCTTAAAGTTAGATTTTTTTTCTGGATCTGAATATAGACCGCTATATGCCTGGACATTGTCTTGGGCTGTGTGTGCAGGTGTATGACCTTGTTTAAGCCCTGTTTGCAGTCCATGATGGGCCAAAATCACTAATGAAATAATTGTGGTAGGGAGGACCATACTGACATATGTTAGAGGACCAATGGATGGAGTTTGACCCAGCATACGCCCTATTTCCCTGCTGGTTCCCTAAATGGGATTTTTTTTTAAAAAGCAGAGTTTGGCCTGTGTACTGTTGGTTAACTCATTAACTAGTCCAATAGTCTTCTTACTAGTTTGCTCCCTTCAGTCTTACAGCTCCCTCTTCTAATCTGTTCTCCACAGCAGTTAAAATGATCTTTAGCAATGTTAAGATCACTATAAACCTGGTGAAAATTCTCTCAAGGCTTCTCATTACATTTGGAATGAAATCCAAACTCCTCCTTATAAGCTACAAAGCTCTCAATCATCTGATTCCCTGCCCCCATCTCCAAATTCAAGCCAAGAGTTCTCTTCCCTCACTTGGCTCTAAACACACTGTTCCATCAGCTCCCAGAACACACCTTGTTCCCTTTCGCAAGATGCACGTGCACATGTCACTCCTTCTGCCTGGACCCTTCTTTGCTTCCAACTCTACTGACTCTTCGTTTGCATGGTTGACTCTTTATCATTGTTGAAATGTTAGCAAAAATATCTCCCCAGAGACTCCATCCTCAAGACTGCATCTAAAGAAGAATCTCTCATCCTCCAGTCATTATTCTCTCTCTCTCTTTTTTTTTGAGGTAGAGTTTTGCTCTTGTTGTCCAGGCTGGAGTGCAATGACACGATCTTGGCTCAGTGCAACCTCTGCCTCCCAGGTTCAAGTGATTCTCCTGCCTCAGGCTCCTGAGTAGCTGGGATTATAGGCATGCGCCACTACACCCAGATAATTTTGTGTTTTTGGTAGAAATGGGGTTTCTCCATGTTGGTCAGGCTGGTCTCGAACTCCCATCTTCAGGTGATCCACCCACCTTGGCCTCCCAAAGTGCTGGGATAAAGGCATGAGCCACCGCACCCAGCCCCAGTCATTATTCTTTAGCCTGGTTTCTGTTTCCTTTCTGCATATAAACAGAGACAGTTTGTACTTAATAATTTGTTTATTTGCTTGCTTTACCGGGGCGTGGGTGGAGGCTGGTTCTCCCCCACTAGATTGTAAGCTCCATCAGGACAGGAATCAAGTTCTGTCTTGTTGATCTTTCTGCCGCAGGTTCCTAGCATGTGAAAAAAGGCTCAGTAATTGTGTGTTGAGGGAAGAGGGACTTAGTGACCTGTGCCAGCCATGAAGCCAGCTTCTAGTCTTTTGTTGGTGGAGCAGGGGCTACAAGACCTGAAAATAATGCATGTTCTCTTGGTTGAGTTTTGTCAGGGAAAGGTAAGTCTCGAACTGAGAAATGAAGTGGATCTTGGAATGGAAGAGGGAAGGAGATCTTTTCTCTCTGGGGTTGGGGGAGATAGGCCTTGGCATGAAGGTGGAGTTGTGCTTTTGAATATTCCTGGTGAGCAGCAGACTAACAGGAGCTTGCACTGCAAATAACTGCAGCTGGAAAAGAGTCAGAGAATTCGTTCCTTAAAAGATTCTGAGTTTGAATGAGGACCTGTGGGCTCAAGATTGGTGGTTTTATATTCATTATTCCCTAAGCACATGGCAAATTTGAACAAGGAAGTTTGTTACAGCATTGCTGGTAATAGCAACACACACATTCACACACGAAGACTTAAATACTCACCAGTAAAGAGAAGAAAGGTTAAATCACATATGGACCTTTTGTACTATAGAATACTATGCATCGGTTAAAAACAATGAGGTAGTTGCCAGGTACAGTGGCTTACGCCTGTAATTCCAGCACATTGGGAGGCCAAGGTATGGGGATCAGTTGAGGTCAGGAGTTTGAGACCAGTCTGGGCAACATGGTGAAATCTTGTGTCTACTAAAAATACAAAACTTAGCCAGTTGTGGCCATGTGTACCTGTATTCCCAGTTACTTAGGAGGCTGAGGCTTCAGAATCATTTGAACCTGGGAAGTGGAGGCTGCAGTGAGCCAAGATTGTGCCACTGTACTCCAGCTTGGGCAACAAGCAAGGCTCTGTCTCAAACAAACAAACAATAAGGTAGAGTTATATTTATATCCTATAGAGCTGGCATGGAGTGATTTCTAAGACATTTTACTTAAGTGACAAAGCAAGTCATAGTACAGTACATACCTATTTTTCTACCAATAAAACAAAACATCTTTACATATGTATACATCTTTAATATGTAAATGCATTGAAAATATGCCAGAAGGATTTGAATTTAGCTGTTAACAGTGGTTACCTCTGGGGAAGAGTGTATTTATAGAAGAGGTGAGGGAACTTTTAAATTTTAGTCAATTTCCTTGTATTGGTTGAAATATTTTATTATTGGAAATTTAGAATATGAATAAATTTTGCATAATTTTTTAAACTTTTATTTTAGGTTCAGGGGTACATATGCAGATTCGTTATATAGGTAAGCCGTGTGTCTTGGGGGTTTGGTGTACAGATAATTTTGTCACCCAGCTAATAAGCATAGTACCTGAGAGGTATTTTTTTGATCCTCTCTCTCCTCCCACCCTCCACTCATGTAGACCCCAGTGTCTGCCGTTCCCTTCTTTATGTTTATGAGTTCTCATCATTTAGCTCCCACTTATAAGTGAGAACACGCGGTATTTGGTTTTCTATTCCTACATTAGTTTGCTAAGGATAATGGCTTCCAGTTTCTTCCATGTTGCTACAAACAACATGATCTTGTTCTTTTATATGGCTGCATAGTATTCCATGGTGTACGTGTACCATATTTTCTTTATCCAGTCTATCATCAATGGACATTTAGGTTGATTCCATGCCTTTGCTGTTGTGAATAGTACATGTATAATTAAAGTTTAAAAAGAGAGAGGTATTACTGACTTTTGTAGTTTCATTCTGATGAGACCAGTGAGGTATATATGGGTTCCACTGGTTTCACCCTAATCCCCTGCATCAGAATAACCTAGGGGAAGAGGGTGTTGGGGGTACTGGACCTTGGAGATTCTGAGTCTACACCTGACCATATGAATCTGTCTCTAGAGGAGGACTTTGCGAATTTGCAGGACTGTCTATTGCATGCCTAGCATCACTGCCCTATCTGGTCTATCTGGTCCTCAGACGATGCTTCGAGAAACATTACAAGAAGGAAAACCCAGGCTGACCATTCCTACCCTTGTCCTTCCTTGTTTGTAACTGAGTCCAAGCCTGGAGGCATGTCTGTGTGTAGGAAGTCGCCTTACCCAGTTAGTAGACTCTTGAATAAAACAAAGAGAAGCCATTAGGTAGATACACAGCCGTTCAAAGTTGTCTTGCTTTGAAGGGAATGGGATTCTGTCTGAGCTCCTTCCCCGTGTATTAGAATCATACCTCAAGCATCATTTGAAGAAATGCGTCATGGTGCAAATATAAATGATGATGCAAGAATCCATGGGCCCAACCCAAAGTCCTGATGTCCTATTAATCTGGGGCACCTATATCATCACATACACCCATCAAATCCACTTACTGAGTCAGAGAATGGTGAAAATTGTACTGGTGCCTCCTCTTAGGGATGTAGATCCTATGAGTTATTCTGGCGCCTGAGGGTCAGGTGAAACTTCTACTCTGCCCTGAAAAATCTCCTACATCAGTGTGTATTCTGCAGAAAGCTTTCTTTGGAGTCACTTGGGAGAACTTGCTAAAAATGCAGATCTCTTCGCTGACCCACTGAATCAGAACCTTGAAGAATGGGTCCCAGGAGTTTGCATGTAGTAAGATTTCTGGTTTATTCTAATGCACACTGCACACCATTCTATAAAACTGTCCTATACAGTTTCCAATACAGTACCCATTGGCCACATGTGGCTTTTGAGTGCTTGCAATGTGGTTGGTGGCATATACTGAAATAATATTTTGGTCCTATTGGGTTAAAGAAAACTAATTTAAAAATTGACATCACCTGTCTCTTTTCACTTGTTTAATATGGCTACTAGAATATTTAAAATGACATTCGTGGCTCACATTGTGTTTTTATTAGACAGAACTGCTATAGAGTATTGGTATCTTATAAACTCTCTGAGTATTATTAGATGGATGTTCTGCAAGGTTCTGAGAATGAGATTGTGAGTGAATGAGAGGAGTCACTTTCAGAACTCAGGGAGGGAAAGAAGTTTGGTTCATTTCCTACAACTAAAACCCAAATTCAGTTGGGGGTGGCAGTCTGAGGTTTCTGCATTCTGGGATGACTTGGGTGATGTTTTTCAGAGCCTGGGCTTTCCACTGAACAGGTCAGGTTCAAATACTGAATGTGGCTTTGACAAAGGTACCTCCTTTCTCTGGACTCAGAGCTCTCATCCTTTAAATAAATGGTTCAGTGAACTGGATGGGTTCAAAGATGCTCTGCCTGCTACGTGGTCAGACAGCATCGATGGGCAGAAAAATGAAAGTGAGGAAAAAGAACAACTTCATTGGTTACAGCTCCGTGTTTCCATCTTGTTTGAATCAACTGGCCACCTGCAATTGACTAAAGCTCAGCTGCTGTAACTAACTCAAACTCAGTTCTGAGTAGACTCCCAAGTTAATGAGTTTCATTGAGCATGAATGGCTCCATATTGGTTTTGTCTGTTGGGTTCAGTACAGGAGCTGAGTTCAAATAAATGTCCTCTTACAAATTTTATTTAACAGGTGATGATCACTGACTGGTGAGATTATCAGCATCTTTCCTACTTTTCTGCATCTTCCATATTTCCAATAGTAGACAAACATGGAAAGAGAGGGTGTTCCTTCCTCTCTGTTGTCGCAGCTGGTGGATGGGGTCTTCAGCATCACAGCCCAATGATGTTATTCTACGAGAGGTGATCAAAAATATTGAGAGAGAGGCTGGACTTCATGTTTACTTTATTCTGAATGTGGGGCATATGGAATTTGCTGGCCTCAGGCCAAGGGGCAAATGTATCTCCCAGGACAGAGAAGCAAGGGTGGTGAAGAAGGGGCTATAAGGAATCAGGGGAAGTGAGTTTTTCTTGCTATGGCTTCCAAAAACAGAATGAATTTCCACACCAAAGCATAGGTAGGGAAAAAAGCACTAACCAGCAGAAATGGCAGGGACATATAAGAGGAAGAGGGAGGGAGATGAGAATGTGGGTCTTTCTGGTTTAATTAGACGTGGCTTCTTCAGACTAAAAGGAGACCCAAGGGAGAAGGGAAGGTGGATTTTGCAACACCATCTGGATCCTGGGCAGGCTTGTGATTGCCTTAGCATGAGACCTGGTTCTTTTGGATTGCATGTTTCTACGCTTGCTTTTGGATAGCATAGGTACAGCATGGCTGCATTGTATACACGCTGTCTTGCACAACGAAATAAATTGTTATAGAAATAATAATCCAGCTCCACCTACCTGACAGGATTGTTGATGAGCCGAAATGAGATAATATGCATGCTGGTGTTTTGTAAAAAGCAAATGGAAGTAACTGTTAGAAATGCATTCCTGGCTGGGTCTATGTCGTATTTCTGTCAAGCAGCTTAACTCGGGGTGGCAGAACATCTCTTGTCTTGGCAGAGCAAGGTCCGTGGTTAGTGTTTTCTGGTGTTAACAGGGCTACTCTCACTCTTGGCTGTTGACCTGGGGGTCAGCTCTTTGTCACTCTATGTACTGCTGCCATGAGGGGATGGAAACTCACTTCTTTGCAAAATCTCCCCAAGTCAAACAGACCCTGCCTGCCATAGGTCTGAGCTATAAGCTGGGGATAGAAATGGGTGTGGGGGCCTCTGATGACCATCTACTCTACAGGCAGGAGGATGAACAGATGTCTGATTAAGGAGATGGGGTCAGAGACAAATCACCAGAGGCAAGATGTGTCTAAATACGCTCTTGGAAGCAGATCTTTATTCCAACAGCAGCCTTTCTTCTGTAGCCTTGACGTAAGATTCCAATTTATCTGAATTTAGTACATTTCAAGAGTTTTTTTTTCCCCAATAGCAACCATGTGAAAGAATGGATTGACCTTTAATTTATAATCCTCATGTCATAGAGTTTAGCAGAGCTTAACCTATGTCGGTTGTGGTTCAAAACTGTCTGCCTTGCTTTGGAAAATGCAGGTCACGCTTTCGGTGGTAGCTAGAAAAAATAAAATAAAATAAAGGAACCAAGTGGGATAATAAATTTCTGCTACAAAAGGCAGAAGAGGAGCAGACAGAGAAGGGAGAAACGTCCAGAAGAAAGAAGGAAATTAAGATGTGGATGAGGTTATGAAAAATGAGAATTAAGCTGATCTGGTAAAGAAAACTGTTTGTGACTCTTATAATGGTGAGGGCAGCAAAGCAGAGACAAAGTGCTGGCGAGGGCTAGGGACAGAGGTGAAAAGGCTGCTGAGAGAGGCCCAGAGGCCTCATAAAGAAGAGAGACAGTAAAACATTTTGTATTCAGCATCAAATAAAATGCCTTTTTTTTTTTTTTTTTTTGCATTATGTGTCCTTGTTGTGATGCACAATTCAGATATGTGCTTTGGGTGAAGGCCTTGTTCCCCTGGCTGCTGCAATGATCCTCCAAGGTGAACCTCAGCTGAAAAAAGCCTGCCTTGGCTGGCCATGATGACTCATGTCTGTAATGCCAGCACTGTGGGAGAGTAAGGTAGGAGAATTGCTTGAGGCTAAGAGTTCAAGACCAGCCTGTGACTCAAAAACTTAATTCAAAAAATTATTTTAGGCCGGGCGTGGTGGCTCACACCTGTAATCCCAGCACTTTGGGAGGTTGAGGTGGGCAGATCATGAGGTCAAGAGCTCAAGACCATCCTGGCCATCATGGTGTAACCCCATCTCTACTAAAAATATAAAAATTAGCCAGGTGCTTGTAATCCCAGCTACTTGGGAGGCCGAGGCAGGAGAATCGTTTGAACCCAGGAGGCGGAGGTTGCAGTGAGCTGAGATCACACCACTGCACTCCAGCCTGGCGACAGAAAAAAAAAAATTATTTTAGGCTCGCTGCTGTAATCCCAGCACTTTGGGAGGCCAAGCTGGGCACATCACTGGAGGTCAAGAGTTTGAGACCAGCCTGGCCAACAGGCCAACATGGTCTCAAACTGCATTTTCAGCTTGGAAAGACAAGAGCTAAGAACGGAGCATACTGAACTATTTAAATTCAATGTAGCAAGAGAATAGGTAGTTCCCAGGCACTCACATAGAAGGATATGTGGGTAAGGGTGGGATTTCTGACTTCTTTTTATTTATTTATTTTAAGTGGATGAATAATACTTGTACATGTTCATAGGGTACATAGTGATGTTGTGATACATATAATACATAGTGATCAGATCAGGGTAATTAGCATGTCCACCGTCTCAAACATTTATCATTTCTTTGTGTGGGGAATAGTCAATATCCTCCTATTTGAAACCATATAATATATTATTGTTAACTATTAGATTGGTGCAAAAGTAATTGCAGTTTGCCATTACTTTCAATGGCAAAAACCATAATCTCTTTGCTATAGAACACTAGAACTTATTCCTCCCATCTAGCTGTAACTTTGTATCCTTAAACAAATCTCTCCCTATCCTTCTCTTCCCCCACCCTTCCCAGCCTCTAGTATCCTCTGTTCTATTTTTCACTTCTACAAGATCAACTTTCTTTAGCTTCCACATACGAGTGGGAACATGCCATGTTCAACTTTCTGTGCCTGGATTATTTCACTTAATATAGTGTCCTCTAGTTCCATTTATGTTGCCACCAATGACAAGAGTTCATTTTTTTTTATGGCTGAAGAGTATTGCATTGTGTACTCCACTTTGTTCATTCATCCATTGATGGACACTTAGGTTGATTCCATATCTTGGCTATTGTGAATAGTGTGGCAATGAGCATGGAGTGTAGATATCTCTTCGATATAATAATTTTCTTTGGACAAATTCTCAGTGGTGGGATTGCTGAATCTGACTTCTTTTATTTTAAATGTTTCAGGTCTCTCATGGACTCTCCTCTCCATGCTCTACTATTAGATTTTTAAATTATTTTTTTCATAAGTTATTGGAGTACAGGTGGTATTTGGTTACATGAGTAAGTTCCTTTTTTTTTTTTTTTTTTCTGAGATGGAATCTCACTCTGTCGCCCAGGCTGGAGTGCAGTGACACAATCTCGGCTCACTGCAACCTCTGCCTCCCAGGTTCAAGCGATTCTTGTGCCTCAGCCACCTGAGTATCTGAGACTACAAGCACGCACCACCACCCCTGGCTAATTTTTTTTTTTTGTATTTTTAGTAAAGACAGGGTTTTGCCATGTTGGCCAGGCTGTTCTCAAACTCCTGACCTCGGGTGATCCACCCCAGTTGGCCTCCCAAAGTGCTGGGAATACATGCATGAGCCACTGCGCCTGGCGAGTAAGTTCTTTAGTGGTGATTTGTGAGATTTGGGTGCACCCATCACCCATGTATACGCTGCACCATGTTTGTAGTCTTTTATCCCTCACCTCCCTCCTACTCTTCCCCCTAAGTCCCCAAAGCCCATTGTATCATTCTTATGCATTTGCGTACTCATAGCTTAGCTCCCACATATCAGTGAGAACATAGAATATTTGGTTTTCCATTGCAGAGTTACATCACTTAGAATAATAGTCTCCAATCTCATCCAGGTCACTGCAAATGTTGCTAATTCATTCCTTTTTATGGCTGCGTAGTATTCCATCTCATATATATATCTCACAGTTTCTTTATCCACTCGTTGACTGATGGGCATTTGGGTAGGTTCCACAATTTTGCAATTGCGAACTGACTTCCTAAGAAGAGTAATTGATAAAGAGGATAATAATAGAGATGATGAACAAGATTAAGACGAGATGACCATTTACACCTGTAATAGGTGCACTTGGCAATGAATGGAGAATTAGTTGGGAACTCTGGATTCTCCTAACATACAAGGGCTCTGTTTGTACCATGAGAAGAAAGAACCTCTGGGGACAATAGTCTGTAGGCAGAAGGACATTATTGGGGTACATACCTTGGAGGTTTCACTGGGGCTGAGTGTTGGCTCTGGTAGATTCTAGGTAGGAACCTGGGGTACCAGGTAAAAATGGGTGCATCCAGTAAGAAGAATAGGAGGCAAGAGGCCACAGAGCCTGTGGTGGGTGGGGCTTTGAGGCTTTGGAAAGGGGAAGACTTTGGCATACTGTATTTGCTTCCTAGGAGATGAGTTTGGGAAACTGCTGTGTGGTTGTTGATGGTTCTGCAGCCCCAGAGGATGATGAAAACCTCAGGCTTGGTGGAAGATGCTTTTGAATGTCCAGGCCTGGGGTCAACCCAAGTAACAGCTAGCACCTCTTTAGGGCCTTAAAGTTGATGCCCTTTATGCCATTTATTTTTGCATTTATAATAAAAGAACATTTTCAATCAAAGTAGTAGTGGCACATTGCAAAAATCCAAATTATACAAAGGACTTATAATGAAAGGTGATGGTCTCCTCCCCAACTTTTCCCATCCCTGAATCTTTATCCTCAGAGCCTTTGGCTGTTTCCCCTGGGTCTGGAGCAGCATTGGACATTCACAGATGCCATCTGCAAGGGCACTGATTGTATGGGAACACTGGGACCCACAAGGGACCCATGGAATGCTGGATGTTTTCTCTGATGGGGCAGAGAGAATGGGCTGTGGCAGAGCAAGAGCTCCCACTTAATCTGAATTTCTGGTTTCTGGGCTTAATAAAATTTTGTGATGGTAAATGACATACCCAATAATCATAAGAGTAATAAGTATAATAATAGAACAACGAGGCTTGAATGGACACTTAGGATGAATCAAGAAAACTGTACAGAGATGAGTCTTCTTGATCTCCAAGGACTGCTAGAAGCTGTTATCACATTTTGAAAAATTTTAATATCTTTTGGGGTACAAGTGGTTTTTAGTTACTTGGATGAATTGCATAGTGGTGAAGTCTGAGATTTTAGTGTGCCCATTACCCCAGTAGTGTACATTGTACCAATATGCAGCTTTTAATCTGTCACCCTCCTCCCACCCTCTCTGCTTCTGAGTCTCCAATGTACATCATACCACTGTATATGTCTCTGTGTACTCACGGCTTAGCTTCCACTTTTAAGTGAGAACATATGGCATTTAGTTTTCCATTCCTGAGTTACTTCACTTAGAATAATGGTCTCCAGTTCCATTCAAGTTGCTGCAAAAGACATTATTTCATTCTTCTTTTATGGCTGAGTAGTATTCCATGGTGTATATATACCATATTTTCTTTATCTACTCAGTGGTCTCTGGGCACTTAGGTTGGTTCCATATCTTTGCAATTGTGAATTGTGCTGCAAGAAACATATGTGTGCAGCAGTCTTTTTGATGAAATAGCTACTTTTCCTTTTGGTAGATATCCAGTAGTGGGATTGCTGGATCAAATGGTAGATCTACTTCTAGCTCTTCGTACTGTTTTTCATAGAGGTTTTACTAATTTACATTCCCACCAGCAGTGTATAAGCATTTCCTTTTCACAACATCCACACCAATATCTAGTTTTTTGCTCGTTTGTTTTTGTTATTTTTGAGATGGAGTCTTCCTCTGTTGCCCAGGTGGGAGTGCAGTGGCGCAATCTTGGCTTACTGTAACCTCTGCCTCCCAAGTTCAAGCGATTCTCCTGCCTCATCCTCCTGAGTAGCTGGGACTACAAGCGTATGCCACCACACCCGGCTAATTTTTGTATTATTAGTAGAGACAGGGTTTTTCCATGTTGGCCAGGCTGGTCTTGAACTCCTGAGTGCAGGTGAACTTCCTGTCTCGGCCTCCCAAAGTGCTGAGATTATAGGCATGAGCCACCGTGCCTGGCCAACACTGATATCTGTTGTTCTTTTACTTTTTAATAATGACTATTCTTGCAGGGCAAAGGTGATATCTCATTGTGGTTTTAAATTTCATTTCCCCGTGCTATGACATTTTTCATATGAGGAAAATGAGGCACAGAGGGACTAAATATACACCCCTCAAATGTTCTGGTAGATTATGGAGGCAGGATTTGAACCCCAGAACTCTGATTTCTAAGCCCATGCTTTCACCTTCTTTTTTACCACCCTTCTATTGACTAATGGAGAAACTACAAATCTGAGAAGTCAGGGGGTGAACCCATGGTCAGACGATTAGGGGTGATGGAGCTCGCTCAGGAACCAAGGTGTTCAGGCTCCAATTCTGGGTCCCTTCCAGCATGCTACCTCCCTCCTAATGGACTAATTTTGGAACCACTTCTTTGATCCCAGAAGAACCTTTGAAGAATCCAAAGAAATTAAAGAATGAAGTCCAGGCTGCTGCCCCCCTCCCTGGTGTACTTAAGTTAGCTGCAGAGAAGTCCAGGCTATTTATTTTCGGGAACAGCCTAATGATCACCCAGCAAGTCTAGTTACGGATGTGGTTCATCAGGCCACCTGGATATACTAGTGCAAAAAGCTCACAGTCCGTCTCAGGCTGATGGATTGCCCAAGTTATTAATATGGAAAAGGAGGGAGATCTACTTTCGGTGGTGGAATTAAGGTGCTTCAGTGCACCCTGGACTAGTTGTTTTAAAATAACAGGGGACCGAGTTTCTCTTGGAAAAGGACTTCATTTTTATTGAAAACCTACCACCTTCAAATGGCCGGGAAGTTGAAGAACTATAAAACTGTCAAACAGACCCATTATTAAAAGCTTTATTTGACAAATCTTCCACTGCTGGGGTAACTCATGCATTTTCCCTCCTCTCTCACAAGAAATAAAACCACTCACTTATGCAAACTGCTGACAAGGAATGGAAACAAATGGACTTCTAAACATGAACAGAGATACCCTAGCCCCTTCCTGCAACCTAATGGAAGTTGGAACCATTCATAAATCTAGGGCTGCTTGGACAGAATCGTGGTTCCACAACTTCTCATCTTATGGGGTTCAGAGCCGAGGAAAATGTCCGTGTTTCTGGAAGGCTCTGTGTTAATAGGAGAAATTTAAGGGTGTAAAGAAATGCCTTACTAATATAGTTCTATTAGTTTTCTATTGTTGCATAACAAATGACCACAAACGCAGAGACTTAAAACAACTCACACTTATTAGCTTACAGTTTCATGGATCAGGGTTCCAGGCACATTTTAATTGGGTCTTCGGCCTAGGATTTCATGAAGTTGTAATCAAGATGTCAGCCAGGGCTGGGTATCCATTTGGAGGCTCAAGTGAGGAAGGACCCATTTTCTTATCTGCATGGTTGTTGGCAGTATTCAATTCCTTTTGACCATATCTTAAATTTGTTGTTGTTGGCCATAGGTGGTCCCTTAGCTCCTAACCCTACAGTTTCTTGCTACGTGAACTTTTCCAGCATGGCTAATTACTTCATCCAGCCAGAAAGAAGAGTCTCTAGTGAGTCTATCAGCTAGATGAAATCTTATGTAACACATGACATAGTCATGGAAGGGCCAGCCCATCACCTTTGTCACACTCTGTTGGTTAGAAGCAAGTCATGGGTCTTGTCCACGCTCATGGACAGGGAATAATACAAGGGTGTGAATAGTGGAAGGTGAGAAATCCTTGGGGTCACCTTAGAGTCTGTTACTGCATCCCCCTAACCCACTTCCATAGGTTGATCAAGTCAGTTCTGTTTAATCTGGGCTGCTGGAAAAGAAGGAAGGAGAGAAGGAATGAAGGAGGAAAGGAAGGAGGAAAAAGGAAAAAAAAAAGAAAAAAGGGAGAAAGGAAAGGATGGAGGAATAAAGGAAGGAAGGAAGGCAAGAAAGAAAGAAAGAAAAGAAAGAAAGAAAGGAAAGAAAGAGAGAAAGGAAGGGAAAGGAAGAAAAAGTCTATTTATCGGATGCTTTGGACAAAGCAGTGGTCCTGTTTTAGAATAGTTTCAAAAGGAGAAATGAAGTTCTTTTCTTGTATATATATATATATATATATATATATATATATATATGGTAATGGACAAGATGTAAGTTTTAGGTCTCCAAGCCAATTTGATAAGATTCACTGAGTTCAGGGGTGCTAATGTGCACCTCAAAAACAGAATGATTATCATTATGATTTCTACATCGTGTACATGGTACGGGAAATGGTGTCTACTAATCCATGTTGTTTGAATCATTGGTTTTTCCATGAAACATGGCCTTTCTTTTCAGCAGTCATTTTCTGTATGCCCACTCTGCCTAAGTTTGATCAGAAATTCTGATGAGCAATTAGAACATGACAACACTCTAAATAAATGTTCAGCATGGGTGGGTGTTTTCCATATTGGGTGAATGAGTGGGCAGATGAATTGGAAGGAGGAAAGGAGGAAAGGTAAAAGCAGGATTGGCGGGAGATGCACGAGCAGCATTCTCACATACAGTTGATATAATTCAGTGTTTCTCAACCTTGGCACTATTGAAATTTGGGGCTCGATCATTCTTTGTTGTGGGGGGATGTCCTGTGTGCTGTGGGATGTTTGGCAGCTTGCATAGCTTCTACTCATTCATTGTCAGGGATACCCTCATTCCTTCTCCAGACATTGCCAAATGTTTTGTAGAGAGGAGAGCAAAATCTCTTCCAGCTGAGAATCACTGGTGTAATTCCAGCACAAAGTAAATGACATTGATTTTTTTTTTAGGTGGCTAAAGTTATTTTACCTAGAACAAATATACAATTGTTTACACTTTTACAAATACTGGAAATGTTTCATGGAATGCCCTTCTTGCTGGGAGCCAGTATAGATGGTTAAGAGTATGGGCTTTGAGGCTTTGGAAGTGGAGATTCTAGTGTTTGAATCCTGGCTCTGACACTTGCTAGCTCTGTCACTGCTTTGGTCTCCTTATCTGCAAAATGGAGATAATAACTCAAGTAGCTGTTGTGAGTACACCTGATAGATGCAAAATGCTTAGGTCAGGGACTATGTGCAAAAGAAGGTGCCCAATGTGTTAGTTATTCTTACTGCCCTTGTAATATTTAGTCGTTTAGGCTATTTTAGGTTGGCTGTTGTCTTCTTTTATTCTCTCTTGATTGATGATCTTTTGGGGATGGAACAATAGGAACAGAGGAGTCTTACCTGCAGGTCCAGCTGTCTTGCTTAGGTGAAGATGACTGGAGGCATTTGGACGTAGGACAGGCCAGCTTTGTGAGAGTAGGCATGGTTGGGGAGGGGGGTCATCACAGCAGGTATTCAGATGTCCTGTAACATTGGGGATATTTCTCTGTGATTATATTTCTAAGATCTTTCTCTTTTCTTCCGAGGAGATCTTCCTCTCTACTGGATGCAAACTAGTCCTTAGGGTCTTGTGGTCTGTAAGGGGGTATTTTCATGCATTAATCCGTAATGCAGTGTATGTGTGTGTTTATGTGTGTATATATGCATACATATATGTATATATGCATACATACACATATATGTATGTACATGTTATATATACACACACAAACACATATTTTATTGTTGTAAAATAACATAACACTTACCACTTTATTTATTTATTTATTTTTAGAGACAGAGTCTCGCGCTGTCACCCAGGCTGGAGTGCAGTGGTACGATCTCGGCTCACTGCAAGCTCTGTCTCCCGGGTTCACACCATTCTCCTGCCTCAGCCTCCCAAGTAGCTGGGACTACAGGCGGCCGCCACCACGCCCGGCTAATTTTTTTGTATTTTTAGTACAGACGTGGTTTCACTGTGTTAGCCAGGATGGTCTCAATCTCCTGACCTCGTGATCCGCCCGCCTCGGCCTCTCAAAGTGCTAGGATTACAGGCATGAGCCACCACGCCCGACACCACTTTATTTTTAAGTGTACAGTTCTTTGGCATTAAGTACATTCACAATGTTCTGTAACCATCACCACCATATGTCTCTAGAACTTTTCATTTTATCAGACTGAGACTCTGTGCCCATTAAACACTCTCTGCTCTCCTCCAGCCCCTGGAAACCACTACTCTACTTTCTCTGTGACTTTAACTACTCTAGTAACCGAGTGTAAAGGGGATTATATAATATTTGTCCTTTAGTGACTGGCTTCACTAACCCATTGTCTTCAAGGTTCATTCACATTGTAGCTGTGTTACAACTTCTTTTTAAGGCCAAATGACATTCAGTTGCATATATATACCCCCTGACGATTACTCATTCGTCTGCCAATGGACACTGGGGTTTGTTCTACCTTTCGGCTGTGGTGAAGATTGCTGTTTGCTGTTATGAACATGGGTGTGTGAATATCTCTTTGAGTCTCTGCTTTTATTTATTTTGGGTATATACCCAGAAGTGAAATTGCTGGATTATATGGTAATTCTATATTTAATTTTTTAAGGAACCTCCAGAGTCTTTTCCAGACTGACTGCATCATTTTACATTCCCACCAACAGTGCACAGGGGTTCCAGTTTCTCCACATCCTTGACAACATTTATTATTTTCTCCTTTTTTTCTTAGCCATGCCAATGGGTGTGAGTAGTATTTCACTGTGGTTTTGATTCACATTTCTCTATTGACTGGTGATGCTGAATATATCTTCATGTGTGTATTTATATATGTACATATTTTATATAATTATTTATGTATTTATTTTTAGAAACAGCACCTCACTCTGTTGCCCAGGCTGGAGAGCAGTGGTGCATTCATAGCTCACGGCAGCCTTGAACTTCAGGGGTTAAGGGGTCCTCCCACCTCAGCCTGCTGCATAAGTAGGACTACAGGTGCATGCCACCATGCCCAGCGAATTATTTTTTATTTTTTGTACAGATGGGGTCTCTTTATGATTTGCCCAGGCTCTGGTCTCGAACCCATGGACTCAAATGATCTTCCTGCCTCAGACTCCCAAAGTGCTGGTATTACAGGTGTGAGCCACCATGCCTGGCTATCTTTATATTTTAATAAAATTATTTTGGGAGACTCCAAGCCTTTCTAGTGAATGGGTTGCATTTAGCAATGGAATTGCAGCTCTAAGGAAGAGATGATTCTAGGCAGTGGGACCTCCCAGTTTCAGATACCCTAAAGTCCAG
Source organism: Homo sapiens (assembly GCF_000001405.40). Lineage (NCBI taxonomy): Eukaryota > Metazoa > Chordata > Mammalia > Primates > Hominidae > Homo > Homo sapiens. Next base: position 8,404,854 of record NC_000016.10, on the reverse strand, counting down.
AAGTGGGCACGGTGCCTGTTTAATGCCTGCATGAGGCCATTCCCAGTGCTCTAGAATCTGAAATTCCCTGTTAGGAGCTCTACTCATTCATCTTTGTTATCCGGTGATTTCTCGCCTGCAAAGTCTGCTGAGGAAAGCACAGCCAGCTGCCATCTCTTTAATATTTAGAAATCTGCCTTAATAAATCCTAGCTCTTCCTGCATGTTGCTATCTGTATTCGTGGTCTCCAGTTTTCTGGGAATTCAGTGGGATGGTTTCTTATCTGTTAGCTTGTCAGAAACAGGCACGAGGACAATCAAATATTCATCTATTCACATCTGGTGTTCTGCGGGGAACAGCATTTAGACCCCTACCGTGTTTAACTGTATAAATGGTTTCTATCTATCATGTAAATCAGAACTGCTTACGTTCAGAGCAAACTGCACCAGACAGAGAGCCACATCGGATGGATATGAGGGAGGGGGCAGACTATCCCACCCTCTTTGAACATTGGGAACTCACAGAATTCTCACCACAGTTCTTTTTTACTTTTCAATGCTAATTCCTAGATGTCATTTAGCTTTTCATTATTGCATTATGTGATGCATGTGTGTGTATGTGCATGTGTGTATGTGTGTGTGCATGTGTGTGTGCATGTGTGCATGTGCGTGTGTGCATGTGCGTGTGTGCATGTGTGTGTGCATGTGTACGTGCAAGTGTGTGTGCATGCATATGTGTGCATCTTTGGGTCTATGCATATCTGCGTCTTGTATTTGTCACCTTGTCTGTCTGAATTTGCATTTGTGTATATTTGTGTTACACATTATCTCCTGCATGCCTCTCTGTGGTCGCACTTTTGCATGGTCTTTTGGTGTCTGTACGCCTATCTGTGTTTATTTGGGATGTCTCTCTTTGTGTCTTTGTGTCTCTCCGCGCTGGTATAGGTCTGTGTATGTGTTTGTGTGTGCCTGTGACTGGCTTATCTGTGGGTCTAACTTGGTGTGTGGGTTTAGCGTGTGTGTGTATGTGCATGTTTGGTGAATACTTATCTTTTCCACATCGTCCTGCCTTCTTCCATGGATGGAGCTAGATCATCCATTTTCCAGCTTGAGGAGAATTATTGGCTTGGACTTCTGTGGCAAGAGGCAGCCATCCTTGCGATGTGTCTGAGGTGTGGCTTGCAGGGCCTCTTGAGACTGTCCCCACTCTCAGCTCTGTGCAGCTGCATGCGGAAAACATTCGAAAGGGGCAGAATTATCTGTGCTGAAACCAATGCCTCCTTCCTGTCTGCTGCTAGCAAGGATTACACACAGGCATCTCCACAACCGCATTCTCTAGTCCCTGCAAAGGAAGGTGCTTAGAGCTAGTGAGACAAAAGCAATCTATTCTCCTGCCAGCTCTGGGTGATTCCCTGCCCTGAAATTTTCTTGTGTCCAGGATAAGCAGCATTATTGGTTCTTTCGACCAAGTTCTTATCTTTAACCAGCTTGCCCTCTGCTGTGCTCTGCATCCCAGCCCCATTCCCCCAACCTCTCCACCCCGCCGAGCTCCTTAGAAGGGCTCAATTCTTCTACCTTATCATGTTGTTGAGAGTCAAGACTTTGGTGGCAGCATTAATCATTATCACCACCATCATCAATTCACCACTTAGGTTTACATGGCACTGTAAAAAGTACAAAGGTCTAGGGCTTTGTACACATTACCTCCTTGAATCCAAAAGTGAAACCCATGACGCAAGTAAAATAATTTCCATTTTCCCAGCAGCAGCTGTTATTGACTGAACCATCACAACAAGTCAGGCGTGATGCTAAGTCCTATATATGAATTAAACTACTTAATACTCAGCACAACTCGAGGAAATAGATATTATTATTATCTTCATTTAACAGACAGGGAAATACCGAGAGAGGTTAAGTACTTTGTCTGAGGTCACCCAGCCAGTAAGTGGCAGAGCGAGGAATAGAACACAGACATTTTAGATGCGGAGCCCGTATTCTTAGCCACCATGGAGTGGAGAGATTATGATCTGGCCAAGCTCCTAGAGTTGTGCGTGGTCTGCCTCCTTGAGTCTCCTTGGACCAGTGGTGCTGAGGATGGACTTAGAGCTTTGGATGTGGCTTAAGCTGCTGGTTCAGCAAAACAGTCTCTTCTCAGATGCTTCCCTGTTCTTCCAAATTGACTGTTGGTTTACCTGTAAAAACACACACACACACACACACACACACACACACACACACACACACACACACACGTGTCCTGCCACTGGCTCAGAGAATATCAATGTCAGGATGGAGCAGTTGTTGAGGGACAATGGGGAAATGTTGGTCAAATGACTCAACATTTCAGTTAGAAAGGAGGAATAAATTCAAGAGAACGATTGGACATCATGGTGACTGTAGCTAATCACGATGTACAGTATGCTTGAAAATCACTGAGAGTAGGCTTTTCAGTGTTTTTATCACACGCAAAAAAGATAAACACGTGAGGTCATGCATAAAACACACACATAAAACATTTTAACTTGCCAATTTAAAAAATAATAACTTTTGAAAAGGCAGTGTCATCCTTGACTCCTCTGATTTTCTCATACTTCCCATGTGATACCCTCTTGAGTCTGGCTAACTCTATCTTTAAAAGATCCAGAATTCAACAACTTCTCTCCACCCTGTGGCCACCACTGTCCTGCTGCAGGCCACTGTTTTCTCCCTTATTGCAACAGCCTCCTAACTGGTTGTTTTGGTTCTGCAGTTCCCTAGATTGTCCATTCTCTATGCAGCAGCCAGATTGACTTTTTTTTTTTAAGACAGAGTCTCACTTTGTCACGCAGTCTGGAGTGCAGTGGGGCCATGATGGCTCACTGCAGCCTTGACCTCCTGGGCTCAAGCGGTCCTCCTGCCTCAGCTTCCCAAGTAGATAGGATTACAGGCATGTGTCACGAGGTCTTGTTATTTTTAAATTCTTTTTTTAATAGAGATAGGGTCTCTCTGTGTTGCCCAGGCTGGTCTTGAACTCCTGGGCTCAAGTGATCCTCCTGCCTTAGCCTCCCCAACAGCTAGGATTACAAGCATTAGCCATGGTACCCAGCCAGAGTGCCCACTAACACTCACGCTGTTCACGCTATTTATCTTCTCCAAGTCTTCAGTGGCTCCTCTCTCCCTCACAGTATAAGCCAAACTCCTTCCTGGAAGACCCAAATGATATGCCCCACCGTCACCTCCTTGGCCACTGCTCTCTTCATTGTTCACTCTGGCCACACTGATTTTTTTTTTTTCTCTCTTGGAGTCAGAGGCTCGCTCTGTTGCCCAGGCTGGTGGGGTGGCACAATCTTGGCTCACTGCAACCTCCGCCTCCCAGGTTCAAGTGATTCTCCTGCCTCAGCCTCCTCAGTAGTTGGGACTACAGGCGCACGCCACCACTCCCAGCTAATTTTTGTATTTTTAGTAGAGATAGGGTTTTGCCATATTGGCCAGGCTGGTCTCAAACTCCTGGCCTCAAGTGATTTGCCTGCCTCAGCCTCCCAAAGTGCTGGGATTATAGGCATGAGCCACCGCGCCTGGCCATACCACACTGATTTTATTCACCCTCAAACATGCCGTGGTCCCAGCCCTTCCTTGGGGCTCGAATGCTTTCCTCTACATTCTCCTGGCCAATCATTTTCTCAGTTAAGCTCTCTTTCCCTCCCTAAAATTTCAACCACTCTTCACCCATTCACAGCCCACTAATTTTCCCTAATTTTTTCTCCTTAACACTGATACTTGTTGAAAAACCTAATGTATATCATGAAGGCTTTAGTGAATAACAGTATATTGCAGTCAGGATTTCTGCTAAATGAGTAGATTATAGCTGCTCTTGCCACACGTGGAAAAACTATGACTAACTATGTGAGATGATGGATATGTGAATTTGTTCCACTATCGTAACCATTTTACTACATATATATCTTATAACATCATGTTGTATACCTTAAATATACACAATAAAATTTATTTAAAAATGTAGTAAGTGTAGGGCTGGGCGTGGTGGCTCACGCCTATAATCCCAGCACTTTGGAAGCCTGAGGTGGGTGGATCACGAGGCCAGGAGATTGAGACCATCCTGGCCAACATGGTGAAACCCTGTCTCTACTAAAATACAAAACATTAGCTGGGCGTGGTGGCAGGTGCCTGTAGTCCCATCTACTCAGGAGGCTGAGGTAGGAGAATGGCTTGAACCTGTGAGGCAGAGATTGCAGTGAGCCAACATCGTGCCACTGCACTCCAGCCTGGTGACAGGCTCTGTCTCAAAAAAATAAAAATAAAAATAAAAAATATACTAAATGTATATGTATATTTATCTTTTTTTTTTAACTTTTATTTTAGGTTTGAGGGTACATGAGAAGGTTTGTTACATAGGTAAACTCATGCCATGGGAGTTTGTTGTATGGGTTATTTCAACACCCAGGAATTAAGCCTAGTACCCAGTAGTTATCTTTTCTGCTCCTCTTCCTCCTCCCATCCTCCCCCCTCAAGTGGACCCCAGTGTGGGTTGTTTCTTTCTTTGTGTTCATAACTTCTCATCATTGAGCTCCCACTTATAAGTGAGAACAGGCATTATTTTGTTTTCTGGTCATATGTTAGTTTACTGAGGATAATAGCCTCTATCTCCACCCATGTTCCTTCAAAAGACATGATCTCATTCTTTTTTATGGCTGCACAGTATTCCATGGTGTATATGTACCACATTTTCTTTATCCAATCTGTCATTGATGGTCATTTAACTGGATTCCTTGTCTTTGCCATTGTCAATAGTGCTGCAATGAACATTCACATACATGTATCTTTATGGTAGAATGATTGATATTCCTCTGAGTATATACCTAGTAATGGGATTACTGGGTCGAATGATAGATCTGCTTTTAATTCTTTGAGGAATCACCATACTGCTTTCCACAATACTTGAACTAATTTACACTCCCACCAACAGTGTGCAAGTGTTCCTTTTTCTCCACAATCTTTCCGGCATATGTTATTTTTTGACTTTTTAATAATTATCTTGCTTATTTTCTATCTTCCTGCTAGCAGGGGTATAGGAATTGCTGAGAGTTGATAATTGCCATATACTTAGCTCATAGCGGGCACTAAGTTTATCTCTGCTGAATGACATACATATGACAACAATGTGTGTAATACAAAATTCAAAAGGCACAAGAGGAAAAGTTCTTTCCTACTACTATCCTATGGCCACATATCTTCACTCCCATGAGGAAACTGCTATGGCTGGTTACCCTGTATCCTTCCAGAGATATTCTGGGTAAACAAATGAGTGCGTATATGTATCTGTATCTATATGACCTACATTTAGATCTCTCTGCATCTGTAGCAGTATCATACATAGTTTTTCTCCTTCCTTCCTTCCTTCCTTTCTCTCCCTGTCTTTCTTTCTCTTTCTTTCTTTCTTTCCCTCTTTCTTTTTTCTTTCTCTCTCTCTCTCCCTTTCTCATTCCTTTCTTCCTTCCTTCCTTCCTTCTTTCTTTCTTTCCTTCTTTCTTCTTTCTCTTTTTCTTTTTTGAGATAGAGTCTCACTCTGTCACCCCGGCTGGAGTGCAGTGGCAAAATCTGGGTTCACTGCAACCTCCATCTCCTGGGTTCAAGTGATTCTCTTTCCTCAGCCTCCCAAGTAGCTGGGACTACAGGCGTGCACCACCATGCCAAACTGATTTTTGTATTTTCTGTAGAGACAGGGTTTCACCATGTTGGCCAGCCTAGTCTCGAACTCCTGACCTCAAGTGATCTGCCTGCCTCAGCCTTCCAAAGTGCTGGGATTACAGGTGTGAGCCACTGCGCTCAGCCTCATCTTTCTTTCTTTACTTAGTATCTTGGCAATTATTTCACATCAGGACATGAAGAACAACTTTGATCTTTTAAATATCTGTGTATTATGTAATTGTGTGAGCATGCATATATCTTTGCACCAGTTCCTATGGATGGATTTCTGGGCAGCTCCCAATAGTTAACTCTTGCAGACATGACTGTGTCATTTCTCACAAATGCAAGTTTATCTACGGGGTAGATTTCTAGATGTGGAACTGTATTGGCTGACTTAAAAAAAAAATCAATGCTTGGCAAGTTCAGCTTTCCCAAACAGGTGTTCATGACATGCTGATCCAGAGGGTAACCATGCTGCTATGTATCATTACGTCAAAATTAAAAGTCAACTCATTATAGAGTTAATGGGGACTTTTGATGGCTGCTATATTGGAAACTCTGCCCCTACCATTCTTCCTTCTCACCTTGAGGAGGTGCCATGGGTCTCAGAGTCTATAAAGGCAGAGGGTTTCATGGGATGATTTTCTATTCCCAATAGCATGGGACCTAATTTTCATTAAAGGTCCACAGGCCAGGTGTTAACTTCTTTAATACGTGCCTCTAGACTTCACGTTGCCTATTGTCTCACCAGAGGTTATCGTCCCTCTTTTTGGGCAGCTGGATTTGGGGGTGGGGTGTGGTTAGTAGGGTTGCTTTCTGCAGCGACAGACTGACAAGAGGAAGGGGAAATTCAAATGTTAGCTATGTTTGAGTGCTGTGTGAAGTTCTGGACGTGATTATGATTTCCCTTTCTGTAAAATGGGAAGGATAGGCCGGGCGCGGTGGCTTACGCCTATAATCCCAGCACTTTGGGAGGCCGAGGTGGGTGTATCACAAGGTCAGAGGTTTAAGACCAGCCTGCCCAACATACTGAAACCCCGTCTCTACTAAAAATACAAAAATTAGCTGGGCGTGGTTGCACATGCCTGGAATCCCAGCTACTCAGGAGGCTGAGGCAGGAGAATCACTTGAACCTGGGAGGCAGAGGTTGCAGTGAGCCGAGATCGCGCCATTGTACTCCAGCCTGGGTGACAGAGTGAAACTCCATCTCAAAAACAAACAAACAAAAAAAAACAAAATGGGGATGATAACACCTATCCCTCATGGGTCTGTTCTGGGGATTTCATTAGCTCATGCTTCATTTATTAAAAACATATTTATGAAACCCCATCCATGTATGCAGCTATTCCAGTCTTTAGGGAAGAAGACCTAAAGAAAATCTACAAAATTTTTGACCCCATGGATATTATTAGCTTTGCATTGTGTCTGCAATATAATAGGGTCCCTTTACTTGGGGGTTTCTCACATTTTTCATCATCAGAGGGTAGCAAGGGACACCTCCTATTTGGGAGAGTTGGAGCGGAGGAGGAGGCATTTGAGTTTGCCTTGAAGGATGAGGACATAGGCTCCAGGAAAGGAAGAGGGTGGGGTGTGGGGACCTTATCGACATAGGGGAAACCATGGGAGAGGACAAGGAGATGGAAGAACAGTAAGGTGTTTGCACAACGGAAGAATCTTGTTCATATCATAGTAGGTAATCCTCCTACAGGGATGTCATGCTGGTGCTCAGACTGTACTCTGCCCCTCGCTGTGGTGAATGGCAGACACCACAGCTTTCAGCCTGTTTTCCCATTTCTCAATGCTCACTTCTTTCCTTGCTCTGACCTCAGCCCCAGCCGTTCTGATCCATTGCTCCCCACATCCTCCTGAGCCTCATTCCACAAAACACCCCATGAATTTCCTCCATCTCTTCACACTCGACAACTTGGGTGTTTTAGCAAAATAGTCCATGATAGGGCTTTTTTTTTTTTTTCTCATGTGTGTTCTTTGTCTGTTTCTTTATGGTTTTTAATCATTCTCTTTTGACTTGATAAATGAGTCTTGGCTTCTCACAACTTTCCTGAAGACCCAGGGTAAAAAATACATCCTTTCTGGTAGCTATAGCAGTTGTTAGGGAAAAATGAGCCTCCTCGATAGTCAATAAATCACTTTGTCACCTTAATCTTTTATTGATCTCAATAAAAGTTGTATTTTGTTTCTTAACAAAAATCCACCACGGAAGACATCCCATACAGGTGGGGGCACGATGAAAGTCATGGTCAAGGCATCACTTCGTATTGTTATTTATGGGAGAGCAAGGGTTTTGAGGGAGCCAACGAGGGGAAGGCTAGAGACTAAGAAACCGTTCTTGTAAGTGATACATCATATTTTAAAAGAAACACTTGACTCTAGGTAGCCCACTCACAGATAGAACTCTGAAGCTGTATTTTATGCAGACTTTATAAACAGGTCATAAACATCCTGCTCCTCCAAGCCAGGAAAGCAAAGGCTCTTTCCTGCTTGCTAGTAATGCATCTGTGCGGTCAGTTAAATTTAGAATGTGGCAATCATTGTGCTTTGAGCTGGTTTGATCTCTAGGGGACGATTATCAAAACGGGTTACTCATGGAGGAATGAGGAACGTTTCACCAAGGCTTAGAACCAAGCTTTTGTTAAGGTTTGGAATAAACATATTTTCCCTTCAGTGCAGAGGTAAAGAAATACTAATAAAAAATGGTCTTCAATGTTAACATTTGTGTCTTGCTCATGTTTCCTTAGGGCATAAGTATAGGGAGGATTTGGTGATTTGGGCTTAAAAAAAGAAAGAAGTAAAACAGCGGTGCAAACACACACTTGTCTTTCTTGTCTACTTTTTCTGTAAGACTTGACTCAGTTGTTATCTCTGTCAGGGACTTCATCCATGGGACTTTGGTTTTCTTTCTTTTTTTTTTTTTTTTTTTTAAGACTGAGCCTCTCTCTGTCATCCAAGCTGAAGCGCAGTGGCATGATCTCAGCTTACTGCAGCCTCCATCTCCTGGGTTCAAGAAATTCTCTTGCCTCAGCCTCCTGAGCAGCTAGGATTACAGGTGTACACCACCACACCTGGCTAATTTTTGTATTTTTAGTAGAGATGGGGTCTTGCCATGTTAGCCAGGCTGGTCTTGAACTCCTGACCTCAGGTGATCCACCCGTCTGTCTCAGCCTCCCAAAGTGCTGGGATTACAGGCATGAGCCACTGCGCCTGGCCAACTTCGGTATTTTTATTCTTGCCAAACATCCTGTGACTTCCTATGTCATAGTGTTATCACAGTGTGTGGTATAAATCAGGCACAATCTCTGACTTCATGGAGCTTACATTCTTGGGTGAAACAATATGCTTGGTGCATAGTAGGTACCCACAACATGAAAGATGAAGTTTGTCTTTATTTCTTTCATCTGACTGAAGGCTGTCACAGCATCTCTGGGCTCAAACAATGTGTGTGTGCAGGGATTAAGGGTGTGTGTCTGCGGGGATTTGTGTGTGCAGGGATTAACAATGTGTGTGCATGTGTGTCTGTGTGTGCAGGGATTAAGGGTGCATATCTCTTAAAGAAAAGATATGAACCAAATGATCACCAAAGTACAATTTAAACACTTGGTATAATAATTGCTACCATTAATCGAGGGTTTTCATTGTGCCAAGCACCAGGGAATTGTATTCATAATAGATGGCATTTTTTGGGTGCTTACTATGTGTCAAACACTTTGCTAAGCTCTTTTTATGTATTCTTTAAATCTTCATAACAATCGTAGAATGTAGGTACTCTGATGATCCTTGTTTTACCAAAGAGGAAATCATGGCACAGAGAGGTTGGGAACATGCCCCAAGTTCCCACAAGTAATGGCAGATCCAGGTTTGAAGCCCAGGCACTATAGTCCAAGCTCCTCACCATTTCACTTTTCTCTGTGCCTCTAAAACTTTTTTTATCCTAATTATCCTAAAGGTGAAATGCTCATTAATATTAGTTCAAGCACTCTTGGATCTTCTTTGATATCTAAACCAAAGAGGAAATCTGTTCTGGCATCAACTTGGCCAGTCTGGGATATTGGACCGAAACATGTTTACAAACTAAAGTTGGATCGCCTTTGATCAAATGGGCCTCAGATTCCTTGAACACTGGGTATCTCCTTATGACTGCTTTTTGACTGCTTTTCCATGTGGCTGTTACTTAAGCATCTCTGATGGTTAAAAGGAAAGATTCTCTAGTGGCACTTACCAAAACATCAATTAAAGGGAAGATTCAGGGGCCAGGCGTGGTGGCTCACACGTGTAATCCCAGCACTTTGGGAAGCCAAGGTGGGTGGATCACCTGAGGTCAGGAGTTCGAGACCAGCCTGGCCAACATGGTGAAACCCCTGTCTCTACTAAAAATATAAAAAAATTAGCTGGGCATGGTGGTGGGTGCCTGTAATCCTAGCTACTCGGGAGGCTGAGGAAGGAGAATTGCTTGAACCCAGGAGATAGAGGTTGCAATGAGCCGATACAGAGCCACTGTACTACAGCCTGGGTGATAGAGTGACACTCCGTCTGAAAAAAAAAAAAAAAAAAAAAAAAGGAAGGATTCAACAGGACCCCAGATACCATGGTCTTTCTGGAAAGCATTATCTCTTCTTCTGTGTTCTACTTGAAGTAGGATGGGCTTTCTAAACTAAATAGCGTATGTAACCTGAGATAGGCCAGAGAATGGAAAAATGACTCTAGAAGATTTTTTTGTTGTCTTTTTTCCCCATCCATATGCAGCGATTTATCCAGTTGCAGATTGTGGAAAGCCCAGGCCTGCACACATTCAGAGAAATATAAAGCACTATATAAAACAAAGGGGGTTGTTAGTAAAACAGATGCAGTGTTAATTGCACTTGTGAGAGTAGCGTAAATAAAACAATAGATGTGCTAGAAAATCTTTTATGATGCTCAGATTTTACAAAACTGGTTTCTCTGCAAAGGTAAAGAAAAAAATCACAGCACAATTACTAGAATGAGATCTTTCTAAAAATTATTTAGATTGATGCTAATGAGGCCAGTGACTTTCAATGTGTCATTCATTTTCTTCATTCGACAAATATTTGCTGAAGGTCTGCTCTATACCAGACCACATGCTCAGTGTTTATGATCATAAAGCAGAATATCTAGCCATTGTCTTCAAGGAGCTCCATGTTTAAATGCCTAAGTAGATATTTAGGGAAGTGGTTCTCACTGGGTCGTGGTTGGGGGTGTGGGGTGAAAAGGGAATTTGGCAATATCTGGAGACATTTTTCATTGTAACAACTGTGGGCCGGGCGCGGTGGCTCACGCCTGTAATCCCAGCACTTCCGGAGGCCGAGGCGGGCCGATCAAGAGGTCAGGAGATCGAGACCATCCTGGCTAACGGGGTGAAACCCCGTCTCTACTAAAAATACAAAAACAAAATTAGCCGGGCTTGGTGGCTGATGCCTGTAGTCCCAGCTACTCGGGAGGCTGAGGCAGGAGAATGGCGTGGATCTGGGAGGCGGAGCTTGCAGTGAGCTGAGATCGCGTCACTGCACTCCAGCCTAGGCGACAGACAGAGACTCCGTCTCAAACAAAACAAAACAAAACAAAAACAAACGAACAAACAAAAAACAACTGGGAAGAGAGTGCTATTGGCACCCAGTAGGTAGAGGCCAAGGATGCTGTTAAACATACTACAGTGCACCGGACAGTCCCACAACAAGGAATTATTTGGCCCCAAAGGTGCATAGTGCCAAGGCTGAGAAACCCTATTTTATATTAGGTTAAGTGAGTTCTATAATAAGGGCACAAAAAGGTTCTATGGAAGCCCAGAAAGAGAGCAACTAAATCAGCCTCATGCATTGGAAAGGTTTTTATGAAGAATGTGACATCTGAGCTCAGCCTTCATGGATTAATAAAAGCTTATTTGCTATGGAGGAAGGGGAAGGGCATTTATAGCATGGGGACCAGCATGTGCAAAGGTCTAGCAGCATATAGGAGCAAGGTGGATTTAGGGAATGATAATAGCTTCAATAAGGCTGAGGCTTAGCATCTGTGGAGCAGAAGAGGGGCAGGGGTACAGCAAGACAAGTCCACTGAGATGATATTGCAAAGCTCTTTCAATGCCGTACAGAACTCAGGAACCTTCAGTAGGATCAGGGGTCAGCAAACTACGGCCCAAGGACCAAATCGGGTCCATTGCTTGGTTTTGGATGGCCCGTTAGCTAAGAATGGTTGTCCGATTTTAAAAGGTTGAAAACAAAAATTGAAAGAAGAATATTTTGTGACATGTGAAAATGATATGTAATCCAAATTTCAGCTTCCGTAAATAAAGTTTACTGGAACACAGCCACACTCATTTGTTTATTTTTTGCCTGTGGCTGCCTTCACACTCCAACAGCGGAGTTGAGTGGTTGTGGCAAGAGACCACATGGCTTGCAAAGCCTAAAATATTTACTATCTGTCCCTTTACAGAAAAAGTTTGCTGACGCCTGAGTTAGAGAATTGAGAATAATGTGATCACACTACAAAAATCACTATGGCAGCAGTTTGGAAGATGACCCGGAAGCTGAGAAATAACAGGTGGAAAACTGTTATTAGTCCAAGCCAGATATTTATTAAGATAATGTATCAGTCAGGATATGCTAGATTGTGCTGCAGTAACAAGTACAGATTTCACTGGATTTCAAGTCTGGTTTCTCACTGGCAATTCATGTCTGTTGTAGGCTAACTGGGGTTCTGCTCCTTTCCATCCTCATTCAGAATCCAGACTGACAGAGAAGGCTTTATCTAAACTATTTTAGCTTTTGTGGGAGAGGGCAAAATAGACATAGCAAGTCACAAGCTGGCTCTTATAGGTTATGCCCGATAGAGACACACAATGCTTCTACTCATATTCCATTAGACAAAGCAGGTGCCATGGTTACTCCTGGGCTCAATGAGGCAGGACTGTAAAATCTTCCCATAGGGATGGGCACCACAGGCAGAAGCAAAATTAATAGAGATGAGGAGACAGAGCCTCTTGACATTAGACAGAGACAATGGGTGGGAAGAAGGAAGGAGAGGGCAGATATTAGGGGTGTACCTTGTTTTCTGCCTCTGATGCTTTGGTGCATGGTGATGGCATTCACTGAGATGGGTGGTCCAAGGAGAGACTGGGAAATAAGATGATGAATTCATTCGGGGCCAGGTGAATTAGGGGTGCCTGTAGGAATTGAGATGGGGGTGTCTAGTTAAGCATCTGGAAAAGTAGATTTGAACCTCAAGACAGGTGTAAGAAACAGAAATTGCCATCAATTTTATTTCCCTTGTGGTTGTAAAAAGTGATTGTCTTCCTAAGTGAGATGACAAGGTAAGTAAAGTGCTTAGCATACTGCCTGGCACAGAATAAGATACCATTAAAGATTTTAGCAATTCTTATTTTTCTTATGAATCAAGTGGAACCATGGAAATAATTCAAAAGCCGATTAATGATCTACCTTGCCTAATTCAGCCACATGGTCATTCCAATAAAACTGCTTGATGATACACCATTTAAAAAATAAATTCCTCCTGACCTGGAGCTAGTGTTATTAAGCACATAGCTTACTAACTTACATATCCTTACATAACCCACAGTCACTCCTGCGTTTGGATGGGATCACAATGCTATTAACCTGAGCAGATTTCCGAATAATTGAAATTCTGTAAGGATTCATATCTTTCCAGTAAAGTAAACAATGAGTCAGCCATTATTACTGTGTGTGAGAATTCCAGAGTTCAGGGCACATGTCAAAACTCAGGACGAGGTTTCAGGGACTGTCTATACTTTGTATTTCCCAACAGGTTAAGAAGAGAAATACACAGCAGCCCAGCCTGTAACACTGTTTGTTTACCCTGGGAAGGACAGGGTTTTTACCTCTGATAGAAGTAGTGGGCTTAGTAGAATCTAAGTTAAACTAAGCAAAGTTAAAATTAGAGATTTACAGGTAGACACAATCACATATCAGTATTGGTTTTTGTCTTCCAAAGCCAGTCAATTTTGGGGAGTAACTCCATCCATTTATTCAACAAATATTTGAGTTCTCTATATCCCAGGCCACTGATGTAGAATTTGGGGGAAAGGGTGATAAATAAGACAGACAAATTCCATGCTCTTACTTTCTGGAGGGGGATAGACATCAACAGATAAACAAATACATAGGTAATATAATGTTAGGTTATGATAACTTCAATGAGGGGAAAAAGCAGAGGAGGGTAGAGGGTTCATATGACATGGAAAACAGTATGTTTCTGTGTATGGTGTCCAGGTGTCCCTGTGTTACATTAAACAGGACTTTCAGGAAAGCTCTTATAAGGGGGTACTGCCTAGGCAGAGTTTGATGGAGAAAGATAGAACCATGGTGACGTTTCGATAGAATAGCTCTAATCAGAAGAAAGACAACATGCAAAGGTCTTGGGATAGGGAGGTACTTGGTGTGTTCAAAGAGTAGCAGAGAATCCCAGGTGAAGAGGTTAGACTGAGCTGAGGGAGAGGGCGGGGAGTTGTGTTCATGCAGGATCCCAGGGAGCCATTCAAGGGAAGCAGCCTGGAATTTATGAAGCCGATGGGGAGCAACTGGAGCACTGAGGGCAAGGCAAGGCAGCAGCATGATCTGATTCTCATTTCATAAGGACCTCCTGCCTTGACTGCTTGATGGAGAGGAGATTGTAGGATGGCAAAGGTGGAAACAAGGAGGCCAGTGATGAAGCGACTGTGGGTGCCCAACGACGAGGGTCATTGTGGAGGTGAGAAACATATTATTCGGGTACATAGTTTGAAGTCGGAGTAAATAGAATTTGCTAAGAGATTGAAAGTGGAGTTTGGGAAAATAAGAGGCACAAAAATGACCCCATGTATTTTACATCGAGCAACTGGGTGCTGTCATTCATTGAAATGAGGAACAAAGAGAGAAGAGCAGGTTTTGCTGGGTCAAGAGTTCTTTAGCCCTCTACATAGCCAGGGCCATGTATCCAGGAATAATTTATATCCTTATAACACTTGACATTTTGCAAGAACAATTTCATGCCAGCCATATGAGCAAGGCGGGACTGATGCTATTTGTTTCCATTTTGTGAGTGAAAATAACCAAGGCTCAGAAAGAGTAAGCCAGAGATAGCATAATAGATGGGACTATTTTGAAACACAAGACAGAAACCAACTCCACCTAGCAGAGGCACAAAAGAAAATGTATTGGCTTTTGAGAATGGGGTATCTAAGGATGGAGTTGGCTTTGGCTGTGGCTGGGATTCATGGCGAGTACTGTCCATCTGTCTGTCTGTTCATCTGTCCTTCCAAGATGTTACCTTTCAAGTCAAGGTAAATGTCCGGAGCCCATAGAAAGAGAACACAGAAGGCTCTGTGCATATATTCTTCCAGGATGACCTCCCTTTCACATGCTGAAAGACTCCTGCAATAACATCACAGCTAAACCCATAAAGATGGAAGATTGAGTGTTCAGCGAGTTGGCTGACAGGCTCTAGTTTAATTCTGATCTGGGAGAGGGGAATCCATCGGAACCCTTGTCACCTCACTGCCAGAAGAGATTGCCTTCTTTCTGCTCAGGAAACATAAAAGACTTCCTGCCTCCCAGAGAAGCATTTTCCCTGAAGCCACTCACTGCCGGCCCTTCTGGGTCAGAAATCTCCTGGACTTGGCTTCAGCTGGAGCTGACTTACAGGGAGGCCACTGCTTCTGTGTTGAGATTGGAAGGATTTTCAGCTAGGTGCCTCTGTACTCAAAATCCTAACAGTCAAAAGTTATTCAGCAGGTCTTCAGCTGTCATTGTTCCCCCTGGCTTCTCCTTTTGGAACATAGAAATATCCTAAACTCTTTGTCATTTCAAGTTACTTATGCCTTCTTGTGATTGACATTCTCATATACCCTCATCTTCAAACCTCCTCCTCTTTGTGTCCACATGACACGACAACCTGCTTGCTTTCTTCCCATCTCATTGGCTGTTTCCTCTAAGGATTCTTTGCTGATATCTCCTTCCCCATCACCTACCAATTTCAAAATACTGACATTCCTCAGGCATCACTCATGGGTCCTGTTTTCTACTCTATCTGGACTTTCCCTAGATGAGATCTCATCCATTCCCTGTGGTGGAGACCATTGGCTTCCTACTTGTTAGTTATCCTCCCTTCTCTGTTAATAGATTTTCATTTGGTTTAAGTTGGGACAGGGCATGTCTTCAGGAAAAGTGGATGACTCCTCCATCCCTAGTGGATGATCCATTACGGGATCTAAGCCAATCATGAGGGACCTAATGACCCTTTGCTCTTGATTGGTTTAGGGGTGAACATGTGATGCAGTTCTGACCAATGGGATCTTAAAGGAAGCTGGGATTCTGGGAGAAATTTCACGCACACTTAACAATTTCAGCCACCTTGAATATTTACACGCTCCTGAACAGTTGAATAAATTCTTCCTTAGGCCTTGAATGTTGTTTCCCATGTTCTCTAGCTGATGGAACTTTGACTCATGCTTCAAGATCCCATGCAAATGCCACTTCTTCTCTGTAGCT
Organism: Homo sapiens; assembly: GCF_000001405.40. Classification (NCBI taxonomy): domain Eukaryota; kingdom Metazoa; phylum Chordata; class Mammalia; order Primates; family Hominidae; genus Homo; species Homo sapiens. The sequence continues at coordinate 8,388,662 of NC_000016.10, read as the reverse complement.
CTCTCCGGCACTTTTTTTTTTTTTTTAAATCTCCAGGCTTTCTCCTCTGTGCTCCTGCAGTATCCCACACCTGTATCATGGGATCAATCAGGTTGCACGGTGAGTGTGTGTCTTTCTTTCTCAACTTTAAGCTTGCCCAGGACAGAGATGCTGGCTTGTTTATTTTTGAAACCATCCCAGTGGTTGGCACTCTACCTGACTTGAAGAAAAGTTTCAATTAAAATGAATGAAAAGTGCTATTGAGTGCAACAAGAAAAGATAGGTGATAATGACAAGACGAGCAACAGAGCCACATAGGGGAAATCAAGGGAGACACACAACCCTACTTTCCTGATATTTGCAGGATATTCACAGTCCTCACTGGGTCCTGCCTGCTCTTGTCCCTGATAACCTCTCTACCTAAAGTTTCTTACCACAAACTCACACTACTGGAAGCTTCAAGTTTTTTTTTGTTTGTTTTGCTTTTTTTTTACTTATTTTGTTTGCATAATTTCAAATTTTATTTTAGATTCAAGGCTGTAAATGTGCATGTTTGTTACATGGGACTATTGCATGACACTGAGACTTAGGGTACGAATGATCCCACCCAAGTAGTGAGTGTAGCCCCCAGTAGGTAGTTTTTCAGACTTTGCCCCACACAGTGACCCCAGTGTCTATTGTTTCCATCTTTATATCCATGTGTACCCAATTTCTAGCTCTCACTTATAAGTGAGAACACTCAATATTTTGTTTTTCATTCTTGAGTTAATTTGCTTAAGATCCAGCACATCCATGTTGCTGCAAAGAACATGATTCCATACTTTTTTTATAGCTGCATAGTATTCCATGTTGTGTATGTATCACATCTTCTTTATCCAGTCCACCATTGATGGGCATCTAGGTTAATTCCATGCCTTTGCTATTGTGAATTGTACTGTGATGAACATACAAGTAAGTCCCTTTATCTTTTTTGGTAGAACAATTTATTATAATTTGGGTATATACCCAGCAATGAGATTGCTGGGTCTAATGGTGAAACTTCAAGTTTTAAATCCACATATGTTATATTCTTTCAGGCTGCTGTGTATTTTCACTCTCTATCATTTTGCCTGGCATTTCTTCCCATTTTGTTAACTTTGTTAAACTCCTACTCATCATTCAACACTCTATTCCAATATCACCCTTCTAGGATGCCTTTGCAGGCCACTCTTGAACAGGCTTAATGACTCCATGTTCTGCACTTCCTCTGTCCTTTGAACACAATTTATAGGGTGGCAGCTGTGTCTGTGTGTTGCTCTTCATGCATCTACCTCCTATCCAGGACTGTAGATTCCTGGAATGCAGAGATCATGTTTTCTGTATATGTGTATCTCCATTGCCTAGCTCAGAGTACAGCATATCATGGGTTCACTAAGATTTGCCTGGCTGGGCTGGGCACGGTGGTTTTTACCTGTAATTCCAGCACTTTTGGGGGCTGAGGCAGGCATATCACTTGAGACCAGGTGTTTGAGACCAGCCTGGCCAACAAGTTGAAATCCTTTCTCTACTAAAAATACAAAAAGTAGCCAGGCGTGGTGGTGCACACCTGTAATCCCAGTTACTTGGGAAGCCAGGTGTGGTGGTGCACACCTGTAACCCCAGCTACTTGGGAGGCTGAGGCACAAGAATCACTTGAATCTGGGGGGTGGATGGAGGTTGCAGGTAGCCAAGATCTGGCCACTGCACTTCAAACTGGGCAACAGAGTAAGACTCTGTCTCAAAATAAATAAATAAATAAATAAATAAATAAATAAATAAATAAAGACTTGCCTGGCTGAACTAAATCTCTTGCTTCCTAAGTCCACTGAGACTTCCTCTGATATATCCATTCAGAGCCCACCACTGGATAGTTCATCCTCAATGCATATTTAGTGGGCTTTCCAATGGGCAAATATAATAATAGTCATAACCTGACATTTTGAGCACTTATTATGTGTCAGCATCACTTCAACTCTGTAAGATAGAGGTGTCTACATTTTACAAATGAGGCACAGAAATGTTAATTAACTTGCCCAAGTTCACAGAGCCAATAAGGGACAGAACCAGGATTCCAACTCAGAGTCTGACCCTGTGCTGGGTGCACTTTGGGAATTGATAGCTCCTACCAACCTGTTGTTAGGCCTTTCTGGCGTATTTCCCATGGCCCTGTCCCAGATCTTTGCAGCAGAGCTTTTAAATTCAGAAAACTGCTAGAATCACTCCTTCTTCCTCTGACTGCACAGAGCATGCCAATGTACATCACTGAAAGCCTGTGGCATGGTCTTCAATCTTTCCACACTCAGCCTCTTGCAACCTTGACCTTAGAGTTGTGAAGACGATCCTTACGGGGCTGTTACTCAGAGGAAAATTGAAATGATCCCTGTGGGGAGACTGCAGGATTTTAGTTCCAGCCTTCTAATTTCAGATCGGTCTAGAGAAAAGAACCATGCTAGCAGCCTGATCTGCAAAATTAGGTGAGCTCCGTTCTTTGCCTGTCTTAAGAAATATGGGCGCTGCTCTAAAAATCTTTTTTTAATCTCCTCTCTGGTCCATGTAACAGGAAATTGGTCTCTGCCATAGGCCAATAAATCTCCAACTTTTTATTGAATAGTAAAGAAAGACTTCAAGTCAAGTTCAAATCTCTTTGCTTGGAGCTTCTTACATAATACTGCAGCTCTGATACTTCAGGTCGCAAAAGCTTTAAAAAGGAGAAAAATGGAAAAGCTCTGCAGGTCAGTGGCCCTCAGGGATGATTTTTTTCTCCTTAGAAATAATGGCCTATTACTCTAAAAATCTTAAGCAAGGCATTCCCTTTGTCACATTACAATTGAGATGGGAGGATTAATAACTGGTAGTTTCCAGTTACATTTAAAATGAACATGTAGCAACTTCTCTCAAAAGACGAGCTGCGCAGTCCATGGACCTGTGATGGACAGCGAGTGGCACTGTCCAGGTGCCCTTCCAGGATTGAGGAATTTGTTCCTCCTGCTGCTGGGACTGTTGGTTGACACAGTTCAGCCAGTATGCTCTCCCAGACATGCTTTTGGCCTGAGGAAGCTACATGGACCACGGCCACGTGCTCTTCCCAGGAGCAGCCTGAATGCATTCGGTGAACATGGTGGGGAATAAAGGCCTGGCCCTCTTGCCTCAATCTGAGACAATTCCAAAAGCCATGCGCTCTTCAGAACTCCCCAGGGATTGGCTGAGGTCTTTGTTGCAACTGCATCTCTCCTCCCCTTCCTCAAACTTGGTTTTCTCTTTCTGCAGCAAGGGTTGATTCTGCAGGTGCTCTGCAGCAAACCTCCTGCCTGAAAATCTCAGTCTGTTTCCCTGGGGAATCCATCCTAACACAGACCTTGATGCACCAGTGAGTGTGAGAAAATGAGCACATTTGGGTTGGAAAGACCTTTAGAAGAAAACATACAGAAGGATACCAATTTTATAATGCTTTAAAACACACAAACATATGTACACTGTTTGCAGATGTATAAATAAAGGTGGGGGAATGATAAACACCAATTGCAGAAGAGTAGTTACCTCTTGGGTCAGGGGCAGTGGAGGGGAAGCTAAACAGGGTCCAGGCGCAGCACACAGAGGCTTCAGCTCCACTGGTAAAATTTTATTTTCTTGGCTGGGTCATGGGTGCATGGATATTTATTTTACTATTATTATGTTTTTTGGTGGTCAAGACATTCCATAATAAATACAAAAACCAAGGCCTATTCAGAGATGGAGATTTGAAATCCGGTCCTCCCACTGAAAAGCTGAGTACAGGCGAGTGACTTAACTTCTCTGAGGCTGTAGTTTTGTTCGTAAGAGGCAGAAACTCAAACCAACACCAGTGACTCTAGAAGAACTTAAAAATCAAATTGAAAGACCACCTGAAAGGAAGTCTGTTCTCTTTCCTCCAGGGCTTCATGATGTCTCCCGATTCTATTTCTGTGCGTGTATCTGTCTTATTCTCCTTGTCCCGCAAACGAACTTCCCCTGTTTCCTCGTCCGCTAGTATATTTGGCTGTTCATACCCTCTCCAGTCTACAGCATGACCTTCCTGCTTCAAGTTCCTTATTCCAAAATTCTTATTCTGAATTCCCAGGAGGTGAATCTCCATGGCCTCAGCTGAGATGAACTGTCTTTGCATTGAGTACTTACCCATAGTCCAAGCAGCTGGGGATAGCAGCCCTCATGGCTGGGGATCGGGGATAGATGATATTATTGTAAGATGCTCACTGCCTGTTTTAGGGTTTTCCAGAGAAACAGAACCAATAGGGGAGTCTACTTATCTATCTATCTATCTATCTATCTATCTATCTATCTATCTATCATCTATCTATATCTATCTATCTATCTATCTATCTATCTATCTATCTATCTATCTATCATCTATCTATCTATCTATCTATCTATCTATCTATCTATCTATCTATCTATCTATCTCCTATATATATCCCTGTATACATACAAGGGTGTTACATAAATATCAGAGGCTGTGGAGGGGGTCAGATTCCCAGGAAGGAGGAAGGAGGACAAGTGTGGATAGGTACCCCCCAAACATGTCTCATACGGATACCTACCATTTTCTTGTAGAGCTTTTATATAGTTGAATGAAAATAATGAATATTTAAAATAAGGCTTGGCATTAGAAGGCACTCTGCCAATGTTAGTCCCCTTCCTCACTATGCAAGTGTCACGTTGGGTATATTTCAGATCCAAGGTTGTATAGATTAAAGTTAATAGGGTTGAGAGTCAAATTTCTAGGGTTCAAATTCTGGCTCCACCCCTTACTCTCCGGTCAAGAAAATTAACCTCTTTTAGCTACAAGCTTCTCATTTGTAAAGCAAAGATGTTAATTAGTCTCTCTTCCATAGGGTAGTTGGAAGGAATAAATGAGATGATTTCTGTAATAGACTTTGTGGGTGACTAGCAGAAATAAAATTCTCTGCTGTCGAACCATGATTTTTACTATTATCAATAAACTTGTGAATTAGGAAAAATAAATTCTTGGATAAAGAATTCACACACTGATGAAATTTGGCCACTGCCTTCATGTCCATCAAACCAACCGGGGACACTTTTGCTAGAAATGTCTTGGGCAAGCTACAAACCCAATCCAATGCTTATTTAATTACTGCTTTCCATGTGCCAGATAGTGGGTGAAGCTCAGTTTCTACTGTCCAATTTAAATGCTAAAAGAAATGGAAAGCCAAAACGTTCACCTCTTGTCTGTCTTTAAACTAGAGTGAGTTGCTCACCTATCATTATCACTTGAGTTTACAAAGAAAAGCCCCAAAAGCTAGTTGGTAAAGATAGAATATACAGTACATAAATCTCTAAGAACAGTGCCTGGCACATAATAATTACTATTTAAGTATTGCTATTATGATTGTTACTATTATTGCTATCATCATTATTACTATTATATTTTCTCTCGAGGTCTTACGATGTGCATTTTCCCTCTAGTTCCTCTTCTTTTTAAAAAACATTTTGCCTCCCAGGTGCTTGCCCTGATTGCTGTCTTAAGACCCCCTGGATTTAGTGCTCACCTGTGTCTCTAGTATCTGAACATCTGTTCCTGTTGCTTCATTGCCTTTGTGGCCTCTTTGTTGCGTTTTCTCCTCGTTCCCATCCCAGCCTGCCGGAACCATCCCTCCATATGGTCTCTCGACCCTCCTAGAGGGGAGGGGTATGGGGATTGGGATACAAAGGTTAGAAGTTCAGGCCAGTTGTGGTGACTCATACCTGTAATCCCAGTACTCTGAGAGGCCAAGGTGTGTGGATCACCTGAGGTCAGGAATTTGAGACCAGCCTGGCCAACATGGTGAAACTCCATTTCTACTAAAATTAGCCAGGTGAGTTGGCATGTGCCTGTGGTCCCAGCTACTTGAGAGGCTGAGGCAGAAGAATCACTTGAACCTGGAAGGCAGAGGATTCAGTGAGCCGAGATTGCACCACTGCACTTCAGCCTGGGTGATAGAATGAGACTCTGTCTCAAAAACAAGCAAACAAGCAGACAAAAAACAAACAAAAAACAACAACAACGAGCAAAACACATTAGAAGTTCAGATACCTATAAGTTTGCTTTTATTGCAGGAGAGAGGTACTCCTTAAAGCTAGCCTACCCAAGACAGAAACTCAAAGAGGTTATTTTCCAGGAAGGTTTCTGAAGATATTACTTACCATCTCTCCTCCACAATGTAATCTACAGCAGACATCGCTGCAAAACGAGAGTGACCTACATTTGCACCAAACTTTCCTACCCTCCCAGGAGTGCACTGCTCAACCGTAAGACTCCCTGCTACAGATGGCTTTGTAGGCTGACCCCTGCCACCTTTCCCCGCAAAAAAGCAGTGACTGGTTTGATACCACCCAGACTCCGAAGTAATATTCAGCTTGCAGTCCCTTCCCCTCCCCCAGAAGCGGGTTATTTGCCAGATCCCAAATGGTCCGTGGTTGATGGATGGTGGGCGATTTCTACATCAGCACACCTTGGAGCCCCAGAGCTAACCCTCTGACAGCGTTAGCATAAAAGATTTACATTTATGTTACGAGGGCCACACAAGAATAATAATTTTAAGATACATTGCCTTGGCTGCTGGTGCACCCTGGGAAATCTAGTAGCGGCAGGCACTGGGCTGCCGCACTGTAATTACAAAATGGCAGTGCAGGAGAGGTTTTCTGGAGACAAGCAGCTAGAGACCAAAGCCATCTGCATGCCTTGGCGGATTGAAATTACGGTAATATATGAAGACATTACCTGAAAAACCCGGCACCATTTAAATGATTTACGCTTCAGCCCCAGCAAGCTTTAATTTAAGGATAAAGTCATTCAGAAAGCTAATCTGATAGGGGAGGCATTATTTCACACAGTTAAGTTAATTTACAGTAGCTGATTGTTGTGGTTGCTTTTGGTATTATTATCTTCCTGCAAACAGCTGATCTGCCAGACAGAAGCAATATACTGCTTAACATAGTGTCTTAATTCAGCAGGCAAGCTATCTGTGATAAAGATTTGTTTATAAGCAATAGTAGGAAAGTCATTTTGAGGCCATGCTGATAACACTGATGAGAAATATTTTTTTAAGGGGAAAATGCACAATTATATAAATGAATGAGCCAGCAAGCCATGTACTCGCACGTCGGTCTGTCTAGAGCTGCTGTCCCTAGTGGTCATTTTCCACTGGTGGGATCTTCTTTCCCTTTTCCATGCATTTCCCCCTGTTGGTCTCGTTCTGTGTCCTCTCCATGTTTACTGCAAGTTATCTTTACGCCTGGCAACAACAACTTCCCTGTTGCCAAACTGACTTCTCTTCCATGTCTTTGAGAGAGCCCTGTCTTGGGAGCCCAGTCAATTTGGTTGTCCCATCAGCTGCCTGCTTTCCACGAAAAAAGTGAACTTTGAGATTTGCCTTTAATGACTTTTTTTTTTTCATCTTTGGGAGACCCAGAGTGTGTTCTCTTATGGATGTTGAGGGAGAAAAACATCAGAAAGTGGGCATTTGAAAGGGAATTAACAGATTAGATGGTGGATGAAATTGGAGATTTTGAATGGGTTGCATACAAACCCACTTGCTGTTTCCATTACAAAAGTAAGAAGGTGTGACTGTGTTTTATAGTACCTCAGGCTGTTGAGATGATTCAGGGGCTGTATTAGCATGGGCAGGGGAATTTGTCTAATGGATTGCCTTCATCTGCTTAGAAATGTTTTCTTTAAAGATGAACAGTCTCTTGTGACCTCATGAGTTTATTTCAATAGCAGAGGCATAACTTTAGGAAAGGGGCTGAGGAAATGTTACCCAAAGGATCAGGACATCATTAGCCAATGGTCTAAGAAAGGTGTTTATAGGATAAGCAGCTGTTAGAAAGAACCAGGAAAGTCAGATTCATAAAGCTGAAAGGGGTTTAGCCCAGCCCATTCATAAGTAGCTATCACTTCCTGAGTTCTTATTATTGAGTAGGCACTGTGCTGGATGGATCTTACTCCATCTCATTCCCAGTTTATAGAGAAGTAACACAGATTTTAGAGTGCACATGATTTCTACCAAAATAGAGAGTGGGAGGGGTCACTTCCTATATGAGCTATATGAGAAGCAGCTTCCAAAGATGACCCTAGTGACGCCCAGCTCCATTGTTCATGCCTGTGTGTGGGCCCCACCGTGGAGTGAGGATTATCTCCATTCGACTGTAAGTTAAATAAGGGAGAAAAGCCCAAGGCAAACAAACAAACTAAAACCAAAAGCTTGGCTCGCTCAATTGTAACGCAGCACTGAGCACATTCTCTAGCATCTAATAGTCCCGGAATGTTTCTTGAATAAGTGAATGAATAAATAAATAAATGAGTTTCCTTAGCTATAAGATGAACGTGAAATATCTGTCTTACAGGATTATGGGGAGGAGTTAGTCAGTAAATGTTTGCTTTTACAGCAGAGATGTCTGATGAAGCTTTTCTTCCCTACCTCCTGTGTCCTTACAAGCAGGGTGGACTCCCCCATTTCTGATTGTGTTTTCCCCAGTAAATCTTCTTTATGGTGCTTTGAAGAGCAACGTTGCCTTTTCTGAACATTTTTAAGGGAGGTAGTGGAGTGTTGGCATGGCACGTATCACACAATGAATTCCCCATTTGATTTTTCTTTTTATCCCCAATTTCCACCCTGGTGAGGCCATCAGGAGAGATCCTCTTCTTCATCCCTTCCATTCCCGATGGAGTGACCAGTTCTGTGCCATGTTTTCCACCTGCTTTTCAATATTAAATCTTCCCCCGCCATCAAACACAGTATCTCCTCTCTTCTATGTTAGACCTGGTACCAGGATATAGACGCCTTGCTTCTAACCTATAGCAGGTTTATCAGATAATGTCAATGAAAGCAAGTCTCTCTCTAAGATAAATGCTCACTCCTTCTGCTAAAAAGTATTTTACATAATTATCCAAATCACCTAGGGTCTGGAATATATTAAGTATGCATAAATATCGGTTCCTTCATCTCATATATAAAAGCATATATTACAAAGAAAAAAAGTTAAAAATAAAGACAAAGGGATACAGATATTAGAGAAAGAGTCAGAAAGCAGTGGTGACCCTCTCCCCCAGGATGGAGAAGGAAACTGCTTGCTTTGCACATGAACGGTTGTGACTCATCCCTGTATGATTCCCATCAGTGGGGGCTGCAGGCTTTAAAATAAGATTTGATTCCGTTTCAAGAACCTCTCTTCAGCCTTCGGAGGAAGAAATGGATCTAAGGAAGAAATTCCAATGGAAGTTGCTCACCTTCGAGGGCAGAGATGCTGCCACATAAATTCTGAGACTCTCCAGTCCTCTGGGTTGCACACTACTGGTCCGAGTGCATGCAGGCTTGTTTTATTTCTGACGTGTGAAAGGAAGTCAGCATCTGACACAGCTTGGAGAACTTAGGATGATCAAGCTCTTCCTGGGAAAGGTGTATTCTCTTGTCAAGGTGGGGACACAGTTGTCCGACCCAATTCAACATCCTTTCCCAAGCTGTCCTTCTTCCAGCCAGGTGTCAACTAGCATATACTACACACCAGGAGATGAGCTTTTTAAATCGATTATCTCTGCATTAGACTGTAAGCTTTGTGAGGGCAGGCTTTCCGTCACATACACCATTGTTTTCCCAAAGTCTAGCCCCGTTCCCAGCATTTAGTAACCACTCAGTTCTCTCCACTCCCAAGCACTTTTCTATAGTGATAGGTCAGAAATTCTTTTTTTTTTTTTTTTTTTTTTTTTTTTGAGACGGAGTCTCGCTCTGTCGCCCAGGCTGGAGTGCAGTGGCGGGATCTCGGCTCACTGCAAGCTCCGCCTCCCGGGTTCACGCCATTCTCCTGCCTCAGCCTCCCAAGTAGCTGGGACTACAGGCGCCCGCCACTACGCCCGGCTAATTTTTTGTATTTTTAGTAGAGACGGGGTTTCACCGTTTTAGCCGGGATGGTCTCGATCTCCTGACCTCGTGATCCGCCCGCCTCGGCCTCCCAAAGTGCTGGGATTACAGGCGTGAGCCACCGCGCCCGGCCCAGAAATTCTTAAAAGGATGCAATTGGATATCCCTGACTTCCCCTTTCACTCTCACCTCCCCCATTGTACCCCTCCAATAGTTCTGCAAGCCACATCCACCTCCATTCTGGCAGTCTCCTTAGTCTGAAAGACTGTGATTGTCCCATCAGATGAGTTCTATTAAACATGGGCCCCCATCCATTCAGAAGTACCAACTTCTATTCCACACGCCATGTCCATTTGACAAGAGAGAAGTGGATTAATTAACGTGGTGGGTCTGTCTTCTACCTCACTGTCTTGTGCTGCAATGGAGACCAAGAAAAATCCATTACATTATACTTGGAGATAGCTGAAAGAAAGTTTAGATTAAGTTTATCTCTCAAGGCAATTTTATTAGATAGATTAAGTTTCTGTTCATATCTCTGAAGACCGTAGTAATAACCAGTGTCATGACTTTCAAATCCTTTCGACTGCAGAGGGTAATCAAACATGGTTGTCTTTTTATCCCTCTCCTTTACTTGTTAGTATTCTACAATACTGACTCGTTCATCTGTCAGAGGGATGGTATTAAGGGGATCAATGTTGACAAGTGATAGTACAAATTATGTAATGCTGATGACATTTCACTATCTCCTTTTGATCTGCAATTCCCACTCTCAATCACTCCTTATTTTATGAAAACTATTGAAAGAGAAAGGCAGCTGTGGATGCCATTGACTTCAGTCCTTAAGCCCCAGGGGTAAAGCAGGGTGAATTTGAAGAGTAGAGGAGGTTTCTGAATTAGACATGGGGCCTGGGAAGATGGCCTGACTGACAGAAGGGGAAATTGAGGTCATCTTCCTACAACAGGCCTTTGACAGCTACCACTTGGGACCACATGACTGTAGTCCCACGAAATATTTGACATGTTAGGCCCATGCTGGTTATGGACTTTCTGTCTCAAGCATATATCCTTTGACTTCTCCTCCATAGGGAATTCCACCCTTCCTTTTGGGGAATTGATGGACGATAATTTAAAAGGAAGAACTGAACTGGTTTTGTATGAAGAGTGGAAGATTAGAATGACAAGTACAGGGGTGGGAGTGGCTATCTTCCCTGGTGTGGGGGGAGTACTACGTTTTGGACCAAGCAACAGATAACTAAATAAGAAGAAACATGTTCAAAGCACAGCAGAAGACACTTTTGTGGGGAAGGGGAACACATCTTCCTTCCTCACAATGCTTCCTTTCTCATGAAAGAATCTTTGCTAGTGTAATCCCCTAGACATTCTCCCTGCTCTATCGATGCATCTCTCTTTATAAACCTAAAGGAGAATGGCTATTCACAAACGTGGGTTCTGAATTGAGAGAGGTATGCCACTTTCTGGTTGGGACCTCAGATAGTTGCTTAATTTCAGCGAATCATGGTTTTCTCATTTGCAAAATAAGAATAATAGCACCAAACTTGCAGGGATGCTATAACTCATAAAACAGTAGAGTCCAGAGTCTTCCAACTTCTCAGGTACTTACTAGGAGAGTTCATAAAATTTTATGAAAACATCTCCTGTGGAGTCAGATTTGGTCTAGGGCTTTACCTGATTCCTGTGATCTGATACATGTCATATGACCAATAAAATCTTTTATGCTTCTTTCAGCCAAATGGACTTTGCCTTCATTTACTTCATGACACTGGTCATGAAGGGCTACAGTAATGGATGGGTGGGATGAGGTTTGATGGCTTTAGCATAATTTACTTGCCTAACTCTTTCAGTACATTCATTTATTTCAAAAATATTCATTAATCACATACTATGAATTAGTGCTTTTCCAGGCATTGAGGATTTAATGATCAGTAACACATATAAAATCTTGATTGTTGCAGTTGGTCAGTTCATTGATGGAATTAGCCTTGTTTCATGCATGTTGGTATTTCTATGACCTGTCACGTTATCTGGAGCACAATGGGCACTCAAAAAATGTTTCTTGAATAAATGGATAGACAAATGCATACAAACCATTTATATCCTTCCTAACCACCAATACTGGGTTGCAGAGAGACTGAGTCATTACTGGGAAAGTTTCTCAAGACATGAGAAAACACTGTTGCTCAAGACCAGCAGTGAAGGCTAGGAGGAAGAAATAGGATTTAAGACCACATTTCACCACGAGGTATTCTTCAGAAAGTAAAATAAAAACAAATAGAATTTTATGAATCTATTTTTGCCTATGGCCTGGAAAAGCCCTTATGTCAAAAATCCCCACCTCTAAATTATGCTTTGTCTTCCCATTATAAATTTTATTAACCACTCTTTTATTAGCAATCTTATTACAGTTGATCTGCACATGAACAGAAACAATTTACAAATGATCAGGGTTGGATTAGAGAAACCATAAACTCAATGCAAATTGTTACAAATTATTTACTGGCTTAGCACAAATCTGCATATAGATTGAAGAAGTCAATCAGAAAGGCACCTTCAGGTATTCTTCACAGGATATGATTGTAAAGATAGTTGCAGACTGGTATGCGTCGTATGGAATAGAAATGAAAATAAATAGATTCATTTGTCGAATACACTTAGGTGTGGGTCTTCTCGTTTAATCAGAACTTTGGAGCACTGGATATCTGGGAAAATTTAAAAAGGGGAAATGGGAGGGGGTTGGAAGTGGGATTACTATAAATATAAGGTCAGGACTCAGAGGCATATAGAGGAATTTTGGAAAAACAAAAAATGGAAATATTGACCCAGCACATAGAGAATATTTTTTATGTTTAATTTCGTTAATCTTCCAGCAACTCTATGAAACAGGGAGACCATTATTTCTGTTTCTCAGGTGGAGGAACTGAGGTTTCTCAGCATGGCCAAGGTCACACAGAGATCACGGCTTGGATCTGAAACCTCTACCTCCACATCTGAGGAACCATCAATGAAAGCATGGCCTGTGTTATTGGAGTTGTTTCTGTTTTGTGAGGGAGGGGTGCAGGTTCTTGGGAATAGTTCTGAAGTCCTAACTCTCTGCCAGCACCATAACACTTGAATAAATCCAGATTACCCCTTTACTTCTCCTTTAGTTGACGGGGTGGAATAATTTAATGCAAAGAATTCAGGGCTGGGCAACTGGAGGAAAAAGCTCTTCTATCCAACTTGCTATAGGACCTTGAACAATTATTTTCTCCTCTTTGGGGCTTGGCTTACTTTGGTTGGGGGACAATATTAGATTTCTCTAAGCTCTTTATATGTTTACTTTAAACTCTTTATATGTTACTTTTGGCTCAGGGCCAAAAAATGTGACTACTTATGTATCCTCTACAGACCCATATTATTCCTTTGGCAAAAGGGGAGTTGGACAAAGCTGAAGCTCCCATTCCCTACTCCCACCTCTCGGAGCTGCATTCTGTCTCCTCTCTAGCATTTCACAGTTCCCTTCTCTCAATCAAAAACTTTTCTCAGGTCATTTTTCAATCCTAGTAACTCAATTCTTTGCCCAGGGATATTCGGCTTTTAACAAAGATCAGAATCTTCATCCAAATGATAAAACACTTAATGGTGATATTTCGGATCTTTCCATTAAATGGGGAAGGTTTTTGGCAACCCGGGGCCTTCTCAGAGCCCTGAAAATTCAACTACATCTGCAGTTATTTATTCTTTTAGATTCCAAGGCTAATGTTGTGGATCTTTGGGGATGGGGTGGAGATGATGTGTTACCATTTCACTTTTTCCATGCAGGATAAAGTTTTTTCTTTTCTACTTCCTGCTGTTGCATGGTGTCAACAATAAGTATAAGAAATGCTAAAACGAGAGACGTTCTCTACCTTCTGCTTCCTTACCAGCTGTGGGACTCATCTCACCGCGTGTGAAAAAAGAGCATCATCACTATATGAATAGTAACAAGAGGTACATTTTTTAGATGCTTCCCATGCATGGGTCAGGCATGACTCAGAGCCTTGTGTGCTCTATTTTACTGAATGCTCACAACAACCAATAGATCTGATATTCTGTTATCACCTCATTTTACAGACTAGAAAAATACGGATTTGGGAGGATAATTTGTCTAATTGCATACAACTATGAATTAGAAGAGATGAGTCTATCTCAGTTCTGTTTGACTTCAAAATCTATATCCTTAACTAATAAACTATGTTCATCGTAGGAGTTTGAAACATATGGAACAGGATCAGGCAGCTTTTCTAGATCTTTTCCATCTCAAAGATAGAATTGATAAAGTTTCACAGTTACTTAGACAGTATCTGGTCCAACGCCCCATTTTGCAGAGAAAGAAACTGGGGCAATAAAACAGGGATTTTTATAAATATATATGAAGATGGCGGCATTAGGAATAACATTGGGAGCAATAGGGAAATGGCTAGGCATTAAACCTTGACTCTTCTCTCCAGAGGCAGACACTCACACATCGTTAGGAATGCCATGCACTGCACAACTCTAGGGGGCACCACTTGCATTGGCCATGTGGTGGTAGACTGTCCCCTCTCCTTTCATTCTCCCTACTCTGTCATATAAGGCTAGAGTATTTTCTTATCTTCCTATAATTTTATTTCATAACAATTTCAAAGGTAGAAGAGAGCCAGCATTCCTTTTTTTATCTTCTTTTTTTTTTTTCCTTTTTCCTAAAACAGAAGCTGAGAGCTTGCAGAGACTGGGTTGCTGGCATCAATGGGTTTGGAGAATGCTAGCGAATCAATCAGGATCTGCACTGTGAATGCCTGGCATGGATTTTTTTCTCTTTCTTTTCATTCTTTGTGTGGGGGGTGTGTGTGTGTGTGTGCACAGGAAACTTTGGTGCTTTTCCACCAGCAAAGGACTCAGGAGCCTGAAGCTTGAAGTAATTAAACAGCGGCAGTATAAACTGTACTCAGGCTTGCTTTGTACATGAATCTCCTCTTTTGCTCTATTAACAAACGCCCCACTAGCTCTGTGCTCTGCATTCATTAAACACCCTGCACCTGGGATGTTTCAGAGCCTGCTGACATGGACTCCCTCAGAGTGCAATCCAGAGTTTGGGGCCCATAAGGGAATTCCATGCTGCTGTTAGCAATCTTTTAGGCTGCTCTGAGGTTATGCAGAATAAACTTAGCAAAGTCAATAGGACCTCTGCAGGGACTTCTGATGTGGTACCCACGCCTATGACTTTGTTCCTCTCAAAATGCTCAGCCCAAGTCCTCAGGAGTTGAATTCGGATAAAATTGAAAGGTAAACTAGTTATACTGGGGACATTTGAGCTTTTGTGGTTTGACTTGTGTCAGCATTTCCCAACAAAATCGAGTTCTTTGGGGATTTTGAGATCTGCTTTAAATGTCTTTTTTCATCCTTATTATTATTCTGTCTAGTTCTGAATCTAGCTCCATTACAGGTTCTGATATTTGGACAAAATAAACTTCATTGCCACTCTCATCATGTGTGGCTCAGGTGTAAATATATTTATTACAGATGCACACATACTCTTTCATAAGAAAACAAACACTCATGGATTCTGTATTTGTTCAAGATGGTTTTAGTTGTAAGTGACAGAAACACAAATCAAACTGGTCAAAAGGAAATTTAGAGATTTGTGTAGGTGAGAAGTTTGAGGGCGGGTCTAATTGCAGACTGATTTTGTGTTGGTAGGACTTTGTCTCTCTGGCTCTCCATCTCCCACCTCTGCTTGCTTCAGCCTCTTTTTTTTTTTTTTTTTTTTTTTTAATTTTTATTTTACTTTAAGTACCGGGATACATGGGCAGAATGTTCAGGTTTGTTACATAGGTATACGTGTGCCATGGTGGTTTGCTGCACCTATCAACCCGTCATCTAGGTTTTAAGCCTCACATGCGTTAGGTATTTGTCCTAATGCTCTCCCTCCCCTTGTTCCCCACCCCCAACGGGCACTCGTGTGTGTTGTTCCCCTCCCTGTGTCCATGTGACCTCATTGTTCAATTCCCACTTATGAGTGGGAACATACGGTGTTTGATTTTCTGTTCATGTGTTAGTTTGCTGAGGATGATGGCTTCCAGCCTCATCCATGTCTCTGCAAAGAACATGATCTCATTCTTTTCATGGTTGCATAGTATTCCGTGGGGTATATGTGCCACATTTTCTTTATCCAGTCTGTCACTGATGGGCATTTGGGTTGGTTCCATATCTTTGCTATTGTAAATAACAGCCTGCCATTTTCTTCAAAGAGGAAATCACTCCATGGTAGGCAAGATGGCTACCAGTAGCCATGGAGTAGAAAATGCCCTTATCTCAACATTCATCTCAGGGGAGAATGATTGGCCTTGCCTGGGATCATGTGCCAACCCTGAGCCAATCACAACAGCTGTGGGTGGGATCAGGGATTGGTCCGGGTCTCACACCTAGGGAGTGTGATTCGCAGCTCTTCCAGCACCACAGGAAGTGGAGAGCCGAATCCCTGTTGCATCCTGGCTGTGTGCCTGAGCAATGTCCTTTTCAGTTTCACTGCTTTGTAGTTTCTTCAACTGTGGAAGTGGTGGCATACTACTCATCTCACAGGCATTATCAAGGATTAAAGGAAATAATGATATGTATAATAACCACTTATTGAGGAGCACTGATGATAGACACCAGACACTTAATAGACACTTTCTTATTTACCTTTTATTCACAGCCCAATCCACAAGCTGGTCATCCTGAGAACTTGTGGATTGGGATGTGAATAAAAGGGTCCATTGCTCAAATATCTGTGCAAAGGAGCAGAGTTCCTGACTAGAGAACTACTCAGAGTCTTTAGCATGAATATCCCCAAACCGATTGCCAAACCAGTTTTAACCAGGGAGCTTTTTGGTCGTGGATCTTCTTAAGATAACTGCTGCTCCACATGACCCAGTTGTAGAAGCATGCTGTTTATATTTGAAAGTCTAAGTCCTAAATAAAGGCAGACCATGGAGCTTTGTACATGGCTTGCCTTGTTTTGGCTACTTCTAACTAGTTGTACTAAATTTCTTGTTAATAAGCTAATAAGCTTTATTATGAAATAATAAAAGTAAATTAGTTAATATTCAAATTAAAGCCAGCTAATGGATTTATTGTGGATATGATTAAGGTCATAAAATGGTGTTCCCATCAGGATAAACTGCTCTCAGGCTTTAGTACCAGGAGACTGGAACCTCACTCAAGCAGCTGGCTAATTTATAATTTTCTGGAAACAGTTTCCCTCTTTGCTTTGGCTGCCAGGAAGCTCAAAGTCAAATGTTGGCCCTACTTCTAGCAAGTGCACAGAACTTGTGTTATGCATTTTGTGTATTACTTTATCCTTGGCTGTATTTCTACTTTTTATATTACCTTTTTTCTAATTTTAAACATTACCTATGTTCATGTTGTTTTACTTCTGTAGGTGTCTCAGATCTTTGTGGAGTTGAGATGGGCCTCTGAAAATAAATAAATAAAATTAAACAAATGCAGGTGGGATCTCAGGGGCCTTTTTCTGTAAAGATAATGTTGGCTGTGCTAATGCCCTTTCTCCTTCACTGCTAATGTCTTGGCTTTGCTTGGTGCCACTTGTTCAATTATAGTGCCAAGCTCCCGTTTTACAAGGCTTCCTTTGAGCACATCTAATCAGAAACTGCTCCTCACTGCAGTCTCTTTGTTCACTGACTGGAAACTTAAATGCCTCACTTTGCCTAATAAATAAGCCAGGGGCTCAAACTTGGCCTTAGCATTTACTTAGAAAATGGAACTGGCGAAGCTCTGAAGCACATGCATAGCCAAGGCCATTGGAAGGTCAGGCATCTGTCAGGTATTTCAGGAAGGTTGTATACTGCCCCATTTCCTCCCACATTTATTGGGCATTTTTTTTTTTCTAGAGCTCTCTGGGCTTGCTCTTAGCTTGGCACAGACAGCATTGGGTAAATCTACTGGTGTAGGGATGAACGGGTGACTCACTACCAGGTGACTCATGGCTCTTGCATGTGGGCTAAAATGTGTGACGTGGAAGGCTGAGTTAAGTCTAAGTGACCATCTGTGAAGTTTTGGTTACTTTTATCCACCTGCTTTTTCTGCATTGAACATTATTAGGTAGCAACTATCAAAGGGGTATAAAACAGTGAGCCATATCCATTATAAAGAGGCCATGATCTGAAAGTAGCCCCATGCTGTTTCCCATCTTGGGCTCAAATTCTGGCTTCATTGTTATTCACAGTGTGACCTTGGAGAGTTTTCTTAAGTCTCCAAGTTTCAATTTCCTCATTTATAAAGTAGGGACATTCTTAGCCCCTCCCTTAGTATTAGTGTAAAATCACTGAGATTGTGCCTTTGCACACAAAGTCTATTCACAAGTTCAGTGATCTGTGAATAGACTGAATATTTACTTCCTCTACAAAATCTGTTTGTTGAAACCTAACCCACAATATGATAGCATTTGGAGGTCGGATCTTTGGGCAGTAGGTAGGTCATGAGGGTCGAGCTCTCATGGGTGCTGTTAGTGTCCTTATGAAAGAGACCTCAGAGAACTCCCATGCCCTTTCCACCATGTGAGGGCACAGTGAAAAGTTGGCCATCTATGAATCAAAACATAGGCCCTCACCATACACTGAATCTGCTGGGGCCTTGATCTTGGACTTCCCAGACTCTAGAACTGTAAGAAATAGATGTCTGCTGTTGATAAGCCACCCAGTCTATGGCATTTTGTTATAGAAGGCCAAACAGACTAAGACATGCCTTTTCTCCTCTTCACCCCCAATTTACCTAGTTGACTTCTTTCTGCTCCCTCTTTAGCTCTTGGTTTAGGATATGTTTCCTTGTGTGAAGACTTCCTTGATCTTTCTGACTGAAGCATATCTCTTATCATAAATTTTCATCATCATACTCTGCATCCTTCTCCCTGATACCTGTCAGAGTTGCATTTTGACATTTGGTTGTATGATTATTTAGTATCTGTCTCTCCCAGGAGACTGTAAACTCCATGGGGGCAGGCACTGGGTTGTCTTCTGTTCCCTTGTGTCCTCAGTGCTTTCCTCTGGGATGAGCTCATAGTGTAACTCAAAATAGAGTGAACAGTAATTAATGAATAAAGATGGTATGTGGATGGTGTTGCTCAGAATCTGCAGAGGAGACAGAGGAAGGTGCTAACTTGAGCATCTAGCAACATTTACCATGTATGACTCCATTCACACATTGCTATAAATAAATACCTGAGACTGGGTAAGTTATAAGAAAACAGATTTAATTGGCTCATGATTCCAATTAAAGGAAGCATGATGCTGGCATATGCCCAGCTTCTGGGAAGGCCTCAGGGAGCTTTTACTTATACTGGAAGCCAAAGCTGGAGCGGCCATCTTCATATGGCCAAAGATGGAGGAAGAGAGAAGGGGGAGGTGCTACACGCTTTTAAACAACAAGATCCCACAATAACTCACTCACTGTCATGAGAACAGCACTGAGGGGATGGTGCTAACCCATTCGTGAGAACTCCACCCCCGTGATCCACTCACCTCCCACCAGGCCCCACCTCTAACACTAGGGATTACAGTTCTACATGAGATTTGGTGGGGACACAGATCCAAACCGTATCATACTACAAACCAGATATGGTACTATGTGCTTTACCTAGGTCAACAGATTTAAATTTCAACACAAACCACCTTGAGGCAGGAGTTGTGTTGTGTTCATCTTGTATCCCCAGAGCCATGTTGAACATACATGTTAGGTCCAATGAATGTTGCTTGCATTAAAAATTTAAATAAATGAGCAAACGGACCTTCATGACACATATGGAGGTAGAAAGTCACCTACCAAAGATTTTCAGCATTGCTAGGATGGAGGTCTGAGTCCTCTTTCTGTCTCATTTCTTGGCGGTACCAGGCTAAAAATTGACAGCTTCTAATTAGACATGCCTCCACCCCTACCTCTTGCTCAACCACAGCCTATGAGAGTTGGTGTGCTCTTTATTTATTATACATGTCTGCATATTGAGATAATTGGGTTGTAGAATATTGCATGCAGACTAATCTGAGAATGATTTCTGCTGAATAGAAATTACTTATTTTGATTCCTCGGGGGTTTGTTTTGTCAAAACTCATGTAGTATTTAGGAAAGTAATCATTGTTCAATTGCCGAGCACAGGAAGAGTAAAATTATCCTAATAAGACAGAAAAGAATGCAGAGAATGACTGTTGCTGACCTCATCAACTTGATTAGTGATGGTGTTTCATCACCTTCTCAAGGCCTAACCTCAAACGCTGCCCGTGAAGATCACCATGTACCTCTTTATCTCACTGGCCCTAATGAGATATGCAATTTGTCATATGGTTGTTCAGCCGGAATAGAAACAAAAAAAAATACAGAAGAAAGAGGGTATTTCTGATTTTCATAAGAGAACTACTCAATCACACATTTATAGCTAAACTAGAAGGGTAGTTTTGAAAGCCAGAAGCCTGGGTTTTCCATATATAGATACATGCTCTGTGACCTTGACTTAGTTACTTAACCTCCCTGAACCCCAGTTCTTCATCTGTCTGATGGAGTTAGTAATAATACCTACCTTATGTTAGCTTCTTGTAGTCAAGAATCTGTTTTGTTCATCTGCCTCATTCAAGAGGGTCATCAACCATTTGGCCCTTCTTGCTTTGCAGGAAGCTTTGAAGTAAAACATACCCTTGTGGAAATTTTGGGGCAACCTATACAAAAAGTACCCATGCAGTTTTCCTTCGGCATCTTCATGTGTAAATAAGAAATAGAAACACAGGTAATAAAAGTGCTTCCTATGAATTATCTCCTTGCACACATGTGAGGACACTCAGAGGTGGGTTGAAGAGACATGCTCAAGGTCACACATTCAAGGTCACACAGGGAGAATGTGGGATTCAACATCAGGTCCCAGTTTTTATATTTCTTTCTGTTCCTCTGACTGGTGCTGATAATACGGGGCTGTTATGATGACCCAGAAGAAGCTGTTTCTTTTTTATATCTAATGAAAGTTGAGGCCCTATGTCTGAATAACCTACCACCATGGTAGGTGCAGGAGTGGTTAAGAGGATGAGCTCTGGAATTGCAAAGCCTGCATTGGAATCTTGGCTCTGGTTTTGTTTAGGTATGTGAATGTAGGCAAGAACTTAACCTGTCTGTGGAGGGTTAGAATGAGGATTTCAAATTCTCTGATGCTATGTCATTGAGGTGTGTGCTCAAGGTTCCTTTCCCTTGCATCTAGGTAGACTTCCAATGGTTAAAGTAGATGTTGGTTTAGGAGATGTTTCCTTGTGTGAAGACTTCCTTGATCTTTTTGATTGAAGCATATCTCTTATCGTAAGTTCTCATCATACTCTGCATCCTTCTGCCTGACACCTGTGACAGTTGCATTTTGACATTTACTTGTATGATTATTTAGTGTCTGTCTCTCCTAGGAGACTTTAAGCTCCATGAGGGCAGGCAGTGGGTTGTGTTCTGTTCACCCTTGTGGCCCCAGTGCTTTCCTCTGGGAAGAGCTCATAGTGTAGCTCAATACAGAGTGAACAATGAAGATGAAGTTGTAACAGGCAAAGTGTCTGCTGCTGGCCTACTCGAAGGTCTCCATGCTGTGAGGAGGCTCAGATACTTGGAGAGACCACCTGTCATTATTCCATTTGACAGCTCCAGCTGATCTGGGCCTTCAAGTCTCCCCAGCCAAGTGTCAGATGTGAGTGAAGATCCTCCAATTATTTCCAGATATCAGCCACTGGAGTCACCTCAGCCAGTCACATCTTCCCAGCTGAATCCCTCAGTGTGATGGAACAGAGACACACCATGCCTGCTGTGCCCTGTTTGAATTTCTAACCTATCAAATCTATGAGGATTGAAAAATGGTTGTTTCACACAATTTGTTTTAGGGTTGCTTGTAACGCAGCAAGAGTAACTAGAACCCAGGCTAAGTCTCAAAATCCTCATCCACATGATAGAGGTAATAATAATGTCATTCTTACAGGAGAGTTGAGAACCAGAAGTTGAAGAGCTTAACATCGTATCTTACACATAGTAAGTCCTCAACAAATGTGGATGATAAATAATGTTACTACATAATAGTATCATTAGCATCGTCTAATAATTTGGCCATTGAGTATGGGAGTTAGGAAACCTGGGACACCACCCAGGCTGGTGTGTTGTAACTGAGACAGGGGCTGCAGCCTGTGGGCAAAGAAGCAATACCGGCTGTCAGAAGCTTTTGTTCTGCCTCTACCTCCTGGGAAATAATGTGGCTTCCATAAATGTCGAGGGCAAGCAAAACCAGAGTATTTGCTATGATTCCAAAAGTTTTCAGAGGAGGCAACTTCAATTCCTTTACAAACTGCACAGTCCTAAATTATCACTAACATGGTACTGAGTGAGGAAATTTCATGCCTCTAAGTCTCCCCCTCCAATTGCCATGTTAACAAACTCCAGCAAGTTGGTCTGTTTGTTCTATGCAGCAGGAAACTCAGCTGGGGACATAACTGGCAACTTGTGCTCTCTTTCCTCCCTCCTCTGACTTCCACGGGCCCCCGATGGAGTCTCTTGACACTTCTCAGCCTCAGGAGTGGGCTTCTGGATCTTTTCCCCATCCAGGTATTTTTTTTTTAAGTGAATACTTTCTAAACATTTACTATGTGTCAAACAGTGTTCTAAATGTGTTCTATGCATTCTCTCACTGAATCTTTGCAACAACCCATTCTTTTCATGCCCATTTTAAAGATGAGGAAGCTGAGGCTTGGTGAGAAAAAGCAACCTTGCCAAAGCTACGAAATTATGGAGTTCGAAAGTGCGGGAAACTGACTCAGCTCCAGAGATTAGAATTGTTTTAGACTCTGCATGCTGACTCTTGATGTGAGACACTTAACTCTTCTCCCACCCCACATCCTTCATAGAGGTGACTTCTGGTCTGACGAGGGATGTTATTCATCTCTTCAGTCCCTTGAGTTTAGTTCAGGACCATGCCAACAGAAAATGTTGGACAAAGTGTTAGTCCAATGAACGGGCGCAAGGGAGACCACCGCAGTGATGTGACTGAAACAGGGACTCCTAGTTGAAAGCATGAATTATTTTTTAGGGTCCAGGGCCTTTGAGGAGACATCTTAGTTGTTGGGACAACCTTAGTGGAATTGCAATAAGAAAATACAAAGTGAGAGGCAAAGGGTTACTGAAGGTTACTGTCAGCATATCTCATGGGAGTCCCGAATTGTAACCTCTCATTGAGTCAGGAACTGGGATTTGGAGAGACAGCACGACTCAGCTTCCTCATATTTAAAATGGGCATGAAAAGAATGAGTTGTTGCAAAGATTCAGCAAGAAAATGCATAGAACACATTTAGAATACTGTTTGACACATAGTAAATGTTTAGAAAATATTCACTTAAAAAATACCTTTAAGTTCTTTTGTCCTATCTCCTGAAGGAAAGGTCCTTGTAACAGATCAATAGAACAACTGACGTTTTTTTCCCATCATCTTCCGTTTATGACTCTCTCTGAATATCTGATTAATTTTTTCTCCCTTTACAGGGGAGAAAATCTTTTTTTTTTTTTTTTTTTGCGTTTTTCTCTTCTTTGCTCATTCTATGGACATAGGATGACCTCCAGAGTTTTCCCATCTTGGTTCAAGTCCCAGTTTCAAATTTCAGAGAGAAAGCCTAACTTCTCAAATTGGTTGTGATGTTCCTTGCTAGTCTGATGTCCAGTTGCCTGAGGCGGTGAGGGATAGGATGCTGAGTATAAATATGGTGGCCAGAAACCCTGCTCCCAAAGTTGAGGGAAAAATTGAGGGGGGAAAACACACCCAAATGTGAATACCAAGGGCTACTGCATCAATTTCTAACTAGATCTGACCTAATGATATCTGAGTTAGGGGGTAAGAAAATAGCTGGCTTAAATTCGCCCCTCTTTGCGATAGAAATGTGTCTTGAGAAATGTGGTGCCCGAGGAGGAGGCCCTTCAAAACCAGCCATGATCAGCTGAGAAACTGGGACATTTGGGTGGGACCATAATATAAAATTAATTTAAAATTAGTTTCTTACCCTAGGGATACATGGCAATTTGTGGACAGTTGTCAAGTATTACTCTTAGGGAATGCTTTGAGAGGAAAAATTCTTTGGCAGGGCATGGTGATTCATGCCTGTAATTCCAGCACTTTGGGAGGCCGAGGGATGATCCCTTGAGTCTGGGAATTCAAGACCAGCCTGGGCACCATAGTGGGACCCTCATATTTACAAAAAAAAAAATTTTTAAAAATCACTCAGACATGGTCGTGCACACCTGTAATCCCAGCATAAAAAAAAAGTATTTGACGACAGGAACTGTGTTCACCACTGTAATCTCAGTCTACCCTCATGCCTGGAGTGTGGCAGGTATGTATATTAGACAAACAGGAATTTATTTATGAGGCACTACTGTACTCCAGGCTCTAATACCAGGCGCATATATATATATATATATATATATATATATATATATATATATATTTTTTTTTTTTTTTTTTTTTTTTTTTTTTTTTTTTTTTTTTTTTTTGAGATGGAGTCTCGCTCTGTCACCCAGGCTAGAGTGCAGTGGTGCGATCTCGGCTCACTGCAAGCTCCACCCCCCACATTCACGCCATTCTCCTGCCTCATCCTCCCGAGTAGCTGGGACTACAGGTGCCTGCCACCACGCCTGGCTAATTTTTTTGTATTTTTAGTAGAGACAGGATTTCACCATGTTAGCCAGGATGGTCTCGATCTCCTGAAATCATGATCCACCGCCTCAGCCTCCCAAAGTGCTAGGATTACAGGCGTGAGCCACCGTGCCTGGCCACAGGACCTTATGAGTCCAGGTTTTTCTTCCCACTTTATAGATTAAAAATGGGAAGCTCAGAGAATTTAAGGAAGTCAACCAAAATAAGAATTAGTAAATTATGAGATTTACATCTTGGTTTATCCGACTCTGTATCCTGGTCTCTGTTTGTTACTCCACAGAATCTCTCTGATCCAAAATCAATGTCCTGCAGAGTAAGAAAAATACAAAGTGATTTATCTTCCATGACAATTTCTGGAGGAGGTGCGGGACCTCCAGGTACCTGAGCACCAACACGAGGGAATGTGGATAGAGATCTGGTCTTAATTAAGTTGGGCTCTCATCAGGGATGCCTCGGTGCTTTGGCTCTGGGAGTGAAAAGCCATGCATACCTAAGAGCTCAGGGTAAACACAGTGGCCACCAAGG
This sequence comes from Homo sapiens, assembly GCF_000001405.40. Lineage (NCBI taxonomy): Eukaryota > Metazoa > Chordata > Mammalia > Primates > Hominidae > Homo > Homo sapiens. Next base: position 8,363,540 of record NC_000016.10, on the reverse strand, counting down.
CTGGTTCCTCCATCAGCAGGAAGTCTAAAAAGGCAAGTTCAATTCTGATGAAGGCAATACACCCAGAGGGCAGAGAGTGCTGCTCTGCAAATGATCAGAGCTATATCAGAGAAAGGAAGGATGGTCAGAAAGGATGCCAGAACACCAGGGACCAGATGGGAAGAAAATGTGTTCGTATGCAGTGGCCCAGGGTCCAGGGAAGACTGAAGCTTACCAGATGTGATGAGAATTAAAACCACCAGCCTGTGTCTTTGAAAGCATTACCCAGGCACTCATGCTGCCATTCTTCTACGATACTCCTTTTTCTCGAAGCTTTTTCAATTTCTTTACATTGTGCTGAGATACACACGAGTGAATTTGCCCTGGGCCAGTTCCTTGAGAAAGACCTGATTCTTCAGTGGGCTTCAGAGTGACTCTTTAGAAGCTATTATCAAACCAATTCATCATCCAGGGAAACATATTTATGCAATCGTTCTGGTTGGCTGGGTAATTTTTGCTTAAGTTACAATGGGGGGCAGGAAGGATTAGGAAAGTAATATTTGTTTGGTCTCATAACACTGATTGTTTTCTTAAGTGCTGTATTTGGTATGGTAGGATTGCAATTGATCAAATAAGCCAGTAATAAGTATGTGGCTTCTGAGAGTCAGTCTCCATGTAGGTAAAATCATGACAGTCATCCATAGCTCAAAGGATTGTCACAAAGATTATACCAGGTAGTGGCTCATGGTGGTTCTCAAACTAACTGGGCTTCTTTCCATATGCATTTATTTTATGTAATACTTATATAATATTGACTAGGTGTTAGACACATTACAGATATTAACTCACTCAACACTCATACCCACTCTTGCAAGTAGATATTGTCACTGCCTTTGTGAAATGAAGAGACAGAAGAACAAAGATGTTAAGCAATTTACTACTCATGTTAGTAATTTAGCTAGTAAGTAGCAAAGCTGAGTTTTTTTTTCTTTTCTTTTTGAGACAGGGTTTTGCTTTGTCCTCCCTGTTGGAGGACAGTTGGAGAGCAGTGGAGCAATCACAGCTCACTGCACTGTCCACTTCCCAGGCTCAAGCAATCCTGCTTCACCCTCCCGAGTAACTGGGACTACAGGGACACACCACCATGCCTAGCTATTTTTTTTTTTATAAAATTGTTTTTGGTGGAGATAGAGTCTTTCAACCTGGACAGCGTCTCATACTAGAGTTCATGCTCTAACCACTCTGCTATGCCAACTTGATGAGTTACCCTGCTCTGAGCCCACGGTCCCTTAAGGTGTGCTTTGTGTGTGCAGGGCTGGGAAGGCTTCCAGAGGGGAACACTTGAAGGCAAATGAGATATTCTTGGGGTCCACCTCCACAGATGCTCCGATTTCTAAGAAGCATCTCATTTCAGTGTGCTCAAATGACTTTGAGGCATGTGTTCACACCTTTCCCTGAAGTTTTCCTGTGGAATTAAGCTTTAGTTATCTGCTGTGGAAATTGGCTTGTTAATTTACCTTTTACTGTCTGCCTTCCCCCCAGTATGATTTCCTCTCTTTCCTTCCATTGTTCCATGAACTTTCTGAAAAACAACCTGTGCTCAGATTATTGTCTCAAGGGTCTGCTTCTGGGAGAACCCAAACAAAGACATGCTCCAATTCTGCCTTGACACTCAGTCTTTCCATCCCAAAGAGTCCTGAGTGAGGAAAAGTACAGTATGTGCAAAAAGCAACAGCTAAATGGGAAAGAAAGTACTGCTTTTAAATAGCCGGGTAAGCACCCAGTACTCCCCAGTGCATGGCGGTAAAACACTAGATGGGGAATGTGGATTCAGGCTGGAGGAGGGTTTATTGAGGTCCCCTGGTTGCTATTTCCTGTCTAGATGTGCTGACAATACGGGGGTGGAAAGCAGAGTAAGTTCCACTCGAGAAAGCAAACCATTAAGAAACAGTAACCACATCCAGTAGTGAACGTGGCTCAGTGGATTTATAGGGCCCAGAACAATCAGACTAGTAACTCCTCCTCTCTTAAGGGAGCCAGCTAGAGGTCTGAGCTATGAACTCACTCCCTAAAGGGGCTGAGGACCTGAGGTGCATGCTCAAACTTGCCTTGGTTTATTTTCTTTCTCTTGTTCCTCTTTAGTGTTTTGGTGGTCATTGATTTGCCTGTTTAACCTCTTTAAATATCAGTTTTCTCACCTATGCAATGAAAACAATATTACCCACTTTCTAGACTTGTGAGTATTCATGAAATATATACAAAGCATTTCTTGTGCTGCCTGGGACACAGCAAGCATGGAACACATGTGATTTATTTATTTATTTGCCATTTCTAAATTGTCACTGTCCTCATTGTCATGAGATGCTGAGTTCATTTTCTCTAGTAGCATTTCTTAGCTTCTTGGTGGGTGTGATTGCAAAGGAATTAAATAGTACTCTTAGGATTTTTGCAATTTGGTCTCTGTTGCCTATTGGTGAGGTGTCTGAAACATGTATTTTTTCACATTAATGCATTGCTCCTATATGTCACAAATTGTGAAGAAGCCACAAAAATGGAAACAAGCATAATGCTGCTGATGATGATGACAATGACAATTTAGAAATGGAAAGACAATTTGCATTTTCTTTTTTGCATGCTTGCTCTGTTCTGGGCAGCACGAGAAACGTTCTGTGTATATCTCATGAATACCTACAAGTCTACAAAGTAGGTAATATTGTCTTGATTTTTCAGATGAGGAAACTGATATCTAAAGAGGCTAAATAAGTTGCTCAGTCACAGGTTTATCATATAAGGGTCTTGAAATGAGACTCCTAGTAATATGTTCAGGCTTTTTCTCTATAATGATCCTGCCTGTGGAATATTTAGGTACTGGAAAAAAGGAAAAATGGGGAAGGAATTGGGAAAGATACTAGGGTATGAGATGCTGGGAAATGAGTCATCTAGACTCTTGAGAAAATTTACCTTTGCGATGTGGCTTGAGATGTTTCATTACACTTTCCCTTGATGAGACAATTTTAAAAAAAATGTCACTATTGGCCAGGCACGGTGGCTCACGCCTGTAATCCCAGCACTTTGGGAGGCCGAGGCGGGTGGATCACGAGGTAAGGATTTCAAGACCAACCTGGCCAACATGCTGAAACCCCATCTCTACTAAAAATACAAAAATTAGCCGGGCATGATGGTGCACGCCTATAGTCCCAGCTACTGCGGGGGCAGAGGAAGGTGAACCTGGGAGGCGGAGGTGCAGTGAGCTGAGATTGCGCCATTGCACTCCAGCCCAGGCGACAAAGCGAGACTCTGTCTAAAAAAAAAAAAAAAGAAATGTCACTGTTCTGTTAGCCTTCCCACCATGAACTCCACAGATACCAGGGTGGTTGTCCACAAAGTAGGTAGAGGGTCACTTGGTAGAATAAATGAATAAACAAAATGGTAATTATTCTATTACTTAATCAAAATACGTCTCCAAAGCGAAACTCCCTAAAGGGCAGAGAACACCTCCATGAAAACATCTCTGAAGAGTTAAGTGCACAACTGGCCCAGGGTGTGAAGACGCTGGAGTTGGGTGAAGGCTGTTGTGTGCCTCCTGGTCTTACGAATTGACCTTTGCAAAGGCACCCTCGGTCTGTTGAGTTTACCTCTCTTCTTGCCCTGAAGGAGTCTGACCCTGGACTTTTTACCCTCTTATTTATTTATTTATTTATTTATTTATTTATTTATTTATTTATTTCGAGACGGAGTCTTGCTCTGTCACCCAGCCTGGAGTGCAGTGGCACGATCTCGGCTCTCTGCAAGCTCCGCCTCCGAGGTTCACGCCATTCTCCTGCCTCAGCCTCCCGAGTAGCCGGGACAACAGGCGCCCGCCACCACGCCCAGCTAATTTTTTGTATTTTTAGTAGAGATGGGGTTTCACCATGTTAGCCAGGATGGTCTCGATCTCCTGACCTCATGATCCGCCCACCGTGGCCTCCCAAAGTGTTGGGATTACAGGCGTGAGCCACCGCGTCCGGCCCTCTCTCTTTTTTATTTTTATTTGAACTTCAAAGGAAGACGATCTTGGTATTTTCATTTAAAAAATTTTTCTGGGAAATGCAATCAGGGAAATGAATCGTTAGTGGTGGTACTCCAGGCTTGGCATAACAGCATGCATTTTTGCTGGTTTTAAGTGCAAAGGATAGCTCTGAATGCCCCTTACTGCATTGCCATAGTCTATCTTCCTAGATTCTTTACTTGTTTGCAGGCTGAGACCTGGGATATTGGAATGCGAAGGAGATTAGAAGCTGGTCACAATTAAACAGGCAAACCAGCTGAGGAAGAGCTGGGGCTGGAGCTGAATTCTCCCATTTATCAACGTCTTCACCAAGGAGTCATTGTCACCCCCTCCAGTCACCTACACAGCCCCCTGAGCCATTGCAGTCCCCACCACGACGGCTTGCTGAGCCCTGGATGCTGATTAAAGACCTAGTGAGTAATGGGGAACAACACCTGCCTCTGTTCCTCGGGTAAATCTAAGCAAGTTAATAACCTTCTTTAAAGCGAAAGCAAATCAAGTTCTATTTTAAACATTTTATTGACAAGCACAAAAAGGCGTCTGTCTGTGGTCCACGTAAATTTATCACTTGGTTTTGTTACTTGTTTCTGACTCATGCAACGGAGAAGAGCCTTTAAATCGTCCAAAGCCTCCCATTGTTACAAGACAGGAGGAAGTGTTGGAGAGGGGAAAAATGGCATGAAAGGGGGAGGACTTGTATTCCTTGTGCTCCTACTGTATAACCAGGACGTCTCTGGGTACTTTCCTTACATGGACACATCTGATGCTCAGGTAGGCCGTCATAGTTGTGTTGTTTTCTTCCCATTTTACAGTTGAGACCACTGAGATACAGAGACATGAAATGTTCTTTCCCAAGGCTTTTGACAGTGCTGGAACCAGGAGTCAAAGCTTCACCTGACATTTGCAATCACCTTGTCTGTATCAGTTTGGGTCTTAAGACACATTCAAGTTAGGGGCATCGAAGGATATTTAATTAGTGACATTTTACACAAGAGAGAATGAGGTGCAGGGAACTATAGGAGATGACACTGCAACTCAGGAGAAATAGCAGAGCCCTTACCACCCTGAACCGGGAGGGCAGGGGAAGGATGCAGTTACTGGAACCCTGGAGAAAGCTGTATAAAGCAGGCTGTTTTGAGAAACACAATGACTTTTGGTCAAGGGCCAGAGCCAGTCCGATGTGATTTTCCACAGGGAGAATCAGGGAGGGAGCCTGACTCTCTCTGGCAGACTCAACCAGAATCCAGAGATCCCACGGATGTGGTCCATACTGTCAGCCTCCCGGGGTGGAAGACGAGGGCCCAGCACACTGTCCCACTTTTCTATACCAGCAGATCTCCCAGAACTTATTTTCCTCCCCTGGAAGGCAATAGACACCAAGCTGTACCAGCAGAAAACAAAAAACAACACTTTTCTAAAGAAACCTGGTAAATATCGAAGTATTTATCCTTAGATGTCATTGAAATGATCTTAAATCACATTGCTTAGATTTTGGCCACGGCCCAGAAAGAGCCCATTTCAAGGAACGTGTTATAGCCACAGAGGGATGCACCTAGCAGAAAGGAGGGAACATACGGAATGGCAGCTGTGTAGGTCACTAAAACTTACCTCCTTTGCTGTTTAATACATCTTGACAACATCCTGGGGCAGGCAGGGAGAGATTTGCAGTAAACCACGTCTACTTTCCAAGTAGGTCTTTGGAGGAGAAAATAAGCGTCATTCTTTCTCTTCAAAGGTGACTCGCTTTGCTGTGTTGGGTCAGCTTGTGTTGCTGATTGGACAGTTTGGGGAAACTCTTTGCCACCTGTGCTGAGGACCTGGGAAGTGACTCCCCATCCCCAGAATTTCTGTTATCCTCTATCATATCGCCCCTTCTCTTTCAATCATCCTTTTATACCAAATATTGTAGGACCATGGCCTGACTCTTTGATTCATGATTATTAACCTAGAATTCAATGTACCAGTGAGAGTAACAGTGTTTCGCATCTAAAACCAGCATTTTTTTTCATAATTTTATTTTAGTTTCAGAGGTACATGTGCAGGTTTGCTACATAGGTAAATTATGTGTCATGGTGGGGTTTAGTGTACAGATTGTTTCATCACCCAGGTAATAAGCATAGTACCTAATAGGTAGTTTTTCGATCCTCACCCTCCTCCAGACCTCCACCCTCAAGTAGGCCCCAGTGTGTGTTGTTCCCTTCTTTGTGTTCATGTGTACTCAATATTTAGGTCCCAGTTATAAGGGAGAACACATAGTATTTTCTTTTTTCTTCCCATTTTAGTATGCTTAAGATAATGGCCTCCAGCTCCACCCAAGTTGCTGCAGAAGACATGATCTCATTCTCTTTGATGGCTGTGTGCTATTCCATTTTCTTGATCCAGCCTACCACTGATGGGCATTTAGATGGATTCTATGTCTTTGCTATTATGAACAGTGCTGCAGTGAACATACGCATGCATATGTCTTTATGTAGGATGATTTATATTCCTTTGAGTATATATCTAGTAATAGGATTGCTGGGTGGAATGGTGATTCTGCTCTGACTTCTTCGAGAAATTGCCAAACTGCTTTCCACGATGGCTGAACTAATTTACACTTCCACCAGCAGTATATAAGTGTTCCTTTTCTCTGCAACCTTACTTGCATCTGTTATTTTTTTTTTTTGACTTTTAAATAATAGTCATTCTGACTAGTGTGAGATGGTATCTCATTGTGGTTTTGATTTGCATTTCTCTAATGATTAGTGATGTTTAGTATTTTTTCATATGCTTTTGGCCATGTGTGTGTCTTCTTTTGAGATGTGTCTGTTCATTTCCTTTGCCCACTTTTTAATTAGATTTTCTTTTTGCTTGCAGATCTGTTTAAGTTCCTTATGGATTCTGGATATTAGACCTTTGTTAAATGCACAGTTTGCAAGTATTTTCTCCCATCATATATGGTGTCTATTTACTCTATAAAACCAGCATTTTGAATATCTCCTGTGTACCAGGCCCTGTGCTAGGTTTTCTAGACGCAAAAATGAATGAATAAAACACAGTTTATGCACTTAAGAAGATGATGATATAATGAAAGAGACATACTTGAATAAATTGCAGATGAACATGATTTAGGAAACAACAAATGCGAAATGACCACAGTGCTCTGGATATATAGATGAGGGAGGAATTGCGTTTGTTCTGGTTGGTGAGGAGGCTTATACAGCTCAGGTGATAGGGAGTTTTGGGGAAGGAATTCCTGAAGAAGGGATTGAGACGCGGTATTGTAGATGAGGGCAACGGCAGAGGTATGTCACTGAAGCTATGTGAAGGTGCAACATGTCAAAAAGTGTGTCTGGAGCAAAGGATGTATGGAGTAGAGTTAGAAATAGGAGCAATGCCTCCAAGGCTTACTGAGGTTGAATTTTGAATGGCATTGATGCTGTGCCAGTGCTTGTATTTTGGGGGCAGCAGGGGATTATGGAAAGTAAGCAGGGAAGTGATGGAGTTCGATCTGTGTTTTAGACAGATCGCTCACATTTGGCTTCTAGCCTGTGGTTGATACTCAGCAACTCCAGCTTTCTGAAGGATTCAAGTAAGAGGGTTCTCATTTACAAAAAACACCCTGTAGAGGGCAGGCTTATTCAGTTGCAATCCCAGCCCCAAATCCCCTGAAAGGTGAGAGAATGCCGAGAGAAATGATGCTTGAATTTACAGAGACTCATTTGGAAGCAAGAGAGAAATCATAGTTCCGGGCAAGACAGAAAATATTAAGCTGCACTTTTAAGTCCTAATCAAATGCAAGCAAAAGCATTTTTCAAAAGCAGGAGTAATTGGTGGTCGAACAAAGCCTTCTTTTAAGCCACAAATGTTTTCCCACACCCAGGGACTGATAACAGCTTTCCCTTGCTCCATTCTCTTCTGCAGTAGCTACTTAAAGTGACAGCATCAATCCTTCAATGGAAGCCAGTTGAGGCATGAAACTTATTGTGAACTTGGGAGAGAGCCTTGATGAATTGTTGCTGGCTTTTGGGGTTGGTGGTGTCACAATGTTGGCCAAAGAGGCTGGGATGTTGGCTTCTTTGCACAAGTGTACACATGCATGTGCACACACACACACACACACACACACGCCCCTTACAACCCTGGGCTCTCCTATGCTCTGCCTGTGACCACGTCTTCACATTTATCTCCTGTGTTATCACATTCTCATCACATACCTGCATCACTCGTACACCTCCTCATACACTACCTAACCCACTCATCACACTTATAAGGCTCCGTTCACAGACTAACACACATCCAAGTGTATCGCCAACCCACCGCAAACACAAATTCCCTATTCAGTCACCACATACCACAGTCATAGTGAACAAACCCACTGCAAACACATATTCCCTATTCCATCACCACATACCACAATCATAGTGAACACTCACTCTCTTGAAGTCTTCTCATGCTACCCATTGTTTCTTCTTTATATTTCCCCCACACCCTTCCACTAATTCACTCTCTTCTCCTACACACCTACAAGCCCCTCACACACTATTTCACACTCGAACTACCCACATCATACCCAATCATACCTCATCTCAGAAGGAACAATATGTAAAATCTTAGACTATGTGAAAACTTCACAGTGATAGGTTTATCTTCGAGCTCTCTCCAATTTTTTTCTTCTCTCTTCTGAACAATGTTTATAACTCAGAGGTGTTCCTGACAACCATTTGGGGATACTTCTATTCTTTCTGGGTACCTGAATTATACAGTTAGTTACAAGCGCCAGCTTCAGCCAGCTGGGGTGGCTTCTCCTTAAAGGCTGCCTCAACTTTGGCCAGTTACCCCTCTCCAAAACTCAGTTTGCTAATCTGTAAAATGGAAAGAGCTAGAGTATTGGTCTCTTGAGATGGCAGATCAAATGAGTAGGTTAATATTGCATAAAGCTCTTAGCCCAGCTTCATGTGCATAACAAAAGCTAGGTAAAAATTAGCCCCAATGGTAGTAAGTGATGTTTGGCCATTTAAATCAGGTTGAACTGAGTCTCAGGAGGCAGCAACAAATTGTGGCTCAGAGGAAATTGTGAACCTCTCATTCTTACAGAGTAAGGTGTTGAACAAACAAAGCAGAAGTTGATGTCAGATTATTTGAACATAAAGACCAGCCCTGCAGGGAGTTTGTGGCCAGTGCACCTAGTGGCCTTGGGTGAGGTTAGGTTTTGGGGTTTTGGGGGAAAGCATTGGGGAGAAGAGGATCTCTCAATTTTTTGAGGATCTGCTTTCAATGCATCTGTCCTTCTGGGAGAGAAAAAACTGGTTGTCCCATTGGTAGGCAGACTGGGGTCTTTTGTGATCATACCTACTTGCTTTTCTTCACTGGTGATGAAACACCTACCTCCATTTGTTGAGTGTTGATTTTGTTCCAGGGATTGTGCTAAACTAATGCTCAATTAATCCTCATAGCCACTTTGTTAATGGTTAATTTTTTTTTTTAAGATGGAGTCTCACTCTTGTCACCCAGGCAGGAGTGCAGTGGCAAGATCTCGGTTCACTGCAACCTCCGCCTCCTGGGTTCAAGCAATTCTCCTGCCTCAGCCTCCCAAGTAGCTGGGATTACAGAAGTCTGCCACCATGCCCAGCTAATTTTTGTATTTTTAGTAGACACAGGGTTTCACCATATTGGCTGGGCTGGTCTTGAACTCCTGACCTTGGGTGATATCCCTGTCTCGGCCTCCTGAAGTGCTGGGATTACAGGTGTGAGCCACCATGCCCAGCCAATTGTTAATATTCTTATTGTGTACACAAGTATACTGAGGCTCAGCTTGAAAGGAAAGAACCTCCCCTTGGTCAGACAGTAAGTGCCAAAACGGGGTTATCCAAAGTCATAACTCCTGGTGGAGTTTGAGCTAAGGGACTGATGGACAAGGAAGAGAGGGTCAGAAGGACAGATGCAGAATGGCAATGTTGGTTGCTGGACTTGCGGTTTCATCTCCCCCTACCCCTATCCCTTGCTCTCATCCCTGTCCTTGTACTCTTCAGTCATGTACAGCTTAAGGGAGATTCCCAAAGCTCTGCTATGATCCTCTCTAACACCTCTAAAACTGCATTGAAAAGTTTTTTTTGTCTGTCTTGATTCTTCCTCCTTTATTTCAGCCCTTGACTCCCTAATTTTTACTTTCTTTTTTCTTTTTTTTTTTTTTGGTGGTGGTTGGGGGGCAAAGATCTAATAGTCCCTGTTTGTCTCTCTACCCATGAGCCTCTTCCTCTTCTTTGCCTCATTCTTGCAGCTTATGTGTATATAATGCACTTGATCTTGGTCCTCAGTCCATGACATATTATCATAATTAGACTGTGCATTACACTTATTTTATTTTAAAAATGTATTATTTTCTTCTTTATCTACCATCTTCACCTTCTTCTCTTTTCTACAACTCAGAGACACTCTCTGTATTATCCTTTTTCTGTGTGTGTGACAGGGTTTCACTCTATTGCCCAGGCTGCAGTGCAGTGGCACAAACAGAGCTCACTGCAGCCTCAACTTCCCAGTCTAATGCCGTCCTCCCACCTCAGCCTCCCAAGTAGCTATGACTAGTAGCTATGACTATAGGCACACACCACCATGCCTGGCTAATTTTTTGTTGTTGTTTGTTTTAGATGGAGTCTCGCTCTGTCACCTAGGCTGGATTGCAGTGGAGCGATCTTGGCTCACTGAAACCTCTGCCTCCCAGGTTTCAGCATTTCTCCTGACTCAGCCTCAGAGTAGCTGAGATTACAGGTACCCACCACCACACCCGGATATTTTTTTTTTCTTCAATTTTTAGTAGAGATGGGGTTTCACCATATTGGCCAGGCTGGTCTCAAACTCCTGACCTCCGGTGATCTGCCCGCCTCGGCCTCCCAAAGTGCTGGGATTAAAGTCATGGCCCACCACACCCAGTCCAGTTTTTGTATCTTTTGGAAAGATGGGGTTTTGCCACATTGCCCAGGCTGGTCTTGAACCCCTGAGCTCAAGCGATCCTCCTGCTGCTGCCTCTAAAAGTGCTAGGATTACAGGCATGAGCCACCACACCCAGCCTGTACTGTCTCAATGTATGAATTTCCACTCTACTGTCCATATGTTTATTTAGACATATGTGCATCCTTGGGCATTGCTTTGGGTGGGTGTTCATGAAATTTTGCATAAACAGTATTGTGTTTTGATTCTCCGTTTCTGTTTTCACTCGGTGCTGTCATATGACATCCTTGTTGCCATATGTAAATCTACTTCATACTTCTGAATGGTTCATGGTATTTTATAGTCTTCTACACCACATTCGCCTCTTCCCCTAGTGACAAACAACTAGGTTTTCTCCAACTCTTTGGGACCACAAACAAGGCTGGGATGATTTTCCTCATATGTGTTTCTTCGTGGGCCTATGTGAGAATTTCTGCAGAATATGTATGCAACAGTTAGTTTGCAGAATCATAGAAATTAAAAACCATGGCTGGGCATGGTGGCTCACACCTGTAATTCCAGCACTTTGGGAGGCCAAGGCAGGTGGATCACTTGAGGTCAGGAGTTCAAGACCAGCCTGGCCAACATGGTGAAATCTTGTCTCTACTAAAGATACAAAAATTAGCCAGGCATGGTGGCAGGCGCCTGTAATCCCAGCATTTTGGGAGGCCAAGGCAGGCAGATCACTTGAGGTCAGGAGTTTGAAACCAGCCTGGCCAACATGGTGAAACCTTGTCTGTACTAAAGATAGAAAAATTAGCCAGGCATGGTGGCAGGCGCCTGTAATCTCAGGTACTCAGGAGACTGAGGCATGAGAATCATGAACCCAGGAGGCAGAGGTTGCAGTGAGCCGAGATCACACCTTTGCACTCCAGTCTGGGTGACAGAGCAAGACTCCATCTCAAAAAACAAACAAACAAAAACAAAACAAAACAAAAAAAAAACAAGAAAAAAAAGAAACTAAAGCCCATCTAATTATTCTAACACAGTTTGTAGGGTTTTACATTGTCATCTGTAATACAAACACCTTGCCTTTTTTCCATATCCTCTCCAGATAATATTTTTGCCCATCTGCAGGTTATAAAGTGGCATCTCATTGTTGCTTTAATTTTTATTTCACTAAATGCTCAACACTGGAGCTGATTGTCATGTACAATCTAGTGAATTTGTTTTCTCCTTCTGTGGTATTCCAAATATCTTCTTCTAGTCTGGTACTCATCAGTGATATCTGTCATTGTAAAGGCTTCTTACGTTTGTCAAAAAGTAGACAAATCCATTAACCCCCTCTGCTAAAGTTGGTGCTTTTGAGGTCCCATCTAGGAAATCACTCTGTACCCTGAGGTCAAAAGCTATTTAACATTTTCTTTTGTTTACTCTTGAAAGCTTTCCTTTAATGTATTTGGAGTTTGTTTTTATACATGGTTTGAGGTAGGGATTAAATCTTATCTCTAAACAAATTTATTATACATGTAATACATGCCAAATATGCAAAAACATTTTAAAAACGATTGCTTTTTCTACAGATTTGTATACTTCAATTGTATGTCAAGTGCCCCCACCCCCTGTTCCACCCTACTTATTCTGTTCTACTGTTCTATTTGCTTTTTGCTCCAAATACCACATTGGTTTTTATAACTTTGGTTTTGTGACACATCATAATATCTGGTTGAGTGAGTTACACTCTCTGCCCTTTCCCCTCTCCTTTTTTTCCCTTCAAAATTGCCTTAGCTATTTTTTGAATTTTATTCTTACATTCACATTTTATACTGGTCTGTCAAGTTTCTGGTAAAGTCCTTCTGTGAGAAAGTTTACCCCGCAGGATTGGTTGGGTGAATGAATGAGATAATGGATAAAAGTGGCTTTGCAAACTGTTAAGAAGTCTAGGAAAGTTAGTACAGTGTTGAGATAAGAGCAGAACTTTGGGGTTGGCCAGGCCTGAGTTGAAGCCTCTTGGAGCTTGAGAACATCTAATTCCTTTGAGACTCAGTGTCTTTATCTGTATGATTGAAATTGGTATTAACCAGCTCCCAGGTTTGTGTGAAGGAAGAGCAGTTATATGGGATGCCATAGCTTAGTGTATTGTAGGGCTGGGAGGTGGGAGAAAGACTGCGGATGGGAGAAGAAGAATGAGAATGCTGAGCGAGGCTTCACGCAAGGGTTTGGGGCTGCTGTTGACATGGTACAGGCTGCCTGGTTAATGAGATCATTCATCAACATTATGTTCAGGGCCATGATGAATTTGCCCAGATCTCCTGCCTGAATCTTCTGGGGGAAAGGACATTAATGGTGACATCTGTAAGCACAGGGATGTGTCAGACTCCTGGAATGGCGGTGGGGAGAACACTTGCCTGTCTCCTTCAAACTCTTTCTGTTTCAACATCTTAAACTCAGCAATGCCTGGTGGGCCCTGCTGGGTTATTACTTATCTGCCCTAGAATCAACCAGCTATGGGAAAAGCGTCTGCTATTAAATGCTCCAACAATACTGGGAGGCAAATAGGTAACATGGAAAGGGCACCAGGCTTGGAGGCAAATGCAATTGGGTCTGACTCTGAGCTCTTCCACTTAGTGGCTAGGTGACCTTGGGCAAATCATTTTGGCTAGTAGTTATACCTATCATGCAGCGTGGTGGAGAGGGTCATGTGATATAATGAATGCCCAAGGAAGAAGACAAATGGTACCATGTCACAGAGACGTAAGGCATTGCAGTTATTTAAAAAAAAGTCATGTGCTGCCTATTAGGCCACAGTTTCCTTGCAATTTTATCTCCAGCCCTGCCACTCACTGGTGGCTGCAACCTGGGATTTACTGTGGCAATTGACTTGGACAATATGATTTAAATATGTCCACGAGCTTGGCGTATGTGTATATGTATGTATATGAGTATATGTGTTTACTAGGGGGAGGGTACTGTAAGATGAGAGAATGTTAGACATAAGAAAAGTTATAACCAAACCAAAGGGTTTAAGGGATAATCAAATTAATTTAAGCTTTTCATTCAAGTAAAGGTGTAGCTGATAATTGTGAATCTAGAATAGCCTTATGACTAATTATAAGGATGATTGGCAATAACAACAATAACAGTAGCTCAATGTGTTTCAAATGCTTAAGTGATTTAAATTTATTCTTCTATTTATGTTTATAATAATCAAATAAATCCTTATCTTACAGATGAAGAAACTGAGGCTTCCAACGTTCAAATGACATAGCTGGTCAGTTGTGGGAGCCGGGATTCAAACTCATGTCTGGCTGCCCTCAATAATCAGGCTCTTAATTGTCTGGAAGGGCCTGTCACTTACCTTGGGAGATTCATTTGGGGTTCTCTTCTCTGTCAAGGGTAGGTTGACACTTGGGTTGAGGCATTATGCTGGGGCATGTCATTCTCTATCACAATTGTGGAGGCACCCGTTGCAGAGAAAGCTGTGAGTGAGGCAGCCAGCTAGAAAATCAGAAAAGAAAAACGTGGCTGCTCTTGGCAGAAAATTCGTGTTCTCTTGAGCTTACCAGGGCCCTGATCCATTTCCTAGTAACTTCCCATTCAATTCCCATTGGAAGACAGCTCTTTCTTATGCCGTTGAATCTGGTGAAGACCTTACCCTCACCCCCCACCCTACAGACTTCAGCCAAAGAATAAGACAGGCTTTTTAGGTTCTTAAAATTTTATTTTACTATTATTAAAATATTTTTATCATCACACAGAGAATACAACCATTAAAAAGCCTACATGGGGTAAAAGAAAGATATTAAAAATAACCCATAAATCTTAACAGGCAGAATCAAGCAGATAGTTAAACCTGTGCTCTGTTACTCTCCAGCTGAGCAGCTTTAGGGAATTTTCTGTGTCCTTCTGAGAAGGACTAGTATATCGCACAACTCTAGAGGGCGTCAGTCACCCTGAATTCCTGGGGGGTGCTTTCACATAGAATATTCTGTTCAAGGCTCCTACTGACATTGTCTAGAATAATGGCCCTGTTTCCAAACATCATCATCCTTATTTATATAACGAGGTTGATAAAATAATCTTCAAAAGAATTGCTTTCATAATTAGCTGAGATAATGAATGCAAAGAGGTTAACTGTACCCGGCATACAGTAAGTGCTCAACAGCATTCATTCTCTTCCCACATTACTTCTCAGAAATTGGAAAAATGGAGATAAATAAGACACTGCACAATGCAGTGTGTGGGAAATCAAAGATAAAGATAAATGATGATATCAAAGTTTGTGAAACAATATAAAACAGGAGATTACAAGGTGAATCTTGTCTCAACATTAGATAAGTGACACAGTGGATAAGCATTATGACTTCCTAAGAGGGAGGTTGTCTTAGGTGAGATTCCCAGCAGTAGATTCTGAGATGATAATTCATGTGCAAATGATTAAGAAAATGCTCCCAGTAGAAACTGGTAAAGGAGTGGAGAAACTAGGGCAGGACAGGGAAAGAAGCAAAACAGAAGGTGAGTTTCAGGGAAGTCCAAGCTCTGGCCTAATCCTGTAGAGAAGCTCTGGAATATAAAGTATGTCTCTGAGTTTGCTTCAACTTGCAGCAAGGAACTTTTGTATAAAGCCCTCAGTCAATAATTGGCTGGGGCTGCCATAGGAGGGCTGCACTCCTAGGCACTCCTGGGTCTCTCTGTGATTCTCAGACAGAATCTCAAGCATCAGCTACTAAAAAATGACCCAAAAGCTGGTGAGGAGATGTAGGTTCTAAGACAGTATTTTTCAAAAATGGCCACAGCAATATTTCCCATCCTATAAGCTCCATCAAGGACCTTGTTTCTCTCCCACTGGGAGGTGTAGTCTATTGACTTGAGGTCTTCATGACTTTGTTGATGAATAGAAAACAGCAGAAGAAATGCTATTTAACATATGAGGCTGAGTCACGAAGGGTGCTCACTGTCTCCCTTGGAACATTTGTGCTTAGAACCCAACCAAATGCTTTAAAGAACATCAGGCCACATGGAGAGTACCATGTAGGGAGACCAAGGATCCCAGCCCTCAGCCCTGGCTAAGCTCTCACTGACAGCTGGTACTAGTTTGCTGACCATGTGAGTGAGCCCTCTTGGAAGTGTATTTTCCAGTTGAGCTGTCTTACCTAAGGCTGCATGGAACCAAGATGAGCCTTCCTTGCTGAATCCTGCCCAAATTACATGATCATGAGCAAAATAAATAATTAAATACCTTATTACTAACAACTAAGCTTTTGGGGTGACTTCAGCAGTAACTGGAACAGGGTACAAGGAAATGGTGAAAGGAATCTGAGAATCTGGGTCGAGCTCTAACAATGTAGTAGTTGCTGTTGTGTACATGTTCGGATTCTCTTTGCCATTGGTGCATCAGTCTCCCAGTTCCTGTGAATGTTGGCTTCTAACAGCTCACTGTAGCCTTCCTTAGAGAATTTATCCAGGCTTAATGGGAGCCACCTCAACTGGGAGGGTGTTCCTTTCCCTGGGAAGTCTACAGCCAATGACTGACAGGGATACTAAAATGTCTCAAGGTGGAATCAGCTCCGTGGTGCAGTTTGTGCTCCAAATTTAATCTTCTCTCTTTATCCTTGCTTAAGATTCCACCCCCCTTCTCTATACCACTTTCTTCATCCGTCTTCTCCTGATAGTACTGTATTAGTGAATCACTTGCACAAGAACTCCCTCCACCCAACTCAGGCTTTTCTTCTAGGAAACTTGACCTAAGACAGACAGTGTTTTTTTTTTTGTTTTTGTTGTTTTTTTTTTTAATAAAAAGTATCACAATAGGATTCACATATATAAAAAATGTGTATTTCATAAAATGCTTGTCACCGACTGGGGCATAATGGGTGCCCCCAAATGATGGAGATGATGAGGATGATGATGATAGTGTTTATGCTGCAGTTATATTGTAAGATATCCTAGCAGAAATTTTTTCCAGTGTGTAGTTAAAATACCCTGTAAGAGAGAGGGTATAGAATAAGGATGTTTTCATAGCTGGTAAAGGAACGTGGTCTTTGTGTCTCAAGGCTAGTCTAGGCAACACTGGATTTAGAAGCTTCTGGTTCAGCACCACTATATCTGGACAGCACCCCATGCACCCCATGGCTTGTGGACAGCACACACACAAAATTCTGTCCAATCCAGCACCGCAACATGTGAAAGCAGATGCCGCAATTAAAGTGCATTCTTTCTAGTAAGGCTTGGTTGTAAGATCTTATGCTATTTTTCACATATCAAGACCCTCTCCCTTGACACTATCAGGATATTAGAAAAATCCCAGGGCCTGCCAGGGGATTACTCTGTTTATTAAATTTAGCTTCACAAACAGAGATGCTCTGCACTTTGTATCACCCTTGAGAACTTGAGCATTAAGGCATTCTATTGGCTTGAAACCCAGTAATTTCACAAGACGATAAAGCAATGTATGCTCTTTTCAATTTTTTTCCTGGGTACTTTATTTGCTAGGGGAAGTAAAACGTAGTGCAATGATACACCGTTATGTGATATGGAAGCTCTCTACTGAAGTTAAATCTCACCATTACCAGGGTGAATATCCAAATCTGTAGTGTTAGCGTTTTTACTTTGTGCATGCCAGTGGCTGAGGCTTGATGTGATACTTCACTCCATGAGTGTTTTGGTATCCCTTGTTCTAGTCTGGGACTTTGCAAATGAGGTGAGTATGCAGCCGAATATTCAGAGAAGTACAGAATACAGAACTGGAGGAAACCTCAGAGATTATCCTGCTTATATATTTTCTTTTTAAATACCAAGAGAACAATGCTCTGAGAAGCAAAAATGTGTTGCCTACAGTCGGAGAGCTGGTTAGTGAACATTAATAACCCAGGTATTCTGACTTCGAGTCTCATGATCTTTCTGTAGATCATATAGTCTTCTGCCTTTCCTATCCTTCATGGGTAAATAGTTGCAATACGGAGGTTGCTCTAATTCATGTATTATGCTTGGTTACTATTGAAATTGGGCAAACCATACCTTCTTCACGTAAGAGCAAACTGGTTGGCTGAACATGTCTGAAGGGAGATGTATTAATCCGTTTTCATGCTGCTGATAAAGACATACCAAAGACTAGACAATTTAAAAAAGAAAGAGGTTTAATGGACTCACAGTTCCACGCAGCGGGGGAGGCCTCACAATCATAGTGGAAGGTGAAAGGCACATCTCACATGGCAGCAGACAAAAGAAGAGAACTTGTGCAGGGCAACTCCCCTTTATAAAACCATCAGATCTCGTGAGACTTATTCACTGTCACGAGAACAGCATGGGAAAGACCCACACCCATGATTCAGTTACCTCCCACTGGATCCCTCTCATGACAAGTGGGAATTGTGGGAACTACAGTTCAAGATGAGATCTGAATGGGGACACAGCCAAACCATACTAGAAGGTGAGATGTTTGAACACTGTAGAAAGATTTTCCCCAGCTACAATAATATACTCTTCCTTCATTGCCATCACTATTCAAGGCCAGACATGAAAGCTGTGGAGGATTTGCTGAAGTTGATATTCTAAGACATCGTAATAATACCATTGTAAAACATGGTGACACATGAATTCCTTGTACTTGCAGAGCAAAACTTCCAAGAAAATCAAGGTTTTCAAGAGCCTGCCCTTTTAGAACTGAGGCATATCATAATAGACTTTGTAGGTCAATAGTTAATACTCAGGGTGAACTTGTAAACTGATAGTAGTGTTCCTTAATTTATGTTAGGGATGCATAATAACGTAGTGATTTAGCCTATAGACTTTGGAGTGTGGTACCTGGGGTTTGAATTCTGGCATGCCACATACTTGCTCTTAGGCAAGTCATTTAATCTTTCCCCAGTTTCTTATATATATGAAATATATATGTTATATATAAATTATATATAAATATATTAAATATTAATATATATAAATATATCAAATATATATTATTTAATTATATATTTATATATTTATATAAGTGTATATATTATATATTTATATAATATATTTATATAAGTGTATATATTATATATTTATATAATTATATATTTATATTATATGTATATAATATATAAAAATTATATATAAATAATATATTTATTATAAAATATAAATAAATACATTTATATATAATTTATACATACTAGATTTATATTTCTTATATAATAAAATATATTTCTATATAATAATATACATAAATTATATATTATATATAATATATATAATTTGATGATTTTAGTACTCATTGGAATTTTGTAGATTAAGGAAGGTGATTGATGGAAAAAAGTACAGTGCCTCATTTTTAACAGCACTTAATAAGTGTTGGCTCTTATCATCAGTAATAAGAGCTATCTCTTAGTGAACAGAAGTTGCATTCCGGCAGGGTAGTAGGTAATTTACAATGTCTTTTCGTGTGCTTCTCACAGCAACCCTGAATTGAGTATTATCTCCTGTGCATTACAGATGGAAACATAGTGGTACAGAAAAGTGAACCAGTCTCAGGTTTATATGTGGTGGTGCCAGGTTTTGATTCCAAGTCTCTCTAGTCCCAAAACCTGTGCTCATGTCACTACATTTCTGGAATTGAAAGGGATCTCACAGACCACTGAATATGATGTTATCACAGAGGAGTGGATTAACATGTATCACATCAAAAGTAAGCATTGCATGGCCAGGTAATTTTGAGCAAGAGGACTCACTCTGTATGCTATTGAGGATCTGGCGGTAACACTGACATATTTTAGTCTCTATGAGGTTTCAGTGCAAATCAACCTGTGTAAATATGTTAAACTCAGGATTTCCATGAAGGGTCTCATAGGACTAGCATCCTATGGAACATGCTTTGTGATGCACTGATTGGGGCTAGCAAACTCACTTTGTAGATGATGAAAAAATGCCAGGAAGGGCTGGGTGTGGTGGCTTATGCCTGTAATCCCAGCACTTTGGGAGGCCAAGGCGGGTAGATTATGAGGTCAGGAGATCAAGACCATCCTGGCTAACACGGTGAAACCTCGTCTCTACTAAAAATACAAAAATTAGCTGGGTGTGGTGGAGGGCGCCTGTAGTCCCAGCTACTCGGGAGGCTGAGGCATGAGAATAGCGTGAACCTGGGAGGCAGAGCTTGCAGTGAGCCGAGATAGTGCCAATGCACTCCAGCCTGGGCGACAGTGCGAGACTCCATCTCAAAAACAAAAAAATGCCAGTAGGACTTATCAGGAGTCATGAGATGACTTGGGACGAAACTCCAGGGCTCCAGGTTAACAATCCATCCACTGGGGTACTCTGCCATCTCTCCCTGCCACTATGTCACTCTTAGCATCTATTTGCAAGAGGATTTGTGCAACTTGTATTTTACTATTAGTACTTCCTCTTCATTAAGAGGATTTCCCTTCCTCTTACACCGTGTTCTCTTCTGTTTTATGACAGCCCCATGTATTGATGAATCCGTCACGAAGGTGACAGTGTTCTGATGATGCACTCACATAATACATTACCAAAGTGCCTGTCCTGATGGCCCTGTGATGTATGGGGTTGTTGTTTGTCAATGCCCTGCAGTTCCAACAGAACCATCTGTCACAATAGCAACCTCTTCATGGGGCACTACATGGAGACTTCTTCCTAGGGAAATGAGGAGCTGTGGGGAACTGAGCAGCCAGGTGAATGTAATACCGGAGAGGCATTCAGAGAGATAGGAAGAATGCATATATTAATCCTGAAGCAAAAGCAAAAAAAGGGTGTTTGATGGGCTACCCTTGCTGAGCTTAGCTCTCATTCAAATATATCAAACTAGACACTCTTGTAGGTGTTGGGGATTCAAATAATAATCCTGATAACAATCAATATGACTTTAGCTCTTCCTGTGCATCAAACACTTTAGTAAATTGTGCAGGGATGTTATTGCATTGGGTACTCCCTATAATCCCACTTATAGAGTGACTCCATTTGTAGAAGAGAAAACTGCGGCCCAGGGACATTAAGCAGCTAGATGTGGAAGATCAGCATTTAAGCTTTAAATATTGTCTTCGGAGGCTAATCCCTTAACTGCTAAGCTTGTACTGCCCCACAGGAGCCACAGGTCCTCACCTAAGTGCTCAGAGCTAGGTGTGCTATATACACACTCCCTAATGCTGACAGCAACCTGCAGAGCAGGTTTTATTAATGACATTTTACAGATGCTAAAACTCACACAGGTCACATTGCTAGGAAATGGCAGAACCAGGGACCAATGTCAGGTTGGTTTAACTCCAAATCCACTCAACTTATATCCCAAGGCGGGAGAGGTGCATAGAAAAGAGTGTGAGGTACAGACGAAGACTTGGGCTCAAACCCAGTTCCACCAGTTACCAGCAGCTGTGTGACAGGGAAAAACATAATTGTCTCTGAGCCTTGCTTGGTACAATAAGGATAAATACTAGGATCTACCTTCTGGATTTGTTGAGGATTGACTGAGCCAATGTATATATTTTTATAAAAAGATTAGCACCAGCCCTGATGTTGAGTAGTGTCTTAGGCAGTAATGATAATTAATTTTACTGGAAGAGGGAAGTATAGCAGGGATTATTAATAGAAACAGAAAATAAAATATAATTAACACCTAGATCTGAGATTCTAAATATTATTCTCCAACTAAAGGCATTAAGGCTCTTTGGAGAGATGCTTGAGTCTACGGCTGTGATAAGGATAATAGAAGTTGAACCTGAAGTATCCTGCAGTGTGTGTAAGTAAGAAAGTGCCAAAAATGAAAAAATAATAATAAAAAGATGAGGGCAGGTCAAAAGGACCTAAGAACCAACCTGACAGAACTCCTGATGGCTAGGTTGGAACAGTTCAGGCAACAAAATAAATAATTCAATGATAATATTGAATTATAACCCAGAGGTAAAATAAATATCCACAAGTCCACACAGTTATAAATAAATACATGAAGTAATAAATGAATGTGGGAGAAGAGACCAATCTTCCTTAGAGAATAATTCAAGCAATTAAACTAGAAGGAACAAAGGAAATAGAAAATCACCATTGCAACAACAATGTAATAATAATTGCTTCTTGCCAGATTCACAGACGAACACTAAAATTAGTGGGTAACTTTGAGGAGAAACAGGAGAGTTGCCCAGTCCTAAAATATCTTCCCCTCCTCAAATTTGTTAATTCTAGTGGTGGTAAATAGATGGTCTACAAATTCTTTGATACTCATCCTTCAAGGAGATGGATTTCAATTTCCCTCCCTTTGAATGTGGGCTGGATTTAGTGACTTGCTTCTTATGAACAGAGTATCAATAGGGAAAAATAGTAACTTTAGAGTGGAGAACCTTGGCAGGTACCACTTTAATCAAGTGATAAATGTCAATCTCACCAGTAATAAGTCATGCTGATGTTACCTACTCCTTGATGTAATGGGATGAGAAGGACATTTCACCTCTGTGACATTCTTTCCCCCCAAATCTATAACCTCTATCCAATTATGAGAAAATATCAGACAAACCCCATTTGAGAGACATCCTGTGAAATTCATGACTGGTATTCTTCAAAAGTGCCAAGGTCATATGAGATAAAACAGAAAAAAAGAAAAGAAAAAGTTGAGAAACTGTAGTAAGTTGGAGAAGACAAAGGAGGTATGGTAACTAAGTACAATATGGTATCCTGGCTTGGATCCTGGAACAGAAAAAGAATACCAGTGGGAAAAGTGAAGAAACCAAGTCTATGGTTTGGCTAATAGCATGGTACCAAGGTTAGTAGCTTAGTTTTGTAAGTAAGATGTTAACATTGGAGGAACCTGAATGAAGGGTATATAAAAAATCTTTGCACCATCTTTATAACACTTCCATAAATCTAACATTATTTAAAAACAGTTTAAAACATAATTAAGGTGTTTAAGTTTAAGGATTATGTCTTAAGTATTTTGCATAGGTGGCTCAATAGAAAGATAATGAGGGCTAGTGATATTGTTAAGATTTATGATGCATTAATAAATGTAAAATGAGTGGGTAGTGAAGTTTGCCCTCAACAATAAAATACAGAGGTTAGAGACGTCCTTGTTTTCAATCACTTGCAGTCTTGAAAATAGGGTAAGCCAAGAACACAGCGGCTGTATGACTCAGCAAACAGTATTGCCTTTTTATTTAATAATATCATAATGAGACATTCATATGCAAATGAATTGAATAATAATTGGGGAAGGTGAAAGATGTGGCTGGGTAGTCCCATGCTGGGGGAGACCCAAGAAGTTTGGGAGGTATCTGTGTTCCAGCAAAGGATGGGACCCCAAGTGAGTGGATTTGGCTTGGGTCAAAAACACAGCACTCGGTTTTCGTGGCTCTTGGGCATCCTGTGGTTTTTTTTGATGTTTGGACCCAGTTAATGCCAATAAATCCAGTTTTTATAAACCCTTGTTGCCTCACTTGTTCTGAACGTCCATAACTTGTTATTGAAAGGGATATTATATGGTGGTACAGAAGCACTCATTGTCCTGGAGCCCCGTGTGAGTTGGCCCGGGGCTAGAGAAATGGGTAAGTCTGCTGCCATGTAAGTTCTTGATGTCCTTTGTGATTGCCCAGAAGCATCAAGTTGGCTTTGTGGGCATAGAAGAGAGAGGGTGCCAGGCACATAATAGGCACTCAGTAATAGTAAGCTGTGGCAATAGCAAAGACATGGAATTAACCTAAATGCCCATCAATGATAAACTGGATAAAGAAAATGTGGTACATATACATCATGGAATACTATGCAGCCATAAAAAGGAACATGATCTTGTTCTTTGCAGGGACATGGATAGAGTTGGAAGCCAACTAGTTTACTGAGTTTATCGTTAGCAAACTAACACAGGAACAGAAAACCAAACACTGCATGTTCTCACTTATAAGTGGGAGCTGAATGATGAGGACACACGGACACATGGCAGGGAACCACACAGACTGGGGCCTGTCTGGGGCGTGGTGGGGGGAGAGAGAGGATCAGGAAGAAGAGCTAATGGATGCTGGGCTTAATATCTAAGTGAAGGGATGATCTGTGCAGCAAACCACCAAGGCACACGTTTACCTGTGTAACAAACCTGCACATCCTGCACATATACCCCTGAACTTAAAATAAAAGTTGGAGAAAAATTTTTTTTAAAAAACTAAGTTATGGTTGCCATTATTATTAACAGAACAGAATCCTGTCCAAGAGCAAAGGATGTGGAATCAGATCGCCTGGGTTTAAATCCAGGCACCAATACTCAGTAGCTTTATGACTTTTGGCAAATAACCTACTTTCTTATGCCTCAAGTTCTTCATCTGGAAAATGAGGAACCAATAGTATGTCATGGGATTATTGTCATGATTAAATGTAAGTGTTAAAAGACTAGAATAGTTCCTGGCACATAGTAAGCACACAGATGAGACTAGTTATTATGTTACTACCACCGCTATGTTCCTACTACCACCTCTACTATTAATACCACCATTACTGCTACAACTACGTGAGCTGCTTCCTTGTAGACTTATTGGTTTGCTGGTTGACTAATCAAGTCATACATCAAAAATCAAGAGAAATTCGCCCAAGATAAAATAAAAGAGTTTATGAATCAAAGAGAAAATTAAGTTTGGGTTATGGTCTCAGAAAAATAAGGTGCTGCTGACCTCTCTCCTTCTTGTCTTCAGTGAGAACTTTCGATCTGACGAGGCATTGCAGGTGGATCTATTTTCACTGATCAGGTTCTCTTAGCCATGGTTGGCCAAAAGGAGGTTTCTGTGTGTCTAGGAGCCAGAGCGATCAAATAATAACTTTCAAAATAAGCAAATCAGATGGAAATTAGACAATCTTCTCCATTGGTAATGAGTCCTGGAAGATAAAGTGCTGAGACTTCAGTAGCTTTCATCCCTGAGATACTGGATGACCTACCATACAAAATACTAATTGCTTTTCTGCAATGATTAGACCCTACCGACCTTATCATATGGTTGTCTAACCATGTATTATAGGAGCTGGCCATGAGGTGTAATTTAAGGTGAATTCTCCCAATATGCTTAAAAAACCATCCCAGGATCTAAAATTTTACCACTACTTTTGAATCCCATTAGGTGTTGAAGTTTTGTAATCTTTAAGAACTTCCTTTAGAATGTGAACACTTCCTGAAAGAGACTTTTTCAACAATAAGACATTAGTTTTCTTTTTCTTTTTTTTCTTTTCTTTTTTTCTTTTGTCATGGAGTGTAGTTCTGTTGCCCAGGCTGGAGTGCAATGGTGTGATCTCGGCTCACTGCAACCTCTGCCTCCCAGGTTCAAGTGATTCTTCTGCCTCGGTCTCTTGAGTAGCTGGGATTACAGGCACAAGCCCACATACCCAGCTAATTTTTGTATTTTTGTAGAAATGGGGTTTCACCACATTGGCCAGGCTGGTCTCGAACTCCTGACCTCAGGTGATGCACCCACCTTGGCCACCCAAAGTGCTGGGATTGCAAGCATCAGCCACCAGACCTGGCTGACATTTAGTTTTCAAATTATATTAATTTCTCTTAACTCAGTGAATCCTCACAACGATCCCATTTTGCAGTTGAGGAAACTGATGAAGAGAGGTTAGGTGAGTGGCACCTAGGTATTGGCGTAAGGAGGCCTTGAACTTGGGTTTTTTCAACAACACAGCCTCTCCCATTCTTCTACAGGGATTTGAGGATAGAAAGTTCTGGGAAGGACAGAAGTCTTTTTGAGATTTTGAGGCAGTAAGAGCATAAGAATGAAAATCGGGTACATCTTAGATGTGTTCCATTTTACCTGCTAGGTGACCTTGGTAAGGCATTTTAAGTCTTGGAACTATAATTCCTCCTTTGTGGAATGGTGACAATAATAATCACTGCATGGGCTTGCTGGTGAGATTAAATGATTTATGATGTTTGTGTTGTTTTCAATGCCCAGCCCATAGGATGCGATCACCCAGTAGTAATTTCTCCCCTTTCACCTTTTACTTACTGCCTCCCTGAATTCTAAAAGAGCAAATGCTGGACTAGTTCAATAAAGTAGATCAGTCCCATGGTGTATTGGAAAGTTACTCCCAGAACTGAGGTCTTATGCTGGTGGAGCATGTGTATGGCCCCTTTCTACCTAGAGTGAAGACAGGATTGACACGCCGTTGTTTATTTCACCTTTCGCTAAAGCCCCCTGAATCTGCCTGCCTTTGCACTGGTCACGGCTGAGAGCCACACACTGCCTTCCGAGGGGTACCAGCCTCCAGGAAAGCCTCAAATGTCATGAGACCACAGCTGACGAAATGCCTCTTACCTGTGCAGGGTGGAATGATTTATATCTGATCTGTCAGAGGTCACCAAGCAGCTCAAAGCTAAACTGAAAGGTTAAGAATTGATCCAGATGTAATAACACCCCAGATAAGACATCCAGGCTTCCAATTCACTCAGTGTCCATCAGGCACTATGCAGGCAGTCTCTCTGCTGGAGGGTGGCGTAGGGGGGTGCTCTGGAGGTGTCCCTGGGGGTGCCCATAGCATCCAGAGCTGAATTACACATGCTGGGCTCATTGTGTGAGAAGATGGTATATTTTGAGATGGAGGAAGCTCTGAAGGGATTTGTGCTCACTTTATTCATTTATTCAAGTATATACTGAGAATCAGTATGTCTGATCTTTTGCTAGACTCACAGTCCAGCATGGGATTCCACACTTAAAGTCTGTGGAATCTTGGAGGGAGGATGGCCGGTGACTCCCTTATCCCTGTCCTTTCCAAAATGAATGCAAAATGGGGCATCGTTCCCAGTCACTGGCCCTGGCACCTCGTTACCCTCATTCTGATCTCAGTTTGGTCTCAAGTCCTTAATTTATAAAATAAAGTTAATATTAATACCCACCTTATGGCTTGAAGAGACATTTCTCCAAATAAAATATGCAAATGGCCAAAAAAACATTAAAAAAGTTATTCATGTGATTGGTCACTAAGGAAACATAAATCAAAGCCACAATGAGATACAACTTCATACCCATTAAGATGGCAGTGATAATAATAATGATAAACCCAGAAAGTAATGAGGGTTGACAGAAATGTGGGAAAATAGGAACCCTTGTGTATTGCTGGTAGGAATGCAAAATGCTGCAGCCACTGTGGAAAACAGTTTGATGATTCCTCAAAGAGTTAAACAAGGCCAGGCACAGCGGCTCATGTCCGTAATCCCAGCATTTTGGGAAGCCAAGGCGGGTGGATCACTGAGGTAAGGAGTTTGAAACCAGCCTGGCCAACGTGCTGAAACCCTGTCTCTACTAAAAATACAAAAATTAGCTGGGTGTGGTGGTGGACACCTACAATCCCAGCTATCCGGGAGGCTGAGGCAGGAGAATCACTTGAACCCAGAAGGCAAAGGCTGTAATGAGCCGAGACCACGCCACTGCACTCCAGCCTGGGCGACAGAGCAAGACTCTTTCTCAAAACAAGCAAGCAAACAAACAAACAGAGTTAAACATAGAATTACCATATGACTCAGCAATTCTAGTCCTAGGTATATACCCAAGAGAATTGAAAACATAGGTCCACATGGTAATGTGTAAACAAAGTTTATAGAAGCATTACTCATAACAGACAAACAGCAGATACAAGTCGAATGTCCATCAACAGATGAATAGATTAACAAATTGTGGTATGTTCATAAAATGAAATATTATTTAGCTATAAAAGGGAATGATGTACCAGCAACAGCTACAGCTTGGATGAACCTTGAAAACATTATCCTATGTCAAAGAAGCCAGACACAAAAGGTCACACATTCTATGATTCCATGTATGTAAAATATGCAAAATAGGCAAAGCCATTGAGGAAGAAAGTAGACTATGGATTGTCAGGGGATGGGGGAATGAGGAAATGGGGAGTGATTACTTTTAGGCTATAGGGTGTTCATCCGGGGTGATGAAAACATCTCGAAACTAGAGAGCGGTGGTCAGTCTTTGCATAACATTGTAAAGGCACTAAATGCCCCTGAAATGTGTACTTTAAAGTTGTTAACTGCACATTATGTAAACTTGAGCTCAATGAAAATAGTAATACCTAACATAAAATATTCTAAAAATTAAGTAAACTAATACATGCACCTTGATACATAAATTTAAACATTTTTTCTTAATAAACATTTGTAAAAAAAGTATTGTATGATAATATTTACTTTTTCTGAAGTAGAGTTTCCAAATGTGTTATCAGATTCTCAAAGAGATCGCTGATCCCCCGAATATTGGAATAAACAACTGAAATACTGGCCTAAGAGTAAAGATTGGTGCAGCCATTCTGGAGGACAGTTAGCTAATAGTTGGTCCATTAAAATAAAAATATATATGCCCCATTTTTCCTGAAAATTGTATTTCTGGGTACATATCTTGAAGAAATTCTTGCCCAGGCCCCCAAAAGACCATGCCCAGCAAAATTCACTCTGACATCAAGGAGGTGGAGTTAGAGGCAGCATGGGTGTGATCAAGGGGGGAGGAGACAGGTAAATGTGGGAGATGCACACTGTGGAATTCTGTAAAGTTTTAAAACAACAATCAGGTATTCTAAATAACACAGAGCACTCTTAAAAAACAGTGCTGGGTGCAAAAAGGAAAGGCACAGAATAAAATCTACAGCCCTCTTCATGTATATAACTAAAAATTATGTAAACACAGCAGTGATATGCAATGTATAGGACCATAAACAAATGAAAGCATACACAGCAAACACAGCTGAATGATTGCCAAAGGAGAGGGAGGGACTGATGTTGCAGTTTGTAATGAAAGGAATGAAGAAAAGAAGCAAAAGAGAGGCTGGCTCTAGAACAAGGATGACACAATGCCAGGAACTGAGGAAGGTGAATGACGCCAATCTCTGCACCTAAAGTTCCACAACGTAGATGACAAAATGAAACAAAAATCCCTGGGTCTAGAGAACCAATATATTAAGGGACAATTCCAATCTGGTGATGAGTTTAACATTCAATGCTGGCAGCTAATGATCTTCACCTGCGTTCCCTGATCAATGAAGTAAGACTCTCCAGGAGGTCGGGTCAGATGCTGCCATCTTTAGAAGCTTACTAGGTGATTCTAATGTGCAGTCACAGTCAGGAGGACTGGGTTAGATGTCCTGGGTCAA
Organism: Homo sapiens; assembly: GCF_000001405.40. Classification (NCBI taxonomy): domain Eukaryota; kingdom Metazoa; phylum Chordata; class Mammalia; order Primates; family Hominidae; genus Homo; species Homo sapiens. The sequence continues at coordinate 8,334,511 of NC_000016.10, read as the reverse complement.
GGTAAGCACCAGGAGCTTCAAGGAGGCAGCAGGTTTGTAATGGGAAAGGAAGAGGTGAGGCTGAGAGGCGAGGCTAGAGTAAGGCCTTTGAACTATTTTCCAGAAGTTGTTGGGGGAAATATTGAGAAAGTTTTAGCTGGGGAGTGACATGACCAGATTTGCACTTTAGAACATTCTGATGTACTGTTTGGGATGGATGGGAGTTAGGCAAGGGAGGAAGAGGATATTCCATTGAGGAAGTTGTCCAAATACTCCAGGTTAGATGATAAGAGTCTGATGGAGGGAGAGGGAGAGTGGGTAGTAAATATAAGTTCAGGGCAAGGAACAACTATTCTCGGTTCCACATGAGCAAACAAGGGCAGATGAGAATAAAGCTGCTATCTTCAGGTTACTTTATAGTTGTATTAGTCTGTTTTCACACTGCTATAAAGATACTACCTGAGTCTGGGTAATTTATAAACAAAAGAGGTTTAATTGACTCACAGTTCCACATGGCTGGGGAGGCCTCAGGCAACTTACAATCATGGTGGAAGGCAAAGGAGAAGTAAGTACTTTCTTCACAAGGTGGCAGGACAGAGAGAGAGAGAGAGAGCAAGAGAGAGTGAGAGAGAGAGTAGGGGAAACTGCCACTTTTAAACCACCAGGTCTCATGAAAACTCCCTCATTATCATGAGAACAGCATAGGAAAAACCACCCCTATGATCCAAGCGCCTCCCACCAGGTCCTGCCCTCGACAAGCAAGTGTTACAATTTGAGATGAGATTTGGGTGGGGACACAGAGCCAAACCATATCAGTAGTCTAAAGTAGACTCAATAAAGGGCCTTCTGCTCTTGAGTGTGGAGCACCAGTTCCAATCTGAGTGACCCTCTGATCAGATGCACTGTTCATATCTTGGAAGTGGCTGGAATGTTCCTTCTGGGATATTGCCGTATATTGAGGCACAATAAGATCCCTGCTAGATTCTGAGCAGCCCATGACTTAGCTGGCGTTGCTGTAGCATGCAGATTAAGGGAGTGAAGTGAGTAGGGCAATTTACCTTTCTGGTCACTGACAGCTTTCATACAGAATCACCCCCATGCCCCCGCTGCCCCCTTATCTGCTCATGCCTGGGCCTGTATTTGTCTCTAACTACATGCAAATCTATTAACAAAGTTTGGAGAAATAAGTTGGAAAGTTGATAGTACTGAGTTATGGGTGGAGGGAGGATGGTTTTGTTGAATCTGTTTCAGATGGTGGGATAATAACAGCTAACATTTTTGAGTTGCTTATAAAGTGATTGGTCCTATGCCTTGCATATATTATCCCTTCTCACCATTTCAATGACCCAGTGACATAAAGCAGTAGGTCTTGTCAAACCCAAAGTCAGTGTGACTCTCAAAACATGGCTCCGAAGCATTCACTGTTTGCTCAAAGCTGATGGCAGAGCCAGGACTAGAGGTTGGCTCCTCTGACTCCTTGTGTGTTTCCACTGTAGCTCTGTAAGCCATAGATTGACATGATCAGATATCGCCAGCTGCTTTAATGCGTTAGTCCTTGTAATGCTTTTGTCTTTATTCTAATCCAGGAAGAACAAGGAGTCTCATCTTTGGGTTCAGCAGGGTCTGCAATGGATGTTCTGAGCACTCTGAGGAAGTGCTAAGCCAAATTACCAGGATGGCAAACCTGGGAATGTGCTATTTGGTCTTCTCTGAAATGGAGGGAGATGAGGGTGCTTGGGGGACAATTTAAGAGCTTCCAGAAAAACAGAAAGAACAGTTCCCAGAAGAACGCAGGGGCTCTAGCTGTCACAACGGGGCTGCCCGAAAGACCCCGCATTGCTATGGAAACAGCGCATTTCTTTTTTTTATGGAGCAGGCACATAAAACTCCCAGAATGTGTCATTAAGTAAGTTACTACTGTCCTGAGGCTGCCAAAGATGTACGCCCTCATTAGGGGAGCAATGTGACAGTTTGGGGTTTATAATGAACTGTTTGCAGGCTCAGAGGCTGAGCTAAGTTTACCCTGTTGGGATCACAGTCTCTCGGTGTTTGGGGACTAAAGCGGGGTCCCTTCCTCAAAACGTCCACAGACCAAAGGCCCATCAGTTTCTGCTCTGCTGCAACACAGCCAGGTGATGTAATTATGGTGCCTGCCTAGCTCATTTACATGCAACTGGTGAACAAACTCTGGCATTTCCGTAAAGACGCTCCTGCTGAAATGAAGCGTTTTATCGCCTGCATTTCGCCTGGAGCCCTTAATTGGGTAGCTCTGCTCCCCTCAAAGTTTTGTTTACCTGGTAACATGCAGATGTTACCTGGCTAGCTTAGAAGTAGAGGGGCATTCCAAGAGAGAGGAACGGAGACCACACAGGCGTGTCTTCTCCTTGACCTGGAATAATGCAGCCCATAATTTTACACTTCACCTTGTATCCTGAAGTCTTAGCCACTGTCTTTTAAAATCTATTGTGTTTCCTGTTGATTGACAGTGTCTCTGATAGTGCTTTTGAGAAAAATGAGCTTGTTTTGGGAAACAGACAATTAGACTGTGCAGTGAGGGAGGTGAAGGGGAAGGAGGTGAGACACTAACAGTCAGAGAACACCTGGACTATTATCAATAAGGCCTAGATAACCATGACAGATTTGTCATTGAGGAGGAGATAACCATCACTGCTCAACATTTATGAAGACAGCACCAGGAACACTGCAAAGAAAGACTTCTATGGCCATGAGGAAGTAGCTGCTTTAATAAAAATAATACGGCCGGGTGCGGTGGCTCACGCCTGTAATCCCAGCACTTTGGGAGGTGGAGGCGGGTGGATCATGAGGTCAGGAGTTGGAGACCAGCCTGGCCAACATGGTGAAACCCCTCAAAAATTAGCCAGGCATGGTGGTGGACACCTGTAATCCCAGCTACTCAGGAGGTTGAGGCAGGAGAATTGCTTGAACCCGGGAGGCGAAGATTACAGCGAGCCGAGATCATACCACTGCACTGTAGCCTGGGTGACACAGCGGGCCTCCATCTCAAAATAAAATAAATAAATAAATAAATAATAAATAAATAAAATACACAGACATTTAAAGAATGACAATATAAGCTTTCCCTTGGGATATTTCCCACTGAGAAGGGAGTAGTATAGCAGTGTGATTACAGGTTTCACCTCTGGAGTTGAAATGCCTGGATCAGTTCTCTGCCCTGCTGATCAGTTCATCGTCAGTTTATTTATTTATTTATTTGTTTGTTTGTTTATTTATTTATTTATTTATTCAGTTCATTTTTTGAGACAGAGTCTTGCTCTGTTGCTCAGGCTGAAGTGCAGTGGCACAGTCTCGGCTCACTGCAACCTCCACCTCCTGGGTTCTAGCGATGCTTGTGCCTCAGCTACCTGAGTAGCTGGGACCACAGGTGAGCCTCACCATGCCCAGCTAATTTTTGTATTTTTAGTAAAGACGGGTTCAACCATGTTGCCCAGGCTGGTCACGAACTCCTGGTCTCAAGTGATCCTTCGGCTTTGGCCTCTCAAAGTACTGTGATTATACATGCGAGCCACCACACCTGGCCCAGTCAGCATTTTTGAGTGCCTTCTGGATACTAGGAAGCATGTTTGCTAGCTTTGTGACCTTGAGAAAGTTATTTAACCTCCCTGAGCCAAAGGTTCCTAATTTATAAAGTGGGAATGGTAATCATACCTTCCTCACTGGATGATGGTAATGGGTAAATGAACCAATGTATGCAAAGTGCTTATTGCAATGTAAACAATAAATGTTCGATATTGCCTGTAGCATTGCTGTTATCACAGTGTTAGGTTTGGGAAAGAAGTGCTGTAGCGGCATAGTTATTCTTTTTTAACCAAGAACAGTGGCTCAGCAGTGAAGAAAGAACACACTTCTTTTATGATCCCTAATACAGCTGGGCCCATCAGAATGTCCAAGGGAATCCTACTAAAAACACAGCAATACCAAGATGAAATAAAAAGATAAAAATGAGGTAAGAACAACAATAATAACAATAGTAATAATAACTTCAGCTGCTACGGCTTTTGAGATGTGGTTTAACCTCTGGTTCCAGAGGGATCTTTTTATGTCTTAGCTTCTAGGTGGCCCCTAATGTGGCTAAAATTATGATAATAGGAACAGAGACAGCAATCATCACAACTACCATTTATCAAGTGCTTACTATATACTGTGTTAATAACTTTGCACTCTAATTCAATTTTCATAACACTATATCATAGGTACTCTACATGTTTTCATTTCATATGTGAGAAAACTGAAGCATAGTACCTAGTCCAAAGTCATACAGTTATCGCCTATGACCCAAAGCTCAAGTTCTGGTTATCTGGACATCTGGAAGTTTAGCAAGACTAGGGGTAAAATGGAAAATCACCTCCACCACCCTAATTATCATTTGCCTTCTGAGAATGGTTTAATTTCGGAAGTCTTGTATCTTTTGTGGATCTTGGCATTGAGAAGAATCACTTCATTCTGGTGAGGCCACACCTATATACAAAATATTAGCGTGGAACAGAGTAAACTGCAGTATTCATTCATGCAGTAGGAAGACGTGGGTTTGTCATAGCATCCAGTGGAGGTTTGCATTGAGTAGGAGAGACTCACTGGCTATCTAAAGTGAGCTAATGTCTGGCTTTCCATCATTTGGGATTCATGGCAATTTTGTGGCATTAATTACCCCAATATAAGCTCACTGAATACTAGGAAAACTTGGAGGTCTGAAAAATGTCACTGAAAATACCGGTGCCACTGAGCCAGCTGGGGGATCCAAGTCATGTCTCTGGAGTTTTAGTCTGTTGTATCACACCACCTCTCATGTGGAGGCTTCCTGTCTGGGAAACCGGGATGCAGTTTTTGCTCAGATGAGGTCACTGGTAAATACAAAGACCTAATCATGCACTAACTGTAGATTCTGCCACCACCTCATTGTAACATTCGACACCTCATTTAACAGCTCTGACTTCAGTTTAATTATCTGTAAAATGGGGCAGAATACGTTTACTGTCTCCATATATAATGTTTTAAGAATGAGAAAATGATGGTTTTGGTCAAAATTAAAGGTCTCCTTCATGAATCAAACAAACTACACCAATTATTGGTATATCTGAGACTTGTTTTAATGCTCTATAGAAGAATAAGTTAGACAATATATACAGCTTTTGGAATATTTAGTTACGTTTTCCTTAAGATCCTGCTCAGTTTTATAGAAAACCTTTTTCTTAAACCAGTGGTTCCCAACTGGGGGCAATTTTGTTCTCCCCCATCTCCCCTCCTCCTATAAAGAACATTTGACAATGTTTATAGACAACTGGGGGCCGGGGTGCTACTGGCATCTAGTGGGTAAAGGGATGCTGCTACCAGCCTACACCGCACAGGTCAGCCTCTCCCACCACAGAGAGTTATCCGGCCCAAAATGTCAATAGTGCCAAGGTTGAAAAACCCTAGTTTAAACACATCTAAAGCAATTTTAATCTTGAACATAGCATCTCAGAGTCAGCATGGGATTTTCTTTTCATGAAATGGAATCATCTCTCCACCATTAAGATGCAAAATGGTGATATTATCATACAATACAAAATGGTGATATTTAGAGTTTTAAAAAGCTCTTGTTCTGCCTTTACCAGCTGATGTCCTTGGGCAAATTGCTTCATCTCTCTGAGCTTCACTTTTTCTTACCTTTAAGGTGAGGCATTTCAATATTTCTATTACTGCGATTGTGTGTGCAATAAGTGAAAGGAAGCTCATAAATACTTCATACAAGGTGCTATGTATAATAGATAATTAATACTTTTTGCACCTTCTTGTTTTTCCCCTCAGAGACAGATACTACAACATCCTCCTTTAGTGAAAAAAATACATTGCTGTGGTGGGTACTCACTGAAGTATGTCAATTTAAAACATTGTAAACTTCAGTTTTAACTTAGTAATAGAAAATGGGGTTAAAAACTCACAGGCTGAAATTATAACACAACCAAAATCAAGCTGGATTCCAACTTGTCTAATTACATTGTGCCAAATTCTGTAGTAGACCACAGGGAGACAAGAGGAAGAAATAAGTCACGATTATGGTCATCAGACACCCGGGTAGGAAAGGACGGTGAAGGCTGAAAGAGAGGGCACAAGAGGACAAAGTTAAATTGATTCTTGGAATAAGCTAGAATCCAACAAGGAGAAAAAAATCCATCCATTCAGAAACCAAATAGAACTATTTCACTGTGAAAGTGAGTCTATATAATTTATGAATCTCTTTTTATTTTTCCTGGTTAAACTACAAAAAACAGATAATGCTGAATGTGTTTTAAATCCCATTTGCGCTGAGAATATGATCAAAAGTGTACAAATCAAATAACCTTAATGGTAAGGTGTCTACAGTTTGAACAACGGTCTCAAACCTTGGTCTTGCTAAACCCCACCAATACGAAGCCCATTTCTAACATTTTGACAAACATTCTAAGAAACATTTTTTGCATATATATGCATAAAAATATATGTTTAAAGGCTTATGTATTTTGAATCAGAGTGCATACTTCATTTATCATTTCCTTTTCAATGTTCATCATTCTATCACAATGGAAATTTCATAATTTACTTTCAACTCTTTCCTTACTGAAAGGCACTTGGATTATTTCCAATCTGGGGCTATTGTAAACAGAAAGTAATAAATGTTCCTGGGCATACATGATCATTATTCCCTAATAGGAAGCTTCTAGAATTGTCCCCACTAATCTTTATCTCCTTCTGGTACTCATGAACTTGTGTCATCCCCTCCCCTTGAGTAACTTGCTTCTAACCAATAAAATGTGGCAATGTTGTGGGGATGTCAATTTGGTTATTTTGTTTATAAAAGATTCTCAATTCCATCTGGCTAGTGGAGTATTTCTATTGTCTTCTCAGTTTAGGTGCTATATTGAAGCAAGATGCTAGCTGGAGAGGTCCCTGTGGTAAGGAACTGAGGCCCTCTTCCCCAGTCAAGCCTTCATATGAAACCACCAGCTCTGAGCCCACACTTTGCAGCCTCATGGGACTGTGGAACAGAAGACTCAGCTCAACTGCACTCAGGTTCCTGACCCACAGAAACTGTGATATAATAAATATCTGTTGTTTAAAGCACCTACATTTTAGTATAATTTGTTACACAGCAATAGAGAACAAATACAAGTAACTAACAATTAAATAGAGAAACTGACATGTAAACAAATAAATCTACTACAAGGTAGGATGTTACAAGAGGCAGCAGAGTTTTAGGAAAATAGCTTTAGGGTTTCTTAGGATGATAAGGCACCTTTAGTTCAGAGGGTTGGGAAGTCTGAGAAGGTGCTCCTTTATTTATTCAGAAATTATTTATTAAACTTTTTCTACGTGCCAGGCACTGTGCTAGGTTCAGAGACTAAAACGGCAAAGATGACGAACTGCTTGTTCTCTTGATGTTTGCTCTCTAGGGACAGAGATAGAAAATAAAGAGTAACTGGCCGGGTGCTGTGGCTCATGCCTGTAATCTCAGCGCTTTGGGAGTCTGAGGCAAGCGGATCACCTGAAGTCAGGAGTTCAAGACCAGTCTGGCCAACATGGTGAAACCCAGTCTCTACTGAAAATATAAAAATCAGCTGGGTATGGTGGCACATGCCTGTAATCCCAGCTACTCAGGAGACTGAGCCAGGAAAATCACTTCAACCTGGGATGCAGAGGTTGCAGTGAGCCGAGATTGCGCCACTGCCCTTCAGCCTAGGTGACAGAGCGAGACTCTATCTCAAAAATAAAATAAAATAAAATAAAATAAAATAGAGTAAACTAATGAACAAGAGAATTTCTAGTAGACACAGGTGGCAGGAGGGAAAGTGATTAACTGAAGAGTAAAGCTGGGTAGGTTTTTTATTTCTGGTGGTCAAGGTGGACATCTCACTTAGCAGGCAATCATCTTAGGTCTACATCCCAAATAGGTGAGGTTTTCATAAACCCAGAGGGGCACGGATCCCTGCCCTCCCCACTTAGTGTTGGCTGCTGCACTCACCATCCGCCTCGCCCCTAGGCAACTGGTGACAATAGGAGGTAGTCTCAGCCCTACAAAGGCAGTATATTGGTTCAGGCTTCTGCAGCACCTAACCAACAAATGATGGATGCCGCGGTGGAAAGGGGGACCTGCTTTGATGTACGCGGCCTGGTTTGATTAATGAGCAGCTCTGCCATGAGGCTACGCTGGGAGTAAACTACTCTTTTCAGAAATGGCTAGATCGGCACTATTGTACTAATTATTTCACAAGCTTGAGGTCAGTTCCAAATTCCCTGACACACACAAGGGAACAAACACCCGGGCTAACTGAAGCCGACAGAGCTCTAATTAAAGCAGAAATTGTTTGTGACTCCCCTCTCCCTCTCCCCTCCACCCTACAAGCCCTCTCTTCCCAGAGGAGGAAGCTGTCAGACACATTTCCTCCCTGCCCCTAGCCTGGCCCAGTACAAACCCCCAGAGTTCCAGGAAACAGTTCACAGCACCCCAGTGCATACACATATGCTGAGCACTGGCAAAGAGGGGAGCTATCCATGGTGGGTCCAGTGTCCAGGTTTCTATTTTTTTCTTTTTTTTTAAATCTCAATCATGGCTGGGCATTATTGGGGGGATTGATTGAGCCCAGGAGTTCGAGACTAGCCTGGGTAAATTGACGAAACCCCGTCTCTACAAAAAAAAAAAAAAATACACATATATTACATAAGTTAGCCCGGCATGGTGGTATGCACCTATAGTCCCAGCTACTTGGGGGACTGAAATGGGAGGACTGATTGAGCCCAGGAGGTTGAGGTTGCAGTGGGCTGTGATCATGTCACTGCACTCCAGCCTGGGCAACAGAGCAAGACTGCCTCAAAGGCAGAAAAAAAAAAAAAGAAAAGAAAAAATCCCAATCACATTCACAGGTGTTATATTCATTCATTCATTCATTCATTCATTCATTGGTTCACTTGTTCATTTATTCTTCTGTTTGCTTCTCCCATGCATTTTTATTAAATGCATTTTATGAACAGAGCATTGTGCTGAGAACCAGCAGGGCCCCAGTCTTTGAGAGCTTACTTCCTGGTGGGGGACAAAGACATCAATCAGATCATCACATTGATAAATGTAAAATTGCAACTGTGAGAAACGCTATAAAAAGAGGACTGTGTGTAACAGGAGGATTTGACCTGGTTGGGTCCCTGATCCTTCAAGAGGTGGTGACAGTGCTGTAGGAATTAACTAAGTGAAAGGTGTAGGAGATGAGGACTGTTCAAGGTGGTGGAGTCAGCACAGGCAGAGGCCCTGTGGTAGGAATATAGGTAAAGTTCTGAAAGAACAAAAAGAAAGTCAGTGTGGCTGGAGCTCTAGAACAGAAGCAGATTGATTTGGGTCCAGGCTTTTGCTATGGCTGTGGCCATAAGGGACCTTAGCATGTCTGCATCTCAGTTTTCTCACCTGAAAAATGAGGATGAAACTTCTTATCTTTCAGGAACATTGCAGTGGTCTCCTTAGCATCTATTCCTTTTCTCTTGATAATTACTCTGATTTGATTAGGATTTCTATACTTTCCCCTTGCACCTTGGTAGATCTGGAGTGAGGGAGAGATGCTGGTAAATGAGATTCAGCAGAGGGTCAAGCTATGAAGAGCCTTGAAGCTGAAGGCAGGGTCCAGCTGTAACGATGCCACTCAAACATCCCCAGTGGCTTGCATTGCTGTCGGCTCTCTTCCCTACTTATTGCTTGACATCCAAGTCCCTATAAATGCTACCCTGAATGTTTCTGGCAGTCTTCCTTTCTATGAAACCCAACCACTGTGCTTCAGCTACCTGCTTGCTTTTCACCACTGGTTCTTTACACTTTCCAACCTCCTTCCACTGTCTCTAGCCACCCCTCACCATTCTCAGAAAGGCTTATGTATTAGTCTGTTCTCATGCTGCTAATAAACATACACCTGAGACTGGGTAATTTTTAAAGAATAAAAGGTTTAGTGGACTCACAGTTCCACAAGGAGTCAGTTCCACATGGGGAGATTTCACAATCATGGTGGAAGGCAAAGGAGGAGCAAAGTCACATCTTACATGGCAGCAGGAAAGAGAGCTTGTTTGGAGGAACTCCCCTTATAAAACCATCAGATCTTGTGAGACTTATTCATTACCATGAGAACAGCATGCCAAAGGCCTGCCCCCATGATTCAGTTACCTCCCTCTGGGTCCCTCCCACAACACATGGGAAGTATGGGAGCTACAACTCAAGATGAGATTTGGGTGGGGACACAGCCAAACCATATCAGCTGACTTCCTGTTAACTCATCTACAGGGACACGACAAAGATGGAAGTTAGGTCACGTATGTAAGCATTTGCAGTGTTACTCCATGGATGTTTACTAAGTACTGGCACATGTTCTTCAATTTTTACGTCACTTAGTTTGTAGCTTTCTTTGTAATACGGCTGAAATGTCTGCTTTAATATAGTCTATGAAATGCACATGTTACTGTTGTTAATAACTCCCATTGAGTGTGTGTTAGCAAAGTACCCTTACATATGTCATTTTATTTCATCTTCCTGACAACTCTTTCCAGTAGACATGACTACTATCATGGCACAAATGAATGATCCTATGGCCCAGCAATATTGGACAGCTAGCCAAAAGACATATCTAGTAAGTGTATGTCAGATCTGGGCTTGGACTTCAATTTTTTCCCACTAGGTCACGTATTATTAAGTTTATTTGTTTCAGAAATAATATCAGCTAACATATATTGAATGCTTATTTCATGTGGGCATTGTGCCAAAAACTTCCCATGCATTAATTTATACCTACCTTGTAAGGCAGAAACCATGGTAAATCTCATTTTCATTTTTATTAATGAGAAAACTGAGGCACAGAATAATTTAGTAATTTGTGATTATACAGGTAGTAAATGGTGGAGGCTGGATTTGCACACAGGTTTCAGGCATTAAAACCGAGAGACACAGCCAACTCCATTTCCTTGTTACTTTTGACGCCCAGTTAAAAAAGCACCTTGCTTCCGATGTACCACAAAGCCACCTTCTGAAGGTGGGCATGGTGGCTGGTTAAGGTGTGCCCAGAAAGGGTATAAGGCCATCTGCACTAAGGTTCCTTTACTTTGGGTGTTGGGGATTTTTCAGCTCAAGACTCCCTTGCATGGTCTAAAAAGAATGAACTAAATGGGAAAATCAATAATGCACACAGATGGCCCTGGCAATGTTTACACTATTTAAGAGAGCAAATTATTTTGAAGCACCTGAGATTTATTCTTTCCCATACAAAAGAAGAAAATCAGGGGAATTACAGGTCATTCTTATCTACTCATTGAGGCTGACTCCCTCAGAGGCAATTATTATTTGGTGTTTATATTAGTTTGCATTGGCCATTTTCTATGGCCCCATTAATGCCAATTAAGAAAGTTTCACTTCACTGCCATTTTCAGTATAGATAATATGTACAGAAGAATAGAATTCATCAAGAAACATTTATTGAGTGACTACTATATGACGGATACTAGGCCAGGGGCTGGAGCTAGGGAAAAATAGCTGTAAATGTGACAACAACCAAAAAAACAGGTATAAAGCACTCATTATGCACCAAGCTCTCATCTAAGATCTCATTTAATCTTTACTCAGGCCCATGGGGTAGGTGGTATTATTATTGCCATTTTCTAGGTGAGGAAACATGAGCTCAAGGTCATGCGTTTATAATGTGAAAGAGGTGGGATTTCAACCCAGGCAGTTTGATGGAGAAATCAAAGACAGGTCCTGCTCTGGAATTGCTTCCCCATTAGTAGGGGAGGCAGACAACACACACACACACACACACACACACACACACACACGCACACACACACAGCCACCACTGAAAAATTGTAGTGTATTGTAAATAAAAGGGGAAAGATAAACCACAATGAAGGGATGGAGAGAAGGTGGGGTTGTTTGATAGAAGTAGTCCTGGAAGACCTCTGAGATAAGCCATGTTGAATTCAAAGGGAAGAGAAAGAGCTAGAGATGGGATATTGGTGAAGATATTGACGGTGATGGGATGAAGAATTCCGGACAGAGAAAACCGAGGGTGTGAGGTGAGAACAAGCATGAAGAGTCCAAGGAACTGAAAGAAAAAACCTGTGTGGCTAGGATTTAGTGACTCAGGGTGAGAAGGGCAGCAGAGCTGAAGAGGGAGAGGGTGGCACAGGCTAGATTATGTAGGGTCTCAGCTCCAGCATTTCAGGATGGATAAAATGAGATAATCCATGTAGTTTGCTTATTGCAGTGTCTGGAACTTAGTAAGCACTCAGTGGACATTCATTTTTATAAGCATTATGGTTATTCCACATCTTGTTTTATTGACTTTGATTTCCTTTAGATTAAAAGAAAAAAATAGTGTATTTCATTTAATTTTCCCCGCTATTCACAGTTTATGCTTATGTGATTCTGGAAGAATTCCAGCTAGGAATGCCTTGGACCCATCCCAGGACCAGCAACCCCTGCAGCAGGACAAAGATGGCACTGAGACTATGTGTGTAGCTGGAAGCAACCTAAATGTCCATTCGTGGGTGAATGAAGAAAGAAAATGTGGCATATCCATACAATGTAATATCATTCAGCCTTTACAAAGTAGGAAACTCTGCCGTTTGCTGCAACAGAGATGAATCTGGAAGGCATTATGCTAAATGAAATAAGGCAGTCAAAAAAGGACAAATACTGCATGATGCCCCTTATATGAGGTATCAAAAGAGCCAAATTAATGGAATCAAAGAGCAGAACGGTGGTTGCCAGGGGCTGGTGGGAGGATATGACGTATTAGCTAGGGTTCTCCAGAGAAAAGAACCAACAGGTTGGATGGATAGATAGATAGATAGATAGATAGATAGATAGATAGATAGATAGATAGATAATTTATATGGAACCAACAGGAGGTAAGATAGATATATATATATATAGCCGGGTGTGGTGGCTCACGCCTGTAATCCTAGCACTTTGTGAGGCTGAGGTAGGTGGATCACTTGAGGTCAGGAATTTGAGGCCAGTCTGGCCAACATGGCGAAACCCCACCTCTGCTAAAAATACAAAAATTGGCCAGGTGTGGCGGCACTCACCTGTGGTTCCAACTCCTTGCGGGGCTGAGGCAGGAGAATCGCTTGAACCTGGGAGATGGAGGTTGCAGTAAGCCAGGATCGCACCTCTGCACTCCAGCCCGGGTGACAGAGTGAGACTCTGTCTCAAAAAAAAAAAAAAAAATATATATATATATATACATATATATATATGTATATATATATATATACTCGACTGCATTTCTGAAGGTCAAACAGCAGTAACATGATCTGCTGGATTTGGGGAAACCTTTTAAAAAGAGGAAGAAGAAGAAGAACATGTACCGTTTATGAGAGATCATTTTTGTTTTTACCGACAGTGCATATATATACATATTTTACATGTATATATACACACACACACTATACATATATTATTATTATTATTATTTATCATGACGAATTGCCTTATGCAGTTATGGGAGCCAAGAAGTCCCATGATCTGCCATCTGTAAGGTGAAGACGCAGGACAGCCATTCATGTAGTTCCAGTCCAAACTCGAATGCCTGAGAACCTGTCCAATGCCAGGAAGAGATGAATGTTCCAGCTCAAGCAGAGAGAGACAGAATTCACCCTTCCACCATCTTTTTGTTCTATTCAGGCCCTCCACAAACTGGATGATGCTCACCACATGGATGAGAGGGGAATCTTCTATACCCAGTCTACTGATGCTAATCTCTCGCAAAAACACCATCCGTCACAGACACACCCAGAAACAATGTTTTGCCAGCTCTCTGGGCATCCCTCGGCCCAATCATGTTGACACATGTAATTAACCATCACAAATGGAGACTTGCTCATCCATGGGCGTAAAGTTTCAGTGAAGCAGGATAATTAAGTTCTAGAAATCTGCTGTACCATGTTGTACCTATAGTCAGCGACGTTGTATTGTGCACTTAAACATTTGTTAAGAGGGTAGATCTCACGTTAAGTGTTCTGATCACAATAAACTAAAACTGAAAAAAAGGCGGGGAATGGGCATTTCAAATGCGCAGTGGAGGGAAAGGAAGGGGAGAGGCACAGTTAGGCTATGGGCTGTTCCTCCTTCAGATGAGTGTCCTCAAACCGCCCACTAAGCCTCTGGGCAGAGATGACAGAAGTTTGTGCAGAGAAAAACCTAAGGGCTTTATTTTAAGACCTTCTGTCAGGAAAGGCCTTTGGAGGAGATTCAACCACTCGCCTGCATTCCTGAAGGTCAAACAGCAGTGACATGATCTGCTGGATTTGGAACAACATTTAAAAAAAGAGGAAAAAGAACATATACCCTTTATGAGAGATAATTTTTTTTTTTTTTTTTTTTTTTTTTTTTTACCGAGAGACAAAGAAAGAAAAGAAAGAGGTGAGAAAGTTCTGGTAGGGAGGAATTAAAGAGAGGTGAACACCTGCCTCTTCAGCTTCTGTTGAAATTGTTCTTAAATCAAACAGCGGTTTCCAGACAGGGCCAGGTAATTGATTATAAATGTTGGAATTTATTTCAATAAGCTCTGTCATTTCTTAGCAGCTGTTTCACTTTACAGCAAACTAACCAACAGAGGTGCTGGAGGCAGCTTGTCTTTTGTCTTTCCCTTTGACGAGTTTGAACTGTTTTTTGTGTTTTTTTGTTTTTGTTTTTTCATTTTTTTTTTTTTTTTGGTGTGATGTTTCTGGCTGAGGCTGACAGGAAGAGAAGACTCTGTTTTTGTTTTCTGTTTTTACTTCAGCAGAGGGAATGTGGAGGGGCAGGGGCTGCTTGTGAGCAGCCTACCTTCTCAGGGGCCCCAGGTTACAGAGAGCATGCATCACGCCCTCTGTCTCTCATTCCAGAACCAGAAGGAAGTGACTGTATCATTCTCCCATATTTATAAGCCCAGGGAAGCTATTCATGTGTTCTGAGAGGATCCTATTTTTTACTCTCATAAAAGCACGGTCCTATTTTACTTTCTTATCACTACGTGAGATTAGCCAATTACACTATTGTGTACTTGTACACATAGTATTGTGTAAACTATGTGTACATCCTTTCCTCTTTCCTGTACTGGAATGTAAGGTCCATGATATCAGGAGCTCTGACTTTTTTTGTTGCTGTGTACCACTCAAGTATAGAATAGTTCCTAGTACACAGTAGGTAACCAGCAGATGACTACTGAATTAGTTAGTTACCCTTACCATAAAATCCCAGATTTTTCTTCCTCTAGGAAGAATTCCAGTGTTGTCCTTGTACATGTTAATTTTACCTACTCCATGATTGGTGGGAATGTAAATTAGTTCAACCATTGTGGAAAGTAGTATCTTGATTCCTCAAAAAGCTAAAAGAAGAACCACCGTTCAACCCAGCAATCCCATTACTTCATATATAACCAGAATAATATAAATCATTCTACCATAAAAACACATGAACATGAATGTTCATTGCAACACTATTCACAATAGCGAAGACATTAGGAATCAACCTTGACAGATTGGATAAAGAAAACGTGGTACATATACACCATGGAATACTATGCAGCCGTAAAAAAGAATGGGTTCATGTCTTTTTTGGGAGCATGGATGGAGCCAGAGGCCATTATCCTCAGCAAACTAACACAGGAACAGAAAACCAAACACCGATTGTTCTCACTTATAAGTGGGAACTAAATGATGAGAACACTAGACACAAAGAAGGGAACAAAAGACACTGGGGTGTACTTCAGAATAGAGGGTGGGAGGAGGGAGAGGGGAAGAAAAAAATAACTATGGGGTACCGGACTTAATACTTGAATGATGAAATAATCTGGACAACACATCCCTGTGCCACAAGTTCACCTACGTAGCAAACCTTCTCATGTACCCCTTAACCTAAAATAAAAGTTTTTTTAAAAAAACTAACAACGAGGCCAGGCACGGTGGCTCACACCTGTAATCCCAGCACTTTGGAAGGCCAACATGGGCAGATCGCCTGAGGTCGGGAGTTCAAGACCAGCCTGGCCAGCATAGTGAAACTCTGTCTGTACTGAAAATACAAAAAAATTAGCCAGGCCTGGTGGTGGTTGCCTGTAGCTACTTGGGAGGCTGAGGCAGGAGAATCGCCCAAACTCAGGAGGCAGAGGTTGCAGTGAGCCGACGTCGTGCCACTGCACTCTAGTCTAGGCAACAAGAGTGAAACTCTGTTTCATAAAAAAAATTAACAATGACTGGGAACTTGCATCGGTTTTCTGTCTAATTCCTTCACATGGGATGATCTGAGATGGTTTTATCTTCCTCTCCTTTATATTGGGGTGGGCATGAAGGAGGTGCTCAGAAATGTCTACTTAACTGAGAGAAATCTGTTTGTTCAATGTGGCTGGCAAATAAGAAACAAATGGCCACAGAGACTCTAGAAGACAAAGAAGGAGGGGACGACGGCCAGGGTGGGTTTTCCACATTCATGCTTTGGGGCTTTTATTTCTGGGCAAAGAATGAGTTAAGACCTAATGATGTCCTTCTGTCTTTCAGACCGGTAAAATCTGGAATGCTACCCAGAGGTAGCACAAACTCCAACTCCTTCAATTTTTATATAAGAAAATATGGGCCGGGCACAGTGGCTCACGCCTGTAATCCCAGAACTTTGGGAGGCCAAGGCGGGTGGATCACGAGGTCAGGAGATCAAGACCATCCTGGCTAACACGGTGAAACCCTGTCTCTACTAAAAATACAAAAAAATTAGCCAGGCATGGTGGCACACGCCTGTAATCTCAGCTACTTGGGAGGCTGAGGCAGGAGAATCGCTTGAACCCGGGAGGCAGAGGTTGCGGTGAGCCGAGATTGTGCCATTGCACTCCAGCCTGGGCAACAAGAGTGAAACTCCATCTCAAAAAAAAAAAAGAAAACATGGCCAGGCGCGGTGGCTCACGCCTGTAATCCCAGCACTTTGGGAGGTCGAGGCAGGCAGATCATGAGGTCAGGAGATCGAGACCATCCTGGCTAACACAGTGAAACCCCGTCTCTACTAAAAATACAAAAAATTAGCCGGCCGTGGTGGCGGGTGCCCGTAGTCCCAGCTACTCAGGAGGCTGAGGCAGGAGAATAGACAGGGTGACAGAGTGAGCGTCTGTCTCAAAAAAAAAAAAAAAAAAAAAAAAAAAAAAAAAAAAAAAAAAAGAAAAAGAAAACATGAAAGATCAAGGGAAATTAAACATTTGAGAAACATATTAAAATTATTAAATATTTACGTTACAGGTAATTTTCTTATACATTGTACCATTTAATCCTAAGTGCGTGTCAGTGAGGCTGTTGTTGTTATTCCCATTTCACAGATGCAATAACTGAGGCTCAGAGCAACTGGCTAATAACATGTAGCTAGCAAGAAGCATCCCTAGGACTTGGATCCTGGTCTTCTATGCCTTTTTATCTACATTTAGGGCTTTAGAATAAAGATCCACTTTCATCAATGAGGTCTCTATCTCTCAAGCCTGAATCTCTAATAACCCACCTAGATATGGCGGTTGGTGGAGGCAATATCTTTTTAGTTTTTCCGGGATGGGTGCTAAAATTCAGAGGAAGCACCTCAAGTTCTCTCAGAGCTCTCTGGCAAAATCTGTCATTATGAGCTTAGTTAAATTAATATTCTTGTGTGATGGGCTACCGGGAGCAGGGCTTTGTGAGGTTCATGGACTTTCACCACTTTCTTTCCTGAGCCTGTGTGGAAAAATACATGTGAGTGCTTGCAGCAATGGCATCTTTGAGCAATTAAAACTTTCAAAAGTCTATTTTTTTTTCTTTTCCCTCCATAGCTTCTTACAAAAAACAATGGCAAATGAGGAGAGTTTTAAAGTGAGATGGAGGCCGGGCTCGGTGGCTCACGCCTGTAATCCCAACACTTTGGGAGGCCAAGGTCAGGAGTTTGAGACCAGCATGGCCAACTTGGTGAAATCCCCTCTCTACTAAAAATACAAGCATTGGGCCAGGCGTGGTGGCTCACGCTTGTAATCCCAGCACTTTGGGAGGCAGAGGTGGGTGGATCACGAGGTCAGGAGATCGAGACCATCCTGGCTAACATAGTGAAACCCCCTCTCTACTAAAAATACAAAAAAATTAGCCAGGCGTGCTGGTGGGTGCCTGTAGTCCCGGCTCCTTGGGAGGCAGAGGCAGGAGAATGGCGTGAACCTGAGAGGAGGAGCTTGCAATGAGCCGAGATTGCGCCACTGCACTCCAGCCTGGGGAACAGAGCAAGACTCCATCTCAAAATAAAAAAAAAAAAAAATACAAGCATTAGCTGGGTGTGGTGGTGGGCACCTGTAATCCCAGCTACTCGGGAGGCTAAGGCAGGAGAATCACTTGAACCTGGGAGGCAGAGGTTGCAGTTAGCTGAGATTACGGCACTGCACTCTGGTCTGGGTGACAGCGCAAGACTCCCCAAAATACAAATAAATAAAATGAGATAAGCAGAGTTTTAACTCACCCCTACCTGGCTGCCAAAGCCTCCTGGAGATGACATTAAGTGCACCCCTCCCAAAAGCTGTGCCTGAGAAGCCTGGTGACTGTATTCAAGGAAGGGCAATGCCTGAGTGACAGACAGATGATCAAAGACAACAGGAGAAAGCATGGTGCAGCAGAACTGCTCTGAGAGGTGCTCTTTCTTTTTCTTTCTTTTTTTTTTTTTTTTGACAGAGTCTCACTCTGTTGCCAGGCTGTAGTGCAGTGGCGTGATCTCGGCTCACTGCAACCTCTGCCTCCCACGTTCAACTGATTCTCCTGCCTCAGCCTCCCGAGTAGCTGGGATTACAGGCACCCATTACCACGCCCAGCTAATTTTTGTATTTTTAGTAGAGACGGGGTTTCACTGTATTAGCCAGGATGGTCTCGATCTCCTAACCCCGTGTTCTGCCCATCTTAGCCTCCCAAAGTGCTGGGATTACAGGCGTGAGCCACCGCTCCCGGCCGAGAGGTGCTCTTTCTATAAGATGGAGCTATGGCACACCATTCCATGAGGTTATTGTGAACATTCATGAAAGAAGGCATGCAAAATGACCAGTGCTGGGCTGGTACATAGTAAATGCTCAGTAAATGCTTTTATTTATGATACTTAGTGTTATTGATTGCTTCAAATATGCAAGACACTGTGCTGATCCAAATGAACTAATAGAATCCTTGCATCAGCCCTCTAAGGTGTATATAATTATTGCAGTGCATTGAGTGGTGGCCCCGAAGATAAAACCACCCAGTACCGGGGAATGTGACTTTATTTGAAAAAAAGGGTCTTTGCAGATGTAAGTAAGCTAAAGATCTGCAGGCCAGGCATGTTGTCTCATGCCTGTAATCCCAGCACTTTGGGAGGCCAAGGTGGGTGGATCCCTTGAGGTCAGGAGTTTGAGACCAGCCTGGCCAACATGGTGAACCCCTGCTTCTAATAAAAATACAAAAATTAGCCAGGCATGGAGCAGGCACCTGTAATCCCAGTTACTAGGGAGGCTGAGGCAGGAGAGTCACTAGAACCCACGAGGTGGAGGTTGCAGTGAGCTGAGATGGTGCCATTGTACTCCAGGCTGGGCAACAGAGCAAGACTCTGTCTCAAAAAAAAAAAAAAAAAAATGAGGTCATCCTGGATTCTCTGGCTGGGCCCTAAATCCAATGACAGGTGTCCTTACAGAAGAGGTGAGGACATAGATGGAAAAGACACACAGAACAGGCCAGATGGAGTGAAGATGGAGGCAGAGAGTGCCACCATGAAGCCCCTAGAGCCAAGGAATGCCTTGAGCCACCAGAAGCTGGAAGAGGCAAGGAAGGATTCTCTCCAAGAGCTTTTGAAGGGAGTACCACCCTGCCAAAATCATGGTTTCAGATTTCTGGCCTCCAGAACTGTAAAAGAATTAGTTTCTGTTGTTTTAAGCCACCCAGTTTGTGATAATTTGTTAGGGCAGTCCTTGGAAATGAATACAATTATCATCATCCCAATTTTACTGGTGGACAGATTAAGGCAAAGAGAGGTTATGTAATTTTCACAGTCACACATCTGAAAAGCAGTAAAACTGGTGATTGAAACCAGGCAGGCTGAGTCACAGAGATAATAGGATTATTAGGAGGCAGGGAAACTAAAGGTGCAAACATGAGGTGACACTTTATCCAGGTCCCTTACCCTCTCTGGCATCTGATTATATCATGCATACATCGTGATTGATTGATTGACTACTGGATGTAGGACTCTAAAGCTGGGGTTTTATAAAACTGTGGCCTATGGACGAAGAATGGTTTTTATATTTTTAATTGGTTGTATTTAATAGTATTTATTTTGCTTTTTGCTCCACAAAGTTTACATTGTTTACTATCTGACCCTTTGTAAAAAGTTTGCCAACCCCTGCTGTAAAGAATGAGAGATAATTGTACCTCCCATTTAAAAAATGGAGTTCAATGCACTTTCACTCACCAATTCATCAAATATCTATTGGGTGCCTACTAAAATTTCAAGAACTCTTGAAGGAGACGGCAAAACAAACGTGGTGGTCCAGTAGGGGAGACCATCACGTAAACAAGTCTACCGTAATGTGGCAATGCAGTATCAACACAGATGCAGAATACCATGATGGGGAGAAAGAAGAGAAGCCTGAGAGTGGGAGTTTTCAAGGAAAGAGATTGCACTCACTTTTTTAAAAAACCATCATTGTAGCCCTTGCTCCAAGACAGCACAGGCTTCTCTCCATGACAGGAGTGCTACAAACTTGTTGAATAAACAAAGAAGGAACTTTACCTTCAGGACTCAGAGAAGCCTCCGCCTGAAGAGTCAAGTTCTGAACTGAGTCTTAAAGGATGAGAGAGATAGAAGACAAGGGTGAGAGCATGCTCCTACCCCCAAGGAACATCGTTTTCAAAGGCTGAAATACAAAAGAGAACATGAAACATTTGAGGACCTTTATATAACTTGGTTTGGCTCTATGGGATACCAGTAGGATGAGATGAAAGGGTAATGGACTGAAGCCAGGTCCTAAAAGACCTTCTAAGCTATGTCAAAGACTTATAACAAAATTCTAGAGGAAGTGTGGGGCCACCAGGGAATTTGGCCTCTGCATTCACCTTCACAACCCCTTGTGCCACCCCCTATCCTGTCTCCTTACTCATTCCACTCGAGAGTTCTCAGGTGGGCTTTTGCGAAAGACCTTGCTCCTTCCAATCCTGGGTACTTTTCATGTGCTTTTCTCTATTTGAAATCTCTGCCCCATATATATTTTTAGGTGACCTACATTTTCCTTTATTTTGCCTCTATTGTGGTTTTTTCAGGGAAGCCATTTGTGACTTCATCTCTAGACTAGAGCTGGTCTTCCTCATATACCTATCTATATCCCTATCTTAATTTTTGTCCATATCTATATCATATATATATACATATATGTATATATGTATATATATACACATATATATATCATATCATATATATATGTATATATGTATGTGTATGTATATATGTGTATATATATATATATGGAGAGAGAGAGAGAGAGAGAGAGACAGTCTCACTCTGTCCCCCAGGCTGGAGTGCAGTGGCGCAATCTCAGCTCACTGCAACCTCTGCCTTCCGGGTTCAAGCGATTTTCCTGCCTCAGCCTCCTAAGTAGCTGGGACTACAGGTGCGTGCCACCATGTCTGGCTAATTTTTTGTATTTTTACTACAGATGGGGTTTCACCATGTTAGCCAGAATGGTCTCGATTTCCTGACCTCACAATTCACCTGCCGCGGCCTCCCAAAGTGCTGGGATTGCAGGTGTGAGCCACTGCGCCGGGCCTATATCCATATTTTTATATTGATATCACTGTCTATATCTGTATCCATATCTATATGCATATCTCAACCTGTATGCAAATTTCTAATCAATGTCACTATATCTGTATCCATATCTATGTCTATAGCTCACCATTTACAGTCTTCCATAGCACTCAGCACCGTTGTATTTACTTTTACACTTAGATTTTATTTATTTATTTATTTTTGAGACAAGGTCTTTCTCTGTCACCCAGGCTGGAGTGCAGTGGTGCTATCTCGGCTCACTGCAACCTCCAACTCCTGGGCTCAAACGATCCACCTACCTCAACCTCCCACGTAGCTGGAGCTATGGGTGTATGCCACCACACTTGGCTAATTTCTGTATTTTTATTGTAGAGATAGAGTTTCACCATGTTGCCTAGATTGGTCTCAAACTCTAGGTTCAAGTGATGCACCTGCGTTGGCTTCTCAAAGTGCTGGAACTACAAGCATGAGCCACTGTGCCCAGCCTTGAATTTAGGTTTATAGTAAATTTGACTAATTCCTATCTCCCACACTAAACCTTAAGCTCTCTGAGACCGTGTACTAGTTTACTATGGCTGCCACAACAAAGTACCATGGACTTGTCAGCTTAAACAACAGAATTCTGTTTTCTAGCAGTTCTAGAGGCTGGAGGTCCGAGATCAAGGGTTGGTTTCTTCTGAGGCCTCTCTCCTTGATTTGTTGATAACCGTCCCCTCCTGCATCTTCACATCACCTTCCATAGGGCTCATTCCTGTGACCTCATTTTTCTGTAATTACCTAAAGACCCTTTCTCTAAACATGATTATATTCTGAGGCACTGGGGGTTTGGCCCTCAACATACGAATTTGTTGTGTTGGGAGGGGCATAATGCAGCCACAATGGATAGTGTCTGTCTTTTATTTCCATTTCTTCTTCCAATGCCAAGCACAGGGCCTGACATATAGTAGATGCTCAATAAATATTTGAGGAAGACAAGATTCTGTTGCAGCAGCTCTGGAGAAATGGCCTTGAATTGTGTTGTGGGGGAGGACAGATGCAAGGAGACAGTGGGCAAGAATTCCAGTTCTTGGGATGAGAGGTGACAATGGAACTTCTTGAGGCAATGGCAGTGGGGAGGATGAAACAAATGTGGGTTTTAGAGAGAATATGGGGGCAGAGTGAATTGAGTTTGGAGATTCGATTGCTGAGGGTGAGAGAAATGGAGACTCAGAATCGATTCAGCTTAATTGTCACTGTATGTAATCAACTGTGAGTGCTTGCTGCACCCATACCTATAGAAAGGAGAAGCTGAGATGCATGATCTGCCTACTAGGTCTGAATTCACAAGCAGTGCCCTGCTTTCACCTTTTACAATTCCAGCAAGGCAGGATTCTCCTGCTCAACTATTCCCCCACTTCCCCTTCTCCTAGCCTCTCTTTCTTAAAAGGATAGACTATTACCAGCTGGTAGTTCATCTTAAGCCACTAAGGGTGAAGATGTTGGGCTCCAGAGCATTTTATTCCAAGAGAACAGGAGGAGAAGAGATGAATGCCGGGGAACAGGAGTTCATGGGATTTCACTAAGAATGAACTAGACCCTAAAACTTAGACAACAGAGCAGAGAGGCAGGGAATCTGAACTTGAGGCTGTCACAGCCAATCTAAGACTTTCAGTCATATCTTGTTAGGCCTAATCTGACTTTCGCTGATCACATTGCTATCTACACACGCTGACTCAGAAATGTGGGTACTGCAAGCTGAAGATTAGGAGTAGCGCTGAATGGTATATTCACCTTTCACAGGCTTTGCTGCTCCAGACGCTTATAAAATAATTTTCCCCTTTATTTAAAGGCAGAAGGGCTTTTCTCCCCCCAGCTAGTGTTCTGCTTTTTTTTTTTTTTCTCTTTTTCTCCTAATAAAACCCTCCGTGCGGTGCTTGCCTGTGTAATCAGAACTGTGCAGACTGATCTCAGAGCTCGTTTCCCAGGCTGCAGTGCAGAAGCATAGAAAAGGAAGGGATAAACTTTGGGAAGTAATGATGTCTCAGACGCCAGCTGGCTCCCGGAGGTCATACCCTGACTGAGCTCCTTCTGCCCTTCATGCACCCCCAGAAAAGAAATCTGGCTTATTTACCATTTTAGAAAGTTAGACCTTTTCAAAGAGATGCCCCAGGCAAACATTCTTCCTCTCCCATCTCTCTGAAACTAATGACTCTTCTCGGCAAGTTTTGACAGTGAGAGTTGTTCCGACAGCTGAGGGAGTTTGCTGGGAGCCAGGCTGGCTCACAGCCCACAGAAATAGCTGGTCTGTGTGCGGCTGACTCGGGGATGCCTGATTCCACAATGCAACAAGTTTGACTTTTTGGAATGAAAATGGGAATGTAGGAAAAGTGCTCTGAGCTGGGGAAGTCTCTGGGCTGGGGCTGTGCTCCAGGAGTCAGATGATGGTTGGGGGGTTTCATTTTTAAGCTCCTGAAATATTTGAATTATTGCAACAATAATAGCACAGGTGATTAAAGTCTGAGATTTAAAAGAAGATGAAAGACATGACTTCCACAGACAATATTTCATTGAATTACTAAAGTGATGACAATAAATAAATTATTTCATATTTATTTTTAACGTTGAGGATAAAGGAAGCCCAGAGAGAACAATGTGAACAAGACCATGTAGCGTGTGTCTCACCTGGGAGTCAAACTCTGGTCCTTATAACTCTAGCTGCATCATGGTGACTATCATGACTTCTGAGGACACTGGGTGGTGGTAATAGGTTCTCAGGTTAGACACAGAGAATGTGATGCCAGCAAAATCTGTGACCCTCTCCTCTGGGCAAAGCAACGCCCACACAGTCCTCTTAGGACAGAGACAATAACGAAATTACAATTCCAACCCTAGTAACCTACTCCACATTCATCATTTCCCTAGGTTACATAAGAATTCCACGGGTTGTCATGGGCAGTGATTCTCATTTTTGAAGATGAGGGGTCTGAAGTGTAGAGAGCTCTTGAAACTCAAGTAAGATCGCAATGCTGTTAAGTAATGAAGCTGCCCAATATCCAGCAACCTGCTGCAAGAGAAAACTGGGGATGCTATTAGGTTGGTGGAAAAGTAATTGCAGTTTTTGCCATGAGTTTTAATGGCAAATGGCTTTTGTACTTTTAATGGCTAAAACTGCAATTACTTTTGCACCAACCTAATACGTTGCAAATCTTTGTTCTCTCTGTTCCACTGGGGATCCCCATGTGTCTCATGAAGTCAATCTCTGGCATTCAAGGGCTGTTAGAACCAAGATAGTGGACAGCTCCCTAGCACTGGTTGCTCACCACCTTCTCTCTTGACATCCCACTACCAGGAGGTCACAAGTAGCTTCGAAGTGAAGATGCTTCACTCATAGGCTCTCAGCCAATCAGCCAGAGTGCTCTGTGGTCTAATAGAAACCAATTTTCAGACATATTTGAAATATCGTGTTTGCTCTGGATTTTCTCTATTCTCCCTTTTCTCAGACTACCACCCTTGACTCTTTCTATTGAAACAGCATTTTTTGTTCTCTAACTTGATTATCTCATCTTCTTTTCACTAGAGAAGGCATCTTCCTTCTGTATTGTGGCTTTTTGCCTCAGTGAGTTAGTGTTAGTGATGTAAAACAGCACACCTATGTATTCTTTCAGTTTTTGTGGTTCAGGAGTCTTGGAAGAATTTAGACAGATCTCTTGCTTAGGTTTTCTGCAGCTTGCAGTCAAGGTGTCTATGGGGCTGTATTCTCATCTGGAGGCTCAAATGGGGAAGAATCTGCTTGCGTGCTTTTTCATGTTGCCGACAGAATTATTTCCTTTGCAGCTGTATGACTGAGGCTTCTTTCTGGCTGTTGACTGAAGGTCACCCTCAAGTCTTAGAGGCTGACTGCAGGGCCTTGCCATATGTCATTCTCCCTAGGCAGTTCATAATGGGTCTGTTTCTTCAGTGCTACCAGGAGAGTATCTTTCTGTTGTCTCTGAAGTTAGAGTCTTATGTGATAAAATATAATCACAATATGACATCCCATCTCCTTTGCCTTGGAAGGTAACCTCATCAAGTCATGTTCTATTGGCTAGAAGCAAGCAACAGGTCTATCTTCACTCAAGGTGGGGGGATTATACAAGGGCATGGATCAGTAGGGGTTATAGGTATGTCTGCTACACCTCTTTGCTTCATTAAACCTGGTCTTGCCTAAGTCACCCAGGATTTTCTAATTGATAGTGATGATAATCATTTTTCTATCATTTATTGAGGGCCAACTAAGTTCCAAGCACTGTGTACACTGTAGGCTATGGAATCTATGGAAACTCCTAAGATATGGGTATTGTTCCCCTCCTCCCTATGTAACAGATGGGGCATCTGAAACTTCAAGAGATGGTTGTCAAACCCAGGCAGTCCGACTTCAGAGTGTGTACTTTTAACAAGTATTCTAGGCTGTCTCCAGTTCTAATTTACCTTTCTATATGTTTGACCTCTATTCAGTATTTTATTCTATTTGAAGCTTTTTTCATTGGCTTTATAAAGCTATCTTTCATATTTCTTCTCCTCCTTCTTTGGTTGTTCTTCTGAGCCTTATCTTGTCCCACTTTCCCACTTAATGTCATCCCGTTTTCTACAAGGCTTCATCAATAGCCCTTCTCTCCCTCACTCCTTAGGATTCACATTCACTTCCATGGCTGCAACACCATGCTTAGGACTCCCCAGTCTTTATTTCTAAATTCTTGCCCTAAGATGACACCCAAACTTATTTTTCTAACTACTTGTTTACCAGGCACATGCGTCACATTAAAAATGAACAAAGTTGAACTTTCCTGTAGCCACTCGAGTTAGAAATTCTATACGCCTTCGTGTCTCTTCCCTCTCATTCACCTCCTCCATTCACCCCCACCCTGGCAGTGCACCTTCTGCCATTGATATGCACAAAGCATGGTACTGGATGCTCCAGTGGGTAAAGAGGTAAGTAAGATATGGTTTTTGCCCTGGGCCATGCACCAGACAAGCAACATAGGTGAGTTTCTCAAGGGCAGAAAAGTATTTAACCATGCACATCCTTAGTGCATGACTCAAAGCCTGGGCCCTGCAGGTGCTCAGGAAATATTTGTTGGATGAAAAACTAGAAATAATAGCATTTGTTGCATAGATTGAACTATTTAATTGTGTAAATGTCTTACCTCCCACCACCCAAGATGGTGAGCTCTTCCAAATAAAGAGAGCTTTTCATTTACTTCTCTTGGTACCTACTAGCGTACCTGATACCTTAGATGCGCTTTGTCAATCTTGGTATACTTGAGTGAATAAAAAATATTCCCCCATTAGCACAGACTGTAACTACTGAAAGATAAACTCAAGCTTTCTGATTCTTCCAGGGAATGAAAGACTTTAATGATAAGGAGACCACAATTTGCAACTGTGAACATGAATATATTATTGCAGTAAGAGGATTCATCTCCTATAGAGAAATATTCTCATTGATCATCAATGTCCCTAGGCCTAGGCTGTTTCCCAGAGGGAAAGACTGTTATCAGTTTCATGAATTACCATTGCGGAATTTGTCTTTTCATTTAAATATAGGATATATGTGTATACACATGTTTTTATACATATATAAAATCAAAAGCATATGCTAGTTTATAACTTGCTTTTCCCCTCAACAATATATCTGAGGCATGTTTTCATGTCAGTTCATGAAAATTGAAATATTGAAAATATTGGTGTTTATTTAACTAGCCAACATTTAGGTTTTAGGTTGTTTCCTTTTTTTTGCCAGCGGGGAGGGGTGGGGCAATTGATTATTCTTAAAAGCGCTCCTTTTTTGCACTTACTTGAGTTTCTTTCTAGGTAAAATCTAGAAGCAAATTTGCTGGGTCACAGGTATCTGTGTATTAAGGAATTTATACATAACCTGAAATCTCCCCCTATGTTTGTGCTTCCCAAATACCTGAGGAGCTCAACACCAACAATAACAACAAAAACTTTCTATTTACAGGAATTGATCCAGACAAAGAGAATCAAAATCTCAGAGATGAGTCAAAGGAATCCGAGCTTTTAAAAGCTTCCCATGAGACTCTGATGCAGCTAGTTTGTGAACTGCAAATTCGAGACCTCCTGATATATGTGAAAGTGCTTTGCTGGTTACAGCACATTATATCCAATGCATAAATCACACAAATTTTGCAGCCAGGAATACCTGAGTTCAATTCCTTGGTTAACCTCTGCCCTGGTTGGTGACCCTGAGCAAGACTTTTAACCTCTCGGAATCTCTGTTGTTTGTCCTAATAGTTGTGGGCTGTCAACTGGGAAACTCTTCTTTATATCCAGTCATCCAAATTAAAATAGAGTCAAAACAGGACAGACCATGCAGCTTTCACCTGTTTCCATGGTATCTCCACTCCAAACAGATGCTCTGATAAGTTTCCTTCACACAATGAGGATGGTTCGCAAGCCTTTCTGCTTCTTAGATGACAGAAGCTCAAAGGCAGAAGCTATGTAGCTGTGTTTTATTTTTCTATAACCCTAGTCAAGAGACATTTTGGTATTTATAATTACGGGCTCTGGAACCAGGAAATCTATGTAATCCCCAGTCTGCTGCTTCATAGTTGTGTTCTTGTGGGCACCTTGCTTAACCACTGCTTCCATTTTCTTTCCTGTAAAATGAGTACTAGGGTGACATGCTCATGACTGGGTTGTTGATGGGAATTCGACGCATTCAACCATGTAAATCAATTAGAATCATGTGCCTGAAATGTAATAGCACAATACTTGCTGGCCATCATTGGTATCCACCATTTCTGGCAGAAAGTAGGTGTTCAGTAAATGTTTAATGATGGAAGGCTGCATGCAGTGTTTGATCATAGAGAAGCCCCTAAATGACATGGAGTTATTCTTCTTCTGCATTTTACAGTTATGGAAATAGACTCAAAGAGGTTAAGAGGCTCATCTGAGATCACAGAATAAATGAATCCTGTTCGACCCCACAGTTAGAATCTACATGTCTGGATTTTTGTCCAAAATGATCTGGGCTAGAAGAGAGTAAAGGGAAGATATTGGGGTTGTTGTTGAGGGGTTCGGGTGGGATACTGGGGTGCATGCAGTCCTCTCTCTGCCCATCTCCACATGCACATTATAGTGTACACCAGGATCATCCACTGAATTTTTACTATTGAAGCCACAGGAACCTAGAATCTCAACCTCCTGTGACCTCAAGAAGCCAGGCAAGGTTCTTACCCAGGGCACTCATCCTTTGCCTTAAGCAAAAACACTTGAAACTGAGTAAGTCTCCTTTTTTGTGCCCCAGATGGCTTGAAGAAAAAAAAAAAAAGAAAATTTATAAAAGTGACAAGCAGCCCTTGGAATTTGGCCACGTGGCAGGGTAGAGCATAAATATCTTTTCTTCTCTTGGCAAAGGGAAGAAGGAAAGCTTGTGATTTACTCAGGATACGACGCAGGTAAAGGTGACCTACCTGTCCTTTCCCAACCTTGAGAGTGATTTGAATCAAAACACAGTCTCCTAATATCTGGGGTCTAGAGAAGAGTGTACCCCCTCTCCCCGTTTCCTAAGTCATAGAAACAGAAAATCTCTTAGAAGCTGGATTTTCTAAGGTCAGAGAGCCAGCCTTGAATCCCCCATGGAAAAGGCCTTCAAAAGAGTAAATGAAAAATCAGAGTTCAGGCATGTTTTCGTTTTAGATTCCAGATAGGCCCTGAGCTGTGTATTGTTTTTCCCGTATTTTGTTTCTTGCCTGATTCAACCATGGTATCTTGAGCTGTCACAGACTTTAAAAGTTTTATTCTGCCACCAAATACTTACTATACTCCTTAACGTGGTTTGGTGGCTCTGTGTGCTACTCCAGTCTTACCTGCACAGCGGTGAGTGCATGACCTGGACTTGGCCACTCAGATATCTTGTGGACTCCAAGCCACAAAAAAAAGTGCTGCAATGACAAGGCTTGTCACCCAAGTGGAGCCAAAGAGAGTCCTGCCCTGGATAAGATATATAGACACTGAAAACATATATATTTTTCTGCTGGGATTGATAAACTGGGAGAATAAGGATTTGGAGAGCCTGGAGGACCCTCCCCTCCCACGTGGACACAGGTCTTTTGAAGAATGAAGTAAGCAAAGATGGATGGGGAGAAAGTGCCTTGGTAACTTTGAGTCATCATTTAGGTGTTTGGGGCCATGGTTCTGAAGCTATTTCTTCGAGTTTGGTAGCTACCTTACTATTGTTGCAAGCTAGGTAAACACATGACTTTCCTGGTTTGCCTTAGTCAGAGTTTAGTTTTTGTCATAGGAACCAAAATGCTCCTGGCCAATAAACGTGGTTTATAAGGCCTACCATAATTAGGCTTCTGCTAATCTTTGCATTCTCATATCCTCCACTTTTTTAAAGCTCCCTAAACATGCCTCGGCTCTTCCCTTGATGTGACAAAGTCCAGCTCAACCTTCAATTGTCACTTTGCTCTTACCTTTTCTGAGGTGCTTTCTCTGAACTTCCAGTGTGGAAGAGGTCCTATCTCTGTCCGTCCACAGCATGGTATCCTGTCTCTAATGCTAACAATGACCTATCTGTGTTCTTTGCTCTGTCCTGCACTAAACTGCAAGGATCTTGAAGACAGGAAGTGTACCGGCTTCACCATTGCATCCCTAGTACTCGGTGTGACTCATGGCATAGAAGGAAGGTCAATGAATGGAGTGGAATGAATGGAGGATGGAGTATTTCTGAAGTACAGGAGGGAGTGAGTGAGCACTGGGCAAAGATAGGAAGGAATGAACATTGACAGAACATCTGCGGTGTGTCTGCAGTAACAGTAGATACTCAGCAATGGCTCATTTCTTTTTTTTCTCTTATTATGTGTGCCACTTTATTAAACAAAACAACATGGGATTAATGCCTCCTTTTTTTTTTTTTTTTTTTTTTTAACAGAGTCGTGCTCTCTCGCCCAGGCTGGAATGCAGTGGTGTAGCCTCAGCTCACTGCAACCTCTGCCTCCAAGGTTCAAGTGATTCTCATGCTTCAGCTTCCTGAGTAGCTGGGATTATAGGTGCCTGCCATCATGCCTGGCTAATTTTTGTATTTTTAGTAGAGGCGGGGTTTCACCACGTTGGCCAGACTGGTCTCAAACTCCTGTCCTCAGGCGATCCACCCGCCTTGGCCTCACAAAGTGCTGGGACTACAGGTGTGAGCCACTGCACCCCGCCCAATGCCTCCATTTTATACACACAAAAGGCGGCCCAAAGAAATAAAGTCCTTTTTTTCTGAGAGGTACAGCTACCATGTTTGAGCTCATACCTGTGAATTCATTTGTGTGAGGTTCCATAGCTCAGGTTTTTTTTTTTGTTTTGTTTCTGTTTTTAAACCACTTATAGGACAACAGATTAAGACACAGAGCTCAAAGTTTGCTAGAATCAGCATGCATGACAACATAAACAAGGTAGCATAATATGAGATGATACAAGGGATCTAAATCAACGAGGCTTAAACCCAGTGAGAGAGAGACACGAAGTCGAGAGGCATTTGATCTCACTCTAAGATCGCTTCTGTTGCCCCAGTGAGAAGCAATTTTTTTTTTTCTTTTGAGACAGAGTCTTGCTCTGTCACCCAGGCTGGATTGTGGTGGCACGATCTCGGCTCACTGCAGCCTCTGCCTGGGATTATAGGTGCCCACCACCATGCCTGGCTAATTTTGTATTTTTAGTAGAGACGGGGTTTCACTATGTTGGCCATGCTGGTCTTAAACTTCTGACCTCAGGTGTTTCACCCACCTTGGCCTACCAAAGTGCTGGGATTACAGGCATAAGCCACCGTTCCCGGACAAGAAGCAAATTTTAGGTATTGTCAAGAATGGCCTACAGGCAACACATGAAGACTCTGTCTCTACAGAAATTTTAAAAATTAGCAGGGTGTGGTGGCATGCACCTATGGTCCCAGCTACTTAGGAGGCTGAGGAGGTAGGATCTCTTGAGCTCAAGAAGTCGAGGTTGCAGTGAGCCGGGACCATACCACTGCACTCTAACCTGGGCAGGAGAGCAAGACCCTGTCTCAAACAAACAAACAAACCCCAAAAACCCAAACCCCCAAAACCCATTACCTAATGGATAGAAATGCCTAAAGCTGGACTGAGTACTCTGAACATGGGGCTTTCGTCTTCAAGAATTCACTGAACTTCACATTTGGTAGAGAGGTTGAAGAAAGAATTTAAGAGCTCTCCCAACCCCAAGATCGGTGATAGATTAACTGTGCTTGTTTGAGGCACTTCCTGGGCCCTGAGCCAAAAAATCGGGGATTCAGGTTCCAGATGTAGGCAAAGAGGTGCATGAACCTTTTTTTGTGGTCACTCTGGGCAACACAGACAGACCTGGTTTAGTATCCTGGAGGATACGGTGGGGCCAGCAGGTGAGCAGTGTGTGGTCTTGTGCTGGCTGCTAGGGGTACCTTGTGGGAGAAGGCGCTGGTACTCCAAGTAGAAGTCTTGTAAGGAGACACATCCTGGAACATTGAGGGAGGTGGTGGCCTGTTAATATGCACTGCAGATCTGTGCAAGGGACATCCATTTGCTGCTGATGGCTTGGTGCTTAGGGTACACTTAAGTCTCCTGGAGCTAATCTAGCATGCCTGGCTATTAGTGTGTGTGTGTGTGTGTGTGTGTGTGTGTGTGTGTAGAAGCATGAATGGCAGAGACAGGGAGAAACAAGTTGGCCAAGAGCCCCATTTGAGTGGAGGAGAGGGTGCCCATCTATGGAAAACAAAGCCCATTTGCTGGCTAAAGAGCTGCTTTTTGAAAACCCCCAGCCTAAGGGGGGAAGTTTAGCTCCATGCAATATGCTTTGTGTTTTATCCTGTTTAATCTGCTATCAGCATTAGCCAGCATCATTTTTTATTTTACAGACGAGGAAATTGCAACTTAAAGAGACCAAGAAGTGCCGTCTAGAAGAATAGCAAGAGACAAGATTGGCTGAGACCATTCAAGAATGTTTGGGCCAATTGAAGATTTCGGATTTCCTGTTAAATGCAAGGGGACACTGTTGCAGAGTTATGAGCAGTGGGTTGACAAAGTGTGGCTTTGGCTGCTGCGTAGTAGTGAATCGTAGTAGGGGAAATAGTAGAAGCAGAGACCAGTTAAAGAGCTATTTAGTACTGCACATGAGGCAAGAGAGTGCCTAGGATTAGCACAGCGGTGGTGAAGGAGTTTGGGATGTATTGTGGAGGTAGATTGCTAATGGAAGTTCCTCCCAGTTGAAGAATACTCCGGAATTGTTCACTGGGCAAATAAAGTTGAGCACATAAGAAGGGCCAGCCTTCAACTGATGAGCGAAAGTCATGACTATACTGTGGACACACCCTGAGTCTCCTGTGCAGATGACACACGGTCTTCCAAACCTGCTGGAGATGCCCCTCTACAAGGAATCCTCCCAACTTACAAAGAGCATAAACCTTCAAGGTTGGTAATTCGTCACATTTGAATGTCAGATCTCTTCTTGAGCACTCTACTGACCCCAAACGCTTTCTAGAGCAGGAGGAGTAAGCTGAGAAGGGGTCAGGAGGGTTTGGGAGACTAGTGGTGGAAAATCAACATTGACTGGGCTCCTACTGCATGCTACATACTGAGCTGGACATGTTCGTAGAGCTTCTCATTTAATTCTCCACACTCTGGGATTGTGTGGACCATGAAGGTGAGGCTCAGGGATTCTGAGACACTGCCATAGTCATACAGCAGGTAAGTGGCAGAGCTGAGATTTAAATCTGCATCTGTGTCCAAAGTGCAGATCGTTATTATCACAGCATATAGTGATATACCCGAGGCTAAGGGCTCTAACATGCTGATGTGTGTGGGTGCTGGTGGAGCGAGGCCTTGGGGATCATTAGGAAGCACGCCAGCCCACATCTCCACTTCAAGTGGCCCAGGTTTAGGTGACATTTACTAAGACCCAGTGGTAGGCCGGAGCATCAACACTAATGTGCATTAATACGGACAGAACACCTTTGAAGTGCTGCTGGGGGGTATATTAAAAAAAAAAAAAGGCCAGGAGCGGTGGCTCACGCCTGTAATCCCAGCACTTTGGGAAGCCGAGGTAGGTGGATCATGAGCTCAGGAGTTCGAGCCCAGCCTGGCCAACATGGTGAAACCTCATCTCTACTAAAAATACAAAAATTAGGCAGGTGTGGTGGTGGACGCCTGTAATCCCAGCTACTAAGGAGGCTGAGGCAGGAAAATTGCTAGAACCCAGGAGGCAGAGGTTGCAGTGAGCCGAGGTCATGCCGCTGCACTCCAGCCTGGGCAACAGAGCAAGACTCCTTCTTAAAAAAAAAAAAAAAGAGTTCTCTTGATCTTGATTTCAGAATTTCTTAGCGATAGCACTTGCTGACGTTTGAGGTCTTCTCTGGGCCAACGGCAGCATTGGGGTTCCACTGGGCCCCAGAATGGGGTGAGGGAATGATGCTCAGAGCAGGTGTCATGAGAAGAGAGACCTGGGCTGGCCTGGGAGCAGAGCTCTTGCCGATCTCCAGCTAGATGTCCGCTGGGCACTGCTTGCAACCCGTCTCTCAGGAATTACAGGTAATAAGGTAGGGCTGATGTTAATGGTTTATGACACGAATTCATTTTGAGAACTATATGCTTCACCCATCGCTTTTATTTTTCAATTTAGATCTGTTGGGTATTAATAGCTTTGGGGCTGTGTTTTCCATTTTAATCTTGCTTTTTCTCATTTCCAAGTAGATTCCTTCTTTCAATTTACGCAAACATTAAACCTCCATTTCCTGCAGCCCCGCACTCCCCTGCAAAATTCTCTCTGCTGACCTTGTAAGAAAACTTTTTTTAAAGTATGAACTTTCCTTATACCCAGCCTAACCCCACCAGCCACAACCACCTTCGTTTTTAGCCACCCTCTGCTGGTTGTAGTTTCTCACTGACACGGCACTTTGGGCTGCAAGGAAGCGATGACTCAGACCAACAGAGGCTTCAAATACACAGGTCTTTAATATCTCACATAATGAAATGTCCAGAGGTAAACAGTTCTAGGTATGTTAATTGGGAGGCACTATAATTTCAACAAGGATACAGATGCTTTACATCTTTCTGGTCTACCATTCTTAGGGTATATTTCCCCTTTCCCCCACCCTGTGCAGTGTGTCTCTCCATCATAACAAGCCTGGACAGTTTCAGGCATCCTGCCGTTCATAGCCATGTCTACAGGGAGGAAGGGGACGTTTTTCCTGGCTTGTTTCTTTTTACGGGCAGAAGACTTTCCCAGAATCCCCCCATTGATCAAAATGGAAATGCTTCCTTTCCCTTGATCCCAACTGGCCCACATGCCCAAATCCATCGCTGTATGGTATGACTTCGATCGGTCTGCACGAATCATAGTTCATTTCCTAGGGCTGGGACTGTCCTGTCAGATCACGTTGTTGGCTGATACTGGAATAAAATCTAAGAGGAGTACAGGTATTGTAGCAGCAGAAGCTGTTGCAGGTGATAGCTGTTTTTCAGCTATGTGGCTTTGCTCGTGCTGTGTGCTTTTCTGTTGCATCTTCTCCTGCTGCCCCTTGACCTCAAACACAGGGAACACCTGGACTACCTGGTCAGACTTTAAGAGACAGCACAGCTGCTACCTTCTCCGGATTGTCCTCTTTTCGTTGCTTCTCACCTACAGTCTCATAGTGCTCCAGGCATATGTCAAGCACTGCATTTGTAATGCTATCTTTATGATAATTTAGTTTTCCCATTAGATTGTGAACTCTGAGGGTAGAGGCTGAGTCTCACTTACCTGTCTTACCTCACAGCCTGGCATCCTAGAACAAATGCTGAGTAAAACTGCTAAAGGGATGAAGGATGAGTGCCCCTGAGGAAGGGGAGGTTGAGATATGCCCTCAGCTTGTTCCTGCCTTGAAATGTGTCCTCTAGAACATCAGGCATCAGCAACATAGAGGTACTTGTA
Source organism: Homo sapiens (assembly GCF_000001405.40). Classification (NCBI taxonomy): domain Eukaryota; kingdom Metazoa; phylum Chordata; class Mammalia; order Primates; family Hominidae; genus Homo; species Homo sapiens. The sequence goes on along the minus strand of NC_000016.10, from coordinate 8,298,795 downwards.
GTTCCCCAAATAAGCCATGCTGTTTTGTGCCCGTCTGTCTTAGAATATTTTGTTTCTACCACCTGCATACTCTTACCTGGGCTCCCACTCCACTGCTCAACCATTGCCTTGGGAACTCCCTTCCATTATTTAAAAAAAGCCATCTCCAGCATGAAGAGGCCTTTTCTGGAAATCTCCCTAAAATCTGAACACTCTTTTCTACATACCCCTATTGCACTTAGCATGTACTTCCATTGTTTAGGGAAAATTTAAAAGTCTTTCTATGTATTGGTTTCCTCATCTGATAAAAGAAATGATGTCTTAGTCAGTTTGGGCTGCTATCATAGAATACCATAGACTGGGGCACTTAAACAGTGAACATCTATTTCTTACAGTTCTGGAGGCTGGAAAGTCTGAGATCAGGGCACCAATATGGCTGGATTCTGATAAAGGCTGTCTTCCTGGTTGCCACACAGCCGCTTTCTTGCTGCGTGCTCATACGGCGGAGGGAGAGAGAGAGAGAGAGAAACAGAGAGAGAGAGAGAGAGAAACTGCATGCTCCAGTCCCTTTATACCTTTCTAAGGGCACCAATCCCAGTATGGGGTTTTCACCCTCATGACCTCACCCTACCCCAATTATGTCCCAAGGCCCCGCCTCCAAATATCATCACATTGGGGATTAAGACTTCCACATATACATTTTAGGGGGACACAAATTTTCAGTCCGTAGCAAATTATAAAGTGTTTGTTTCTAGTCTTGAGGAGTAAATGGGGTTAATGCATTCATATCTCTTAGGAGAGAGAGCACTTGATATACATGAAGCATTCAATGCATGTTGTTGTTGATGCTGGTGGTTGCAGCATGCACCCCCCTGTAGCGCACATACCTGATTGCTGTTTTTTCTTCTCCAATGTGCTATGGGAATTTTGCAAGTAAAGACCATATCTTGCCCATCACTGACTCCCCAGCTCCCAGATGAGGCACAAAAATAGTGCTCAGATAGTTTGCTGAGGACTGAGTGAGTAAAGATGACAGCTTTCCTTTTGGAAGAATGGCACCAGCCACCCTTTATATCTCTGGAAAAAGCAAAGAGGAAGAGGAAGACGCAGTGGGAAGCTTGCAGATTACACAGTAGGAAGTGATTCCAAGACCTTCCGACCCCCTCCCCGAAACAACAGCACCAACGTACACTAATAAACATCTTTGCTAAGGTCATCTCTCTGCATGTTTTGGAGTGGATTGAAAATTAGGAGAAGAAAAACCTGTAAATCACGGAATCCAGGGTCTAGTCCTTCTTTTTCCATAGACTCTATAAATGGCTTTGGGTGAGCTTTCGCTTCTTAGTTCATAAAATTCAGGAAGATGAGATGAGTGATATCTCAGGTTCTCAGCATCTCAGACATTTAAAAATAAATAAAATACAGAATAAAAATTAGACACATTGTGGTTCTAAGGACTTCATAATCTTCCTTGAAACCCATAGATGGGATCGGACAATCATGAAAGGTTGCAATTAATTTCCACAATGACATGACTTACCTTGGGACTGGGGGCTTCATAGACCCAAGACAAGTGTGGAGAGTAGGGCATGGATCCAGGGATCCTTGGTGTCTGGCCTCATCCTGTTACCCGAGAATGATGAGCCCTTTGGCAAGCTATTGAAATGCCCTAGGCCTCAATGTTCTCATCTGTAAAATAAGGAGATAGAACCTACTTTATAGGGTAGTTATAAGAGTCAGGTATGGACGTGGTACATGGTAAGTCCCCACTCCTCCACTATGGCTATTAATGGAGAGAAGAGTCCCTGTTGATTACAGTCATCAGGGGGTGGAATTTGAGATGGAGCTTGAAAGATGAATACTAATCAACTGGACACAGAGAGGTGAGGAACGAGATGTATCCAAGCCTAGTAAATGACGATGATGTGAGGGTAGTGGTGGTTTAAATGTGTATCATGCATCATTTGATTCTCAAATCAACTGTATGAAGCCAGTGCTATGATTTGTCCCTTTTTAAACGTGAGACAACATGGTTCAAAGAAGTTAAGTAACTTACCCAACATCACACAGCTAGTATGTGGCTGAGCTGAGATTGGAATCCGTGTAATCCTGCTGCAGAGCTCATGTTCTTAACCGCTATGTTCTTCTATGTTTATAAGAGTCTGGGAAGAGCTTTGACTATCAGGCTAACATCTTTGCACAGTTAGCTGGCATGATTTGGTGGCCTTTGAGGAAGAGCAGAGGTCGGATGTGGTGCCTCACACCTGTAATCCCAGCACTTTGGGAGGCGAGGCGGCTGAATCACTTGAGGTCAGGAGTTTGAGACCAGCCTGACCAACATGTTGAAACCCTGTCTCCACTGAAAATGCAAGATTAGCTAGGCGTGGTGGCACACTCTTGTAATCCCAGCTACTTGGGAGGCTGAGGCAGGAAAATCACTTGAACCCGTGAGGCAGAGGTTGCCGTGAGCCAAGATCGCACCACTATGCTCCAGCCTGGGCAACAAGAGCGAAACTCCATGTAAAAACAAAACAAAACAAAACAAAACAAAACAAAACAAAACAAAACAGAGATCGTCTAGAGCCAGGCTCCAGTCCCCTTGCTGCGGAGGAGGAAGGGCATCAGCCCTCTCTACTTTGAGAAGCCTCCACAATGCCCAGGTTGCCTGATGGCTGAGTCACAGCTCTCATGATCCTGGCTGGCAAATTGGAGACACCCTTAATTGGATACTGAACAAACTCTGCCTGCTGCACAACGGCTCCAACAGAAGAGTTATAGCTGTTTACTGTAACACACAGACAGTCCTATTAACAAGAATGATGGGAGGCTGCTCCATGGCATTACTCTTAGCAAAAGACTTGAAAAATATGCTTTGTAAATGAAGGCACTCCAACAGAGAAAACATCTAACACTCCCTCTCCCCACCCCCACCCACCCCACCTCTTCCTGGGGAGACTTTGCATGTGGAATCCTTTATACATTGTTCAAAGTTCCATATTCTGACGACGTTCATCAATAGTGGTGCCTATGGCAGGGAGAAGCTTGTATCAACTGACAAATGTAGACAAGGCAGGCTGCTTAACCCAGGAACAGTGGGTCACAGCACAAACAGGGAAATTGATGGTGCCAGCCATATTTCTGCGGGAATGGAGGCGTAAATGAACACCATATGTCACAGCTTATCACGTACGGTAGGAGGGAACTGTGAATGGCGCAGCGTGGCCTACTTAGGAATGCTGATGGATCATTCGCAGCCAGCTTTTGTTCCAGACTGGGGTTTGTCTTGTCTACAGACTTTGGGGCATCTTCAGGGTGACAGCCATAGTGTGCTTGCCTCCTCAGCTCCAGGGATTGGCAGTGGGCTCTGCTGAGTGGAGAGGGACAGAGCTGTCCAAGTCATAACCACTGGTTACAGGGCTGAATGTACCATTGCACCCGCTAGGCTCATGGATCTTCGTAGGAATACAGATTATGCAATTCCTAAGAGGAAAGAGGATGCCAGGGCTTTGGCATCAGTTATAATAGGTACCAGTCTCTCATTTATTAGCTTGTGGGGACAAAGTAGTGACCTGAGTCTCCAATACCTCACCTAGGAAGTGGGAACGTAACAGTACCTCCCTCACAAGATCAAAATCAGGATTGACTGAGTTAATATGCAGGGAGCTTTTCAAAGAAAGTATGGCAGCCAACACACACCCAATAAATGCTAACTGGAGTGCAGTGGCATGATATTGGCTCACTGCAACCTTTGCCTCCTGGGTTCAGGGGTTCTCGTGCCTCAGCCTCCTAAGTAGCTGGAATTACAGGCATGCACCACCACACCTGGCAAATTTTTGTAGTGTAGGATTTTGCCACATTGGCCAGGCTGGTCTTGAACTCCTGGCCTCAAGCAATCTTCCCACCTCGGTCTCCTAAAATGCTGGGATTACAGGCATGAGCCACTGCACCCATCTCAAGAATGGAATGTTTAAAATGCTTACTTTGGAGTCCCAGTTCTGGTAACAAGTTAGTTATTCATGGGATCTTGGCAAGTCACATGATCCCTTAGACTTAGGTTCCCCTTCTGTCAAATGGGGAAATTAATAGATAATATCCATAAAGAGCAGGATAGAGTATCCTCACCATAGAAAGCCATTGGAGACAGGTGGTCTTTGATATTTTCTGAATGAAGAGGGACAGCCTGGGGCAGAGACCTCCACATTGTCTGCAGCTCTCAACATCCATGATGCCATGGGGAGGAATAATATTAATTTTCTGGGGAATTATGTTAGCTCTCTCTGGATTGGTCAGAGATGAGTCTAACCTTCCTCTCAAGAGAGAGGAAATGGAGAAGATAATGCTAAAATAAAATAAAAATAAAGTGTATTGAGTATTTCCTGTGCATTAGGCACCTTTGAGCATCTCATTTAAAACTCACAACAACCCTGTTAGTTGTATTATTATCCCTATTTTGCTGACTGCCATAGACACCAAAAGCTCTTGAGCACAAAAAGGAGAGGAGACTTGGCAGGGGATTCTGAATCCATGGCAAAGTCACCATGGAGGGCCCACGTCGCCCATCCCCGCTTCCACCCCTATTGGAGAGGCATCAGGAAGCCTCTCTGGGAAACTTTTTCCTTTTATATCAGCTAGTTCAGAATGGCCATACTTTTATTTATTTTTATTTTTGATTTTTGTGGATACATAGTAGGTGCATATATTTATGGGGTATATGAGACGCTCTGATACAGGCATGCAATGTGTAATACTCGCATCATGGAAAATGCGGTATCTATCCCCTCAAGCATTCGTCCCTCCTGTTAACAATCCAGTTATACTCTTTTAGTTATGTTAGAATGTACAATTAAGTTACGATTTACTATAGTCCCCATATTGTGCTATCAAATACTAGGTCTTAATTCATTCTTTCTAACTATCTATTTTGTACCCATTAACCATCCCCATCTCCTCCCCACCCCCTCACTACCCTTCCCAGCTTCTGGTACTCATCCTTCTACCCTCTATCTCCATGACAGAAGGCCATTTTCAAGCAAGGCTGGACAAGTTCATTCTGTTCCCAGCCAGACACCCATGCAGCAATAAAACCGCCCAAGTTTCTGATGAGGAAAATTGGCCTTAGTCTTTTTCAATGAGCTCACATCTAGAAAGAGCTACAGCAGCCGAGAAAGGCTGTAACAGCATCAGGGGTGGGGCTGGGTGAGTCAGCTCAGGGGTTTTCCTGTCAGGAGCCTGTGCTGGGGAAGATGGAGGGAACGGACACACACACCTGTGGTCTGAGGGGGAGAAGTCTTGGCAGCCAAGGAAGACCAGCAAGTGACTTCAGACAAGTCTCGTAGTCTCCAGAAGCGAGGGGTGCATCACAGCCATGAGGGCCACCACCACCTCCACTCTTTATTTCAGTATGACACTGTAGGTGAGATGGAGTCCTTAATGCACACACATTTTCTCATGCATTCCTTTATTTATTTTTTAAAATTATTAGGTCATAATTGTCTATATTTACAGGGTAAACTGTGATGTTTTGGTATATGTCTACACTGGGGAATGGCTAAATCATATTTTTTAACATATGCATGATCCCACATACTTACCACTTTTTTTGTGTTGAGAACACTTAGCAATTTTCAAGGATACAGTATATCATTACGAACTATAGTGTCCACGATGCACCACAGATCTCTTGAACTTATTCCACCTGTCTAACTAATTTGTTTCTTTTTTTGCATCCTATAACCAACATCTCCCCAACTCCCCCACCCCCCAGCTTCTGGTAATCACCATTTTACTCTGTTTCTATTGGTTCAACTTTTAAAAATTCTACATATGAGTGAGATCAGGAAGTACCTGTTTTTCTGTGTCTGGCTTGTTTTACTTAACATAATCTCCAGGCTCATCTATGCTGTTGTAAATGATAGAATTTTCTTCTTTTCTAAGGCTGCATAGTATTCCATTGTGTAATATATATTACATTTTCTTTATCTATTCATCTGTTCATGGACACTTAGGTTTGCTTCCATGTCTTGGTTATTGTGAATAATAGTGCAGAGAACACAGAGTACAGATATCTCTTTGATATACTGATTTCATTTCCTTTGGGAATATACCCAGTAGTGGGATTGAAGGATCATATGGTAGTTCTATTTTTAATTTTTTGAGGAACCTCCATACTGTTTCACATAATGGCTGTACTAATTTACATTCCCACCAACAGCGTGCAAGGATTCCCCTTTCTGTACACCCTCGCCAACGCTTGTTATCATTTGTCTTTTGGTAAAAGCCATTCTAACAGGTGTCTCACACATTCCTTCCCTGCTTTTCACTGCCAAAGCTTGCTCACTCTGAACCTCCCAAGTTCACACAGCCAATAAGTGGCAGAGCCAGAATGAACACTTTCCGTTTCTCTAAGACGTCAAGCTTTTGCACTTGCTTTTTTTTTTTTCTTCTGACTGGCGCAACACCATCTGGTGAAAGTATAACACATCCATCCCACCAATGTGTGCCACAGAGGCAATCTTAAATTTTGGAGTGGCCATATTTTAAAAAATGAATTTTCACAATATATTTTATTTAACCCAGTTATCCAAAATATTGTCATCTCAACATTGGAGCAGTATTCAACATTATTCATGAGATATTTTACATTATTTCCTTCATATTAGGTTTTAAAATTCCGCATGTGTTCTACACTGATGGCAACCCCAATTCAGGTTGGCCGTGTTTGAAGTGCCCAGTGGCCACATGTGGCTCGTGGTGGATGTGTTAGACAGGACAGGTCTGGAGGGCAACCTCCCAGCTCACAAGTCAGCCCCTAGAAAGCCTTTCCTGGCACCCTAACCAGAGCAGCAAACCCACTCCCCTCCATACCTTCTATATCACGTCATATATCGTCATATGCATATCACTTCCTGTTCCTCTTGTTACTATTGTTGTTTATTTTTATTTTTATCTGTCTCTCCTAACAAAATGTAAGTTCCCAAAGGAATTTATTGCTCTGTCCTTTGCATGTAGAACAGTGGCTGGTGCACAGAAGGAGCTCAGTAAACATAACTATGTTTTGAACAGATGAAATGAATGGATTTCTGCATAAAGGGATGTCTGAATGCACAGCTAATAATAAGGCTTATGTAAAGGACATAGGGGTACAGGAAATCTCTTACTTAGGATTTCCTTGGCCTCCCCAGGCATGGTCTCCCCACTGCAGTAATTTGTAAGCTGGAAGATTCCCCCTCCAGCCACCTTTCTATGTATTCCAGGAGTTGGTGGTGTGCCTTCTTTTCTAAGTTCTTACAGAGCAGGTACTTAAAGAAAAAGGAAAGATCCAGGGTCTGTGTGTATCTATTCGTCATCTATGCTAATTTGCATTTAGTTCTTCCATAATTTGCAAGGTGGGAAAGCCCTGACATACTATTGCAGCCTGGGAAGCCAGGGCTGTTTATCAGCTCCTGCCCGCTGCAGCCATTGAATAATTCTTGGTCACCTGTAAACAACAATCTACTTGATTCATTAAATTTGAGGTTTACAGCCATTCTCCATGCAGATGACTTTGGTACAGCAGTCTGGGATGCAGGATCTCACACATCTGGAACTCCTGGAGCTGTTCTTTGCCCCTCGGTCCATGACAAAGGGATGGATCAGCTTCCTTAGGGGAATGATAACCTTGGCTAGTCAAAGCTTGACTTAGAGAATCACTGAGCAATGTCCTGTTGTTCTTCCACGCAGACCAGCGTGTTGATGTTTATACAATATGTACACCCCTCTGGGCTTTCCTGTAGCCTAGAGGCTTGTATTGGATTTGTCTATCTTCTACATTGGACACTGAGCTCCTTGTGGGATGGAAACATGTCTTGTTCATCTTTGTAACTCCAGCTCCTAGTCCAGAGCCTAACACATAATATATGTTTTGTTGAAAAAATAAATGAACCAGGAGAGTCTACAAAGCATTCATTCAAAGTTCTTTATTGAGCATCTACTATGTACTGAACCAAGTTCTAGCACTGAGACAAGTCAGTGAACAAAACAGGCAAAAATCTATGCCCTCATGGTGCTTACCTACTACCAGATAGTTGAATTAATTTTTTGAATATTTTCTTTTTCTAAAGAATGCCAAAAACTTATTATTTTCCTGTTATTATTGCAAATTCCCTTGTAAGAGTGTTAAGAACTTTTGGGGTTCTTTCTCTGCCAATTACCATCTTATGTATTTTCCTATATGTAAATGAAGATAACGTGTCTCCAAAGAGTAGTTGGGTGAATTGAATTAGGCAGTGCTTGTAACTGTAGAGTGCAGTGCCTATCCCAGACATGATAAGCATGTGGTGAGTGTTTTTGGTACTAGGGAGTCCTGTGTTCAGTAGGGAAGGAGGTTGAAGAGTGAGTTTGGGTCTGAGCCAAAGAAATAATGGGCTGGTCCAGGTGGCATATTTCCAGAGACGAGAATCTCTGTGTAGGTCTTGCATGGCAGTGGGAAGGGGTCAGGGAAGCCTATGAGGTGCCATGGCAATGACCACAGGATTTCTGGTGTTAGGCAATGAAAACTTGGATGCTGTGGAGATGCAGAATTGCCAAGAACCAGGCAGCAGGTCCCTGTGAGCAAAGAAAGCCACAGGAAGAGCCACTGTCTCCATTCTCCCCAGAACGGTTGCCAGATGCTGGTAGAAAAGGAGGAGGGTGGGACACTCTACCCCATAGCTTGGTGCCTCCCCAAAAGTGTGGATTTCTGGAACTCTGGTGGGGCTTGGAGGGCTCCCTGGGATGACAGGAAGAACAAGGGTTTCTGAGTGAGGATGCAACACGGCTTGGAATGTTTCAGAGCATTCTGGATCCTTCAGAGCCTGTGCACTGGAGTCAGATGATCCAGGTTTGACTCCTGGCTCTGTCACTGATGGCTGGGTGACCTTGGTACGTCACTTAACTTCAATCGACCTCAGTTTCCCCATCTGTAAAATGGAAGTGTACTCATTTGTTCTCATCTCATGGTGTTTTTGAGAGGTTAAAATGTGATAATTTGTGTAAAGCACTTAGGACACTGTATGTTACATAAAAATTCCCAATAATTCCTCTACAGAAGTCCCTTTCCCCCAATCTCTCACCTCTTTTTCTTTCTCTCCACCCCTCCAGGGTCCCCTTACTTTATCCTGTTGCCACACCTTGAATTCATGCCAATGCTGTCAGGTTTTCAGAATTTCTTCAGAGAGGTGCAAATATAAGATGAATAACTATCTCACTAATATTGATAATTGTTCATAGCTTCACCTCACTGTGTTATTGGGCTATAAGCTCCCTCTTCTCCACCACCCTCCTCCAGATGGAAAAGGGAGCCCAAGGAGATGAAAGAAAAATCAAGAAAAAAATTAGAAAAATGGATCCCCTATTTCAAATACACGTAAGTATGTATAAGTGAAAGGTTTCCAGGAAGTTCAACTGAATGGAGTAAACTGATGATTTATTTTAATTAAGTGAAAACAGTAAAGAAATGTTTGAAAAGTTAGCCTGGCATCTTAAAATAAAACAGGATGATAAGCTCTTTGCTGCCAAAGTTGCAATTTCTCTGTTGGATTTTGGATCTGGCTTTTATTATTAAGGCTGGTGCTGAAAGCTGGCATTTTGACAGGAACATGGAGCGTTTGTCACTATCTGGGAAAGAGATAGATGTTGAATGACATTTTGGAAGAAATGTATACATTTTGGGCCTAAGTGCTGTTTCTCCTTACCAGGAAAATTCCACTAGCAAATAACTGATTGGTTATCTTGAGTTCCTAATTCTCCTGGCTATTTAAATGAAAGCAGAATTAGATTTTTTTTTTCTTTAACCTTTGGGGAAAATGGAAAGACGTTTTCTCCATGGGCTGCATCTTCTCCAGATAAGGGCGACATTCTTGGCTAGAAAAACCTAATGGGGCCTCCTTTGTCCCTGGAGGAGAGGTAAATGGAGGAACACAGAATACACCCTTGCAGAGTTGCAGAAGTCCAACATGAGGGTGAAGATTTCTTCTGCCTCTGGGCCTCACTTATTAATGCAAGTAACTCAAAGGAGGAATGTGGGAAGATGCAGAAGGAGCTCAGGAATGCCTCCCAGGAGGCCTGGGAGTTTCTGTCTCCGTCTGGCTCTGCCACTCACCAACTGTGTGACCCAGAGCAAGTCACCCTGCGACTTGGTTCCTTCAATAAGAATAGGCATCAGGAGGTAGACATTCCCTCTGTTGCTATGAGAATCATGTGTGATGAAATGCTGAGAAAACCCTTGAATGTGCCTCAATTATATGCTACTGTAATCACCAAACTGAGCTTATGGCTCTAAAGGAGCAGGGGAAAGAGGCTGCAATTAGGGGGAGAGAGAAACAACATGATAAAGAAGGCCAACCTGGAGATGCAGGTTGATTGATGCCCACTTTCTGGCAAACGAGGGGTGGCTGGTGCCTGTTGATATGGTTTGGCTGTGTCTCCACCCAAATCTCACCTTGAATTGCAATAATCCCCACGTGTTGAGGGCGGGGCCCGGTAGCGATAATTGAACCATGGGGGCAGTTTCCCCCATACTGTTCCTGTAGTAGTGAATAACTCTCACAAGATCTGATGGTTGTATAAATGGGACTTCCCCCGCACAAGCTCTCTTGCCTGCCACTGTGTAAGACATGACTTTGCTTCTCCTTCACCTTCTGCCATGATTGTGAGGCCTCCCTGGCCATGTGGAACTGTGAGTCCATTAAACCTCTTTCCTTTATAAATTACCCAGTCTTGGATATGTCTTTATTAACAGCATGAGAATGGATGAATACACCTGTTATGCCAAGTTAGGTTGGGGTTTAGATTCTTTCCTTGGATTTTACTCTGCCAATTGCTCAGACACTGTCCTCCTTGTCTAGGTTGTTAAATAGCGACAAGGGGCTACTGACCTGCTATAAACAAGAGGTCCAGCTCTCAACTTAGTCAGAGTCCAAGCTATTAGTTCAAACTGCACCAGCCATTTTGCAGACCTGGTGAAAGAGCAACATTCCATGGGGGTTCAGACTGTAAGAGACATCCTGCCCATCTGCCTGACTTTCTTATCATACCCTATTGGGCAAAGGCCCACCTGAAGGAACATCCTTATCATATCCTGCTGGGCAAAGGTCCAAAAAACAGCTGATCACATCCCACCAAAAGCAGGGCCAAACTGCCTCATCACGGGACTGTCTTATCAATATCCAGCTGGGTAGCAAGCCAGACTGCCCAGACCCCTTTCGCTCATACCTGTAAGTACCCCAGCCTGTAAGCAGCAGTGGGCACTGGCATTAAGCTGGTCCCTCACCTCTGCAGGTTTATGCTGGACATACATGCCTGCATTTGCTGTTGAGCCACCCTCTCTCTATTTGTCTTTCTTTAACCCTCACCTTCCCTTCTAAACCCAACATAAACCTGTAGCAGGCCAATTTCTGAAGGTGTTTTGCACTGTGAGCACTCTTGGCTCTTCATAGGTGGTTTCTCTTTCATGACCCTGCGTTTCTTTCCCTTGGTCTTCTACAGTTCCCAGTTAGACTTGGGAGCTATTGCAACCTGGGGAGCTTTTGTTATCTTTTCCAAGACAAGAGTCTGCAGGGGAAGAAATCAAGTGATAATTTGAACTCTTCTCAAAGGGGAGAGTTTTGGCTCAGGTCTGTCTGGATCACAGGAACCACTTCTCAATGGGCAATAGGGCTTTGGATGTTGATATGACAATATTTTCTGGGCTGAATATCCATGGCAAAATTCTCCTGAATATTCTTTGTTACCTTTTCTAACTTTGTGGGTCTAATTCCTGCATCCTGTTGGTGAAGATCCTAACAGTGCTGAATTTTACCTAAGCCCTGTATTCCCTGGAATACAGTTATTGTTTAAAAAAATACCCCCACTATTTTATTTTCCAGGGAAATGACTAACCACAAACAAACACTTGCACTTGCATATTCTAGGATAAGACCACCTCCACTTTTCCTCAATAATTCCCATAAGAATGTCTATCCCTTTTCATGATTCCCTTAAGACTGTGAATTACTTCCTTGCCTCTGTAAAACTCCAGGCCCCCTTCCCTTCGATTGAGGCATCCTCATTCATGAATGTTCTCCCTATTGCAAAAGCTGAATAAAATCATCTCCTGAATCATCTGGTGCATTTCGTCCTTGATAATCCCAAATTGAATAATTTTTTTCCAGACCAGAAAGAAATTCAGGTCCTTGTCAAGGCCATAAAGGACTGAAAGCAAGAAGGTTACCAGGAAATCAGTAGGAATGTCCTAAGTTAGCTAGAGCTAGACAAAGGAAGGAACAAAAGGAAAATCTGTATGCAAATGAATGGGCATTCAAAGCATTCTGCTTTAAGGAAAGCATCACATTTGTGGTAAAGAGGAATGGTGTGGGGGTAATACGAGATGTCCTTATTGGCCCATAAGTTTTTTGTATTTTATTATCATCTTGAATCTGATAATATATGTCAACATTCTGGGGACCCTGGACTCCAATATGGACACATGCAAAGGCTAGGACAAGAGCCCCAGACTGGGAATTGGGGAATATCTCTAATTTTTTTACTTTCAGAAGAATGCCCTTGAGTGCTGAAGTTTCCAGGATCCCACTCTGAAAGCTCAAGTGTCTGGCAGTTTCACTCCTCACCTCAACTGCTGCTACCAATGAATGACTGGTGGGAATGTACAAAAGTCTAGTCCCTTGTTTCATGGCCTGACAAACCAGGGATAATTTCTGGTCCATGGGATCAGGTTGAGTTTGGAACTTCACCTGCAACTGCCCCTTGGTTAGCTTCTTGTCCTTCCCTATTCTAATTTTTCCACTCCCTCATTGACTTCTCCTGGACCTCTTCCTTAGTGAATTACTTGCACCTGAATCCTTGGTTCAGGGTCTGCTTCTGAGAGACCAGATTTGAGACACTCTATTGACCTTTTCTGATAAAGGAAGGTAAAAAGAGAGGGAGGATGGAATGAAGGAAAGAAGGAAGAAAAAAAGGAAGGAAGGGAGGAAGGAAGGAATGAAGGAAGGAGGGAGGGAGAGAGGCTGAAATGAAGGAAGGAAGGAAGGGTAAATGCTTTCCCTGCAGAAATTCAACTGAGGGACAATGGAAACATACTTGATCTGTGATCAATAGCTCTGCATTTGAATTCCAGCTCTGCCCTCTTTGAGCTCTTTAATTATGAACACTGCTACTTGCACAACTTGAGTCTCATCTTCTTCCTCAGTAAAGACTGTCACTGACTCAAGATTGTTGCAATAATTAACTAAGGTAATGCTTTTGAGTGCACCCAGCACACTGCCAGCTCATTCAGACACACCATGATTTTTCAAGTGAAGAAAACCTTGAAAAGTGAAGAAAACCTGTCTTCTCTAGTGTGAGTTGATCTTCTCTAGTGTGAGTTGATCCCAGCATTTCCTACCTCGTTCTGAAAAGAAGTATTTTCCTACATTCTCTTCCTTCCTCAACTATTTCTGCAGGTTCAGGTGGTGTATAATAAAGTAGGGAGAAATAGTGTGGTCTTAGTTCAGTAGATTTCAAATCCTCAAGGGCACAAAAATCACCTGGGGACTTTGCTTAAAATATAGATTTCCAGATTCTCCCAAGAGATTCTGGTTCAGTGGATGTGGAATAGCCCTAGAAATCATGGTTTAAAAAATTATTTATTTTTAACAAGCTCTGTGAACCTAAGGCTGGAAATCCACAGGCCTTATTTTTGGAGGCATTGCCCTAGGTTCATAGGCTAACCCTGGTTGCCAGTGGTGTTCTCGCTCTTTGATGCTTTGCCCTTTGTTTTCCGCTGTGCATTATAGGACACCTAGCACCATTCCCTAAATGCCACTGCTTAGCTGAGCTCTCATATCTAACGGCCTCTTGGTCTACCTTGCACCATTGGATTGACATTTAGCCCCACACATCGATGAATTCATTCATGGATGTCAATGAGCACCTGCCCGTTTAGTGCAAAACAAATGTGCTGATGTTGCTGTGAAATCCTAAGATGACACTGACCATCAATCACAGCACTCTGAGGGTCCACCTAGCCCTGGAAGGCAACAGATCCATTATGGCCATTTAAGACCCAGAATGACAAGGTGCCAAGGCCCAGCCTCATCTGCAGCTCCTGAAACGAGACAGTGTTCAGCCTGTGACTTTGACAAAGGCTGTTGTCACTGCTGGTCATCACTTTCATGTTTCTAGTCACTTATGTCTCAATCAATGTATTGGCTCATGAATATCATTCAATACTAACTGCAGCTTGGTCCATGATGCATCCACAGACCTGTCCAGCAGCTCCCCCCACCCCCTGACACCTTAAGTTTCTGAAGTATCCAAAACGTAGTCCTCTTTCTTCCCTATATTATCCTGGTAGACACAGGATGCAGTTTTGGTTATAAGACTTTCCTGTTTTCATGTTATCTCTTTTACCTCTTGAGAAACACTGACAACTAGCCGAGACATCAGCAAACCTTTTGTCTCAAGGGCCAGACAATAAATATTTAATCCATTGCAGTTCAGATGTTCTTGGTAGCAATGAGTCACCTCCATCAATGTAGCAAGAAAGCAACCACAGACAATAGGTAAAAAAAAGTGGGTATGGCCATGTTTTAACAAACTTTATTCACATAAACAGATTTGGTCCATGGACTATAATTTGCAACACCTGGTCTACTCCATCTTTATCCATGCATTAATTCAACACATATTTATTGAGCATCCCCATGTGCCAGTACCTGCTCTCATGGAGCCTGTAGGACTTATTATTAGTTTAGTTTCATTATGGGGAATACATAGTAAAGAACTAACGATGCAATTAAATGCCTAGTTGCTACTGTTAGAAGTGCTCTGAAGGAGAAAGGCAAGGTGTGATGGAAGCAAGTAACAGGGAAACGGGAGCTTAGAGAAGTGAAGGTGGAGAGATGGAAGAAGAGTATGGGCCTTTGAGCAGAAGGGGCAACAGGGTGGGGTGGTATTGAGTGGAAAGGAACTTGGCAACTCAAGACTCAGGTACCGTCATCCAGAGAGGAAGGGTGACAGAGATGTCAGATCCAGAGACTGATGCTTCTAGGGATGTTAAACTTCCCTTGAGAGGTAGTGGAAACTCTCTGCAGTTTTAAAGCAGGAGAGCAACACTGGTAGATTTAGGTTTCAAAACAATCTCTCTGGCTACAGTTTGGAGAAGAGACGGGAGGGCAGTAATAAATCCAAGTAGGCTAGATTTAGTAGTAGCTTTCTGCAGAGCTTTATCATTTTTGTTTTAACACAAACTCTCACTCTTTCTCTCTTTTTTGCCAGCCTCACCTATAAAGTCAGGGATTTGGTTAAATGTTGTTGGCTGAGGTCACCATGTTGAGGCCAAGGCTGCTCACTTGAGTGAATCCACATCTTCGGGAATGTTTTTGTTTCCAGGAAACACTACTCCAATGTGCTGGAGCACAGAGTTCCCATGGGGAAAGATGAGTGGGGAAGCTGGAAAGCTGGGTTGGTGTCAGATTGTGTGCAGAGCCAGTTAACGATAAAGGCATATTGCACTCCA
This sequence comes from Homo sapiens, assembly GCF_000001405.40. NCBI lineage: Eukaryota > Metazoa > Chordata > Mammalia > Primates > Hominidae > Homo > Homo sapiens. Next base: position 8,283,305 of record NC_000016.10, on the reverse strand, counting down.
GCCTGTGCAACAGAGCAAGACCCTGTCTCAAAAAATAAATAAATAAGGGACACAGATGTCTGGAAACCATAGCCCTTCCGTCCTGCCGCTGTGAGGCTCTGCATTTCAAGGCCACCTGGACCTTCTGAAGCTTTGCTTATAGCCAATTCAAGTAGTGATCATTTTGCTGATACATTTTGAAGATGCTATAACATTGCGGAATGTCTGCATATTCTAAGGCACTTAATATCTCCACTTGGAATGCAATGATATGTAGGTCATTAAGCAGAACAGACCTTCTCGGTGAAAGGAGTAATAATTGCGGTTTTCAAATGCCATTTTCATTGCTATTTGGCAGGAATACCATAGTCACGATCTTCCTGTTTCTATTAATCACAAGGGCTGGGACAAAGTCATCCTACCTTTCTGCAGGCAAGTCTTCATTTCAGACTGTCAGCAAAGTGGTAATTTAGGCAATAAGGAGAAATACACAACCAGTCCTTGAGATGGTCTGCAGGGATTGCACCTCAGCTGTTCGTACCCTTGTGAAATCCCCTCCCACATTAAGCCAAGGTTGATCTGTGTGACCAACAGCATAGGGCAGAAGGGATGGCATGTCATTTCCAAGATCAGGTTATAAAAGATACTGCAGCTTCCATCTTGGTCACCTCTCCCTCGGGGATCACTCAGGAAGAAACTGGCTTCTATGTTGTGAGCAACTCTACAGAGAGGCCCATATGACAAGGAACTGGAGTCTCTTACCAACAGCCATGTGAGTGGGGCTTGGACATGGGTTCCACCCTCAGTCAAGCCTTCAGATATTGGCAACCCCATTCAGCAGCTTAAGGGCAAATGCATGAGAAATCGTAAACTAGAGGCAGCCAGACAAGCTACACGTGGATTCCTGAGCCTCAGAAACTGTGAGATAATAAATATTTGTTGGTGACATAGTTTAGACGTTGTCCCCTCTAAAGCTCATGTTGAATTGCAATTCCTAATGTTGTAGGCGGGGTCTGGTGGGAGGAGATTGAGTCCTGGAGACTGATTTCTCATGAATGGCTTAGCTCCATCCTCTGGGTGCTGTCCTCAAAATAGAGTGAGTTCTTGCAAGATCTGGTTGTTTAAAAGTGTGTGGCATCTCCCCGCCACTCACTCTCTCTTGCTCTGGCTCTTGCCATGTGAGATGCCAGCTCGTTGTGGCCATACCAGAAGCAGATGTTGGCACCATGCTTCCTGTACAGCCTGCAGAACTGTGAGCCAATTAAACTTATTGTCTTCATAAATTACCTAGTCTCAGGTATTTCTTTATAGCATTGCAAGAATGGTCTAACCCAGTTGACTTCAGTTCTAAGTGTTGGGGTAACTTATTATACAGCAATAGATAACAGATACAGGAGAGGAAAAGTGTTAAGTCATTCAAATAGTTTAGCCTTGTATGAATGTCCATAACAAGTATGACAAGAAGGGCTCATTATCTGGAGGGTAGAGACTGAGGCAGGATGTGTCTAGGACTTGAAACTCCTTATTGTGGTCACCAACAACTTTTGTGGACTAGGGAAAGTCACTTTCCCTTTTGGACTTTATTTTCCTTTGCTATAAAAGCACAAGGTTGGCCTAAAGAAGCTTAAGGACCCAGAGTCCCTTCCCTGTTGCTTGGGTGTTTGTTGGTGGATATGTGAAAGGAAAATAAATCTTGGGGCCCCCAAATCACTAAGCTAAAGGGAAAAATCAAGCTGGGAACTGCTTAGGGTCAACCTGCCTCCCATTCTATTCAGGGCCCTCTCTCTGCTCACTGAGATAAATGCGTATCTGATTGCCTCATTTGGAGAGACTAATCACAAGCTCAAAAGAATGCTACCATTTGTCTCTTATCTACCTATGATCTGGAAACCCCCTCACCACTTGAAGTTGTCCTGTCTTCACCTCAAGTTGCCCCATCTTTCCAGACTGAACCAAAGTCCATCTTACACATATTGATTGATGTCTCATGTCTCCCTAAAATGTATAAAACAAAGCTGTGTCACTACCACATTGGGCACATGTCATCAGGACCTCCTGAGGCTGTGTCATGGGCATGCATCTTCAACCTTGGCAGAATAAGCTTTTTTTTTTTTTTTTTTTTTTGAGACGGAGTCTCACTCTGTCACCCAGGCTGGAGTGTAGTGGCACGATCTCGCCTCACCTCAAGCTCCGCCTCCTGGGTTCATGCCATTCTCCTTCCTCAGCCTCCTGAGTAGCTGGGACTACAGGCGCACGCTGCCACATCCGGCTAATTTTTTGTATTTTTAGTAGAGACAGGGTTTCACCCTGTTAGCCAGGATGGTCTCAATCTCCTGACCTCGTGATCCACCAGCCTCGGCCTCACAGGTGTGAGCCACCACGCCCGGCTGGCAGAATAAACTTTCTAAATTAACTGAGACCTGTCTCAGATATTCAGGGCTCACAGATGTAACAAACACCTACTATCCCACATAGGCACACATACATGTGTGTGCACACGTAGCTACCCACACTTAAAATGTGGACTCCAGCTAGCAATGAAGGGGTGTTGAACTATAGGCCAGGCACTGAATCACATAAGAATTAACAATTAATCCTCACAGCAGCCAATATATAAGTAGGTGGTTCTACTACCACTATTTACTAGATGAGAAAATGCAGGCTCAAAAAACCTAATATTGCTCAGGGATATCCTATTAGTTTTCTGTTGCTCTATAACAAATTACCACATGTTTAGTGGCTTAAAACAACTGACATTTATTATTTCACAGTTCCTGTGGATCAGGAGTCCAGGAGAAACTTGGCCAGGTCTTTTGCACAGGGTTTTGCAAAGTTATGATCAAAATATTGTCCCAGCTGCATTCTCCCCTGTGACTCAGGGGTGTCTTCTAAGCTCCTTCAAGTTGTCGGTAAAATCTGGTTCTTTGCAGTTGTAGGATGGAGGCCCTCAACTCTTAAAGGTAGCCCCTCCCCATTGGTAGTTTACATAATGGTTCTTGGATTCTTCATAGCCAGCAAAAGAGCCCCTCTCTCTCTTGAAAAGGCTCCATCCCTCTCTTAAGAGCTTTCACAAGCTGGCCAAGATAATATCCTCTTTTGATTAGTTCAAGATCAACTAATTTAGGACCTTAATTGCATGTTCAAAATCCCTTCACCATTGCCATATAAGGTAACCTAATCATGGAGGTGACATCCCATCGTATTCACAGGTACTGCCTCCACTTCAGGGGTGGGGACAATACTCAGTAGTGTGCATGTGGAGGGGGATTTGGGGTCATTTTAGAATTCTATCTACCAGAGACACACAGTAGGAAACAGTGAAACTGGAGTTGAAATTCAGGTCTGTTTGACTCCAGTGGCTTTAAACCACTTACCATAAATCCTCCACCAAGAGATCTTTGAGGGCAAGGATCATGCTACTTGTCTTCATCTCCCCAGTGCATAACACTTAATAATTCCTCTAATATTTATCATAGTATTGATCAAGATGCCTTGATTGTTGGCTGGAGAAATCTAACTCCAACTGATTTAAGAAAGCAAGAGAACTTGACTCTTAACTGCGGCATCTGGGGCTGGATATGGGGGTTTAAGTAATATTCTGTTTGTCTCATTTCAGTACCCTGGGCTTTATTCCTAGGCCTCTCCTCATAAGGTGGTAAGAAAGGCCACTGGAAACTGTAAGCTTACTTCCTCATGGCTCAAGACCCAAAAGGAAAGGAAAACCCTTCTCTCCCAGTATCTATATGTTAAAATTTTAAAAAGACTCTGTCCTGAGCTATGTCTTTTCTAGATCTAAACTCTCTCTGGATTTGATTTGTCAGCCTCGATCACATGACCGCATTACAGTGGAGGAGTAGGGTGGGTAGGGAAGGACATCATGATTAACTGCTTCTGTAGGATAACATGGAATACTCAAAATGTGGCTCCTGAAAGAAGAATTGGGCACTGTTACCAAAAGCAGAAATTGATGTTGGATTGAAAAAAAAAATTGGCTAAACAGAAAGTCCAAAGATAAAGCTCTTAAAGCCTCTACATTGGGCAACATGGTTGTATAAATACCTTTGAGCATGTAAGGAGACGTACCTTTCAATTGTGCAGAACTGAGAAAGTTTGTACACATTCCTCATTCTGTCTTTCAGTTCTCAAGCATCTAAGTTACTGCAGCGGAGAGGGGCTAGAGTAATCACGTTGAATGAACAAATGATGTCCTTCTCAGAACTAATTATTTCTGAAACTTAGGAGGTGAGTTCATTGCTGAGATTTAGATTCGTTAACCTTATCTTAGCCCAGGGAACGTTCTCCATGGTATTTCAGATTTTAAATGAGCTTAACTTCAGGCGAGCCACATTAGCATACATTCTTCCTGCTATTGTGGCCTAACCCCAAGGAGCTAATACAACTTAATGGTATGGTTTGGAAAAGGTGGAAGATATCCTTAGGATGGAACTAACCTTTATTTTATGAGCATTTCAATAAAGCAACGGAGAAATCCACTGAAGAGGGCTGATGGCAGGGTCAGGGTACTAAATTCTCTCCTCACTGGGGGAGACTTCCCTCTGGTAAGTATCTGCCCCTAATTTCTGGAAAACATTTAATTTCTGTCTCTTCCTTTATGTGTCTCTGTGTGTGTCTTTATTTCCACTTTGTACAGATCTCTTGGATATTTTATCACTTTACCCTACAAAGCTTTTAACCTCCTTTCAGCTGCTTTTAAGGCCTTGCATTTTGAAACATCTCTAAAGAAAGGACTCAGGCTCCTCTAAAACCTTGTTTAAAAATGATTCAGCAGTTGTGATATGTTGGGGATCTTTCCATCTTTTGCTACCATAAGGAGAGGGAAGTGGAACCATGGCCATCTTTCTATTAAATTTAATTTTCCAAGGTGGTGACTCTATCTTGCAGCTATGCATGGAGAAAGTATGCAGTGTGAAATGCCAAGGTGATGATATAAGAGGTTCACTTGCTCACTGCTCTCCCTTACTTCTTGCTATGCACATTCTCCCAATCCTATCTCACCCACCTCACCCCAAAATCATAGGAAATGAGCATAGGTAGATAAAAAAATCAAATACCCAATTAAAATGGGAAGATGTAGAAGAATGAACTGCCTCCTGTTAATAGATTACTCGATGGGTTTGATGAAGTAACAAACGCTTTTACATATTTCCTGGAATAGTGGCAGGCAACCTGCCACTATTAGGTTATTCCCTGGTGATCTCCACCTCCTGATATTCATGTCTTTATGTAATTTCCTCCCCTGTGTGTTGACTCAGCCTAGTGTCTCGTCTCTAACTAGTAAAATACTGGTTCTACAGTGATGGAAAATTATTCGTAAGAATAGGTTACAGAGAGACTGCTCCTCCCCTCTTGTGTGCCCTTTCTTGGCCTCTTACTTGTCCATGTTGATAGAGGTAACCATTGCAACCAGGTGATGAGCTGCCCTATAGAGAGACCCACATGACTAGCAACCGAAGACAGGCTCTGCAAACAGCCAGTGGGGGCCTGACAGCCTCAGGTCCAACAAGCTGTTAAGGACTGAATCCTGGCAACAGTCATTTTAGAGACCCTGGAAGTGGATCCTCCCTCTGTTGAGCCTTTAGATGAGACCATAGCCCAGGCCAATACATTGAAACCTTATGAGAAGTCTGGAGGCAGAAGCACCCAGCAAAATGGCATTGAGAAACTGAGATTGCAAATGTTTGTTGTTTTAAGCCACTACGTTTTGGGATAATTTGCTATGTCAAAATTGATTGCATCTATCTATCTGTTTATCTAGTTTCCTATCATCTATCAAGTGATATCTTTTTCAGATAGAGATGCTTCCCATCTCACAAAAACTGAGGCTCAGAGAAGCGAAGCAACTTGCTCAATATTATATAGCAGGCAGGACTATTATTGGCCGAGATGCTATTATTTGCCTGATACTCTATTTTGTGCCCTTGTTAAATCTTCATCTCATCCCCATGAAGTAGACATTTTGGTCCTCCATTTAAAAGTGAGGAAACTGGAAATAATAGAGGTTAAGGAGCCTTTCTATGGCTACACAATTAGTAAATAGAAGAGCTAAGATCTACCATCTTTATTTATTTACTTATTTTTCTGGTGGAGGGAAAGGTGTTGTCCCAATTTTAATGCTTTGTACATAAAGACACTGACTCATTGACCATTTCTTTTCAGTGTTTTTTCCATTTCATGCTGTAGCCAGAATTGGGAAGCATATGAATCTCTCATTTCAGAAAGTGAAACTTAGTGTCTCAAATCAGGAGTCCCTAATCCCTGGAACGCAGACAGGTACCGGTCCGTGTCCTGTTAAGAACCAGGCCACAAAGCAGGAGGTAAGTAGTGGGTGAGTGAGCATTGCCACCTGAGCTCCACCTCCTGTCAGATCAGCAGTGGCATTACAATTTTTATAGGAGTGTGAACCCTGTTGTGAACTGCGCATGTGAGGGATCTGGGTTGCACACTCCTTATGAGAATATAATGCCTGATGGTCTGAGGTAGAACAATTTCACCTTGAAACCATCTCCTTCCCACCTCATTCATGGAAAAATTCTTTCATGAAATCGGTTCTTGGTGGCAAAAAGACTGGGGACTACTGTCTTAAATTACAACTGGCATCCTCTCCACTAAGAAATGAAACTAGAATCTGAACTCTTACTGTATGCTAGGTACTATGGTTATGAGAAAATTGAGTCTCAGAAATTCACTTGTTCCATATTCTATAGTTAGTAAGTGGCAAACTCAGAATCCAAGCCAAGCTCCAGAACCACTGAGCTAGGCGGCGTCTTTTCTCCTTCTCCTCCCTTCTCCCAGCATGCTGCTCCAGGTGTCCAAAGATGGGTGTCACTTTTAAGGAAGTTGCTCATCATTTACCTTATCCCCTTGATATGAATAAAAACTTGACCTGTGGCAGATATCTTTGTTCAGGCAAGGACTTTGAGGCATATCATTTAAAGAGTTCCTGTGAAGAATAATCCCCTGATAGAGTATGGTTTCTTATGAAGACCTTTATCTTATGAAGAGGAACTTGCAAGAGGAATTCTCGGCTGAAATGTCACAGATAGAAGCCAAATAATAACTACCAAAAGCCAAACCTTTAGCAGGCCAACCCAGAACCAACTACAGTTGACTAGACATGTGTGAACATGGCACCTCTAACTAATTGGTAAGATTTGGCTCTGTGTCCCCACCCAAATCGCATCTTGAATTGTAAACCCCATGTGTCAAGGGAAGGGCCTGGTGGGAGGTGACTGGATCATGGGGGCAGTTTCCCCCAGGCTGTTCTCATGACAGTGAGTGAGTTCTCAGCAGAGTTGATGGTTTTAAAGTGTGGCACTTCCTTGCATTATCTCTCTCTCTCTCTCTCTCTCTCTCCTGCCACCTTGTGAAGAGGTTGCCTGCTTCTCCTTCACTTCTGCCATGACTGTAAGTTTCCTGAGGTCTCTCCAGCCATGTGGAACTGTGAGTCAATTAAACCTCCTTCCTCTATAAATTAACCAGTCTTGGGTATTTATTTATAGCAGTGTGAAAACAAACTAATACACTAGTTTATTTCCAAATCTCAATATACATTGGGTGGGTGCCTGTTCTGTACATATCACTGGGGTGGATATGTGGGTATTCATGTCTTCATGTAATTTCCTCCCCTGTGTGTTAACTCAGCCTAGTGTCTCATCTCTAACTAGTAAAATACTGGTTCTACAGTGATGGAAAGTTATTTGTAAGAATAGGTTACAGAGAGACTGCTCCTCCCCTCTTGTGTGCACTTTCTTGGCCTCTTACTTGTCCATGTTGATAGAGGTAACCATAGAGGTAACTGTGAGTTGAGCTCTCCTTTCTGGTAGAGGCCAGCCGGCAGTGGCATATATTAGCAACAGAACACAACACATTTACTAAATTGATAAGCCGGAACAATAAAGTTACATATATAGAGAATAATTCTCTTTCTCAAACACATCTCCCTTCTTGTTTTCTCCATATGGGTAACTAACTGGAACAATGTCTAACTCATTACTGTCAATGGGAACCTAGAAGATTCTTGTTTAATGGTTGCTTACCTAGGAACTTGAGTTGCTTTCTCTTTTTCTCCTGGTTTTCATTTTTCTGGTTTCCCTAGGTGGGGCCAAAATTTGCAGGTGATAGCCTGCATCACAGCAACATTGTGGCAGAAATAAGTGCTAAGTCTCCTTATAGGTTTGGCCACACTGAATTATGGAAAGAGCCTCACTGCTAGTAGGGTCTCCTAACAAAAGGAGAAACCTTGGGTGGAATGAAGAAGAAATAGGAGGTGTAAAAAATTCTAAAATAAATCTATTTTCCAGGCTTTTAAAGTGACCAGCTCGTGGCTCTTTAGCAAAGATTCTGCGTATATATCGGCTGGCTTGAAAAGAGCCATTCCTAGGGCTGAATCTGAGGAATAAATGTCGGTGTGATAAATGCTATCCGAGAGGTAAGCAGAAGGTTCACTGGAAAGACGGACTAGGGACACGTAAGCCAGCTGTGGGGTTAGCTATACTACTGGAGGGGCAGGTGATGCTGAGTCAGGTCTGGAAGTATAGACTTCTATAAGTCATGGAGACATGGAGGGGTGTTTGAGGAAGATGGAGCAGTGTTTATGGAAGCTCAAGAGTTGTGTCTTTAGACAGGCAAGGGGAAGCCATCTGCTGGTTTAAAGGAGTGACGTTCTATGATCAGGTCTCGCGTTGCAGAAAGATCATTGTGTTGGTTATTCAGGAACTAGTGTGGGGGAAGACTGGAGAGGGTGGGGAAAGGAGTCCCAAGAGAATCTATTAGAGGTGAGAGAAGTATCAGCAAGAGTAAAGAGAGTGGGGATAGGAAAGATGAGGGGAGTTGAGACAGATTTTGCTGCTTAAAATTAACAAGACTTGGCTGGGCATGGTGACTCACGCCTGTAATCCCAGCACTTTGGGAGGTCGAGGCAGGTGGATCACTTGAGGTCAGGAGTTCGAGACCAGCCTGGCCTACATGGTGAAACCACATCTCTACTAAAAATACAAAAAATAGCCAGGTGTGGTGGTGCACGCCTCTCTTCCCAGCCATTCGGCAGGCTGAGGCAGGAGAATCGCTTGAACCCAGGAAGCAGAGGTTGCAGTGAGCTGAGATCATGGCATTGCACTCCAGCCTGGGCAACAGTGAGACTGTCTTACAAAAAAAAAAAAAATTAACAAAACTTGATGGACATCATAAGGCAAGGGGCTATGGCTGTCTTGCTAATAACTATATTTATTTTCTGCATCTTGTAAGAGTGCAACACATATGTAGTAAATCCATGAATGAATAAATGTTGAGGCCACGAGTAGGCAGATTTTAGATTGGAGTTGAAAGTGTCAAGCTGTCATAGTTCAGTAACACAAAGAATTAAGATGACTTTTAATAATCTGCCCCTCTTCAACTCAGTATTTATTAAACAGATTTCTGATTTTTAATTTTGCTTATTAATAAGCACTTAGTGCTGGGGTATGGAAAGTTTTACTCCTCATTACACGTGAACATACTGACGTCTGGTTTCTACATCAAACCCCAAAGAGTCTGGTCATTTGCAGACGAGGCATCTGTGGGTCTCACAGTTGAGCTTTTGGACCTAAAAATATTAGGTTGGTGCAAAAGTAGTTGTGGTTCTTGCCATTGAAAAGTAACAGATATAGTTTACAATGAAGAGACTGCCTAACTAGTCAGTTAGATACCAGGTGCTATCTAATTGACTAGTTAATTGGTCTCTGCACTGTAACCTATATCTGTTACTACTGTAAGATTCAAATGGAACGAGTGATAATAGACACACTTTGCAGCTCTGAAGCAAAGATTACATCAACCAACCAGCCCATTGGGGACCCATGAAAGACAGAGTTAAGAAATGGCAGTAATAACATGGAGGGAAACAACACACACTGGGGCCCAATGGAGGGTGGAGGGGGAAGTGGGGAGAGGAACAGGAAAAATAAAAATAACTAATCGGCACTAGGCTTAATATTTGGGTGATGAAATAATCTGTACAACAAACCCCCATGACATAAGTTTACCTACATAAGAAGCCTGCACATGTACCCTTGAACTTAAAATAAATGTTAAAAAATTATAAGCAACCCGAATTTCCATTAACAAAGAATAGATATTATGTAGCCTTTCAAAAGAAAGAAAGAAAGAGAAAGAAAGAAAAAGAAAAAAACAGAAAAAGAAGAAAAAAGAAAGAAAGGAAAGAAAGAAAGAGAGGGAGGGAGGGAAAGAAAGAAAAAGAAAGAAAGAAAGGAAAGAAAGAAAAGAAAGAAAGAAAGAGAAACAATGCTCAGAGTAAAGGGACATACCCTAGGGGATGCTCTGATCTGTCCCAGTGGTTTTCAACTGCAGGCTATTTTGCCTTCCCTAAGGAAGATTTGGCAAAGTCTGCAGGCATTTTTGGTTGTCACAGCTGGGGTGACAGTCCTTCTGGCATCTACTGGGTAGAGAACAGGAATGCTGTTAAACATTCTACAATGCGCAGGGCAGCCCCCGACAATGCAGTATTTCTGGCCCCAAATGTCAGCAGTGCTAAGTTTGAGAAACTCTGGTCTAAAGATACATCTGCGAAAGAAGGGGTGGTATATTAAAGAAGTATGTCTCGAGACAGGATTCTAGTCCAGCTCTGACATTTCCTTGCAGTGTGATTTTTGGCTAAGTCACTGAACTTCGGTGGACCTTGGGGTTCTCACCCATCACAAGACTGGAGACAGAAGATCTCCAATGCTCTTTCCATTCAAAATGTTATGAATTCGCAACTGCCCCCAAGGTCTTCTCATCATCTTCTTCTCATCATCTCTAGAAATCTGTTTTCAGTCTTGCTTGTAGATTGTTTGAGAGAGAGACTGTGACAGGTTCCTCACTTACAGATGGCTTGACCCTAAAAAATTATTTTGAAAAGTTTTTTGTCCTGCAGAACAACTTTGAGTGCACGGGTTATAAGTTCTTTCTTTGGAGAAAGCATTGTTTCACATTTTTTTCTTCTAAAATTCAAAAGCCTGAACTCAACCTCACTACTCAGGAGAAAATGAGGAAGAGAAAGTAGAAGCTGGAATTAAAATCTGAAAATCAAGATTCAGGAACCCAAGGACTCTTCAATTCCTGTTTTTATGTAAAATGGGGAATTTAACATCTACTCTATCCACCACCACTCCAACTTGCTATTAAGATAAAATGAGATGTCACTCACATAGTTCAATTCAAGTCATTTTAACAAATATTTATTGATTGAGTGTCATGTCTCAGGCATGAACTCACTGAGAAACATTTTGATTAGTACAAAATATTGTATAAATATAGGAAACTTTATGAACGGCTCTTGATATAAAGTGCAAGGTGAAGAGGAAATGCCAGCTTATGAGCAAATTAGTTAGAGTACAATTTATAAAGCCTTTTCTTGTTCTCCTGGGGTCACCTCACACAGGGATGTATGATCATTAAATATGACCCTCAGAGGCACTGCATCTAGAGCAGGAGAAATTACTCAATTTTAAGACAAGATTTTAAACAAGGGCCCAACTGTTTTATCTACTTGAATTTGGGTCACTAATTATACCCACTGATCTTCAAGTAATGAATTTAACCACGACCTCATAAATTGTACAATGACAATGAGTATCCTTTCTGTCCTTTTTTGTCATAAAATGAGATTGATACTTCTTTTAATCAGCGGTAGCAATTAGGTGTCTATCAAAGAAATGAGACAAAGAAGGGAAAAGCAATGGTGTGCTATGAGGCAGACTTGAATGAGTTTCTGTTATGCTGATGCTGTGTGTCCTTAAGTCTGTGTTTCTCCCTCTCTGATCCTGTATCCTCATTTGAAAAAAGTATGATGCATCAGAAATTTTTTTTCAAGTGTTTTCCTACTTTCAAATTCCAGGATATTAAGTAAAATTCATTTGTGACACTGCAGAAAAGACTATTAAATGATCAAACCTTACATTTCTCGCAGGGCAGATTATTTTTTATATGTTCTGAAATAAGGTGATACATTTGAATTTCCTCTAACTTATAATCATAATAAATAATAAAACAGGTTTAAATAACAGCATGGGAAATTTGAGCTAGAGAAGAAAGATTGTCTTATTGGCAATTTTAAGGGGGGTTAAGCCATTGAATACCTTCCCAAAATATATTGTGTGGTTTTTATTACTTGAGGTCATTAAAGGGAAGCTAGGAAAAGGAAGCTTTTCTTTTCCTTTTTTCTTGAGACAGGGTCTCGCTCTGTCACCTAGGCTGGAGTGCAGTGGTATGATCATGGCTCACTGCTGCCTTGACCTCCAGGCTCAAGTTATCCTTCTACCTCAGCCTTTGAGTAGCTGATACCATATGTGCACATGATCATGCCTACCTGATTTTTTATTTTTTTAGTTTTTATAAAGATGAGGTTTCACTATGTTGCCAGGATGGTCTTGAACTCCTGGCCTCAAGTCATCCTTCCACATCGGCCTCCCAAAGTGCGGGGGTTAAAGGATCTGAGCCACCATGCCTGGTTAGAAACATTTTATTATATAGTTGGCTAAGTGCATTCCTTTCTAGAATGAAGAAGGTTGACCATAGAATAGAATGTGGAATGTTTTCAATGGTGCAATTCAGCCTGAGAACTGTTAAACTGGCTCATAAGGAAGTTTATTGCACTCATCACCTACATGAAAAAGTCTGAAAGATCACAAATTGACAACCGAATATCATACCTCAAGGAACTAGAGAAACAAGAACAAACCAAACCCAAGGCTAGAAGAAGAAAAGAAGTAACTAAGATCAGAGCAGAACTAACCAAAACTGAAACAAACAAGCAAACAAATACAAAAGATCAATGAAACAAAAAACTGGTTTTTTGAAAAGACAAACAAAATTGATAGATCACTAGCTAGAGTAACCAAAAACAAAGAGAGAAGGTTTAAATAAGTTCACTTAGAAATGAAATAAAGACATTAAAACTGACACCACAGAAATAAAAAAGATCATTTAAGACTTCTACAAACACATCTATGCACACAAACTAGAAAATCTAGAGGAAATGGATAAATTCCTAAAAGCATACATCTCCTCTAGCATGCATCAGGAAGAAATAGAAATCATGAACAGACCAATAACAAGTTATGAGATTGAATCAGTAATAATAATAATAAAACCCTGCTAACAAAAAAGTTTAGGGCCAGATAGATTCACAGATGAATTCTATCAAACATTCAAAGAGGAATTAGTACCAATTCTACTGAAACTATTCCAAAAAAAATGAGAAAGAGGGAATCCTCTCTAACTCATTCTACGAAGCCAGTATCAGTCTGATAACAAAGCCAGGAAAGCACAAAACAAAATAAAAGAAAACTACAGAACGATATCCCTGATGAATATAGATGCAAAGATCCTCCACAAAATACTAGCGGACTGAATCCAACAGTACATAAAAAATAATAACAATTCACTATGATCAAGTGTGTTTCCTTTCAGGGATTCATGGATGGTTCAACATACACAAGTCAATAAATTTGACTAATCACATAAACAGAATTAAAAACAAAAACCTCTCAGTAGAGGGCAGAAAAAGCATTTGATAAAGTCCAGCATCCTTTTATGATTAAAAACTCTCAACAAGCTAGGCATAAAAAGAATATACCTAAAAATAATAAAAGCCATATATGACAAATGCACAGCCAACATCCTGCTGAAGAGGGAAAAGTTGAAAATATTGCCTCTGAGAACTGGAATAAAACAAGGATGCCCACTTTCACCACTTCTATTCACCATAGTGTTGGGAGTCCTAGCCAGAGCAATCAGACAAGAGAAAGAAATAAAGGGCATCCAAATCAGTAAAGGGAAAGTCAAACTGTTGCTGTTTGCTAGTGATATAATGGTGATACGGTTTGGCTGTGTCCCTACCCAAATCTCATCTTGAATTGCAGCTCCCGTAATTCCCACATGTCATGGTAGGGACCCAGCGGGAGGTAATTGAATCATGGGGGTGTGGGTCTTTCCCATGCTGTTCTTGTGATAGTGAATAAGTCTTACGAGATCTGATAGTTTTATAAAGGAGAGTTCCCCTGCAGATGTTCTCTTGCCTGCCACCATATAAGATGTGACTTTGCTCCTCCTTTACCTTCTTCCATGATTGTGAGGCCTCCCCAGTCATGTGGGACTGTGAGTCAGCTAAATCTCTTTCCTTTGTAAATTATCCAATCTTGGGAATGACTTTATTAGCAGCATAAGAACAGACTGGTATACCTAGAAAAGTCTAAAGACTCTTCCCAAAGACTTCTATCTATTTATAGATTTGATAAATGAATTCAGTAAAGTCTCAGGTTACAAAATCAATACACAAAAACCAGGGCCGGGCACGGTGGCTCACGTCTGTAATCCTAGCACTTTCAGATGCCAAGGCGAGCAGATCACCTGAGGTCAGGAGTTTGAGACCAGCCTGGCCAACATGGTGAAACTCCTTCTCTACTAAAAAATACAAAAATTAGCTGGGCATGGTGGCGGACACCTGTAATCCCAGCTATTCGGGAGGCTGAGGCAGGGAGAATTGCTTGAACCCAGTTGGTGGAGGTTGCAGTGAGCTGAGATCCCACATTCCAGCCTGGGCAACAGAGTGAGACTCTGTCTGAAACAAAACAAAACAAAAAATCTGTAACACTGCTATCCACCAACAATGACCAAATTGAGAATCAAATCAATAACCTGATTCCTTTTACAATAGCTCCAAAAATAATAAAATACCTAGGAATATGCTTAACTAAGGAAGTAAAGATCTCTGTAAAAACAACTACAGAACACTGCTAAAAGAAATCATAGATGGCACAAACAAATGGAAATACATCCCATGCTCATGGATTGGAAGAATCAATATGAAAATGACCATATTGCCAAAAGCAATCTACAGATTCAGTCCAATTCCTATCAAAATACCAATGATATTTTTCCACAGAATTAGAAAAAAACAATTCATATGGAACCAAAAGCCCGAATAGCCAGAGCAATTATAAGCAAAAAGAATAAATCTGAAGGGTTTACATTACCTGACTTCAGATTATACTACAAGGCTATAGTAACTAAAACGGCATGGTACTGGTATGAAAGTAGTTACATAGACCAATGGAACAGAATAGGGAATCTGGAAATAAAGCCAAATACTTACAACAAATTGATATTTGACAAAGCATACAAAAACATAAATTAGGGAAAAGACACTGTATTCAATAAGTGGTGCTGGGAAAACTAGATAATCATGTGTAGAAGAATGAAATTGGATTCCTATCACCAACCACATATAAAACTTAAGGTGGATTAAAGACCTAAATCTAAGATGTGAGAAACTGTAAAAATTCTTTGAGAAAACCTAGGAAAAACTCTTCTGGGTATTGGCCTACACAAATAATTTATGACTAAGACCTCAAGAGCAAATGCAACAAAAAATAAAAATAAATAATGTGATATCACCTTACCTCTACAAGAATGGTCATAATTTAAAAATAAAAAAATAATAAATATTGGCACAGATGTGGTGAAAAGGGAACATGGTTGCACTGCTTGTGGGAATGTAAAGTGGTACAATCACTATGGAAAGCAGTATGGTGATTCCTTGAAGAACTAAAAGTTGATTCACCATTTGATCCAGCAATCCCACTACTGGGCATCAATGTAGAGGAAAAGAAGTCATTATATGAAAAAAGACACTTGCATATGCATGATTACAGCAGAACAATTTGCAATTGCAAATATGTGGAAACAGCCCAAGTGCCCATCAATCAACGAGTGGATAAAGAAAATGTGGTACATATATACCATGGAATACTACTCAGCCATAAAACAGAACAAAATAATGGCATTTGCAGCAACCTGGATGGAATTGGAGTCCATTATTCTAAGTGAAGTAACTCAGAAATGGAAAACCAAACATTGTATGTTCTCACTTGTAAGTGGGAGCTAAGCTATGATGATGCAAAGGCATAAGAATGGACTTGGGGGACTCTGGGTGAATAGTGGGAAGAGGTGAGGGATAAGAGACTACACATTTAGTACAGTGTACACTGTTCAGGTGATGGGGGCACCCAAATCTCAGAAATCACTACTAAATAATTCATCCATGTAACCAAACACTAGCTATTCCCCAAAAACTATTGAAATAGTAATAATTTTAAAAAATGGTCAAAACCAGTACAGAGAACTTCACTTTCATTTTTGATATAAAATAAAATAAATAAAACAAAACAAATACATGGGATATAATTAAACTAAAACGCTTATGCTTAGCAAAGGAAATAACCATCAGAGTAAACAGACAACCTACAGAATGGGAGAAAATATTTGCAAACTATGCAGCTGACAAACGACTAATATCCAGAATCTACAAGGAACTCAAAGAAATCAAATCAGTAAGAAAAAACAAATAATCTCATTAAAAAGTGGGCAAAGGACATGAACAGACCTTTCTCCAAAGAAGATATACAAATGGCCAACAAATATATGAAAAACAATGTCTGTTACTGTATTAGTCCATTCTCACACTGCTATAAGGAATTCACTAAGACTGGGTAACTTATAATGAAAAGAGGTTTAATTGACTTACAGTTTTGCAGGCTGTATAGGAGGCATGGCTGGGAGGCCTCAGGAAACTTACAATCATGGCAGAAGGTGAAGGGGAAGCCAGCACATCTTCACATGGTGGAGCTGGAGAGAGAGAGAGCAAAGGGGAAATGCTTCCCACTTTCAAACAACCACATCTGCTGAGAAGTCACTCACTGTCATGAGAACAGCAAGGAGGAAACCCATCCCCATGATCCAATCCCCTCCCACCAGGACCATCCTCCAATACTGGGAATTACAATTCGACACGAGATTTGAGTGAGGGCACAGAGCCAAACCATATCAGTCACTAATCATCAGGGAAATGCAAATTAAAACCACAATAAGATACCACCTTACCCCAGCCAGAATGGCCATTATTAAAAAGTCAAAAAACAATCGATATTGACACGCATGTTGTGAAAAGGAAACAATTATACACAGCTGGTAGCAATGTAAATTAGTACAAGCTCTGTGGAAAACAGTACGGAGATTTCCCAAAGAACTAAAAGTAGATTTACCATTTGATCCAGCAATCCCACTACTGGGTATCTACCTCCCCCCAAAAAGAAGTCACTATATAAAAAAGACACCTGGACGCATATGTTTACTGCAGCGTAATCCACAGTTGCAAAGATACGGAATCAACTTAAGTGCCTATTAACCAATTAGTGGATAAAGAAAATGTTAAATATATATAATGGAATACTACTCAGCCATTAAAATAAAGAACAAGATAATGTCTTTTGTAGCAACTTGGATGGAACAGAAAGCCATTATTTTAAGTGAAGTAACTCAGGAATGAAAAACCAGATACTGCATGTTCTCACTCATAAATAGTAGCTAAGCTATGGGTAGCCACAGGCACACAGAGTGGTATAATGGACATTGGAGACTCAGAAGGGGGAAGGGTGGGAAGGGGGTGAGGGATCAAAATCTACCTATTTGGTACGATGTACATGACTCAGGTGACAGGTGCACTAAAATCTTAGACTTCACCACTGTACAATTCATTTATGTAAACAAAAACTACTTGTATCCCTAAAGCTATGGAAACTAAAAATATTTTTTGAAAAAGAGTAAAAAAGTTAAAAATAAATTGGCTGATAAGCGAAGCCAAGTTGTATTTGAGAACCAGACCCTGTTTGATCCCATCATGATTTTATTTTCTCCAAAAACTTGATCTGTAATGTCAACATCTATTTCTAGCTTCTGCCTTCTCTAGACTTGTTCTTTGTGGAATTGAGACCTTACATTTCCATAACTTATGAATCCTAGTTCTTTTTATGTCTTTAATCTGTAGCATAGGAAGTGGAATTGCTGAGCCAGCCATGGTTTCCGGACTCCCCTCTACGAGGCCACAGAGGAAAGAGAAGTGCCCATACCCAGCTCAGAACCATCCTGGAGTAAAGGAAGGAGCTCCGTGCCACAAAGTTGCCCATTATTAGAAACCCCTCCTTTATGAAAGTTTTCAACTTTGTCTTTTGAAGGTTTCTCCATCTCCATTTGGGAATTCCTCTTCAATTTCTTAGTGGAAGTTGATGAGAGAATGGATTTACCCAAAGATATTTTCTGGGAACACATCAATTCTGAAAAGCAAGATAAAAAATTCTACGGTTGGATGTTTTTAGTCAGTAAAAATACTTAAAATTGTTATGGTAGGTTATCCTAGTTATTTATTGAAAGGTAAGCATGAAACTGAACTTCCCAACGTAGTGGTGTGTTTCTTTGTGGATAACATGGCTAAATAGGGTACATGGAGTTAAATAGGGTTAACTATTTAATAGTCAATAAACCATATACCCTATTTAACTTAACCCTTAATAGGGTTAAGTTAACTTAAAGGTTAATAGGGTTAAGTTAACTTAAGGGTTAAGTTAAATAGGGTTCATGAAGAAGGAACAAAAAATGCAGGTGAGAAGCTACATTTTATTTTATTTTAATTTTTTAAAAATTAAGTTATTTTTATGGATTTAGGGGTAAAATTGAGTTGTGTTACTTGGATATACTGCACAGTGGTGAAGTCTGGCTTTTCGTGTATCCATGATCTGAATAGTGTACATTGTACCCAGTAGGTAGCAGATACATTTTAAAATTATTTTGCTAACTCCAGGGTTTCTCACCTCTTCTCCTCTCCTCTGCTCTTCCCTCCCCTCCACTCCACTCCCACTTCTTCTTCTCTTCTGTCAATTTACTCTGATGCCATGATGTGGAACTAACTGGAGGGGCAAGTGGGCAAGCAGGAAGACCAATTAAGAGCCTATGAAAGACATTCAGGTGAAAGATGATGGCAGCTTGGATGGGGGAAGTAGCAGTGGAGTTGAAGAGAAGTGGATGGATTTGAGCCATTTTAAGATTACATTGGGAGCACTTGGTGATGGATTAGATATGGAAAGAGGGAAGTAAGAGAGAGAAAGGGTGTCAAAGTCAAACGGCTGTTACCCGTCCCAGAGGCCAAGGTGAGCTTTCACTGCTGGGACCCAGGACATTTGAGGAGTCTCAGGAGCCCCCTCCACTTCCACCTCTATGCTGGCCACTCTGTGGAATCCAGTCCCTGCTGAGGGATCCTCTGTAGCATGGGGCTACCTTGGGAACTACCTTCTGGTTCTCCCCTCTTTTGAGAATTGTTACCTCATTTCAAGAGGTCAGACAACTAGTTCTTAAAGGCAGAGGGGGAGAAAAGAAAGGAAAGGAAGGGAGGAAATAATTCAATCAATTATGAAACACATACACACACACACACACACACACACACACACACACAGGAATTATCTCAGAGAACAACCTGCTTAAAACCTTTTAGTGGCTTCTCATAGGGAGCTTTTCTATCACCTAAAAGACTGTGCATTGGAAACTTAGAATTTGGTAGCTCTTCCAATAATTCCCTAACAGCATTTTGATTGCATATGACACCTATTATGTATCAGACATTTGGATTACATAGATAAACAAGGTGCAACACATCTTCCCTGTAAGAGTTCATAGCCCAATAGTGTGGATAGATGTGCAAGTGACTAATTTATTCTGGAGAACAAGCCTTCTACATAAAGACTTATAACATATTAAGATAGCTAAATAGTAGTAGTAGTTAATTCTGCCAATGGCATAGCAGTGGAGAAATCAAGGGGGGCTGTGTAGAGGAGGTGACATCTAAGTGGGCATCAGAATTTAATAGAAGTTTTTGTGTCAATCAATACTGATGCATACTATGCCCTTTAAAAAATGTTATTTTAAAAAAAAGTTTCACCCCTTGACTCTGAAATGTATTTAGGGGTTTTCCTGAATGAAATAAAAATGCACAAGTGTGCAAACAGTTGTCCAAAGATGTTCTTTGCAGTGTTGTTTATAATGAGAAATTACAAACAATGTAGAGTGTCCATAATAAGGGACAGGAATATGTATACATTACAGAATGCACATAAATCAAATACCTACATTAAAATAAATATACCTCTATTGTGATGAAAAGGTATCCCTGGTAAATTTTTGGCTGAAAAATAAGCAAATCAACAACAATAACAACAGCAGCAGCAGCAACAACAAAGCCCAGCTAACAGAAGAGCCTGAGTGGTATGAATGAGGCCTTTATATAATGTTTTCGGCATTTCTTGAATGTTTTCTAGTACTAAGGGTGATGACTGAGGAGACAATGGCTTTCTCTGAAGTACTGCTGGCTTTCCAAGGACTCCTGAATTCCTCAAGGTAGAGGATTAATGCCCATTGCACACTGAGGAAATTTAAGATAAAAGGATAACAAATAGATTGCAAAACTGTATGCAATCGAAAACAATTAACTGATTTTGCTCGATTTTCAAGCGTGGAGCTGCCCCAGAATTTCAGCTTGAGAAAATACAACCTGGGTTGTCTCACCACTTAGGACTCAGATGAAGTCCTTCAAAGTGGAAAATTTCACTGTGATTTATTTTTTTTCCAGATGTAAATATATAGCAATAATGCAGTTATAAAACTGGCATTGTATTAAACCATAAATCATATTTGACACATAATAATGTTGAATTACTATGGAAGTCCATCAGTGTGCAGTGGCATTGCCAACAAACAGGTCATTGCTGCTTGCACCAGCCCTGTGACTTGAACTGCAATGAATAAACTTGTGGGGATCTTTGCTGTCAGGGTCAAAATGGAATAAACTCTATCGGAGAAGAGATACATCAGAGTCAAGCTAAGATGGCGGGGGCCCCAGAACACACTGATTCATTCCTTTGCTTGGTCATTCAGTAAATATTTACTGAAGACTTACTTTGTGCAGTGCTAGGCTATGACGGTGCATAAGAGAGACCTGGTGTCTGCCCTCAAGCAGATAACACAAGGATTTAAGAATTTCATGTACAAATTGCTATTTAATTACAGCGAATTCATATACTGATTTCTTGAAGATTTGGTCTCTTCTCACTGTTTATCAAGGTCAATGGTAAAGTCAGATTTCAAAGGCTAGCCTGTATGAAGTGGGGAAATTAATTCCCCAGAGTAGATTGACCTAGGATTCAAGCACTGGAAACTTGTCTACAGAGCCCCACATAGGGTCAGGTTAAAGAATCTGAATTGGTCAATAAGTTCAAAGGGTCAAGATGATACTAGTTAAGAGATGCTTCTAGACCAAGGACTTTAAACCAGCTCATAACAGCAGGGGAGTCCATGCATCAACACTTTTGCTTTTTGTAAAGTTGCTGCTTCCCTATCATCAATGTCAGTGCCTTGCTTGGGGTAAGCACTCCATAAGTAATAAACAGCTGTTGAAAGGATGAATGAACTAAGAGTGCAATAACATGGAAGTGTGGAGTATTACTATCATTATGAGAATCACTGTGGGGCTTAATCTGCATGGTGAGATTATCTGGACAAGTCATTCAGAGCCCTGTTTATGTAGGACTCTCACAGGGCCTCCTGGAGAAAGGGGTACAGAAATTTTGGAGCCAACATCTAGATTTCCTAAATGGCTAATTAACACCAGTCTGAGAAAGAGAACCAAAGGCCCCCAAACTCCTGGGGTAGAGTTAAGTGAAGGGATGAACACTCATGCTGGGGTTGAAGAAGATTGGAAGAAGTCTGACACCATTTGTGGTCAGTGGAGAGGCAGAGTGTGCATTTATTTTATTTATTTTATTTTTTTGAGATGGAGTCTCACTCTGCCACCCAGGCTGGAGTAAAATGGCACAATCTCAGCTCATGCAATCTCTGCCTCCCAGGTTCAAGCTATTCTTCTGCCTCAGCCTCCTGAGTAGCTGGGATTACAGGTGCGTGCCACCATGCCCAGCTAATTTTTGTATTTTTAGGATATGGGGTTTCACCATGTTGTTCAGGCTGGTATCAAACTCTTGACCTCGTGATCCTCCTGCCTTGGCCTCCCAAAGTGTTGGGATTACAGGAGTAAGCCACTGTGTCCGGCTGAGGGTGCATTTTTAAGAGTTTTTCCTTCCTAGGGAACACGGTCCGTGTTTCTTCTGAGAAAGAAAACTATGACATAGCAGGACTCAGGCTGCCTTTTGGAGGAGAAAATAAATACAAGTAATTTGAGAGGAGACTTTCTTCTCCTTGGCCGTCTCTATAAAAGTGGAGGATTGTTCCTGCTTTAGCTTGCTAAGGATAACGTACTCACTTTTAAGTGGCAGCTAAATGATGAGAACACATGAACACACATTGAGGGGAACAACACACACTGGGGCCTATTGGAGGGTGGAGGGTGGGAAGAAGGAGAGGATCAGAAAAAATAACTCATGGGTATTAGGCTTAGTGCCTGGGTGATGAAATAATCTGTTCAACACACCACCATGACACAAGTTTACCTATATAACAAACCTGTGCATGCACCTCTGAACTTAAAATTAGATAAATAAATAAATAAAAACACGCAGTCAGCTAGAGCACTCTATAGAGCCATTTCACCATCCTGTGCACTCTGTTTTCACGACCCCCCATCTCATTTCATTCCATGAGTTTGGAAATCTTGCCTCCCTCCCTACAATTCAAACAGCTCCTTGTCATGCCAACTTATTTTACAAAGAAGAAAATTAAAGCACACCATCCATAAGAACATAGTTCTATGAAACAAAGAAAATGGTGTCGTTTGTATTTGAAAAGAAGGTGGAAAACTGAAGTAGCACCTAAGGAACATTAGTCCCAAAGTCCTTGAGAGAAGTACTGCAGAGGCACGGGTGGACTTGAAGGCTTTGGTGGAAACTCTGCACATCAGCACTGTACAAAGTGCTGGGAAACAGAACTGCATGAGGCACAGTGGTCCTTGCTCTCTGCTGTGGCCCTGATATTGAGAGAGGAGTGTTCCCTTGTCCCCTTCATGGCACTTGTGACAGGGATGGGGCTCGCTTACTCAGCTGCCACCACTGCCATGCTCAAACTTCTTGCAGAAACGAAGGCATGCAACTGAGCAGGTGCCAGGGCCAGGGTGAGTGCTTCTGGGCTCCAGCCCCACGGCAGCATCTAGGGGTGTGTTACAATTAATGCTGTTTTAGCAGTTGCTGTCCCTGCACAGCTAAGTGTTAACCAGCTCAGTGGAAAGTCAGGGTGACAGCCTTTTACACCTTGCCTTCCTCTTGTTTGGCATCCAGGAAGAATCAGGTCACACAAATGTTTGAAAGGTGATGAATGCAAAGGATTTTATTAAGCAGTGGAAGTGGCTCTCAGCAGAAAGGGAGCTGAAAAGGGAATGGTGTGGGAGGAAGGTGATCTTTCCCTGAAGCCTGGCCTTCTCCTCTCTGAAGTCACGCTGTCTGTAGTTAAGCCGTATCTATCTGTAGTCTCCAACGCTCAGTTGCTCCTTCTTCTCTTGACGTTTAGCCACTTGCTAGCTGAGGTCTGGGGTTTATATGGACACAGGATAGGCGGGTGGGGTGGGCCATAAAAGGCAACATTTGGGTAGGAAAACAGGTATAACTGTTATTATTTAGGGCTGTGGTTTCCAGGCTTGAGAGTGGGGCTTTTGCCAGGGAACCATCTTTTTCTACTTAGTATTTCCCTGCGTCCTGTCCATGTCAGTATCATCAGGCTGTGCTCAGAGTGTTGTGGAATGAGAGGTCCCTAGTTCAATATGGTGGGTGGACTGCAGGAGGAACCTTCTGAAAGAGGTGATGGCCAGGAATGAAATGATAAGCAGGTGCTATCTGAAGAGGAGACACTTCAAGCAGGAAGTTTCGATTTTTTTTTTTAAAGAGGGTTGTCATAGCAGCATCATTCATGATAGCTAAAATGTGGAATCAATATAAGCGTCCACTGACAGATGAATGGATTAGCAATATATTGTTTATCCCATTGATGGAATGAAATTCAGCTTTAAAAAGGAAGGGAATTCTGACATGTTACAACATGGTTGAACCTCGAGGTCATTATGCTAAGGGAAATAAGTGACACACACTGTATGAGTCCACCTACACGGGGATACTTGGAATAGTCACATTCATAGAGGCAGAGAGTAGAATGAAGGTTGCCAGGAGCTGGAGGGAGTGGGGAAAGGGAAGTTACTGCTTAGGAGATATAGAGTTTCAGTGTTACAAGATGAAAAGAGTTCAGAGTTCTGGAAATTGGTTGCCCAACAACGTGAATGTATTTAATACCACTGAACTGCATCCTTGCAAATGGCTAGGAAGGTGCATTTTATATTATGTGTATTTTAACACAATAAAAATTTGGAAAAAAATATGAAAAAGAAGGAGTGGGTGAGAATCAGTATGGTTTGTGGGAGGAATGGTAAGCAGGTGGTGTTGCTGAGAATAAAATGAGAAGTAGAAAGAGAGAGAGGTGAGGAGAGAACAGAGACCAGGTTTATTCAGTCTGGAGATGTTCTTTCGGGCCATGTGCTGTTCTAAGAAATGGAGATATTGTGGAGCTTAGAATCCAAAGAGGCTTGACCCCGGTGTTTAGGTGTTTGGGTCTTCTCATTCAGGCAAGAAGGAGTCATTGATGTTTAGGCAGGAAAGCAGCAAGATCCAATTTGCATTTAAAACTATTCCTCAGGCTGCTGAATGCAAATGAGTTTGGAGGGGGCGGCATGGAGGAGGGAGGCAGAGTCACTAGTAACCAAAAAACATGATATGGGCTTGAACCGGGAGTAAGGTCTCCGCGCGCCCCTGATTTCCCAAGGTGAGCTGGATCTGGGATGCAGGGCGGTTGGGGGCACTGTGGGTGTAGGGGTGAAGTCCCATCCTTTGGTTCTGTAGGAGCAAAAATCAGGTGTGCTGTGGAAAAGGGAAAACATTTATCTGCCCCATCTCCTCGGTGGTGCTTTCTTGCAGTGAAAATTGTGAAGTCGATAAGTGGGAGGTGTGATTGATTTCATCTGGTACTCCCCAAACTGAGGGTGGTCAAGGCAACTCTGCAGACCACAAGCTGGCTACAGGAGATGAGAACACCAACCCCAATTTGGGAGGCAGGCCATTCCTAATTGAACTTTTGAGGGAATTTTGATAAATGACCCTGCCAAAGCAGTGAAATTAATAATTCATGCTTGAGGCTGAAAGACTGTTTCCTGAGGGACAGCAGCAGTACTCAAATCCTGGTGGTTTGGAAGGGGCTGGAGCAGGAGGCAGAAAATTCACAGTGTTTCTGGGCTTACTGGGAGGGCTGGAGGAGCCATAAACCCAGTTAGTGTGGCCACCATTCTGTTCTTTTCAAAAGCAGAATAAACTTGTATTCCGCGTGGGAGGATGGAGCACCAAGCTGCTTCTTAAAACTGAAGGTTAAAGACATCTTTTTCAGACTTAGCAACGGGTGAATGGGTTCTGATAGAGAAGATGGCAGCTTGCATCATTGCTCAAATCATACGCCGCAGGGGAAATGAGGGGCAGGACACTTTGCTGTCTGCAATGGTTTCTTTTTCTTTGAAGGGTTAGCACCATGAAGATCATTGTCTTTTCAACTGTCTTCCCCCCAGGTTCCTGGGCTCTGAGTTGGTGCACCCTGTCCCATTGAGTCAAAGCCATTTGCAAAGAAAAATTCAGGTTAATCTTGGCACGTGGCCTTTCACAGCACTCAGGGACAATTTCCAGCCTCACACTCTTACCATCTGTCTTTGTGTAGAGAATAAAATGAGGTCTCTGGGAAAAGGAAATGGAATGTAATCCTCATAAGGCTGGCATCATCATCCCCTTTTGAGAAATGAGGAAACTGAGGCCTAGAGAGGTTAGTTAACTTGCCCCATGTAGATTTGAAATGTTGGGTAGGGTAGGGGATAGCTTCTGGCACTTTCAAATTGATGTAGCACTTGGAAGGCCAGGAGTCTTCCACAGACCTCTTACCAATCACTCTGGAGAGAAAACTGTCTCTTTCGCAAACAAGTAGGAACATCTTTGCCCATCACTTTTTGGAAAAACCATTAAAACCAGAGCAGGCCAAGCATGGTGACTCATGCCTGTAATCCTAGCACTTTAGGAGGCTGAGGCAGGCCAATTACTTGAGGTCAGGAGTTTGAGACCAGCTTGGCCAACATGTGAAACCCTGTCTCTACAAAAAAGACAAAAATTAGTTGGGTGTGGTGACAGACACCTGTAATCCCAGCTACTTGGGAGGCTGAGGCATGAGAATCACTTGAACCTGGGTGGCAGAGGTTTCAGTGAGCTGAGATTGGGCCACTGCACCCCAGCCTGGGTGACAGAGTGAGAGCAAGACTCTGTCTTGAGGAAAAAAAAAATCCCAGAGCAAAGCAACTCTGAAAGGAGTTTTGGGCTTAAAAAAAATGAGTATTATATTTACTTAAAAAAACTTGATGACTCCGGTTTGAGGGCAGGAATCACCTAGGAGTTGGATTAACTGCCCTTCCCATAAGAAAAGAATTTCTGTTTATGCCAAGATGAGAGGGGGGTGGATAGGGTAGGTTGGTGGGGGGGACACAATGAGGTAATGGAGGGTCTGCTTATTATCACAAACAGAAATGGTGATTAACAGACCTTCCTTGTGTGTCTCCCAAGCCTTCCATAACTTATACCAGTAACTAGCATGGGCTGCTGGTAGTGCATTGGCCTCTTGTGTTAGCCACAAGAGAGGCTGACTTTTGTGCAGGATGAGTGCAGAGTACATTAGTTTGCGGTTGTTCAAGTTCATGCATGAGAGAAACAGAGAAAAGCACCAAGAAATGAGTTCTGGGACTCTCAGAAATCCGGGGGAGAGAACTTCGGACCATCATAGGTTATGATGTTGGAAATCCATTCAAATATATTCCTTTCCTGAGGGATTGTTGAAAAGAGATTCCAACAGAGACTGGAATGTTGAAGTTACAGAAATTATTAAGTTCATTATTATTTTAAAGCATAGTAGGGAGGTGTCATCATTAGTTTTTTGAGTCAACTTGACTTGGCTAAGGGATACCCAGATATCTGGTAAAACCTTATTTCTGGGCATGGCTGTGAGGTATTTCCAGAAGAGATTAGCATTTGAATCAGTAGACTGAGTAAAGAACGTCGTCTTCACCAATGTGATTGAGCATCATTCAATCTGTTGAGGGTCCAAATAGAACAAAAAGGTGGAGGAAGGGTGAATTTGCTCTTTTTGTGAGCTGGGACATCCATCTTCTCCTGCCCTCGGATACTGGACCTCTGGATTCAGATTGAATTATACCATCAGGTTTCCTGGTTCTCCAGTTGGCAGACAGCATATTCTGGGACTTCTCAACCTCCGTGATTGCATGAGCCAATTCCTGTAATCAATCTCCTCTTCCATATATCCTATTGCTTGTGTTTTTACTGGAGAACTGTGATTAAAACCAGTGACAAATTATGTATAATGAAGGTTCTAATAGTTAGAAAGAATGAATAAGACTACTTGATAGCAGAAGAGGATGACTATAGTCAATAATAACTTAATTGTAATGACTTTAAAAGTGTAATTGAATTATTTGTCACACAAAGGATCAATGTTTGAGGGGGTGGATGTGGATACCCCATTCTCCATAATGTGCTTATTTCACATTGCATGCCTGTACCAAAACATCTCATGTATCCCATAAATACAGACACCTACTGTGTACTCACAAAAATTAAAAGTTAAAAAATTAAAAAAAAAAACAATGAGGAGTCTGACTCCACCTGAGAGTAAAGGTCAGAAGGGGCTTTCTGATGACTGGGCTGTTAACCAAAATGAAGTGAATGAGTAAGAATTAGGGGAGGGGAAACAGGGCTGGGAAGGGGTGATACAAGCAAAAGAAGCCCAGATGTAGTATGCAGAGGAGAAATGGCCATTCTAGGAACTTTGAACACAAACACAGAAACATACAGCTTGCCTTTCAGCCCACGTTCAACTCCTCCCATTCTACAAATCAGGTTCTATGTAAGGACAGATACACTGGTGTTCAAGGTAGGGGAGGATGTCTTCCATCAATTAGCTCCTCCGTGCTTAAGGGTTACAAGAGGTAAGATAATTTAGTGTAATTGTGAAGGCTAAAGCCAGTGTGTGTGTGTGTGTGTGCGCACACATGTGTATTAAGCCTATAAATATAAATTCTTGACTTACACTTTCAGAAATCTCTGTAGCCTTGGAAAGGATTAAATATAGTACATGAACAGTATATTGTCATATTTAAGATCTAGTGAGTATTTTGGTTCCAATTTCTTTTGCTTGGGTAGGAATATTTAATTCTCAAATGGGCACTGGGATGAAATAATAATTTCTTGGTTATATCCATTTAACAGCTCACAAAGCACTCTCTTGTAAGATGTTCCTGACAGTCTAGTGAGGTAAGTAATTCATTAATGCACACCTTCATTCACTTACTCATTTGACAAGTACTCTTTGAGTGCTTACTACATGCCAGGTATATTTTTAAGTTTTGATAATAGGGTACATATAACACAAAGGTCCTTGTCCTTGTGGAACTAAAATTCTAGGTGGGGCAGACAATGAAAACAAACAAGCAAGTAAACGAGGTAACTCTCAACATGTAATAACGTGGATGGTATGAGGTGATCACTGGCCAGCGGAGAAGTAGATGATTGTGGGGAGGCAGTGAGGGCCTCTCTGAGGAGGTACAATTTGACCTTATACTTGAAAGTTAGGAAGACGCAGCCATGGGAGGCTAGAAAGACTTGGATTGATCCAGCTATCCTGTTCCAGGCAGAGACAACACAGCTGGGAACTCTCAGACAGATTGAGTGACTCATCCAAGGTCACACAGCGGAGCGAAGGGTCTGCCGGAGATTCTACACTGAGACTTTGACCCTAAGTCAGGGACTCTTTCCATATCTTATCTTCCCAGGGCTTGTTTCCCAATGTTGTCTGGATAAATCCTGATATTGTAGGATTATATGGTACTATCACATGTATTCTGTCTTTTATTATTGAAACTTCAGTAGTTGTTATTTCATGTAGAGCAATGAATAGACCACATAGAGTTTCTTGAATGGTAAAGTTATGGGAACTCATGGAGATGAGGCATTGAGAAGAAGATAACAATTTCTCTTCAGAGGGTGTTACGGATTCCCAAGACCCTCAAGAGTTTTCTTCAGGGGACTCTGGCAGCATGAAAACCCCACTTTTCCATTCTCAGAAAGGTTACTTTTATTCTTCTTCTTCCCCCTCCATACAAGTTTTTGGATATTCTGGATACCTTTTTGTTGTAAATATCTAATGCAACAAGGTCCCCACACATTCTGGAGTGTTTGCTGGCAGATCAGGGGATGCAAACGCAATTTTTCTCACAGCACCTTTCATCACTGCTCATTAAACTTTCTGCAAAGGGCTAAATCAAAAATATTTCCAGCTTCGGATGCCACTTGGTCTTTGTAGCAACTACTCAACCTTGACATTGTAGTGGGAAAGCAGCCATAGACAACTTATAAGTGGATGGGCGTGGCTGTGTTCCAATAAAATTTCATTTACGAAACAGGTGGCAGGCTGGATTTGGCCTTTGGGCTATAGCTTTTGTTTTGACCTCTGCCCTTAGTAATAATCATAGCAACCCCATGGGACAGGCACAGAAGAGGACACTGAGTAGTTAGGATCCTGAAACACGCATGTAAGATTTGATCATTTGTGATAATACTAGAAAGAGTGTTGAATTAGGAATCAGGAGACTGACTTCCAGACTCTTCTCTGCCATTAATTTATTTCATGGCCTTCACCTCTCTGGTTCAGTCTGCTCCAATGGCACCAGGGGAGTTGTATTAGCTGAATTCTAGTGATTGCAGTTAACAAAACTTTACTGCATGCTTAAAATTTGCAAAAAGGGTAGATCTTAAGAGTGTGTGTGCTTGTGTGTGTGTGCGTGTGAGACATTCACATGGAAATGGTAACTATTTGAGGTAACAAACAAGTTATTTAGCTTGTATATGCATATCAAATCATCAAATTGTACACTTTAAATATATACAATTTTTAATTGCCAAATATGCCTGAATAAAGTTTAAAAAGTCTATCCCTGGCTACAGCATCCTTTTGCCCATTTGAAGCTGAAGGCTTTGGCATCATGGAAACATTTCCCTGAATTCATCTGCAGCCATTACAGTGATGATTTGGCTCTAGTAAACATGCCACGTGGATAGGTGTATACAGATGTTGCTATGATTAGCAAAATGCAAAGTCATTTACACATGTTCAGAATTCACAGTAGCTTTCTGGGACTGTGAATCTTCTGAACTGACAGACACTAAAAGTGCAACTACTAGTACATGACAGTCTGCCTAGTTTTTAATGTGAAAGAGGGTGCTCCCACTCCAGGCATTGTAAGAGAGCTAGTGCAATGGAAGTCAGGCAAACCTGGATTGGAAATCCAACACTTTCTTAGCTCTGTGACCTACGGTCAAGTTATCCACCTTCTTTCACCCTCCATTTTCCATCAGAGAAATAGAAGCAGTTCCTAATTTTATTTTGAGGACTCAACAAGGAGAATATGGACAAAGCAATCAATGCAGTGCTTGACATGTAGGAAGCACATGTTAATGTTCACTATTATTTTTGAGATTACTAATATTAATAGTTATTACTATAGTAGCAGCAATAATAGTAGGAATGGTAATAAATACTGACAATAGTGACAGCTACTTAAAGTAATGAGAGTAGCAATGTGTCATTGGTGATTTTCCTGACAATTGGTGACTTGAATGAAACTCCACCAATCTACTGTAACTTTTCTAAATATCCTCTTCTCTTGAACATTTGAACACAGAACCCTAGTGTCATGAGATGTTTCTCAAAGTCCTTAACTATTATTCTGAAATCTGTGCTTTAGAGAAGAACAGTGAAGTATAATTCCACTCCTTGTGCAGCACTGCATTACTAGAAGAATGCCACAAGCACGATGAATTTTAAATCAAATATGAATATATTGATTCATAACACAACATGGAGACAAGGAAGGGATCCCAAAGACTGCCGGTTGACTTCCTGGGAGTACAAAGAAAATAAATCATGAACTATGGTCCTAAGTGAGTAGCAGAGAGGACATGCAGTCTGCCTGCATGACATGGATGGGTCTATGTGTGGATATTCTGGGAGAGGACATGGCTCAGAGCAACTCACATGTCAACTAGAAGAGTGGACTCTGGTCTTGGAAAATTCCACTCATGAGGTTTTCTTTTTTGGTCTGTATAAAATGAAGGCCATATAATTTTTTAAAAATTGTTTTTTTTTTCAGCATTTACATTAGGGCACAAAAAGGTAATACGATTTTATTATATGTTTTAAATAAAATGTCTGATTGAACAAGGGTTGTAGTGGGCAGGTGCATTAATTTATTAGAATTTTAGAGTGTCTTGTATTTACTGTGTGTCTGTGTGCTAAGCACCTCGTTTTACTCAGTTTTATATAATCATTTCAACAGTCCTTTGAGCCACATCCATATCCCCACGGTGCAGATAAGGAACTGAGCAGGAGTCACTGAGTTACAGGGATGATGACTGTCAGAGTCAAAGTCTGACCAATCCCCAAGCTCTCAGCCTTTCCAGCATTCCTATATTTATTTTTGTTTAATTTTATTTTACTGTGGTAAGAACACTTAACAGGACATCTACCCTCTTACATTTTTAAGTATTCATTGTTAAGTATTAAGGTTTATAGGTAGAATGTTGTTCAACAGATTTCTAGAGCTTTTTCCCCTGGCTTGACTGAAATCTCTGTGTCTGCTGATTAATAATCCCCCATTTATTCCTCTTGCCAGCCCTGTAACTACCATTTCACAGTTGTACCATTTTGAATTCCAACCAACAGTGTGCAAGAACTCCAACTTCTCTATGTTATCACCAACATTTATCTTTTTCTTTCTAATAGTCATCCTGAAAGGTGTGAGGTTTCTCACTGTGGTTTTGATTTGCATTTTCCTAACGATTAGTCACACTGAACCTCCTTTCATATACCTGCTGGCTATTTGTATGTCTGTCTTCTTCGGACAAATGTCTATTCAAGTCCTTAATTCTAAAATCTGGTTGTTAGTTTTTGGGTTTTTTTTTCCTATTGAGTTATAGGAGGTTCTCGTATATTCTTTAGATTAACATTTTATGAAACATATAGTTTGCAATTTTTAAAAAAGTTTGTAGGTTGCCTTTTCATTCTATTTATCTTGGGTTTCTCAACATTTTATTTGGTGACCACTGGTACAAATACCCTGGATTGCTAGTAAAAATGCAGAATAACACACACTACAGTATTTTTATTCATTAAGGATTTCTAACACCAAACTACATTTCTAGTAAACTCCTCAGAAGATTCTTGTACACATAAATGTTTAATAATTACTGCATGACACTTTCTTACCTGTTGGGGAGTCTTCTACCCAGCATTCCAAATTTGTGCTTACATGTCTAGGAAGTGGAAGAATTCCTTAGGATTTTCAGTTATTGTTCTTTTTCCTCTAACTCTAGAAAATGGAAAACAGGTACAGATTTTCTTTTTTTCTACACTGGAGGCTTATTAATAATATAATATTAGTGGCCCTATTACACACTGTCTGAAAAACCTCTAAATATTCATTGTGTGTGGTGCTACAGGAAATCTCCTATAAATCACTGAAAATATTATAACTCGAAGGTAAATTTCAAAAGAATAGGGAGTTCTTTAGGACTGCTTTGAAGCAAAATTGTTTCACACTGTGAAATCTTTTGCTTAAGCAGACGAAAGAGTGGGATCCCAACTAAGAGTGACTTCAAAATTTATTCAAGGATTCTCCTTTCAGGTCTGCCTCTCCTCCTATCTTTCCCTCTTTGAGTAGTCTTATCTCAATCCCTTAGTTTGGTCTATCTTTTCTTCTGTTTCTTGGTATCTGTTAAGGAATAAATTTTGCTCTCCAAAATTCATATGCTAACGTTCTAACCCTCAGTACCCCAGAATGTGACTGTATTTGGAGACAGGGTTTTTACAGTTAATGAAATTAAAGTGAGGTCACTGGGATGGGCTCTTATCCAGTACTCAGGTAGTACTATAGGGTCTGGAGGCAGAGAACCTAAGGCTTTACATTATTCTTTGTAATAGTCTACATTGACTTCCTAGAACTAAATAAAATATAATCATGCCCCAGTAACAAGAGGACAGAGGTTTCCCCCATTGCACCACCCCCCTCCACCTTCTGCATTGCAGATGAGAAAAGGAAAGTATCTCTGATTCATCCCCTCTTGCAACCAATTGCTGATGACAGGCGTAGTTTTCATTTGCATAGAGGTGTAACTTTGTAACTTCACTTGTGCCTCTGATTGGTTGCCTTTTACCACTTCTTTTGTGGGCCACCTCTTCATTTACATAGGGTACAAAGCAAGTAAACAATGGGAAACTTCTAGTGGGTATTTCAACCCCAGGAAATTCTGTAACCACTGCTCGCTCAAGCCTGCTCCCACTCTGTAGAGTGTATTTTCATTTCAATAAATCTGTGCTTTCATTGCTTTGTTTGTGTGTTTTGTCCAATTCTTTGTTCAAAATGCCAAGAACCTGAATGACTTGAAGTCAAGACCCTCCACGGATAATATATAACTGATGTCCTGATGAGGAGAAAATTTGGACACAGGCATATACAGGGGGAAGAACATGTGAGACACAAGGGGAATATGGCTATTTACAAACCAAGGAGA
This sequence comes from Homo sapiens, assembly GCF_000001405.40. Classification (NCBI taxonomy): domain Eukaryota; kingdom Metazoa; phylum Chordata; class Mammalia; order Primates; family Hominidae; genus Homo; species Homo sapiens. The sequence continues at coordinate 8,249,739 of NC_000016.10, read as the reverse complement.
CGGGCCTCAGAAGAAACCAACCCTGCCAACACCTTCTAGCTTCCAGAACTATGACGAAATGAATTTCTGTTGTTTAAGCCACCAGTTTGTGAATCTTTATTATGGCAGACCTAGCAAACGAATTCAGTATTTAACTTTTTCCCTGTGTCTCTGTGGTTCTCATTTTCTCTCTGTATCTCTCTGGGTATCTCTGTGCATTTTTCTCTGACTCTGTAACTTTGTTTTTCTCTCTCTGTCTGTCCCTTTCTTTGTCTATATCTGTTTGTCGTATACTATCTTTCTTCTCCATTTTTCCTCATTTCTGTCTCTCTCTTTCTCATCCTTGGATAAAACTTGATAACCTATATAAAATGTTTAGAACAGTGCCTGTAATTTCTATTACATAAAAATTATTCAAAAAAGCTAGTTCCCCTGTTCTTATTCTCTCCTTTTTTTCTTTCCTTCTTCACCGTTTCCCTTTTTCTTTCACTCACTCCCTAACTGAACATAAAATAAAACTGGAATTTATTTTTCAGGATTTATTGTCTTTGCTGAATAAAGTTTTATGGCCCCCAATCCTCATTTTAAATCAACTCACTTGACTGTTTTACATTCCTCAAAGGGGGAGAGAAGGAGAGACTAAATTGAATTGCCTTTTGTAAGTGACCCCTCTTAGATTTTTGTTTATTTCTTTTTTTTGGGTAAAAATGTTTAGATCAGTTGACCTTAAACTTTACAAGGTCTAGAATCACCCAGGGGGCTGGTTAAAAATGCACATTTTTGCTCTCCCACCCCAGGTTTTGAATCAGTGCATCTGTGTCAAGACTGGGAAATATATAATTTTAAAGATTTTCAGGTAATTCTGATGCAGGGAAATCTTCCAACATGCCCTGAGAATCACAGTCTTGTAGGAAATAAAAATGGACTTCTTCTGTGAGCCCTGCCTAACCTTTGTTCATTCTAAACAAAAAACAGAATAAAACCAAGCTTCGTTTCTAGAAGAAGTTTTAAAATATTCTCTCTGAGCATCACGGTTGGGGTGGTGGGGGTCCTCCTCCCCCTTTTTTCCTGAAGCCTCTAATAGGCTGAGCAGGGAGCTGACATTCATTTTCAAACAATTTAGGTAGGTGGAAAGGAAGAGCAGGACTTGCAAAATTGACAGTCATAGATTTACTTCTTTGGCACCTGTTTTGATTATTGAATTAAGAAAGTTCTGGCAGCTACAACGGACTCTGCCAGATGTTGAAGAGCACATTTCAGGGAGAATGTAAAAGGATGTCAGAAGATGTAAGGATCATTCATTTAAAGAATAAACTGTCCGGATCATGTTCTGTTTAGGCTGTCAGAACTGATGGCAAGTGTAATAAAACCTCAAGAACAAAGGGTGAGCAGACATTGATAAAGCTCAAACACATCGTGAAATATAAAAATCTGCTGATTTTTAAGTCAACACCCCTGAGTGCCAGCTTATCAGCTTGAGGAAACCACCGTATGTGAAGAGGAGCCCATTTTTCCCGCAGTTTGGTGCAGATTATTCCATTGCTTTCACGGAGGCTGTGAAAAATGTTCTCGGAGGACTTATCTATCACCATCAGGACAAAGAGACAGCCACAGCCCCTGAGAGAGTGACGGGAAGAAAGGCAGGCACCCTGTTAGTGATGGGACCGCTGAGCATTGATCTGGAATAACTGGACTTCTGCTAAGCCTGTGCACCTGTTACAAACACACACATGTGCACGTACACAAACAGGAACACTACATGCATACATATGAATACACACATGCATAAACCATGTTATACATGCACCAACATAAATACACATGGATATACACCACGTGCCCACACACTCCTCCATTGTACATGGCAAACGAAATCACACATTTGCACACCCAGCCACATTCATGAACAATACCACATACAGCATTGATCAAACACCTTTCCCAGCACTGGCCAAGCCTGCTAATGAGATGTGGAAGGCTGGCATGCCCAATGTGGGTTTCATGCTGGTGAGAGTCAATGGGCACCTCTTCCTGCAGAGTTCTAGAGAAACAGTCCTTTTTTAAAAATCACCTTGCTGATATAGAGTGTTGCATCAACATCCATTTATTGGATTCATCAGGACAAACAGGAGCATGACTCCGCTCTGTTTACCATGTCCTGCACAGGTGAATTCACATGCCTGGCACGCATACTTTGTGGTGTGAAGACCAGAATGCCCTTCTAGGAAACTTAGTGAGGACTTAGCAAGGCTTGAGGGGCTGAAAGTCCCCAATATCTTCTATACGTCATGATAATCATGCTGGGTCTTCATGTTCATGGAGGAGAATTGGTGTTTTGCTGAGGCTATGCAGGACTCCAGAATAACTTCAATACATCTTTCTAAAGCATGACTAATTGTATATAAATTAAATCGTTTAAAAGATCGTTTTACATCTAATCAAACTGTTTAATCAGCTGTTTCTATTATGAAGCAGAATGTGAAATTTATGTGCATTTTTGAAGGGAAAAGAATAGTGACCTGAATACTGACAGGGCCTTGTGTTTTTTTGTTGTTGTTGCTTTGTTTGTTTGTTGCTTTGTTTTGTTTGTTTCTTTATTTTTAAGGAGTAGGTCTTTGACAGCTACTTAAATTTTGTGCTGTTAATTTTTTTTTCCTTCTAGGGCAATCTTGGTCATTTATAATTTTAAAGCAAATGCTTTTATATATTTAAATTTTGTTTATGTATAGTTATTCGCAGTATTCTCTTAATATTGTTTCCCTTTAGACGCGTGTAGGGTTTCTTTTTTTTGTTTTTCATGATTACTTTTGTAAATCTCTCCCTCTATTGCTGAGTCAGGGTCCAAATGCTTGCCTAGCCTGTGGCCTTTTTAGAAAACCAACATTTTTACTTTTATGATCAAAAAATTTTTTTGTTTTCAATTTTATTAATTTTTAATTTAAAACATTTTATTCTTACATTTCCTAAAAGATTTCTCTTTTTTGCTTCTTTTTCTACCTTCCTGAATTAGAAATTATTCAAACTATTTTCAATCTTCTTTGTTATCGTAATAAATTCATTTAAGTTTATATATTTTCTCTTTAGTGATTTGATTCAATTCCATGGATTTTCATGTGCCCTTCTTTAATCCAATCATGATTTTAAAAGTTTTTTTTCTAAAAAATTAAGTAAATGAGTTTCTTTTGTCTTATGTTGGATTCTCGTTTTTGGTTTTTCATTTAGTTTTCCCTTTTAAAATTCTTAATATTGATAATTTGTGTTTTCTTTTTATGCTTGATCGGACTTGCTAGAGGATTATCCATTTTTATTATCTCTTTCAAAGCTCAATTTTGGGTTGTGTTGATTTTCTTTTTTTTAATGTTTTCTATTTTACTGATTGCTTAATTTTTTTCTTTTTTTTTAAATTTCTTCTGCTTCTTTTGTATTTAATTTCCTCTCCCTTTTCTGACTTCTTGATGTAGAAGTATAGGCCATTGATTTTCTGCCTTTCTTCTACTGTGCTGAAAGAAAGCCTGCTATGGTTGACCCAGCGCTCCCTCCAGAAGTGATCCCGTATGACTCTTGCCCTCAGCTTATTCTTTGCAGGTGGAGGTGAGAGCCAGTCTCTGCGCCTCTGGCCCTGGCTTGACAGCCTTAACCCACTTTGCCTTCTGGGCTAGAAAGAGTATCAGAGAGTCCCTGGATGGCCCATTGTAAGCATTTGTTTTGTGTTATCACATTTAGTCTTTACAAATCCACATGATAGCATATTATTGTCATTTTCTTTTTTTTAGGTTTAGAAAAGGAACTGTGATTCTAAGTTATTTGTCTTAGTCCCACAGCATAGGTGAGATTCAGACTCAGCCCTGCTTGGCTCCAAAGCCCAGTGTAAATTATTACATGCCTTTGCTTCACCTGTTAGTAGTAACCATTCATTGAGACTACCAGGTGCTACACTAGGCTGGGAGAATTATAGATATTACATCATGTAGTTCACATAGTAGTCTATGAGATACCTACTATTTATAGCCATTTAAAAATAGACAAATGGAACTAAGAAGTTGAGGTGTCTTTGTCATACTGTAATAAACCTAGGATTCAATATTAGGTATTCTTTTTAAAACTGCATATCCCATTATCTTGACCACTACTTAAGTTTTTCTGCTCTACACGCAAAGCAGACATCTTTGATGTTAAGGCCTCATGAATTCATTGAGTGACTCATCTTCTTTAAAGAGCTTCTTTAAAGGCAGAAAGAGATGAAATTCCACGACTCATAGTGTGGAGAGCTTGCATTTTACATAAATTCAAAAAGCTTAATTTAAACTTGATGCCCTAGGTCTGGGAGTCTTAAGAAGTCCATATCTTTTTTATCACAGAACACATTCAACCTCAGAGGGCTTAACTGATTTACCCAGTTTCATCAGCTAGTAAGTGGCAGAACTGGAATTTGAACCCAGGTTCATCTGACTCCCACACAATAAAGACAGAGAGCCAAATAATCAAAGAATACCAAGGGACTCATTTTCCCCTCACACAGGAGACTGTTGGGGCATCTTTGAGACACAGCGATTCGTTTCTAATGTTCTAAAGGTACTGACCACACATTCTCAGGAGAGGAAGGAGAGATGACAAGGGTAGTTGATCATCAGAATAGTTTCCTAAAGAAATTTATGCCATCACTGTGTCAGAGCAAATCAAATGTGGAGGAAATGTGAAGTCATCTAGTTTAGCTTCTTCTTTACACATGTAGATAAAGAAACTGAGGCTTCAGACAGAGGCCCTCCTCTCTTGCCTTGGGGGTATCCGATATGGAGGCTAATAATGTTAAAAATCATGGGCCAGGCCCAGTGGCTCACGCCTGTAATCCCAGCACTTTGGGAGGCCAAGGCGACGGATCACGAGGTCAGGAGATCGAGACCATCCTGGCTAACACGGTGAAACCCCTTCTCTACCAAAAACACAAAAAATTAGCCAGGCGTGGTGGTGGTCACCTGTATTCTCAGCTACTCAGGAGGCTGAGGCAGGAGAATGGCGTGAACTCGGGAGGAGGTTGCAGTGAGCCGAGATCACGCCACTGCACTCCAGCCTAGGCAACAGAGCGAGACTCCGTCGAAAAAAAGAAAAAAATGGTGGTCCCTTACATTCAAGTGGACGCTCTTGAAACCACCTTTGCAAAATTATAACTGAGACAATGAAAGGGATCTACCTTAATTGACTCCATCTTGCTTCTAACCTCCGAGCTGTCTTGTACTTTCTGGGGCGTAGGCTCAACTAACTTTGGGAGAAACTCAGCTTATAGTTTAAAACAAAGATGATAACAGCCCTTTCCCAAAGCCGACCTCCTTCTTTCCTGGGGACTAGATTGCCTTTGTAGGACTAACATTAGCCACTAGATTAGAAATCATGGTTTAGGAGTCATGCAGCTGGAGGCTACAAGATTCTAACCCTCCCTAAACTGCTCCTAAGATCAGTGCTTGAGATATTTTGCAGACGCTGCACTTGATGGATCAGCTGGCACCAACCAGATGGATAAACTGGCTCATCTGATCTTGTGGACTCCACCCAGGAACAGTCTCAGCGCAAGAAGACAGTTTTGACTTTCTATGACTTCATCCCTGACCAATCAGCACCCCTGGCTCACTGCCTTCCCCTCACCCACCGAGTTGTCCTTAAAAACTCTGATCCCTGAATGCTCAGGGAGACAGATTTGAGTAATAACAAAACTCTGGTCTCCCACACACCGTGCTCAGCTTGAATTTGGGCTAGGAGTTTGAGACCAGCCTGGGCAACACAGTGAGAGAACTCATCTCTACTAAAAACTGTTTTAATTTGCCCAGCATGGTGGTGGTACATACCTGTATTCTCAGCTACTGGGGAGGCTGAGGTGGGAGGATCGCTTGAGCTCAGGGGTTTGAGGCTCTAGTGAGCTATGATCATGCCATTGTGCTCTAACCTGGGTGACAGAACCAGGCCCCATCTCCATAAAATAAGTAAATAAAATGAGAAGGCCCTAGGTTATTTTTGTATACAATCAAGTTTGGGAAGCACTTCTAGCCTTTTTGTTTAGTATTAGAGATATTGGTGTAATTAGACATTTCAATTTGTTCCCTTAACTACTCACCAAAATTTTATTATTTCATTAAAAATATAATGGAACCAAAAAGCATTACTGTTTCTCTATTGTAACTCCCTTGTCTTGATGAATCGGCTCTGTCTACGCAGCAGGTAAGGTGAACACATTAAGTGGTTACATTCTTGGTTGCATACATGCATATTCTGTTTCTCACAAGAACCATGTGGCATGAGTATGGCTGCCATCATTACCCTTAGTTTATGATGCGGGTACTAAGACCCTGAGAAAAGAAATGACAAGCTCATGTCCTCATAAATGGTGGTGTCTGGGCTCGAACTCAGGACTTCTAAATCCACATTAATAGAGACTTCAGAACAGAACCCAATTTGTTGAGTGGAGGCAGGGGAAGGAGATAATTTCATTACGAAGATCTCCAAAACCTTGACAAGCAGCAAACTAGACAAGTTCAACCCTAACCCACCCTGTTCCTAGATTGTTTTCCACTTGAGAAAAGCAGGCAAGACCATAGAACATCCTCACAGCCGTTTATGTCTTCCAGTAACTTTTTCTAACCTTTTCCCCATCTGCTTTTGCAGTGGGAAAAATCATTTTCTCCATGTGATGGGTCCTCAATATTCCCCTTCCTACCTCCTTGATACTGTACTTCAAGATACTATACTAAATTACAGTGATTCATTATTCCTATTAAAACAAACAATATCCTCAAATTACCTGGCAAACTAAACAATCGTGAACAGTAAATTCCAACATTAAAACATGGGCACATATTGGGTAAATGTTATTTTCCTGAACAAGAAAAGCTTTCGGCAAAGTGCTTAACTTGAATACAACAAAAGGCAATTTAATTTAGTAATACAGCTGGCTGAAAAATGGAGACCTCGGGTTTAATAAGAAGGGGGAAAAGACACACATATATCATCCAAAAGGATAATTATGAGAAACTATTTTGTATGATCCAGTGAAATCAAAGCTTCTAATGCTTTCTTACTCCTGTCAAAATAGGGAGATTTAAGGCCCTAAAAATGGGAATTTTGCAGACTTCACTGCCAAGAAAAAATGATTTGTTTCTTGATAAATTACTATTGGGCTTTATTCTTGGGGAAAAAAATACACTTACATTGAAATAAATGCCAAGGAATGGGTAGAGAATTTATATTATTCGTTCATATCTGTCACTGGATTGGTGGAAAGACAGCAGACCCATTTAAAACATATCCTGACTTGCTGAACACATGCCACAGAGGCAGGATGAAAATCTCTAGTGAATAGGGGCAGGTGTGGATCCCCGTGAGGCTGCACAAATCTGACAACGTATTGCTCTTATTTTTCTTCCCTGGGACACAAATTTTCTATCCTCTCTGGATCCCACAATTCGAGAAGCATCCCCAAATATGGACACGAGTCTTTTGCCGATTCTGAATATTTCCATGAGGCTTTGTAAATATCCTAGGCAAATTTGCCTTTCAACACAGAAGGGGAGTAGCAACAGGAAAGAAAAACTTTGGCAACCACAAAGCCACCAGTTTGTTTGTTAGTTGTATTGGACCAGGCAGTGACCGTGAAAACATGACTCTTCACCAACTCCATCAAAGGTTTGCAGAGCAGGAAAATGATAACAGCTTTGGAGAGAAGGCTGGACAAGAGTTAGGGATCCAGAATCCAGCTTCACATCTTTAAAACCTGTGTAATCTTTGGCAAAACAGGTAAGAACCCTGAGCTTCACTTTCCTCATCTGTAAAATAGTTTATTTGAACGAGCAACATTTTCCTTCCAATTATTTCTGCAAAATACTTCATTTCAGGCCAAACTTTATATAAAATTGCATTATACAGGACAAATCAAAGAGGAACTTCTCTAGTGAAAACAGAGTGCTTCTTCTAGTTTAGTTTTCCCCCACCTTCTGGGGACCCTCAGTTCACTCGGTAGAACTCTAGGGCCTCAGGGAACATACTATGGAAATTACTAGACTGAGTTCTTTGTAAGGTTCCTTCCAGTTTGAATACCCACGGTGGTGTGACTGACCTGCTCCTAAAACAATTAACTGAGGCTATGAGAATACTCTGCCAGCCTTGCCTAGTGCTCTTTGCCCCCGTGATAGTGGTGCATGGCTCCTCCTGAAAAATGCCAGGTTCCAAAGGCATAATGGCTGAATCTCAACAGGTACATTCCCCTGCTTGGCTAAGACAGAAAAATGAAAAGGACAATAGAGTGCTGGGAGCAGCTTCAAACATTCAGATGAGAGTTATAATCCAAATATTTATCTCCAGAAATTTGGAATGAAAAGAGGCATGCACCACTTGCTAAGGGAGTATTGATTAGTGTTTATCAATCCCACATTCCAGAAAGGCCTATAGGGTCGGTCCTTTTCCAAATGAAACAATGCGAAAACATAATGTCTGAATCGTCCAATACCTGGGTATGACTGATATGACTCATCTGCTACAAAAGTGAAAGAACTAAGTAAATGTTTTGAGGAAAGAACTTTCTGGCTAATTAAATTTTGTTTTTTGGTCTTTCTTGGTGCTATAAAAAAGAAGGGTGCCTTTATTCCTAAGTTGAAAATCTTTCTAAAATGCCTGCATTCATTTTCCATCTGAGTGACACCAATCTGAAGTGCTCCATCTTAGCTTTTTCTTTGTAATTTACAAAGTACTTTCCGTTTCACAAAGCACTTTATAGTTTACAAACACAGTTTACAATATACCTTATTATATTAGTTTAAAAGATGCTGTCCTCTTTCCAAAGTACTTAACAGTTTACACAGCCTTTTGTGGCTTACCCATTTCTTTGAATAAGCCACTTTATCATCTTAAAAGTATTTGACATTTTATAATGCCCTCTTATTATTACAAAGAGCTTTGTAGTTTACCAAATGCCTTGCAATGTGTAAAACAATTCCAAGCCCATAAGCATATTTAATTAGGTTCGAGTGACATAGTGCATCTTTCTTTGATGATTATAAGGATCATTATACAAGTAACATTTGTGACTGGCCTTTACTAAGCACAGGCTGAGTGTCCTACAGATGCTTGCTGGTGCCTGGTTGATTAAAAACATTATCTCTTTAAAATTATCTAACTAATGAAGGACTAAAAGTTTGGTTTTCATCAGTGGCTCTTCATGGGGGACAATTTTATCCTTCAGGGACACTTAGCAATATATGGAGACATATTTGGTTATCACAACTAGGGGAGAGGGTGTCACTGGCATCTAGGGGATACAAGTCAGGGATGCAATTGAACACCTTACAATGCATATCACAGCACCGGTCCCACCCCAACAAAAAAAAAAAAAAAAGAAATATCTAGCCCATAATGCCAATAGTGCCAAGATTGAGAAGCTCTGGTTTTCATAAAGGTGAAAGTCTCCTGTTAATTTCACACCTTTTATCTATTACATTAGAAGAATGCTTTCAGCTGCAAGTAACAGAAAATGACCTCAAACTGGCTTACATGTTACATACATTTATCATCTCACTTAACTGGAAATCAAAAGAAAGGCCAGGATATAGGGCTGGTTGATTAAGACACTGACCCGTGGCATGGAGACCCCTGATTCTCTTCCTCTCCACTTTGCTCAGCCTTCACTCATCCCAAAGCTGGTTCATAGCCACAGAAGGCTGACAGCAGCAATCGGCACAACCCGCCCTTGTTCCTGTCCAAAGCAGGGAAGCTGGCTTGTCTTTCTCAGAATCCCAGAAACAGACTTTGTTTGTGAATAAACACTCACATCATAAGGTGATTTACTTAATTAAAGGATGTATGCAAAATACCAAGGACAGAGCCTTTTATAGAGCTGATGCTCATTACATGTTCTCTCTTTACCTCCATCCTTTGTTGGACACTAACTTTTGGCTGATGACTAGGGCTTCTGAAAGGACAAAAACATAATAAAATCACCTGTTGATCCCCCAAGAAACAACTCCTGTGAAACAGCTGGTAGATTTACGCATAGAAATTCACACGGTTTCCCAGCCTGGAATTCTGAACTGTAAATCCTTCCCCCAACATATTACATATGCACACATACACACACTTTACCTCTTGCAAATGAAAAGTCATATATATCTTGCCAAAGCATTTCTGACAAGCAGCTCTAGCATTCAGAGCCTTAGGCAAGCTTTGTGTCTCCCATAGTGATGTATAACTGGCCAGGGAGGTTGCAGAGCCCAGTGTTCAAGACTAATCAACACCTCTTCAGATATTCTGTGCAAAGCTCCCTTTTCCTTGTCTGCAAAACCTATCAGCAGGAGGTACTTTATTTAGGAACGAATGGCTGAGTTCAGTACCCTGTTTGAAAGGAGGAAAATAATTTTTATTTTATTTTAGAATCCTCATAATCCAACCATATGCTCTCAGTTTCTTATTTAATTGGTTCCACGTATACTTTGGGGATAAAGCTAAGTTCTAGGGTTTAGTCATCAGGCTATCTCTGCAATACTTTTGTGATGTGGAATGGGGGTTATCGGATACTCATCTTCAAAAACCTTTAATGATTCCCACCCAATTACGTGTAGAAAAACTTAAACCCCTTAGCCTGACTTTCACAGTATGACACCAAGCATTGCATTCCCCATTATTTTTACTATTTCCTATAAATATCGTCTACTCCATTCAGACTGATCTCCTAGTTATTTTTCAGGTAAGTTTTATTGTGTTTCTGAACTGCAGAAACTGGAATACAGCAAGCATTAAAAAAACAACAGACTTGGGTCCAAATTGTGATTCTACCACATACAGGACATATGACCATAGGAAAAAAAATGCTTATTGGGTGAGCCTCAGTTTACTCATCTGGAAAATGATGATAATATCACCTTATGGGATAGAGGTGAGGGTTAAATAAGATACTTTTTCAATATGCTTAGCTCAGTGCCTGCCTTGTAGAAGGTGTCTAATAAAGTTCTTATTTTCCCTTCGCTTTCCTACCTGCCCATATTGATGTCTCTTACACATTTGTACTTCTGCAGTATTTTAAGGACGGTGCACTTTATTTCTCCTGTCAATCTCTCCAAGTCCATCGTATATCCAACTCTGCATTCTCCTAGCTGATTGTATTTTTCTTTTGTCACCTAGCAGAATTTTAATTTATACTATTTTGTGGAGTTAATTTTGTGGTATTTTTTCTCTTCAGTAGATTATAAGTTGCTGAGTAGAGCTATGGCTGTCTTGCTCACCTCTCTTTTCCTCATACCTAGAACAGTTTTTGATACACAGTAAGTGGTAGATAAATATTGAATGAAGGAATGATTGGACAATTAAGATGAATTCAGTAGTTCATAGCACCCTGCACTATGCTAAGTTCTTTATTCCTGTCATCTCACAGCAACCTCATACCCTACACACTATTGTCATCATCCCTATTTCCTAATTAAGAAATTGGTACATAGGGAGGTATAGTAACCCAAGGAGGTTACATGTGTAGAAAGAACATAGTCAGGATTGGGACTCAGTCATTTGACTCCAAGCCCCGGTTTTTCACCATTAGGGTGACGCCTTCGCTCCAAAGATGGCGGACAGTGGAAGTGAACATGCCTTCAGGGCTTGGGTAATTTGTGTATTTTTTATTTTTTGTTTTTTTTTTTTTGCGACAGAGTCTTGCTCTGTCGCCCAGGCTCGAGTGCAGTGGCACAATCTTGGTTCATTGCAACCTCCACCTCCCAGGTTCAGGTGATTCTCCTGCCTCAGCCTCCTGAGTAGCTGGGATTACAGGCATCTGCCACCACGCCCGGCTAATTTTTGTATTTTTAGTAGAGACAGGGTTTCACCATGTTGATCAGGCTGGTCCTGAACTCCTGACTTCACGAGATCCGCTCCCCTCTGCCTCCCAAAGTGCTGGGATTACAGGCAAGAGCCACTGCGCCCAGCTTAATTTGCCTATTGTATATCCTTGTTTAAATCAGTGGGAGCTGCCCAAGTGGATTCAGAAAGCATGAATCCCTTTCACTCTTTTCAGTAGATTTTCCAGTCATGACATCCTTTGATCTTCACATGAGACTTTGCTCTGTTGATGAAACAACAGGACACAGCAGGGGTAAGCGATTTGCTCAAGGTCACTCATGGAGTCACTGATGTGGAAACACACAGTGGGAGATGCTTAGAACAATCAGAGGAGTAATCACATCAGGTCACTGCAGCCAGAGAGACCTCCCTGAACCTCCCACCACTGTTTTAGAGGGAGCTCAGTGTTGGTCTGGTCTTTGGAGATATGGATGAGCTTTGCATTACGGAGAAACCTTTGGATTTGGTCAGGTGGCCTGGATTCTGGAGGCAGCCACATCACATACATCTGAGCTTGTGAGTCCTATTTGCTGAGCTTCTGCTTTTCCTTCTGGACAATGAGGTTACACTAGATATTTTCTAAAAAAGAAAAAAAAAGTGGGACCCAACAGGTACTTATTGAGGGTCTACTAAGTCTGTGTCTATCTTACTTCTATATTCCTTAGACCTAGAATGGGGTTCTGGCATAGTAAGTGCTAAGTAATTATTGTGCAAATATATGATCGTGAATGAATGTGGTAAGACAAAATGGTGAGCGACACCTTGTTCCTGCCCTTTAGTTGGCGGAGACATGAGTCAACTACTAATGATGTTGCACTTTGCTGAATACTTTAACTGAAATAAATGCAGAGTGCCTTGGGAGCTCCCAGGAGGTGCAATTCATCCAGGTTGAGGGCTGGATGGGAATGTAGGGAGTCCTCCTTGAAGGAGGTGACATTTAATTGCTGATACCATAAGGGTGAGTAGGAGTCAGCAGGGAAATGAGATTTGTAAGTGTGTGGGCTCAGTTTGGGGGTGTAGAGGGAATCAGAGGGTTTGGATGATTGTTCCAAACAGATGGAAAAGTTAGGGGAACTAAACGAGGTTAAGTTGGGCCTAGGGTTTAAACTTCAGGAGAGAAAGAGGGAAGAGATGAGTCTGGAGAGGTAGGTAGAGGAATATGAAGGATAGGCCTGTGGTAAAGGACTAGGGGTTACCCAGAGGTCCATGGGGAGCCAGGAAGGATTCTAAATAGGGAGGGTGTATAGTCTGCGTCTGTGTCCCCACCCAGATCTCATCTTGAATTGTAGCTCCCACAATTCCCACCTGTCATGAGAGGGACCCAGTGGACGGTAATTGAATCATGGGGGCGGGAGTTCCCCTGCACAAGCTCTCTCTTCCCTGCCACTGTGTAAGACGTGACTTGGTCCTCCTTGTCTTCTATCATCATTATGAAGCCTCCTCAGCCACGTGGAACTGTGAATCCATTAAAATAAATTACCCAGTCTCGGGTATGTCTTTATTAGCAGTATGAAAATGGACTAGTATAGTTTGGTTCTGTGTCCCCACCCACATCTCATCTTGAACTGTAATCCCCACGTGTTGTGGGAGGGACCTGTTGGAAAGTAATTGGATCATGGAGTGAGTTTCCCCATGCTGTTCTCATGATGGTGAGTGAGTCTAATGAGATCTGGTTGTTTGATAAGTGTCTGGCGCTTCCTCCTTCACTCTCTTGCTTGCCTGCCTGTCGCCATTTAAGAAGATGCCTGCTTCCCCTTCACTTTCTGCCATGATTGTAAGTTTCCTGAGGCCCCCTAGCCATGCTTCCTGTTAAGCCTGCAGAACTGTGAGTCAATTAAACCTCTTTCCTTTATAATTACAGTCTCAGGTAGTATTCTTTATAGCAGTGTGAAAACAGACTAATACAGAGGGTTTTAAAAAGATGATTCTGGAAATAGTTTCTCCATGTGAAGTTCTTTGCGGAAGGGTAGATGTAGGAGCAGGAAGACCAGTTTGGATGCTGTTGATAAGGTCCCAGAGAATGATATCTGTGTTTATGGATACTATCAGGAGTGGTGGGTATCCAGTATGGGACTGAATGGAATAAAGAAAAAGAGTGGGCCTTTGGCCTTTTGGGGTCACTTGCTCTATTCAGTACTTACAAGACACCAGGGAGAGGGGCAGAGAGGACAGATTTGAGGCTGGGAGTAGAGTCAATACTCTGAATTCCTGGCCGCTCTATTCCTACCTGCAGCAGCAGGAAAAAGCGCTTGGGAGATGCAGGTGGATTCCGTACAGCTGCGGGTCCCTCTTCTCTACCACCTTGCACGCCTTAGGCTTTGGCTGGCCTGGTATTCCCCACTGCTGCTAGAAAGGCCTCGTCCTGTGCTGTTATCTGCAGATTTCAAGGCCCCTCTTGCTCTCACAGTGCTGAACTGACACCACTCATCATATCACTGCTGCTCTGATCAGCCTGGCTGATCTCACCATTTTCTTAAGTGGTGTCTTTGCTTTTTAATTTATTTCCTTGACTCCTCTGGTTATAAGGCGAACTCTCTGTCAATAGAAATTGTTCCCTGGGATTAGCGTGGGCTCTTCTTTATCATCAGTTTGGAAGCAAAGGCCCTAAAGCTTTTTCAAGACTGGGAAGACGGAGTGGTAAACACAGGAAAGAGCCCCAGGGTGGTGGGAAAGTCACTCAGTACACCTGTGACCTTGCGCAAGTCATTCAAGCCTTATTCATTAAATGGGGAGGTGGGAGGGAGAAAAGAGAACAGCATTTACTGATCCTGGCTATATGGTCAGTGCTATACTCCTCTCTCTTTGCTCTCAGTGCACCTCCAACACACTCCTATCATAGAATTTGCTCATCCATTCATTCTTTATTCAATAGACTTTTTTTTTTTTGAGACTGAGTTTTACTCTTGTTGCCCAGGCTTGAGTGCCACGGCGCCATTGCAGCTCATTAGAAGCTTCGCCTCTGGGGTTCAAGCGATTCTTCTGCCTCAGCCTCCCGAGTAGCTGAGATTACTGGCATGCACCACCATGCCCCGCTAAATTTGTATTTTTTAGTAGAGATGGGGTTTCACCATGGTGGTCAGGCTGGTCTCGAACTCCTGACCTCAGGTGATCCACCCACCTCAACCTCCCAAAGTTCTCGGATTACAGGGGTGAGCCACTGTGCCCTGCCCATTCAATAGACTTTTAAGATCAATTGTTCTGTGGTTACTCGAGCCTTCTATTCATCTGCAGGCACTTTGAGAATTAGGACCATTTAAAAACTATCCACTGGGCTGGGCACAGTAGCTTACGCCTGTAATGCCAGCACTTTGGGAGGCCGAGGTGGGTGGATCACAAGGTCAAGAGATCGAGACCATCTGGCCAACATGGTGAAACCCCATGTCTACTAAAAATACACAAATTAGCTGGGCGTGGTGGTGCTTGCCTGTAGTCCCAGCTACTCAGGAGGCTGAGGCAGGAGAATTGCTAGAACCGGGGAGATGGAGTTTGCAGTGAGTTGAGATTGCACCATTGCACTCCAGTGACAGAGTGAGACTCTGTCTAAAAAAAAACAGAAAACAAACAAACACAAACTATCCATTGTATCCCAGACACAAAGGACAGTAGATAGTAGGTACTTAATGTGTGTGGAATAAATGAATATGTTGCTAGGTGCTGTACTTTGGAGTCTAATAGCCTGGGGGACAACTCCTCTAACCTCTCTGAGCTGCAGTTTCCTCCTCTGCAAACAAGGGGGATACAAATGGCACCTAATCATATATACACACAAAATTGCTTTATTCCTGACAAATTGGTGGGGAGGAGGAAAGATCTTTTAGCATTATAATGCATGAAGCCAAGTTATGAGAGGTGGTTAGCTCTAAAAAGATGAAACTTTGTTTGCTAATAGCATCTCGCCTGTGAAGAATCTGAAAGACCCAACCATACTCCCACAGATGACTTTGAGAAGCTCCATTTCTAACAAGAACCACCTCCTTGGAATAAAGCCCTCCCCAGCTTTGATCTCTTGGGATATGATAGTGAAGTAGTCAGTATCTTGGCCTGGAGATAGAAAAAGGGGGAAAAAGAAAGGGGCAAATGGGATACCCCTTGCAGACTGATTTCCTAAGGACTCAAAGGAGCTTTGACAGAAAAGTAGAGACACGGCATTTATCAGCCACTAGACTGAGTGTCCATTCATGACTGGCTTATTGGCTCCAGTGTTTCTTCCAGGACAGAGATGATACCCACACCCTGGTGAAGAGGTTTCAATTGAGAGGCGATAGATGTGAAACAGCCAGGACTGTGTCCGGCCCATAGAGTTATTATTGTTGTTATTTGTTGAGTATTAAGCTATGGGGAGTATCTCAATGCATTCCCTTCGTGCAAGCCAATGCAAACACCCTTAAAGACATCCTCCACTCTGGCATAACTTCAGATACCTAAACCCTTCCTGAGGAATACCATTAGGAATGTTTGTAGAAAAATAAATAAGGCCAAGTATTTTCAGAAACACTCATTCTGTAAAGTGAATCCCATTGGCAAATTGGGATGGGGTTCAGGGCAGGGCAGGAGAGTGATCAAGCAGTGAAAAAATAAGAAACAGTTCTTCCTCACTTTGCATTAGCACCTTGGAAGAACACCCAACCTCCGCCTCCTGGAGCCTTTTTCATTGTTATCTTAAAGGACATACATAAAGCAACGTCAAAGGAAAAAGATAATTCTCTGTGGCTGACACATTTCACAGGGAGAAATGGATTTTCAAACTGTTTTCAACTAACAAATTGACAGTCTTAGCCTTCCCTCACCCAGGACGCACTACCTGGAGTGAAGCATGGGGAGGGGCAGATGAGGGCTGATAGGATCTAATCCACTGCTTACAGAATTTGTGGGAGAGTTTTTCTAATCACTCACTAGAGGGCTCCCCCCTCCTGACTCTATTTTCTCCTAAATCACATACTAGAGGTCAGAAAAAGGGGTGATAAGCTGTCCACCACGAGGTGGGTTGAAAAGGCCTCTTTCCATTCCATCAGAGCTCCGTTAGAGTTTATAAATTGTCGTGTCTGTCTCCACAAAAAGGGATAAAGTCTACAGTCTCACACAAAAAATGCATGTTTTCAACTTAGATTTATCATCTTTAATATTCTTGAAGAGTGGGAGAGAGACAGAGGCAGAGGAAGGTGGGTGGCAGAGGGTAGAGGGGTGCATTGGGTGAGGCAACTGACAGGTATAAAATAAGGACTAAGGACTACCTTTTCTTCTGCACAGCAGAGACCAGAGAGAGGGGCAAATGGCAGGTAGGGAGAAGTACGGAGTTTAAGGCACAGGCTTTGGCGCCTCTCTGCTTGGCTTCAAATTTAGGCTTTGCCACTCTAGCACTTTAGGTGAGTTACTTTATCCAGCTGAACTTCCTCATCTTAGAAATGGGGACAATGACAAGATACACCTTTGTAGGGTTCCTGAGGGTTACATGAACTAATGCCATCAAATACAGTGCCATCAAGCACAGTGCCTGGTACATAGCAAGAACTTAGGCTTGATTTGATTGTACAAAACCCACTGAGTGAGCTCCAGTAAACAAACATTGTCACAAATTATGATGATTAAGGGTCTTCTGTGCACAGAATTAAAGGACAGCAAGTGCTGCCATGTTTTAGTAAGAACTTATTGACTCTGGGAAAAGCTATGCTGGAACCAAGGTGCTGAATCACAATCTCTTTCTACTATCATCATTTTTTATCGATTTCATCTACTTTATTCTCCCTTCCTGGGTGATTAACCATCTCTGTTTCTGCTCCATTAACATGACCCATTGTGATTGTCTCAAAGTGGCACCCACTGCCAACTACCTAGGGGAAGGTGTCCTACTTCAAATACCGAGAAAAAATAATCCGATTTCCAAGTTCAGCTGTCTACCCCTAACTCAATCTCAAATCCCAGAAAAAAAAATATCAATGATTGAGGTTCATGGTTAAATGATGACCTCTGCTGACAGCTCAGAACTCTAACACCTTAATAATCCAGATGGAAGAGCAACATGGTGGTTAAGATCACAAGCTCTAGAGTCAGACTGTCTGGGTTCCAGTCCCAGTTTTACCATTTCCTAAATCTGTGTGCTTGAGAAAGTAACTTAATTTCTCTGCTCCTCAGTTTCCTCATGTAGAAGAGATGTATGATAGAAATTCCCACCTCAGAATGTAAATTAGTTCAACCATTGTGGAAGACAGCATGGTGATTCCTCAAAGATCTAGAACCAGAAATACCATTTGACCTAGCAATCCCATTACTGGGTATATACCCAAAGGACTATAAATCATTCTACTATAAAGACACATGCATATGTATGTTTATTGCAGCACTATTTACCATAGCAAAGACATGGCACCAACCCAAATGCCCATCAATGATAGGCTGGATAAAGAAAATGTGGTACATATACACCGGAGAATACCATGCAGCCATAACAAGGAATGAGATCATGTTCTTTGCAGGAACATGGATGAAGCCAGAAGCCATCATCCTCAGCAAACTAACACAGGAACAGAAAACCAAACACCTCTTGTTCTCACTCATAAGTGGGAGTTGAACAATAAGAACACATGGTCAGAGGGAGGGGAAAAACACACAGTGGGGCCAGTCAGGGGATGGGGGAGCGAGGAGAAGGAGAGCATAAGACAAATAGCTAATCTATGTGGGCCTCAAAACCTAGATGACAGGTTGATAGGTGCAGCTAACCACCATGGCACACGTATACCTATGTAACAAACCTACGTGTCCTGCCCTTATATCCTGGAACTTAGTGTGAAATAAAATAAAGAAATTCCCACTTCATTGGGGTTATTCTTTTGGTTGAATGGGATACATGTGGCACATAAGCAATCACCAATTGCTTATGTGCCACATGTAACCCAATCGGTAAGCATTTACCGATTACTCTTATTTTTCCTGTTATGATTAAAATGATGTAGCTGAGAAAGGCAATTCCATAGCATAAGCTAGGACACATTTTGGACTAATACTGCAAATAGATTCTACATCAGCCTCAGAAACCATCTTGTCCATTCTCCTGGGCAAGGTTTAGATTTATGTCTGCACTAAATCTGAATTTCCCATTGAGGTACACCCAGAGAGCCTTTCCCCTCTGGGGACACGTGCAGAGCTAGAATGCATCCTTAATCTGTCCTAACCACATGCAGCTTAGTGCCATCCCCTTCTCCTTTCCCCTGCTGTGGCGTGTATGACAGTGGTGGGTGGTGATGGAAAATCAGGAGAGACAGAGCCCATTAGACAGAACTGTAGGCGGATAAGGTTTGCCAATTATGTTTTTGTTTCTTTCTGCTTTCCCCGTGACTTTTAGGAGATGCAGAGTCTTCCTGGTGCTCCCCCTGGTTCTGTGCCTATAAAATAAGTTTAATGGCTGAATTTACTTTAAGATAATCAGAGGCGGTATAATTTATGCATATGAATAGTATTGTGGCCAGATGTAATTTTGCTCAAAGTTGTGGCATTACAGTTAGAAATGGCTCTGCTGGCTGTGTTTTGTAGAATTTGCAATTTATTTAACAGTTGACTGAGCACTGACCCCAGATAAAATAACCATACTCAAAGGGTATTTTTTTTAAAGAGGTATATAAAAAAAACAAAGGTGGGGAGCGGGCTTTGGAGAAAGACTTGGATCCGGTGCCCGATTGGACACAAAAGCAGGTGGTGAGCATCCAAGGCAGGTGGACCCTGTTTAGTTCATGTAAATGACAGAAAAATCTTCAGTGGAGGGAAGGGGATGCATATATATTTGAAAATTCCTCCCCAACCCCAGGGCTTTTTTGTTTGTTTGTTTGGAGGTTCATTCTCCCTTGACTGAAAAGCAGGTTAATTTTGTATTGCTTGTGGAAGCTGTGATGTCTCTCTTTTCTGGTGCTTCCTGGATTGTACAGGAAAAGTCTGGAAGACATTTGGCGGGGAGAGATGGGGATGGTGCATAGCAAGGCGAGTCTGTGGCTTCTGTAAGGAGCAATGCTAACCTTTCCAAAAGCCCATTACTTCTATAGTCAGCTGCATTCCATAGGAGGAGAAACAGACTCCCTTCTCCACACTCCAAGCCTGTCTCTGCCTACCACCCCATCTCTGCTCCCACCTCCAAGCCCTTTAAACATGGAAGAATGTTTTGTTTGTCAGTGTGTTGCCTTTATGCAAGCAAATGCAAACACACTTAAAGACATCCTCCGCCCTCGCATAACTTTAGATACCTAAACTCTTCCTAAGGAATACCATTAGGATTCTTTGTAGAAAAATAGATAAGGCCAAGTATTTTCAGAAACACACATTCTGCAAAGTGAATTTCCTTGGCAAATTGAGATGGGGTTCAGGGCAGGGCAGGAGAGTGATCACACAGTAAAAAGATAAGAAACAATTAGATCTCCCTCACTTTGCATTAGCCCCTTGGAAGGACACCCAACCTCCGCATCCAAGACAGACAATGGGCCTCACTCCACTAGGGGATGAGGATGGCGTCTCTGTATCCAGGCTGCGTCCTCTTTTTCTTGCATCCTGCCAAAGTTCAGCCCATGAGAACGGGTTGGACAACATATGACACTTCCTTCTTCTTGAACCCACAGAGCCAGGGAGAGTCATAGGACTCGCTCACGCCTGGAGTGGTGGACTCATGCTCTAAACCTGTCTTTATCATGGAGATTAGGGCCCCTGTGCTGCTACTGACAAAGTATTGATAAACCTGAGATCCATTGTCACACTGTTCCCCATGTGTTCTGCCTCCTCAGGAGACTCATGGGAGTGGTGGAGTGAAAGGGTATGAAGTAAAGAAAAATGTTCCACTCTTTTGTTTCTGGCTGTGAATCTATCAATAGAACCACCAGTCTTCCAATTCACAGCCTTAATATATTCCACGCTCTTTTCCCCAGTCTGGTCAACTCATTTCTTCACTTGAATCCTTCAGAGCTTCCCCATGCCCTTAGGATTAAGTTTAAAAATATTGTAGCCTGGCATTCGGGATCTTTTGTGATCTAGCTCTGGCTTATAATCCACTTTTATTTCCTGATCCCTGTGCTCCTGTCCCCCCATACTCTCCAACTCTATTCTACATTTCAGGGATCCCAAAGTTTGTGGTCTTTGGTTTGCACCAAAAAACCTCACTTTTTTTCACTTAGGTAATTTTTACTCCTTGCTTAAGACTTGGCTCAGCTATTTCTGCACTAGGAAAGCATTCCTTTCTCCTCAAGGTTGAGTGGAATTACCCCACTCTGTGATTCAATTACCCTCTGCATTCCCTCTTTCCTGATAGGCATATTTCTATTATTTGCAAATTTGGTCTATTATCTATGTATCCTCCAAACCCAGGATGTTGCCTTGCACATAGAAGAAGCTCACATATTTGTTAAAGAAATATATATATATTATAAAATATAATATAATTTGTATATAATGAAATACATATATAATGAAACACACACACACACATAAAATGAAGGCGTAAATAAATATCCCCTAAAAACAGCAATTGAGACTAATATATGTAGGGAGAGACAAGTAAGGGCATAACATTAGGAAAAGTAAGAGATGAAGTCTGGCTCCCAGAGTCAAAATACTTCAAGGTTTAAGGGCACCAAAAATAAGTATGCTGGCTAGTATGTACTGTGTGTGCTGACCGTGCAAGTCATTATGCTAAGAACTTTTCTTATATCATCTCATTGAATCCACATAGCGATAGCAATATGGCAACTATTATCCCCCATTTAATGGATGAGGGAACTGAGGCTTAGAAAGGTTATATAGCAACTACATGACAGGCTCACGATTCACACCAGTCCATCTGCTTCTGGAGTTTCCCTTTTCCTCCCCCTTTTGGCTGTATAAATATTTATTTATAAATTATGGGGAGCTTTATGTATTCAGGAAAGTATAGAGAATAGTAAATACTCATAAACTTATCAAACCCATTTTGACAGCTCTTAGCATATTTTTAAAAATTGGCAGTTTTACACCCCAGTCAAATGCCCTCCTTTTCTCCAGAGATGACCAGTCTCCTGAAGCTAGTTTGTATTACCCCTTTTATGCTTTTATTTCATTTTTCAGTTTTTATATTTTCACTACTTGAGTATATACCCCTTAATAAAAAATAGTATTTTTGAGTGTTTTAGATATTTACAAAAAAATGGAATAATACTGTGTCCCTTTGTTTTTAGCTTATTCACTTTATTTTAAACATCTAAAACTTTCTGATTTGGCAATTACATTTACAGAAAAGTCAAGCAGACAGTACAAAGAGTTGCCATCAATGCTTCACTCAGTTTTCTTATTCATAACATCGTATATTAACACAGTTTATGGTCAAAACGGAGACACAACGAAACCAACGTTGGTAAAATATTATTAATTAAATTCCAGACTTCATTAGAATTTTTCTAGTTTTTCTGTCAGTGTCTTCTTTCTGTTCCAGGGTCCAATGAGAGCACCTTATTGCATTTACTTCTCTCCCCAGTCTCTTCTTGGTTGTTTCTCAGTCTTTTTCCTTTGCTTTTCATGACCTGGGACAGGGTTGAGGAAGTATTGTCCAGGTATCTGCCAGAATGTCCCCTAATCTGGGTGTGTCTGATATTTGCTCCTGATGACACTGGGGTGATGGGTTTTTGGAAAGAATACCATAGAGATTAATTGTCCTTCTCATCTCATCCTATCAGGGTAGACATGATGCCAACATGACTTCCCTGATGATGTTAACCTTCATCACTTGGTTAAGGTGAATCTGCCAGATTTCTCCGTTGTAAAGTTATTCTTTTCCACCTTTCCATTCTCTATTGCTTGGAAGCAAGTAACTAAATCTAGCCCATACTTAAGGGGTGGGACTTTTAAACTTCACCTTCTGGAGAGGGGCGTATCAATGTGTATTAAATAAAATTCTTCTATAAGGCAGATTTGTCTATTTCCCCCACTTATTTATTTACTCAATCATTTATTTATATCAGCGGAGACTCATGGATATTTATTTATACTTTGAGTTATAATCCAGTACCATGATGTTTGTCTCATTGCCTGAATTATTTCAGCTTTTGCAACCAGGAACTGTTTCAAGTTAACTCCTGTCTCTTTGACAGTACCTCATCTTTTTACATTTTTTACTGCTTCCTTACTTTCTGGTACTACAAGATACTCCATCTCATCTTGTATTTTCCTTGCCTCAGATCTTGAATCAGCCATTTATTCAAGGATCATTTAAAAAAATTTTTATTGTTGTAAAATATGTATAACATAAAATTTATAATTTTAACCATTTTTAAGTGTACAGATCAGTGACATTTTAAGGACATTCATATTGTTGTGCAACCTTCAGCACTATGTAGATTTACCCATTCCTTTTGACAGCTGTGTAGTATTCCATTGTTAGAATGTACTATAATATGTTTATTCATTCTTCAGTTGACAATTGATTTCAAATTTTTTCAGTTTCAAACAATGCCAAAATTCGACATCTTTTTATCTGAATCCAAATGTACATGGTCAAGAGCTTCTCTGGAGTATATTTCTCAAAGCACTGGATGTTGGGATGTAGGATGAACATCTTCAAATATTTTAAGCATTATCAAATTCCTCTCCAAAGTGGTCATGTAGTTTCTACTCCCATAAGTTGTAGAGCTTGTGTTTGTACACATTCTTGACAACACTTGATATTATTTTGCTCCTCTGGTGGTTCTATATCTTATTGTTTCAATCTGCATTGTTCTGCTTACAGAGCAGGATGTGCTCTTTTTCACACATTTACTGGCCATGCAAGATTCCTCCTCTGTGAATTGCTGCTTCTCATGTTAGCTTGTTTGTCTTTTCTTATTGATCTGTAGATCTCCTTTATATTCTGGGAACAAATCCACTTTTCATTTTATGTGTTGCAAATATCTTCTCCCAGCTGTGGCTTGTCTTTTAACTTTTCTTTTGGTATTTTTTTTAATTTTTTTGTCATACAAAATATTTTAAAGATTTTTTTCACAGATAGGACCTTAATCCATTCAGAATATAATTTTTATATGGTGGGAGTGACGGATCTAATTTTATTTGTGTTCCGCACTGTTTGTACTATATATCATTGATTCTAAGATGTACTTTTACTCCCCCATACTTTGCCATGTCTCAAATTGTGATGCGTGTTACTATCAATGCAACTCACGACATGGTTTTTCTCGTTACTGTGTGTAAGATAGTATGTGTCTTAATTTATTGAGAATGTTTAGCATGAAGGTCTGTTGAATTTTGTCAAAGGTCTTTTCTGCATCTATTGAGATAATCATGTGGTTTTTGTCTTTGGTTCTCTTCATATGCTGGATTACATTTATTGATTTGCATATGTTGAACCAACCTTGCATCCCAGGGAGGAAGCCCACTTGATCATGGTGGATAAGCTTTTTGATGTGTTGCTGGATTCGGTTTGCCAGTATTTTACTGAGTGTTTTTGCATTGATGTTCATCCGGGATATTGGTCTAAAATTCTCTTTTTTTGTTGTGTTTCTGCCAGGCTTTGGTATCAGGATGATGCTGGCCTCATAAAATGAGTTAGAGAGGATTCTCTCTTTTTCTATTGATTGGAATAGTTTCAGAAGGAATGGTACCAGCTCCTCCTTTGGACGTATCTCAAAATAAAAAGAGCTATTTATGACAAACCCATAGCCAATATCATACTGAATGGGCAAAATCTGGAAGTATCCCCTCTGAAAACTGACACCACACAGGGATGCCCTCTTTCACCACTCCTATTCAACATAGCGTTGGAAGTTCTGGCCAGGGCAATCAGGCAGGAGAAAGAAATAAAGGGTATTCAATTAGGAAAAGAGGAAGTCAAATTGTCTCTGTTTGCAGATGACATGATTGTATATTTAGAAAACCCCATCATCTCAGCCAAAATCTCCTTAAGCTGATAAGCAACTTCAGCAAAGTCTCAGGATACAAAATCAATGTGCAAAAATCACAAGCATTTTTATATACCAGTAACAGACAAACAGAGAGCCAAATCATGAGTGAACTCCCATTCACAGCTGCTTCAAAGAGAATAAAATACCTAGGAATCCAACTTACAAGGGATGTGAAGGACCTCTTCAAGGAGAATTACAAAGCACTGCTCAACGAAATAAAAGAGGATACAAACAAATGGAAGAACAATCCATGCTTATGGGTAGGAAGAATCAATATCGTGAAAATGGCCATACTGCCCAAGGTAATTTATAGATTGAATGCCATCCCCATCAAGCTACCAATGACTTTCTTCACAGAATTGGAAAAAACTACTTTAAAGTTCATATGGAACCAAAAAAGAGCCCTCATTGCCAAGTCAATCCTAAGCCAAAAGAACAAAGCTGGAGGCATCACGCTACGTGACTTCAAACTATGCTACAAGGCTACAGTAAACCAAAACAGCATGGTACTGGTACCAAAACAGAGATATAGACCAATGGAACAGAACAGAGCCCTCAGAAATAACGCCACTTATCTACAACCATCTGATCTTTGACAAATCTGACAAAAACAAGAAATGGGGAAATGATTCCCTACTTAATAAATGGTGCTGGGAAAACTTGCTAGCCATATGTAGAAAGCTGAAACTGGATCCCTTCCTTACACCTTATACAAAAATTAATTCAAGATGGATTAAAGAATTAAATGTTAGACCTAAAACCATAAAAACCCTAGAAGAAAACCTAGGCAATACCATTCAGGACGTAGGCATGGGCAAGGACTTCATGTCTAAAACACCAAAAGCAATGGCAACAAAAGCCAAAATTGACAAATGGAATCTAATTAAACTCAAGAGCTTCTGCACAGCAAAAGAAACTACCATCGGAGTGAACAGGCAACCTACAGAATGGGAGAAAATTTTCACAACCTACTCATCTAACAAAGGGCTAATATCCAGAATCTACAAAGAGCTCAAACAAATTTACAAGAAAAAAACAAACAACCCCATCAAAAAGTGGGTGAAGGATATGAACAGACACTTCTCAAAAGAAGACATTTATGCAGCCAAAAGACACATGAAAAAATGCTCATCATCACTGGCCATCAGAAAAATGCAAATCAAAACCACAATGGGATACCATCTTATACCAGTTAGAATGGCGATCTTTAAAAAGTCAGGAAACAACAGGTGCTGGAGAGGATGTGGAGAAATAGGAACACTTTTACACTGTTGGTGGGACTGTAAACTAGTTCAACCATTGTGGAAAACAGTGTGGTGATTCCTCAAGGATCTAACTAGAAACACCATTTGATCCAGCCATCCCATTACTGGGTATATACCCAAAGGACTATAAATCATGCTGCTATAAAGACACATGCACACGTGTGTTTATTGCGGCACTATTCACAATAGCAAAGACTTGGAACCAACCCAAATGTCCATCAATGATAGACTGGATTAAGAAAAATGTCACACATATACACCACAGAATACTATGCAGCCATAAAAAATGATGAGTTCATGTCCTTTGTAGGGACATGGATGAGGCTAGAAACCACCATTCTCAGCAAACTATCGCAAGGACAAAAAACCAAACACTGCATGTTCTCACTCATAGGTGGGAATTGAACAATGAGAACACCTGGACATAAGAAGGGGTTGGGGGACGGGGGAGGGATAGCATTAGGAGATATACCTAATGTAAATGACGAGTTAATGGGTGCAGCACACCAACATGGCACATGTATACATATGTAACAAACCTGCCTGTTGTGCACATGTACCCTAGAACTTAAAGTGTAATAATAAAAAAAAATGAAAAACAAAAGATTGTATGTGTCTTACAATCAGAGGCATCTTAGATTTGATGAAAGGTAGACATGTTCTAGGTTTATCCTAATTCTTGATACACTAGTAGGATGAACCTCCTGCCTCCCTTATCCTGATAATTATTGGTCATAAAAGTTTTAGAATCATATTGTCAAGCTCCAAGCTCTGAGAATAACTCATACTTTTTTTTTCTCTGTTGGTGTTTTTTAAAATTGGAACTCCATCTAGTCCATACAGACTAGATATTTGGGGAGAATAACCATGGTTAAGACATTTTGTCAGGGTTTCATTGTTACAAAGTTTAAGGTCCCAGGTTAAAGGCATGGGTCAGGTGACAAGGTGGACAGTTATAGGCTCAGAATTCTGGGTTTTTTGTTTGTTTGGTTGGTTGTTTTTTTTCTTCGAAGATCCATTTTTTTTTCCTACCATATCATATTCCACCTGCTGGAATCAGTCAGCTTCTGGAGAAATGAGATCCCCATCACTTGAGATGTTCATGCTGTGGCTCACTGGCCATCTGTTCAGAATGACCAACGGAGGGTTCTTCACATCAAGAGTGGAAATGAGCTCTTAGGCGCCTCCTGACTGTAACGCTCCACGAGCATGAGGGTGCATAGTGTGATGTGGAAGGCTGAAAGCGCGGGCAGAATTGAGGTGCTCCAGTTTCATCATTTTGCCTGGGGCCAGGCCTCAGCTAGGAGGAAAAGAATGAAATTTTCCAAATTTTTAGTCACTTATTTGGCTCCTGGGAAGGCCAACAAATGTTCCAGTTCCTTTTCAGCCTGGGTCTCCTCCTCTCTCCCACTCTGTGTTCATTTTTGCTTTCTTCTCTTTTCACCCTTAAGTGTTGCAAAAGTTTAAAGCAAGAGTTGGTAAACCATAATGTGCAGGCCAAACTCATATGCTGCCTGTTTTTTGTAAATAGTTTTATTAGAACACAGCCATGCCCATTCATGTACATGTTGTCTACAGCTGCTTTTAGACTACAAAGGCAGGGCTGAGTAGCTGTGATAGAGACCATATGATCCACAGAGTCTAAAGGATTAGATTGACTCTCAGGCAGTCTAAAAGATTATTTGATTCTTTATGGAAAAAAAAATCGGTAAACCCTGGTTGAAAGGAACAACCCGTTGACATAAAGGCCATTTGTTCCCTGGATTCCAAAACTGAAGGTTGCCTTTATGGTTTAATTCTGTTCAGGTTTTAGCGTTTTTTTTCTTTGTAAAAGGGTTCGATGGTCCACGTACAGCTCTGAACAGAAGTATGAAAATACAGGCGAGAGTACAAATCCACTCAGAGAAACACGGACCCCAGCAAAAATGCAATTATTTTCTTCTGGTTTGAGGCTGCCCTCGGGAAATTATCTTTGGAGGAGGCAACTGGTGCGAGGGCTCAAAATAGAATAAGGAGAGAGGATTTCAGGGACACTTTCTGGCAGAGCTAATTTTCTCTTCCCCAAGTTTACTGTGGAGAGGATGGCAGAAAGGCGTTATTATAATCCTTCACTAAAAAACTTCTTTGTGCCAACTAAGTAGTCAGGTGAAATGTGGCATTTCAATTTTTTTGTGACCGAATTACTGGTTTTTGACAAAACCTCTCTCTTGGATCTGAGCTTCCTGGCTTCCTTTCTCTGCAGCCCTTTATGCCTCCGTCTTCTTCTTCTTCTTCTTTTTTTTTTTTTCTGAGACGGAGTCTTGCTCTGTTGTCCATGCTGGAGTGCAGTGGCAGGATCTCAGCTCACTGCAACCTCTGCCTCCTAGGTTCAAGCAATTCTCCTGCCTCAGCCTCCTGAGTAGCTGGGATTACAGGCATACACCACCATGCCTGACTAATTTTTGTATTTTTAGTAGAGAGGGGGTTTGCCATGTTGGCCTGGCTGATTTCAAACTCCTGGCCTCAAATGATCCACCCACCTCCACCTCCCAAAGTGCTGGGATTTCAGGAGTGAGCCACCATGCTCAGCCATGCCTCCGTCTTCTTTATCTCCATCTCTTTACAACTACTGCTTTACATATCACCAACCCCTCTTTCCTAATTTGAAGCGACTGAGAACCAAAAATTATGGACTTTGAATATTTTCCTCCACTATGAAGAGCAACAGCTGGTATCGCTAGTCTCCCAAAATGTTGCATGGGGGCCACTTGTGGAACAGAGGTCTATTTTAGGTGACACATCAATAGACTGAAAAAAAAAATGAATAACTAAATACCAACAGTTAAAAACAACATAAATTTGAAAAATTAATCTCAGCATATTGAATCCAGATTTCTTGAGTGGTATTGCTTGAAAAGTTACCAACCCAATTGTATTAGTTTGTTTTCATGCTGCTGTGAAGAAATACCTGAGACTGGGTAATTTATAAAGGAAGGAAGTTAATTGACTCACAGTTCCACATTTCTGGGGAGGCCTCAGGAGGCTTACAATCATGGTGGAAAGCAAAGGAGAAGCGGGCACCTTCTTCACAGGGTGGCAGGATGGAGTGAGCACAAGCAGGGAACTGTCAGACACTTATAAAACCATCAGATCTTGTGAGACTCACTCACCATCACAAGCACAGCATGGGGGAAACCACACCTGTGATCCACTTACCTCCACCTGGTCCCGCCCTTTACACATGGGGATTATGGGGATAACAATTCAAGGTGAGATGTGAGCGAACACAGAGTCAAGCCATATCACCAATAAAAGCAATAACAGTTGTGAGAGGCTGAATAACATCCCCCTCAGATACATTCATGTCTTCATCCCCAGAACCTGTGAATATATTATTGTTTCATGTGGGAAAGGGAACTTAGCAGGTGTGATTAAGTTAAAGATCTTGAGATGGGGACATTATCCTGGATTAACTGGGATCCAATGTGATCACAGGGTCTTTATCAGAAGGAGGGATGGGGAGGATCACAATTAGAGGAAAGGAGATGTGATAATAGAAAGAACATGTGTGTGTGTGTGTGTGTGTGTGTGTGTGTGTGTGTGTAAGTATGACTAAAAGAGAGATGAGGAGAGAGAGAGAGAGAGAGAAATTTGAGGATGCCACTTTGATGGTTTGAAGATAGGGGAAGAGGCCATGAGCCAAGGAATACAGGAACTTCCAGAAACTGGAAGGAAAAAGCAAAGAAATGAATTTTTTCTTAGCGCCTGCAGAAGGAACACAGCCCTGCCAACACTGAGTTTAGGCACTGCGTACTTCTGACCGCCACAAATGTCAGATGATAAATTTCTGCAGTTTTAAGCCACTAAATTGGTCATAATTTTTCACAGCAACCACAGGAAACTCATACCGCTGACGGCACATCCAAGTATCTCCTGTTTCTGGCTCTGTGCTAAGTGCTCTGCCCATGTTATCTGATTTACATGCATAATCCCCTGGTAAGTAAGGAATTATCATTTCCATTTTACGAATGAGACGCAGAGAGAAAAGTTACAGAGTTTCAGTCCGAGTCTGTCCGACTCCAGGGTTTATGTTCTTACCATACGGCTCCACCATAGTAAGAAATCTCCGTCCTGAGTGGTTTGCTCAAGAACTGACATTTACCAAGGGGTGATCTCTCAATATTTCCTCTGCTGTTGACTCATGGCATGGTGGAACGATTGCAGAAATGGATGATGGATAATCAGGTATTGTCCCCAGTGGAGTGACCTTTCACGAGTCCCTTTTTTCTTGGTCTGTCTCTTCATCTATGTGGGCAGAAGGTGTGGGCAAAGTGACATTTACTCATTCGTTCATCTCTGTGAGACCTTGGTATGATATTTCCAGTTCATCCAGATCTGCGGACACAACAGAGACCGAATTGCCACCTGTGTTCTGTCCCTTGGATTTTGAACGTCGAACACAGATCTTTCCATTGGAGAAAAATACCTTTATATTTTCAGTCACAAGGTGTTCAATTTAGAAGCAAAGAGTGGATAGAAATCTTCCCAAATAAACCTGTGACTGAGAAAACTTGGTATCTTGCAGAAATATATTTATCTTATTAGTGTTACTGGAGAGTATTTGCATAGCAGGAAAAAGAGCTTTTAACTCGTTTCCTTATCTGGCCTTCTTACTGTAGAGAATTTTTCCCCCTGAAGGTGTATCTCCCTATTGAATCTGGCGTTTAAAGGAAATGTCATCAGGACCTGTGATGAAAATTGAATTTTCCCAATGCCTAAGGATGACTTTCTTTAACTAACTTTGCAGACTCCCAACCTTAAATGGATGCAGACATTCTGGTCTGCTTTGAATCTTCTAGACTCTTCTGGCTTTCAATCTTTTTTGACAAGCCTCGCCTTCTTCCACTGTCTCCTCCTCCGCTCCCAGTACTGTTTGGAAGTCCTGCCTTTATTCTGTGTTCATCTCGCTGTTTCTTGAAATGAAAAGTCCCTAATCTCTTTCCTCTTGTGGACGCTTAGGTGCAGAGGTTTCAGAGTCTAGGAAATTGGCAATTCCTTTTCTCTTATTGATAGTGCAGGTCTCAATTTCATTCCAATACCTGGATTTCCCTGAACCTTTAGGGAGAATAGTGCCTGCCTTCTGCATAGGGTAAGAGAATAGGGTTAGCTGTAAAAATGGAAGGGGTGGCATTTCTTAACCCTCAAGTGACCTAAGCATTGGCTGAAACCCATTGTTATTCCTGTTTCAATAGTTGCCTTGGATATTGATCTTGGAGATGCGAGCTCATTCCATATATGACTATTAGGTGGCATTTTAGATATATTCAGTCCAGATTCAGGACCCTGGCAGTGATCTACTCTCAGATGCTGAGCTCTGCACTCACTTGGTATCTTGCAGCAGTCAAGGAAATATTAGGAGAACAAGACCATGAGTTAGGAGGTGACATCACCGACACTTTGCCCTAAAGAACAGAACTAAAAACCCTTTCTGCAAGTTTTTGGTCAAGCCGTAGGTCCCACACACAAAACTTGAATGCAAAATCAGGGAATGCCCCAGCGATGAGTAAGCCTGAAGTCGCTATGTATAAGTCCTGGAAGCACTGTACAGCCCATTTTATAGGAAAAACTCCACCCTCTGAGCTAAAGAAACAGCTGGCAAGCATAGAAACCCACTCAAGTTTTCGGCTGAAAGGAGACTCTGTTAAATTAAGTGGCCATATAATTTATTGACTAAACCAGGACGCTTTTTATTCAGGTGAAATTTCTACAAAGTAAATGTATAAATCTTATCTGTATATCTTGATACATTTTTGCATATATATTAACCCATGTAACCACCACCGAGAGCAATAAAGAAAACAATTCTCATCAGTCCAGAAAGCTCTAACAAGACCCTTCGTAGTCACTGGCCACCTTCCCTACTTACCTAAAGGTAACCATTTTTCTCATTTCTGTCATCGTAAATTAACATTGCCTGCTCATGAACTTCATCTAAATGAAATCATGCAGTATGTATTTTTTTATATGTACTCAGCAATAGCAAAGGAAGAACTACTTTCAACAAAAAGGTTGACTCTCAGAAACATCATATTGAGCGAAACAAACTGGAATCCATTTGAGAGTGAGGTTCACTATTGACATGAGTGGGACAGCAGGCAAAAAAGGGGGGCTGTTCTGGGGAATCAAGATGAATGTTCACCTTATCTTTAGAATATAAAAACCTCAAGCCTGTACCATACAAAAGTACAGTGTCTGGAAAACCCTCTCATGCAATAAGGCTTTGTTCTTTAATAGACAACTTGAGCTCTATTCCTGCTGAGGGTCACCTGCCTTTTCAGTGATTCGGCTTTCTCTTTGGAGATTCACCTATTTGGCCAGGGAGCAACAGAGATGAGAGCAGATATGAATACAAGGCCCTTCCCATGCCTTTGAAATATCTCAGGGGGCCCACCCCTCACATTCAAGCTCTCTTCTCTCCTCACAACGCCTGCAGAATTAATCTTGTGCAAGAAGTGTCTCAGCTCCTGCACACCCTTCTGATAGCCACTGTTTCTCACCTGCTTCCACACCCCTGGCAGAATTCAGGAATCATTAGCTTTTGATGATCTTGTGTTTTGAAACTTCAATCTCTTGCACTTTGAAATTGAAATTCCTGAGACTGCAAGGGACCCTACACTGACAGCTGACTTATTGAACTTTCTCCAGCTTCAACAGACCAGAGAGTCAATCTGTCCAGTTCACTTCCTGCAGTGTACTATCTGTCAGGAAGCTCAAATCCAGGCTTGTGAAACTGAGAGCCGCATCCATTTCCCGTCTTTTCCATGTGTCAGGAAATAAGATGAAATTAACTTGCACAGTAATTAACAAGTGTCAGGCTAGTGAAATGCCATGCAGGACTATGCATTCTAGACTGCTACTGAGAGTGGCAGCAGCGGTACAACTGTCCTTCCTGAAATCCAGTTTATTTTATTTTATTTTATTTTATTTTATTTTATTTTATTTTATTTTATTTTATTTAGACTGATTCTCACTCTATCACCCAGGCTGGAGTGCAGTGGCACGATCTCGGCTCATTGTAACCTCTGCCTCCCAGGTTCAAGTGATTCTCTAGCCTCAGCCTCCCGAGTAGCCTCCCTGGGACTACAGGCATGGGCCACCATGCCCGGCTAATTTTTGTATTTTTAGTAGAGATGGGGTTTCACCATGTTGGCAAGGCTGGTCTTGAACTCCTGACTTCAAATGATCTGCCCACCTCCGCTTCCCAAAGTGCTGGGATTACAGGTGTGAGCCACAGCACTCAGCCTCAAAATCCAGTTTTAAATTCCAAATATTTCCTGCTCTCGTCAAATAACCCATCTTGCAATTAGGAATTATTCTGGCTTTCTTACCTCTTACAGAATACATATTTGTCTCTGCATGGCAGTTTCTCAGTCTATAAAGTGGACTTAGGCAGATAACTCAGGAACGAATATTAAATAAAATAAGTGCTTAGCCTAATACCTGCCCTGTAGTATGATTGGAATAAACTTTAGCAGTTACCTTTATGAAATGTGAAAATTGAAATCCTTTGCAGTCTGTCTACAGCCCAATTTTCATCTCTTTTCCTGTCTCTCCTGTTTTATGATCGTGTGTATTCAAATTTGCACTCCCATCCACCACAGATACCGTGTCAGCTCCTCCCACCTCGCCAATTCCTAGTTTTCCCATGGGACTCCTTCGGTAGAAAGATCCTAGTTCTTCAGGGAGGGTGGATGGACCACTCTTCCGGACAACAATTTTATATGCTGCTACTTCTGTCCTTGTCAAACCACAGCCTCGCATTTCTGTTTATGGGTCCACCCATGACATTTGAGCTGTTTGTGGACAGGGAATTCTGGTATTCAGGGGAGAATTGTTAGCTTTCACCATATACATGAATCCCTGCTGTTATTCACCCAGGGACAGGTAGATTTGCCCTTGTGGGAAGTAGCACAGTCATACATCAATTCCTATAATTGAATCATCTTTCTTGCTCCTTTTTATTTTGGATCCATGTTTGAGGTTTGTTTATTTTCTTTCTTTTCTTCCATGGCTTATGTCTCTTGTCAGGCAGTTACATCTCTCATTGCGGATCAGTTCCAGCTGATAACTTCCTCTTGGTCTTCAAAGCAAAATTTATGCTAATCTTAGAGTTTGTATTTTTATTCAAAATCTTTAAAATAGGGTGGAAACCCATTTAGATGTTTTCCTCTGGTGAGGTAACAGTAACTTAATAATAACATAAATAATAGCAATTTTGTAATAGTAAACGTACAATAATTATATTCCATATAATATGATAATTAAAGTATATAATTTCAGTGATTAGCATAACGTCTGACACATACTGCAACTGATAGGTGAAGCATAAACACTTTTACCCAATGCTCATACCCAGACACAAAAAACAGTCCATAAACACCCTTCTTCCTCTGTTTGGTCTCTAGCCTGGGCACAGCTACCTTCTCTTATCTGTTTTCTTCTTTAGTCCTGTGTTGGGTCTTTTGTGTACTGGATCTTGTATATTTATCTTTCTTGATTTACTACTCCATCGTGTTAAAGCTCATCTTCTGGGAGTTTCCTGAATAAAGGTACATGAACAGAAGGTTTTTTTGTACTTACATATTGGAAAATTTTCTATTTTACCTTTTCACTGGATTGATAATTTGCCTGGGTATAGAAACTTAAGTTGAAAATCATTTTTTATTTAAAATTTTGATGACATTGATCCACTGTCTTCTAGCCTGTGATGTTTCCATTGAGATTTCTAATGCCATTCTGATTCTTATTCTTTTGTATGTGACCTGTTCCTTCTCTTCCCACTTCTATCCCATTCCTAAAATATTTTAATGACCATCCTGTGTCTTAAATGTTCTGAAATTCCGTAATAATACATCATGGTGTGGGGTGTGGAATTCTTCTTCTCTCTCTCCCTTACTCCTTTTGTCTCTCCTTTTTTCCTTCCTTCCTTAGCTGAAGATGAACACACTTGACATGAAAACTCACATCTTTCAGTTCTAGAAAGTGTGTTTTGTTGTTTTTTTGATAATCCCCTCCCATTTTTATTTTCTGTTCTTTATTTTTGAAACATCTATTATTTGAGTATAAGACTTCCTTCTGATTTTTTAAGCATACACTTAACTAATTGTCTATTTTCTGTCTTTTTATTTTATATTCTGGAAATTTATTTGAATTTGTTCTCTAAACACTCCTGACTTCTAAAAATTTTTCTACAATATTAAAAAAATTTTCACCTTATTTGTGTTCTTTGATTCTGCTCCCTGCACTCACCTATTTTTTTTCTTGTTTTACAAATGTGATGTCTTGCTCTTATCTTTTGGAGATAACTTATTTGTAAATTTCTTCTTCTCTCTGGATTATTTGGTCCTTTTTCTCTCTGAGTCCTTTTATTAGGGCGTCACTCTTTCATCCCAAAGGCTTCCTCCTAATGTCTGTTGGTCCTTGAAAGACTGTTCATATGTTTAGGAATGCATTAAAAAACCTCTGGCCAGACTCAGTGGCTCACGCCTGTAATCCCAACCCTTTGGGATTGGGTGGGTGGATCACCGAGGTGGGTGGATCACCTGAGGTCGGGAGTTCAAGACCAGACTGACAAACATGAAGAAGTCCATCTCTACTAAAAATTTAAAAATTAGCCAGCTGTGGTGGTGGGTGCCTGTAATCCCAGCTACTCAGGAGGCTGAGGCAGGAGAATTGCTTGAACGCAGGAGACAGAGGTTGCACTGAGCCGACACAGTGCCCCTGCACTCCAGGTTGGGTGACAGAGTAAGAGTCCATCTCAAACAAACAATCAAAAAAAACACCTCTGCATGAATGATGGCGAGAGGATGGTGGTTATCTGGTATGTTTCACTTTAACCATTCAGTGTTGCATACTTTTTATTAAAGCACCCAAAATGTCAATAATAGAGATCAGGGATTTGCTTCCC
This sequence comes from Homo sapiens, assembly GCF_000001405.40. Classification (NCBI taxonomy): domain Eukaryota; kingdom Metazoa; phylum Chordata; class Mammalia; order Primates; family Hominidae; genus Homo; species Homo sapiens. The sequence goes on along the minus strand of NC_000016.10, from coordinate 8,213,803 downwards.
TGGAATTCTCCAGAAATAAGCCTTCCATTTTTCTGCCCTGGAAGGTGAGTGCCTGATGGCTGGTATTCTGGAGGTAGAGAAACTCAGCTCTCAACTGTGCCCTATGTCCCTGCCTCTAGAGGCTCTCTGTAAAATTTCTTCAGTAAATCAGTCTTCAAACTCTAGTAGTGGCCATGAAGATCCATGGCATAAACAGACTGTCTAATCATGGTCTATAAAAGCTGTCTCCTTTCAGCCTCAGTCCTCAGGTGTTTTTTTTTTTTTTTTTTTTTTGACAGAGTTTCACTCTTGTTGCCCAGGCTGGAGTGCGATGGTGAGATCTTGGCTCATTGCAACCTCCACCTCCTGGGTTCAAGCAATTCCCCTGCCTCAGCCTCCCAAGTAGCTGGGACTACAGGCATGTGCCACCATGCCTGGCTAATTTTTGTATTTTAAGTAGAGATGGGGTTTCACCATGTTGGTCAGACTGGTCTCGAGCTCTTGACCTAAGGTGATAACCCGCCTCAGCCTTCCAAAATGCTGGGATCACAAGTGCAAGCCACCGCACCCGGCTCTCAGGGGTTTTATAGGAGGAATTAGCTGCTCAGGTATCCCCACTTCAAACATTTAGGTTGCAACTTCCTTCATTTTTATTTCCCATCTTCTACTTTCTTCTAGCCCACATTCTCGTCCTTTTTGTTAACACCTTGTCAATCTTTACTGTCACTTTATTATGTCTTTTGAGTAGAAAGGAGAGGTGTGCATGGTTAATGGCATTTCCCCCAAAATAACATTTAAATACTCAGCTTTCATCTGAGAAGCCCTAATTGGTGTCTCCATGTGAGTGGCATGAGTTGACGTTGCAAATACCAGGCTTAGACCAGTGTGGGGTCATCTCTGGGTGTGGGATCACTTTTATGGGGACACAAAATCTTCTTCTACAATGTATTTTTTTCTCTTCAAAAGAACATAAACCCAGAAGCTCAAGTGTAGGAGCAAGGCAGGAGACTTCATTGTGCTGTCTTTATTGTTCATTTCTTGTTGTTCCTGAATAGCATGATAAATGTCTTTTGGATGGATGAATGAATCCTTGAATAAAGGTCTTGTCTGCTTGAAATGGTAGAAAAAGCATGTGAAGAAATAAGAATCTTGCTCCGTAAAAGTGACATTGAGAGTTGATCTGTTAAAAAATAATGGAGCTGCTGTCTCTTTGACTCAGCAATAATAGACATTTGCTGGGTAATCTGCTAAGTTCCAGCACTATATTACATGCTCCAGTTATCAATAAATGATCAATGAATAATAATCTTATCAGTTAATAAATACATAAGCTGATAATTTCCACATGGCTAATTATAATAAGCTAATTATACTAACATAATAATAATATTTCCAAAGAATAAGATAAATAAACTGATAAGTTCAATATAGTTTGGTATGCAATGTAGTAGTATATATAGGCAGATATTTTATTTGGTGTATGTACATAATAATATATTCATTATTAAAATACACAGACATATTATATATAATTATAAAGTTAAAAACAAAACTCTATAACCTTTCCACTTAAGTAATGCCCATAACCATTATTTTTTAACAAGTTAGTACTACATATAAAAAATTTAAAAAGTGAACACCACCTTCAGCTCCTTTTCACAGTTCCTCTTAAGAAATAAATTACTGTCAATAGGTTTTTTTTTATGTGTGTGTGTGTGTGTGATTTTTTCACTACAAATAGAAGCATTCTATATGTAGTGTTTTTAATATTTTTTCTTTATCTTTTTAAAAAAATATTATTTATCTTTTTTGAGACAGAATCTTGCTCTGTCTTGCAAGCTGGAGTGCAGTGGCATAATCATAGTTCTCTGCAGCCTCAAACTCCTGGGCTCAAGTGATTCTCCAACCTCGGCCTGGGACTGCAGGCACACACCACCACATCTTTGAACTCCTGACCTCAAGTGATCCTCCCACCCCAGCCTCCCAAAGTGCTGGGATTACAGGTGTGAGCCACCACAGCCAGCCAATCTTTTTTTTTCCAGTTAGTAAACCTAAGAGATCTCATTATTTTTAAATAGTGGCATGCATTTATTTCACTCTCTGTATGTAGCAGATATTAATAAATCTGCCTTAGATAAGTCTGCTTTAGACAGCTTCCATCCAAATTTTTAATGTTACAAAGTTATTACAGTAAGCACCCTTGTACTTGACACTTGGCATCAGGTGGAAACCCAACATCGGTTAAAAAAATGACTTCTTAGCCGGGTTTGGTGGTGCATGCTTGTAATCCTAGCTACTCAGGAGGCTGAGGCAGGAGAATTGGTTGAAACCAGGAGGCAGAGGTTGCAGTAAGTTGAGATTGTGTCGCTGCACTCCAGCCTGGGTGACAGAGCAAGACTCTGTCTCAAAAAATAAATAAATAAATAAATAAATAAATAAATAAATAAATAAATAAAAAAGACTTCAGTGACCTCTCCAGTTTGGTTCCTGCCTTCATATCCGGACAGCACCCCCACCACCTCTCTTCCCCGAGCTCAGCTCCTACATGGCTTCTAAGCACAGGGTAATAATTTTTAAAGGTTGCAAAGAGCCTTATTTTTGAGAATGTTGAATGCCTAGACAGAAACCCACTTGGTTCCAAAGAAAAACGTCAACCTCATCTCCCAAATTATCCTCCAGCTTGGATAAAACAAAGCCTCTTTTTAGTTAACAAAATGGACTGTCATCACTGTTCCCTCTCTTTTTCCTGGGTATGATTGTGTTCATGTCCATAATCCTCTTAGTGTTGAGTGAGGGATAATGGCTTTCTCTACATCTGGGTAAGAGAGAAGGAGCCAACGCCTTTCATGTGCTTCTGTGCCATTTATTCCTACCTGTTTTAGGGCTCAAGGGTATCTTGGGATTTCCTCCCTGCAGAGAAGTGGAGTGGGAAGCACGGTGGTAGAACACTCCTCTGTATTGATTGGGACTGACTAGAATGTCTGTCCCAGTCAGCCAGAGTGAGATTGTAGAGTGAGAATTTCCAAATTACCATTGGAGTGAGAAGCCATGGTCAGAACCGTGGAATCAGGTATGAAGGATAAGGCAAAGCAGTGAAGAGGAAAGCATTTAATGAAAATGAAAGCTGAGCTGGGGAGGGTGTGGGAGAAACAGACCACCAATGGGCTGTCTTTTTGTGCAGCTGGGGTGTCTTGTTGGTGTAATAAACCTAAGTAATCTCCGATGATGCCTTTTCACTATATACCCATGTATTCGTCTTGCCAACTGATCTGTGAGATCCTTGAGGTCAGAGGCTGTGTTTAATTCATCTCTGCCTAAGCATTCAACAGGAGGGTCTGATTCACAATAGATTTTCAGGCCGTGTTTGTTAAATGAAAACTGGATTTTATTAGTGGTCTCCAAACCTGGCTCTGCATCAGAACATCAGAGTCACTGGGTGAAAATATAACCCTACATTTCTGGGCTTAAGTCCAGATCTCCTAAATGAGAATGTCTAGGGACAAAACCGGAGAATCAGTTTTACAGACAAGATCACTGGTTGTTTCTTATGCATCCAGCCCTCTGCTGCTCTATGGTCCAGGAGATGGAAGCCATCGCTTTATTTTATGACAATCATTTTTATCCTGCCAGTGTCCTGGAGTGGCAAATATGACCTATTCCTTAAGGAAAGACCCTATGTTCAGATGGTTCCAACCAGTTCCCTCTTGTCAGAGACTGCAGGGGGATTTTGTAACATTTTGCCATGTAAAGCCAGGAAACGCTTATATATTTTTTTTCTTTCCCGGACATCCATGCTATGGACAGGCTGCAGCCTGGGTGTGCTTGGGTATTCTTCCCCGAAAGTCACATTCTTTCCGAGATATTTACAATGGCAGAGATAATGGGTTATTGATGAACCAATCAGCTGGGATGGCCCCTGGTGAATTAGATCTTGGCCACTGGCCTGCCTGGGATAAGAAGCTATTGCTGAGCTCAGCAGCGTCTGGTAAAGGTCTAAATCACACCCATCGCTTCCTGCAAAGCCAGTAATCTCTGTTAAAGGCACTACTGCGGCCAATTCCTCATACAGGGAAGCAACTTATTTAATTTATAGTTAATTGAAGACTTGGAGCTTTGGAATCAGACAGATGAGTGTTTCACCCTGGCTCCTCCTCTTTTTCCTCACTGTGGAACGAAATACGGGTTATTTAACAACCCCAAGTTTCAGCTTCCTCATCTATGAAATGTTAACCTCATTTTGCAGAATTGCTATAAACAGTATATGAAATGATGAGTGCAGAGCATTTCACAGTTTACATAGCACTTTCACTTTCATAATCTTATTTAAATCTCACAATAATCATATATATATATTATATATATGATTAGTTCATTTCTTTATACATAAATATTACAAGGTTCAAAGAATTTGAGTATCTTACTTGAGAATCAACCCCTCCCTCATCCCCAATACACACACATTTTATAGACGAGGAGACAAATATTCAAGAGCACCGAGGATCTGTCCAAGGTCACATGGTCAATAGAAGACCAGGTTTATATCTTCCCATAGTACTTAGAATAAAATCCAACTTCATACATTGGCCTTCAAAGACTTAATTGGAATAGTTTCTATCTTCCTGTTTCTCTAATTGTGGAAGGTGCAACAATAGCCCCAGTTCTCCACCCTTCCTGGTGTTCAGATCCCTTGCCATGTAAATATACCATATCTGCCTATGCTGGCTCAGAGATCAGGCTTGTTGTGTGCATTACTAATAAAATATAATGGTATGCTGGTTCCAAACCTAAGCCTGCAAGGGGCATTGCATGCTTTTTTGCATCCTTGTGCCTTTGACATTTCTGGAGAACATGTCTGGACTACACTGCCAGAAGATAAGAGACCTGTGAAACAGAACTTAGAGCTGATCCCAAGCTGACCCCAGATACATGAACAATAAATATAATGTTAAAAACCACTGGAACTTGTAGTTGTTTGTTATGCAGCATTGTTCTATCAACAATAGCTGAAACACAAAGTTCATCTTCTGGCACTCTCTCTCTCACTAAGTTTATTATATCCATACTGGGCTTCTTTCACTCCCTCAGACAAGCCAATCTCTTTCTCTCCGTATTTCATTTGCAAATATGCTGCTTCACCTCGAATGCACTCCTCCCCACTCTTTCTGCACAGCTGCATAGCTCTTCCTTTGTCATCCTTGAAGTTTCAGCTTCAGTGCCACCTCCTCAGAGAGAACTTCCTTGACCATTCTGTCTGCATTAAGATATTCTACATATTCCCTATCACTAAATCCTATTATTTACCATCATAGCTTTATTACAAGTTTATGGTCATACAATAATTATTTAGCTTGGTAAAGCCTACCATGACAGGGTTGGTGGCAGGATGTTTTGTTCACCGCTCTAAGCACCCAACATAGTACCCAACCAGGGTACAAGGCTTGTTTTCAGTACGTATTTAGTGAATAAATGCACACAGAAGAAATAAATTGGCAGAACCAGGATTTCAACTTATCACTGTTTTCCTCTCTTTCTTCTGTGCCACACTTATGGCTTTATGGGAGGTCTAAGGTTTAGCTGTCTTGGAGTACCCTATCTAATATGATTCTCTGATAATGTTTAGCCTGTTTAGCTAGCATCTTTTCTTTTAAATCAGTTTACACTAAAGCAAGCAGCTTAACATTTTTAGGGATTAGCTGACAGTCAGCTGAGAGGAGATACAGGAAAACATCTCAGGGTGGATCAGAATATAGGGAGATGAAAGCCTCAGGAGAAAAAAGGGAATCTGAGGCTACGGCAGGAATATTTATTGGGTTCAGCCATGGACCCGTTCTACAAGGGGCAATTCTGGTTTCTGCTGTCAGCTATTGTTGAAGCAACTGGCTGACATTTTGGAGCCTCCATTTTATTCTGGAGGAGAGACACTTAGCTGGAGGAATAATCTCTGTCTTCACGAAGAAATGCATGCATTTCATTCTGGGCCACTAGTCCCTGCTGTCTAAGGACCAGAACTTGACATAGCTGGAATCTTGCTGTTGAAGGTGTTCAACCAGAGTGACACTCTGGATCAATGTCTAGGAGGACCAAAGTTTTGAGGACTCAGCTGTTTCAAGTTTTATTGTATCACACAAGGACAGAGACCAGGAGTGTGGATGCCTTTTATCCTCAAGTCAGAACCCTGAGCAAACTGCCCACTTAGCACTGAGAGCCCTGTTAAGGGAGAGGGGAGAGGGTGGCAGGGAGATTTGATGCAGTAAATGCAAAAATCAAAGTGGAAATTCAGACTTTCTGCTGCAGGGCCAGGAGAAAAGTTAACAAAAACAGGCTATCTGGTGGTCCAAAAATTTAGATGGCTTTTATAGGACTGAAAGTATAGAAAGAGAATAAAGCAGATCACAGAACAGATTCTATTTACTGCTCTGGTTATGAGAAACATTGCTACAAATGACCAGAAATTTCTAGTGGAGAATGTATGATTAGGCTGTGATAATCCCACAGCAATGGTTTCTAAAGTATGTCCCCTAAAACAGGTTTCAGTAATATGTTAATATGAATTCTAGGGAGAAAAAAAGAGTTTCTGTGTTGAAATAAATTATAAAAACATCACACACTTTATCGTTCTCTTGAAGAGTCACATGCAAATTTGCAAAGCTTCTGAAAAATCCTGCAATAAATAAAACCTTTCTTAAAAATTTTTTATTCTAAATGTTCATGTTTTTCTAAACTTATTTTACTATGAAACCATAGTAAATAAGAATAACAAAAATAAAATAGAAACAACTTCCTTCCTCTTTCATTTCTTTTCTTCCTCTTTCCTCCTTTTCTTCTATCATTTCTAATTTTGCTCAATGCCAGTTAACATTGTTCTGCAAATCACAGACTGCAAACACACAGACCTTGAGAATTTTTTAATGTGTTGCATTTTGTTTTCACGCTTACAATAAAACAAACAAAATGAAGCAGAACGCTTATTCATTGGCCTCCCTCCCATATGCCAATTATTGCACTATGTAGCTTTTGCACACCAAAACTCATTTTATTATCAAAACCACAATGAAGTTAGGGAATGTTATCACTTTTTGTCAGATGAGGAAACTGAGGTTCAGAGAGATGGAGTTGCTTTTCCAGGGACACACTGATGGTAAAATTATGTGGCCATGTTTAAACCCAGACCGTCTACTCTCAAGTTTGCTTTTTTTACCCACCAAGATATTACCATCTGGGAACTAAGCCCATCCTTATCTAACCAGAAAAAATAAAATTTCTGTTTTGTAAAAAAAGTTACTTCTAACTATTATTTCAACTGAGATCTGCTGATCAAGGGCTCTCAATATTTGTAGAAGATGCGTAAGTTAAACTGTCAGCCAGTGGCATCAAAAGAGATGCACTAAGTTCACACACAAGCTTGGTGGGCTGAGAAGGTTGTGCCAAAACTAGTTCCATTTTCTCTGTGATGTGTGGATGAGTGCAGTCGATAATTATATCCTCTGGTTACATGGTATGTATAATGATATCTATTTACCAGTTAGTTTTTTTTTCTAAGGAAAAGTACACAGCCTGCTGAGATTTTTATAGAGAATAAATGGTGCAGTCCTTGCCTGCATTGTAGACATTATCTATCCCAACATCTCCCAATGTCTTGACACATTGTAGGATCTTCTCTGGGCCTATGCCTTAAGTTCAAACACCACTCACTCATTTCTGTCCTGCTCATGAAAATAAGAAATCCCTCCTGGTTCTTCTCACCTCATATCTGCCTTACCTCTTATTTCCCATTCTGTTTATACACTACTTCAAGGATTTGAGGCCAGGAATTGGTTTCCAGTCATATTTTAGATGCTTTTGATTTGTGTACTAAGCACTTTCTTTGTATTACCTCATTCCATTTCCCAACAACCCTTTACCTGTATAGCAGGTTCTGTTGTAACACCCCCTACCCCCAATTTTAAAGAAGAAAATATTGAGTTTTAGTGTAGCTAAGTAACTTTGTCACCCAAGTTATCCTATTTGAATGTTTAACTCTAGATAGACTATTTTTATATTAGTTATCTATTGCTAACAAATTACCTCAATATATAGCAGCTTAAATAACAGCATTGATTATTTCAGTTTCAGTGGGTCAGGAATCCTGGCATAAATTAGATGGTACCCATGTCTTGAGGGTTTCTTGAAAGGCTGTAGTCCAGGCATTGGCTGAGGTTGCATCCTCATCTGAAAGTTTGACTGGGTGAGAATCTACTTCCGAGCTCACAAATGTGGTTGTTGGCAGTTAAGAATCTTACAAGCTATTGGACTAAGCTCCCAGTTCCCCAAGAGCTATTGGCCAGATGTCTTTCTCAGTTCCTTGCCATGTGGGCCACTACGTAGGGTATCTTACAACATGGTGGTTAGCTTCATCAGAGTAAGCAATAAAGAAGACAGAAGAGAGAATAAAGGTGGCCCTATGTATCTGTGGGCACTGCATCTACAGATTCAATCAACTGTGAATCAAGAATACTAAAAAAAATAAGTAATACAAATAAAAACAATACAGTATAACAACATTTACATAGCATTTACCTTCTATTCAGTATTACACGTAAGTATTCTAGAGATGATTAAAGTGTGTGAGAGAATGTGCATAAGTTATGTGCACCTACCAGGTCATTTTATATGAGAGACTTGAGCATCTGCAGATTTTGGTGTCCATGGAGGTCCTAAAACCAAACCCCTGTGGATGCTAAGGAATGACTGTACCAGCAAGATGGAAGTCACAGTTTTTTGTAGCTAATCATACAAATAACATCTCATTGCCTTTGCTGTATTCTGCCTATTAGAAGCAGGTCACTCAATCCAGTCTACCCTCAAAGGGAGGGAATTGCGCAAGACCACAAATACCAGGTGGTGGAAATTATTGGAGTTATGTCAGAAGCTGCCTAAGGCAAGTAGTTAAGAGCCTGCATCTTGAAGTATGATTTTTATAGCTCCACCACTTGGTCACCCTCCAACCTCAGGAAAGCTATGTGACTTCCCTAAGCCTTTATTTTCTTGTCTGTCAAATAGGTATAATGATAGTACCTATGTCATAGAGTTGTTAGGCTTAAATAAATAAAGAGATATTAAGATATCTGGCAACTGTGCTAGATCCTTCTCTGAACCACTGTTGGCCCGGTGGTTGTAGAATCATCCTACCTTCCCATGCAGCCTGTGGAAATGTGTCACACAGCGAAAAGAAACTGCATGCTGGAAACTGGAGTTTTAGCTCCCTGATTTGCTGTGTGATTTTTGTACATTTTCTTTATCTTCTCTGGAACTCTATTTATCTGTAAAATTAGATAATTAAAAGACATAGCAAAATGTTTTCACTTTTCTGTGGCAATTCTGAATGGTTGGATGTGGAGCTCTGGAACTTTGTATTGAAAAAGACTTCAATGACGTGGGGAAGTCAGTTCACACAGGCTCATGAGAGCTGACTGAGCATGTCACTTACCAACTGCATTTGGCAATGCTACATTGGTAGCTTGACGTCAGCCATGTTGGGAAAATTTACACCATGGGTGTCTGCCAGCTATGAACCAGGGTTCACCCCAGCCTCACCAAAAGTGGGTTGTTAAACACTCTTCATTGCACCACTCATTTCAAAACTCCACGGGAAAAAGAACAACTGTTTTCTGTAATACTTGCCAGAGCCTCAGGAAGACGATAAAAAGCAATGAGTGATGAATGTACATTTGCCATCTCTGGTTAGTTGATTTCTGTCATGTTCCCTTCACTGATAATCTTGGCATTTCTGCATTTTTAGAAGAAAAATTGCTTCATCAGGGAAAGGGTTGTTAGCACAGGCTTCCACTCTGAAATAAAAGACATCCTGAGGTCCAGTTTATCATCTGGTGACCATAGTCTCTTGTCTCTGTTTTTTGTAATTATCCAAGAAACCAATAGCTGAGTAATGTCCAGGTAGGCACATTAAAAATATTGGGCTATCCTTCTCTCTCTATGAACAGGTAGAATGCAAGCATTTTAAATAATATGAATTCTATGATGTTAGTAATGTGCACAGTGGCATACCTGGATTTTCTCAATCACCATATGTAGTAGGGAGGGAATGGACTATTGTCATCTCTCCCAATCCCCAACCCTGAGAGTTGAAGATCAGAGATCTCAGAGTTAAACATTTTTACCACTGACCACATGGTAATAAATGGTCAAGCTGGAACTGGTACCCAGGTCTTCTTACTATAGATCTTACTTTTTAAAAGTTTCACTAGTATGATAAAACTTGGGGTCTAGTGGGGAAGAGCGGTGAAGGCAGTTTTCCACCATCCTGGTCATCCCTTCATGAAATTTTGATGATTTCCAAAGCAGAGAAATATGGCCACAATCATAACACATTAACCAGAGAGGAGCTAATGACATAATCATGGACTCTCTACAGTCAATTATTGCAATTACTGGAAGCCACTCTCTTGTCATATTTCATTTAGCAAAAAACAGCACAAGGGAGGTGAGGGGCACTGAGGGTCCTGGGCCCATTGCTGCTGCCCTCGCTGGAGCAGGCATCTACAAAGGAGAATGCCAACCCCAATAAACTGTTCCTGCAGAAGCCATTAGGCTGGGTGACATGTTCACTTAGGGTGACATATATTGATCATGTAAAACACGCACACTGTATAATATGATTAAACAAACTCAACCAGTTCCAGAGAGAGCCAGCTGAACCTTGTGTGAAGGCTGGCTCTGCAGCCAGAGCTTCTGAGGCCTTTGTTGGAACCTCCTAGCTCAGGATTGGAACTGCAGCAAATTTATGTCAGTAATTATTCATGTATCTATTCATTAATTCAGTCATTCATTTATTAAACAGTTATTTGTTGTGTCCCACTATGTGAAAGGCACAGTAGTGAGTACTAGGGATAAAATAATGAGTAGAGCGAGATCCGCAATTGTCCCACTCTCATAAAGCTTGCGAATTAAAAGAAAGGATCATGGTTCAATGAAAGCGTATAATGAAGGAATCTGTGTAGATGAGGGGATCATAGAAAAATCACAGCAGTTACTATTTATTGTATATTTGTCTAGTGCCCTCAAAATTCATGTCCACCTGGAACCACATAATGTAACCTTATCTGGAAACAGGTTCTTAAAGATCTCAAGATGATACTGTACTGGATTTAGGGTCGGCCCTTAATCCAATAACTGCAATGGCTGCTGTCCTTGTAAGAAGAGGAGAGATTACAGAGACACACATACACAGAGGAAAAAAAAACCATGTGAAGACAAAGACGGAGATTGGAGTGATGCAGCTACAAGCCAAGGAATGCCAGGAGCCACCAGGAGCGGGGAGAGGCAAGGAAGGATTCTTCCCAATAGCACTTGGAGGAAGCAGGGCCTTGATAACATCTTGATTTCTGATAACTGGGGTCCAGAACCATGGGAAAATAAATTTCTGTTGTCTTGAACCTCCCAGTGTGTGGTCACTTCTTATGGCAGCCACAAGAAAGTAATGCACTCACTAAATGACTAAGTGTTGCCAACTGTACCAGGACTTATTGATGTGAGAGACATTAGACACAACTCTTGCATTCAAGTTGCTCAAGTTTAGAAAGGAGACAGACAAGTAAATGGATACCTAAAATCCTGTCTATTAAGGCTCTGATCAGGGTAAGCCCACTGGGTGTGGGAGCACAAGGAGAGAGCCCAAGTTCAAGTTACACCATTGTCAATGTCTAGAGAAGAGGCTGACAGCACAGTATTCACTATACCTGCTATGTCTCCTGAGCTGTGGCTTACATCCCCAGTGAAACAATGGACACTGGAGTTCATCTGCATCATGGTTAATTAGTGCCCAGCATGTAACAACTGCAAACATGTTCTCAGTTTTTGGTGTTTGAAATATCTGTTTCTGCTGCTCCATTTCTAATTAAGCTTTTTATTTTGCATCCTAGAACTTCCATGTCCATAGTAAAGAAACGCCACTGGACTCTTAACCCATACGCTCCAGGATACAAGACTCTGGGTCTTAACAATTAGGAAGATGAAATTGATCAGACTCATATTTGGGATGGTAAAACGGGAGAAGACTAGGATGCTTTCCAGGCTTCGGCTGTGCAGGACAGGGTGGATAGTGTTGACTGTTGATGGAGGAGGCAATGCAGGAGGCTGATTAGATGTACTTGGGGAGATGGGGAAATCAGACTAGGGCTTGCTAAACTTGAATTATCTGTGGAATATCCAGCTGGTGACACACAATAGGCTGTTAATAATATGAGTCTGGAGTTAAGGGAGAGTTCTTCCGATTTTGAGATCTCCTGTGGTCCTCTTAGATAAGTCACCTCTGTTTCAAACCCAAATTAGCTATTAAAATTCAATTGTACTTTGGATGGTGTAATGGTGGGACTCATACTCACATAGCATGCCACATATTCCATAGTCTCTATAAGAAGTAGAAAAAAAAGTGGTTGGCCGAGCGCAGTGGTTCACACCTGTAATCCCAGCAGTTTGGGAGGCCAAGGCGAGAGATCACCTGAGGTCAGGAGTTTGAAACCAGCCTGGCCAACATGGTGAAATACCATCTCTACTAATAATACAAAAATTCACTGGCTGTGGTAGCAGGCACCTGTAATTCTAGCTACTCAGGAGGCTGAGGCAGGAGAATCACTTCAACCTTGGAGGTGGAGTTTGCAGGGAGCCAAGATCATGCCACTGCTCTCCAGCCCGGGTGACAGAGTGAGACTCTGACTCAAAAAAATAAAAATAAAAATAAAAATTACAGAAAGTAAGTGGTCTTGACAAACAGTTGTATTCATCCACCCCACTCCTGGTAGATATTCCATTACAGTGAATGTCACCAGGGACCTATAGTACTTGGAAATTTGCAATAGAATAACCACTACAGGAAGCAGGAAAGTTTAATCCTTTAGAGATTTAATGTACCTTCTTCAGGTGGTAATAGTTCGAAAGTATTTGCTGGAATATAGATACTCTGTATTTTGCAGTAGAGGATTGCTATTCTTCCAAAGACAGAAATGCTTCCTTTAAGAAAATGCTCAAAATTTTGACCTCCCCTTTTCTTGGGGGAGAACCTTCCCTAAGAAATGTAATGTGAACATATAATTAGCAAGGAATTTCTAGAATTTTACCATTCAACATAATGATGATTCACATTTTTGGTTCACAGGAAAAAAAGGAAGTAGATATTGTACATATTCATAGATAATAGATGTATTTGGAAGAGAAGGGAGAACTGTACCTCTTAAATATAAAAGATTACTTAAAACGCATAGTAGGAGGGGAGAAAACACAAATTTTTGAAGCAATTAAACTCAGTGGTGGATCTTTCCACCCCTTAGCACAAAGAAAAATGTACAGCCTCAGGCTACTAGTCTAACCACTTTTGTCTCAGTTTCCTCATCAGTAAAATGAGGACAATACTAAAATTCTACCTCGCTCTGTTGCTATGAGGGTTAAACAAAACACCACTTCTAATCCCCTTTCACACAGACTGGCAGATAGTAGTTGCTCCATAAATGGCAGCTTTTCCTTAAATTTCAAATCATGGAGAGCCTGCCCCCCCAAAAAAGAGAGTACTATTGGTTAGAGTTTCATACGTTCTCATCATGGGCATTTTCCTTTAACATCAGGTTTAGATTCTGAGCTTCATGTGGGCTGGGGGCACAGCTTAATAATAATAATAATCAGGACAATAGTAAGCATGTATTGAGCACCTAATATTTGCCAGGGAACACTCAGCTGCATGCTGTGCTTGCACTACCTCATCTAATCCTGATACCAACCCACTGGGGTTGGCTATATAAATATATATATATTCATTTTCAGATGTGAGAAGAGAGGGAGGGAGGAAGGAGGGAGAAAGACAGAAACCAATAAAATCCAACTAGACAGTGTCAGAGCCAGGATTTGAATATAACTCCAGATACTTCATGTTTAACCAAGACTCCTTAGTGAGACAGAGAGAGATATATCAATACTGTCTCATTTATCTTGGTGTCTCCAAAGCCTAGAAAAATCACCAGTTAAGTGGAACTCCATGAAGGTTGTTGAATTAATGACTGAATTAATAAATGGAAAGATTGAGTGGATGAAGATAAAGAAATAACTCATCGGTACCTAAAACCCTGTTAGGCTGGACTCCTCCCTTACTGTGGACTTACACTTTTAGCCAGTAGGGACCTGGGCGTTTCTAGGACATTCTTTGGTTTTTCTCCCCTTCAAGAGCTGAGCCAGGAAGTCACTGTACCGTCTTATTTCTTTGTAGCTCCAATTACCTGCTCATTGACATGCAAAGACCTCCCCAGCCCTGCTTCTGAGAGGGAGTAGAAATTCCGGGAGAATCATACCCATTAAGGCCTTTCATGATCACCATTACGTAATAAAGAGCATCTGGAACCTGAGAAATTATTGCAAGCTTTTATTTTGTTTTAAGTATAACTATCTCCTCACACCCTTCTTCCCTTGGGTGATGGCAGTAATAGTTATCACTGTGCACTCTCTCTCAGGACAGAGCTTGGGGTGGACAGCATTCACTCCATTCCCCTTTCTTAACAGGAACCAATCTTGTTCCAGTCTCAACACTTCCCTACCTTGCAGCACGTGCTGCCTAAGAAGCAGATGCACTCCCAGCTCAGATGGGCCCAAGTGTTCTAAGGGCCTCTTCCCTGTCCCTTTATGAATCGTTGGCTTAGAGACAACCAGGTGGTCGAATTCCAGCTGATCAACGCCTGGGAAGTATGCTGTGGGTCCTTTGGGCATATCTTCCTCTCTCCTAAGACAGAACCACAGGAAGAACAGGCTGTTCCTTCCCCTGGGCACTGTCCTGTCTGGATGTGATACCTGGACATGTCCAGCCATCTTATTATACCTCCTGCTGGGGCTGAAGTAAATGCTGAGAATGGTAAAGTGGAGATGTGAACAGATCCTGGGTCTCCGATGACATTGCCGAGCTGCTGATTCATGGCCCGTTCCACCTCCGATGTGAGGTAACATACTGCTGTGTTGTCTAAGTTAGTTGCATGTGAGATTCCAATATCTGCAGCTGAAAGTACCTTAACTGTTAAAGAGCTCCAGGAACACAGAAATCCCAGAGAGACAGGAGCAGCCCCCAACGATAAACTCATTTTCCAGATCAGCAGAGTGGAGGTGGCCTTCCTTGAATAGGTAGCTTCTTTCAAAGTGTTTGTTGGTCTTTTAGGGAAATTTTGAATCCTAGAATCTCTGGCTGAGAAAGAACTTCAGAGATAACTTAGTAGAGTGCTTCCCAAACTCAGATGGTCGAGTAGCATCAGTATCCCCTGGAGGAGGTTTGAAAAATAAACATTCCCTGGACAGTCCTCTAGAGATTCTGATTTCAGAGATTTGGGTGCAGCCTGGGCGTTGATAGTTTTAATAGGCTACCTGGGTGGTTCTGATGATAACTCAAGAATCACTGATCTACAAGTTTATCCCAGTTTTAGAGAAAAATTGAAAAATGTTCAACTTGCCCAAGAAATCATAGCTTGTAAGTGACAAAGCTGAATTTTGAATTCGATCTTCTAACAAAATAAATAAATGAACAAAATCCAAGCCATTTCTACAGTATCAAGCTATTTTTTTTTTTTTTGTGATTGAAGGAGTCAAAGGTTTTTAGAGTGGGAAAAAAAAAGGCTAACAAATGAGGCATGGTTGATATCTTCCTCTATGTGAAAGAGAATTGTGTCAAAGATAGAGTAAATGCTTTTTTATTTGTTTGTTTGTTTGTTTTTTTGTTTGTTTGTTTCCAGTGGCCCCATGGGATACACATGGAAACAAGAATTAAACACTCTGGAGTGATTTCTCCTTCTTCTTTTTCTTCTTCTCCTCCTCTTCCTTTGCCTTCTCCTTTGTCCCCACACTCAGTATAGCAGGAGATGGAATAATGTTGAAAGGTTTCGAGCATAACTATTTCAAGGAAATGGAATAATTGGCCTAGGTAGGAAGTCCCCAACCTTTTCGTGTGGGCCTCGTAGGGAAGAATCAAGCAAATAAATATCTGCTTCTCCTGACAGAGACAGGCTTGAACGCAATTTAAGCAGTCCAGAGATGGGCTATTTCTAAGACTATCTTTCTATAAACAAACAAAATAAGCCAACAATCAAATATATACCTAACAGTCCTATCAGGCCAGGTGACATGCCTTTTGACAACGTTTTTTGAAGTGTTTTGACTCTGAATCCCTATGCCGTCTTTCATGGCTGAAAACCTGGTACCACATTTGAGAGCAACTGAAGACAAGACTAACAGGCCCCGTGATTTTCTCTTTAATCTTCTTTTTTTTTTCCTGGTTTTTTGTTTTGTTTTGTTTTGTTTTTGTTTTTTGTGGGTTTTTTTTTTGAGACGGAGTCTCGCTCTGTCACCTGTCACCCAGTCTGAAGTGCAGTGGTGTGATCTCGGCTCACTGCAACCTCTGCCTCCTGGGTTCAAGTGATTCTTCTGCCTCAGCATTCCTAGTAACTGGGAGTACAGGTGGGTATCACCACGCCTGGCTAATTTTTGTATTTTTAGCAGAGATAGGGTTTCACCGTGTTAGCCAGGCTGGTCTCAAATTCCTGAAATCAGGTGATCGGTCTCGACCTCCTAAAGTGCTGGGATTACAGATATAAGACACCATGCCCAGCCTGTCTTTAATTTTCTAGGTGGTTTCTATAGTAGAATGTTCACAGCTGGGTGCATTGGCTCACACCTATAATTGCAGGATTTTGAGAGGCTGATGTGGGAGGATCCCTTGAGGCCAGGAGATTGAGACAAGCCTGTGCAACATAGCAAGATCCTGTCTCCATAAAAATAAAATAAAATAGCTTTTTAAAAAGTCCACAATGAGAAAAATGTCCCAAATGAACAACATACAGGAAGGAGACCATGCTGGTGAGTCTACAGATCATCCAACAGCACAGCCTATAAAAAACTACAGCATCTTAAGATCCTGCAAGAACATCCAAAACACCTCTGGTGCACAAACCAGGCCCACTAAATCAGCTATTCATCGTTGCTCACGTCTCCTACTATAATATCGAGACAGGAAATGTCAAAGCAACATTTCCGAATATTAAAGGCTGCAGCTGGACACAGTAACACTGGAACCAAAAATTGGCTGACCTCTGGAGTGCCCTGAGGTGCCCAATAGCAATGCCCCCAATTGCTCTTCCCTCAACAAGTATTGTCCAAGTCTCTGTCGCAAGGATGTTCTTTTGGCAAATACCGAAGACAGGATTCAAACTCATTTTTTCTGATTCTGAGTTTTGCATATTTTCCCATTTCATTTCCCTTATCCTTTCAAGTACCAACTCCTTGACACTTGGCAGAAATTGGTCAGAGGATCCATGCTTATAGAACACATCACTTTTTAAGTATTTTGAATGCAAATATTACTTTTAATGTAGTAAGTATAGTTGTTTTAGGATCTGCCGTAGTTAGAGATGCTTCCCAATTTGGGGAGTTAGTTGTATTTTTTTTAAATTATAATGACAATAATTGTAGAAAACCAAGACAGAGGCTCCAATCTTTCCTTATTCTCAACCAGAGACAAGGCAGAGCATTAATGACCAGCCCCACATTTGCCTGTCTGAGGACAGGAGTAGTCTTTAATAGTCCAAGACGCCTGAAATACCAGCAATTTAGGAGGCCTAGGCAGGTGGATCGCTTGAGTGCAGGAGTTCGAGACCAGCCTGGACAACACGGCAAAGCCTCATTTCTGGCCGGACATGGTGGCTCACGCCTGTAATCCCAGCACTTTGGGAGGCCTAGTCGGGCATATCACCTGAGGTTGAGCGTTCGAGACCAGCCTGGCCAACATGGTGAAACCCTATCTCTACTAACAACACACACACACATACACAGAATGGTCCAAGAAATTGCAATCCCTGGATCTGGTGTAGCTTACTTGGCACTGGGAATATATCAAGAGTGAAACCCTTATTTAAATACCTAGCAACTGTTTGGTAAATGTGTGAGTGTTTTTATTCTGTTTACTCCCTTTCCTGGGATAGATATTGTGAGCTCATGCAGACAGGCAATCATGACTTCTCTTGACATTATTTGGGAAGCAAAGGGTGAGTCCCTTCCTCCTCTGAAACAAAGAGACAGAGGTTTAAACATAAAAGGGCAAGCAGGCATGATTTCTAAACACAGCGTTCTTAATAAGAGGATTTACAGGTTTTTCCCTTAACTTTATTTTTTTGTGTGATATCTTCTTTATGTGCAAATGTGAAGCTTAACTTTCTGGAAGGAATAGAGTGTTTTAGGCTGCTCTGTGTTAGAACAATAGACCTTTTACAGTTGGTAATCCTGTTTCCAATAAAAGGAAAAAAGGTTATTATGCTTCTGGAGCCACAAGATTTCAGATCCTGTTTAAATTAGTCCCCAGGTCTTCTGTAACTATGGGTTAAGAGACTAAGTTTTGGTATAAAAGAACTAGTTTGAATCTGGGCACTGCAAGGTTTTAAAAGCATGAAATCAGATAACTTGTTTATCTCCTTTAGACTACCATGTTTTTGTCTATAAAATGGAACAATCATTGTACCTTACGGGCTTGCTGGGAGGCCTATGTGAGATCAGGTATGTGTCACTTTTATCACTTTTATAAAAAGACCAATAAATGTTAGCTTTTATTGATTTTATTCATCACCTTTGCCCAGGATCCAGGGCATAGAGGCCTGGCCTATCCACCTGCCATGGTCCTCTACCGTTCCCCAAGTCCTCATCTTGAATTCATTACCACTGACACAAGGTTCACCTGGGAGCTCTTTTCTCCCCGGGGTAAGATGTTAAAACTTAAAGGGTTAAAACAGGAGCTGTGTTTTGGAGGAAGCCTGTAGTACCAGCTAGTGCCAGAGAGGGGCAGCACCCAGCCACCAGCTCAGGGCTGCCATTGCTGACCACAGCACTCCTCAGTAGGGCTCTGGAGTCCAGACAGCAGGCTGGAACCTCAAGAAGGTTGATTAAGGAATCATGGTAAAATGGAAAGCTAAGCTGGAAGTAACAAAAGAACTAGGACAGAAGCAAACATGCCAGGAAATGAAGCTGAAATGTTTGTGGAGTTTTAAACCTGGTGTGTCTGGGCCACTGCTTATTGACTCCTGCACACGGACTCACGCTCTCCTACCTAAGCTCTCCCTCCATCACTCCTACTCATACTGACATTCATTCTTCAAGCCCTTCATTCATTCCCTGACAAGGGCAGAGTAACTGCCCATTAGGGATTTTGAATCTGACAAGAGGTCAAGGCTGTCAGGAGAAACACCACAGGCTAAATGGGTTTGAAGTCAACATCTTGCGCTGCAAGGCGAATCAGATCGCAGAGAGTGGGTTATCTGATGGATTACAGCACATGTTGGTTGTGTTGTGGAGTTATGGGGAATATAGTTTCCTTTTGATGGTGCAACCAGAGACCACCATTCCTGTCCCACCAGAAGGAGATTCAGGCGGACCTCAGGATTGTGTGCTTCTGGTTGGGCAGACTAAGCGTAGCTCATCTCCAGGAGTCCCATCTACCCCATGGTGGTTATAGGTTTGTATAGTTATAACAACCATTTTCCAGGACATGGCAGTAAAGAGTGTTATTGATGAGGCGCCATTTTGGAATTTGCAGCATGGAAAGGACAGTCCCTAAGGACTCTGTCAAGACTTAGTGTGAAATCCTACAGAAAGCAGCTAGGCTCTGACAGGAAGCAATGTCTGCCTTGAGGTCCGCAATGAGGTTTTTTAGTAGTAACATCACTCAGTGGTTTCTGACAGTAATGGGACCTGATGGGGAGAAGTGAGGACCCTTACAGGACACTTTAACTGACAGAAGGAAAACTTGACGTGTGTCCTCTTCCAAAGCACTTCTTAGCTGCTTGCCACCAATGGCCTGCAGAGAGATATTGCAATGCTGTTTAGAATTTGGAATGTTATTTCTAAATTTAATTTCAGTATTTAAATATTATATAATTATAAAGGTTAGGGCAAATTGGTTTTATTTACTATTAAAATTTGTTAGGTAGTTGGAGATCATAATCTTCAAAGTGAGTTTTCCAGTCCCCATTTGGACTGCATTTAATTGAATAAAAAGGGACAGACACTGCTTGAATTTCAATAGTTTTGCAGTGAAAGGAGAGCAGGAATTTTCCAAAACAGATCATATGTCAAATAATTTTTGCTTTTCTTTTCTCTTTTTCTTTTTTCAAATTGTGGTAAGTAGTTTTGGCTTTTAAGGGAAGAGAAATAGGCTGCTGTTGTTGTTGCTATTATTATTATCATTTTAGAGAGGAAATTTTTTTCTACTTAATTGCTTCTTCATAATGAAGCATCTTGTATCTCTGAAATAAAGGATGTCAGAAAGTTCTAATAATTTCTATGGTGTCAATAAATTCATACTGTCAGCATGAATACAACTGAAATAAAAGACAGAATTATCTCAATGAGGAAAGATTCCAATTGCATGATCTTGAATATGTGGGCTTATCATAATGTCTCTCTCTGTCTCCCACACACACACACATAAACATACATGCAGACACACCATAATTATTTTCAGAAATATGATGCTTGCATTGATATATCACTTTACCAGTTGTCTTCTTGCAATGGACATATGCTGTTGTTATTTCCCTGTTACTTTTGGTGCTGTCCATCAAAATTTTTTCAGTGTTCTTTCATTCCAGACACATAATAGGTTAAACTTTCCTACCCCATGAAGTTAGGTGTAGCTGTCTGACTTGCTTTGGAAAGAAAATTAAAATGGGAATGATGTGTGTGACTCTCAAGTAGGAGCTTTACCATACTCATTTTTCCTACCTCAGCAATCTTGGAACTTTGGGAATGCATTCTCCTTCAGCTTGAGTGAAGATGAGTAAAGCAGACTGCCTCACCTCTAACAACCATCAACATATAGTGTAATGAGAAATAAACCTGTATTGTTTCAAGCCATGTAGATTTTGGGATTATTTGTTACAGCAGTATACCCCATCTCATCTGATGAATACACTGTCATTTGATTTCATAGGTTTTGGGAGTATTTGTTACAGCAGCATAACCCATCTTATCTGACTAATACCCTTTCATTTGTTTCTCTTTTATAGAAGCAAGCTGTTCCCTCCACACCTTTTCTATGTGGTTGGGTGAACAATGAATGGCTGGCTACCTCTTCCTCTCCATTTCAGAGGTGATTATCTGGTTCCATATTGGCCAAACAAAATGTTTCATCCTCTTGCCCTTTGTTACATGTTCAAAAATAGGTAAATGACTCAAGCCCAGGAATGAAAATCAATAGCTAGTAAGAAAGAAACTCGCTCTTTATGCAGGGAAATTAATTAAGCAGGTAGCATGTAACCCTACAAGTGCTGGTGGCCATTTTTACCACCACTTGGGAAGAACCTTTAGGAGAGTAAAGCCTATCCAATGAAACAAGAGCTGAACTATGGACAGGGACAGGCTCATAATGATATTATTTAAGAATTCAGAATGCTCTTGCTTTCCACTTCCCAGTGATAGTAGCCAATAACTTTCTTTTTGCTTTTTCTGCTAAATCTCTTATCATTTGCAGTAGCAACATCTTAACTAATAGACTCCCTAAACTCAGCTCATGAAACGTCTCACTTTTCAACCACATTCGTCTACAGAAGAAAGTTACGACCTTTCAGGGTGAACTTCAGTGCCTTTTAGGTTTTAGGCTCAACGTATATTTTGAACTTGACATCCGAGTCACATTCTCCACCACAGTCCCCTCCTCTCTCCTCCAGTGTTACCTTGGATTGCATGCTCACCATTCTTGAAGAACAAGTGGGGCTCTTTCTCTGCCATGGCCATGCTGCCTTGGGCTGTGGTGACTCATGTATGTGTCTGTCCTCTGCACTTGAATGTGAGCTCTATTAAATGGGGAAGGGGCAATATCTCATTTCACATTGATTTTTCTCATTGTGCCAAACATCAGTTCTTGCATAATGGTAGGTACTAAGCTAATAATTTGCAGAACTAAGCCAAATTCTCCATTTCAAGAAGTCTTCTCATTACACATTGAACATGCTCAGATGCCTGGTAAATAATCCCCATAAGTGATTGAACTGAAAAAGCCACTTTGCCTCTGTTTTCATTCACTCAGACATCATATTGCAGGGCTCTGTTGGAAACTCATTTTTGTTGTTGTTTAGGCTGGACCTTCAAATGCTAGTGCCTTTCCAGAAGTCAAAAGACTTGATTTTGTTTCTTTGTTTGTTGTTGAGACGGAGTCTCGCTCGGGCTGCAGTGCCCTGGAGTCTCACTCAGACTCACTTGCCCAGGCTGAAGTGCAGTGATGTCATCTTGCCTCACTGCAACCTCCACCTCCTGGGTTCAAGCGATTCTCCTGCATCAGCCTTCCGAGTAGCTGGGACTACTGGTGCCTGCAACCATGCCTGGCTAATTTTTGTATTTTTAGTAGATGCAGGGTTTCGCCATCTTGGCCAGGCTGATCTCAAACTCCTGACCCCAAGAAGTGATCCACCTGCCTCGGCCTCCCATAGTGTTGGAATTACAGGCGTGAGCCACCCCACCTGGCTAAAAGACATAATTATGATTTGTAGCTTTTTAGAGAAAAAATAACTTACTACAATATTTTAATACATGGTGCTGTGTCAAAAACGTGCATTTAACACACACAGCAGTCCTCATTGGATACTTTTGTTAACTCCACTTGACAGACAGAAAATAAAATTCAGAGAAGTTAAGTAACTCGCCACATGTCACACAACAGGACTCAAATTGGAATCCAGACCATTCGATGCCAGAACCTTTGCTATCTTTTCTTCATGTGCCTTTAACATTGAAGAATTTTTAGCAACTGATTTTAGCTCTTCCCATAAAGAGATATTGTTTTTACAGTGTTTTGACACTTTAAGATCCATTCGAATCAAAATTGAAACTTCACATGCCAAGAGAAGACAATGACATGATGTGGTGCAGGAGGGAGATCCCCGCTGGGAAGTTGAGCCTTGTACTGAGCCTCATATTGAGCCCTTTCTTGCTCTGTGACCTTGCTCAAGCCACGTAAGTGGCCTGAGTCCTAGTTTCGTCATTTGCAAAAGGAAGATAAGAACCACCACATGGAGTTGTGAGGATTGAGAGTGAAAATGGATCAAAAGTTCCCAATATAGTACCAGGCACAAAGTAGCGCTGTGTAAATAGAAACTATAAATAACAGTGCATGTATATCTAATTTTAGTGACGCTTACCTCTTGGATCATCATAATCATTGTGCTTCAAGGAGCCTGTCTCCTCTGTATCTGTAGCCTTACTGCCTCATGCACCACCTGGCACAAAGTAGATGCTCAGCAATCTGTAGTTCCTAAGTCTTTTAACGTCTTAACCTTTATTTTCCTGGTTTTTAAAGTGGAGCACTCCTGGCCAGGTGTGGTGGCTCATGCCTGTAATCCCAGCACTTTGGGAGGCCGAGGCGGGCAGATTATCTGAGGTCAAGAGCTCAAGACCAGCCTGACCAACATGGTGAAACCCCGTCTCTTCTAAAAATACAAAAATTAGCCAGGTATGGGGGTGCGCACCTGTAATCCCAGCTACTCGGGAGGCTGAGTCAGAGAAATCGCTTGAACATGGGAGGCGGAGGTTGCAATGAGCTGACATGGCGCCACTGCACTCGAGCCTGGGTGAGAGGGTGAGACTCTGTCTCAAATAAATAAATAAATAATGAATAATAAATAAAATAAAGTTGGGCAGTCCTATTACCATATGGGGTGCTTGGGATAAAATGAGGTCTTATGTACACAATGAAAAGTGTAGGGATTGGCACTCGGCAACTCAATTTTAACAAGTTGAATTTAGGATTCTAACTGTCTATAGACACTTAGAACATCCTCAAATGCTTTCCAAAAGCCCCACTCCTTACCATCCCTTCTCGCGTCCTCCTCAAGCCTGAATCTACCAAGGAGATTTCTAGGACGAGCTTGGAACTGTGCCTGCCCTGCTCTGTGGACATGGACAGCTGGACAATGCCAGACACAGGCACGTGCTCATCAATAAGGCACAGGCAGAACTCAGGGAGGAGGCTGTGGAGAGGGATGGAGGGTGGGGGGAAGCCTTTCTTATTGAATGCCGACTCCCATTCTGCAAAGCGGTGGTGAGATGTTTAATTTCCTATTCCCTTACCAAAGGCGAGATCCAGGTTGTCACTGTTTGTAGCATATGCACAGAAACTCTGGTCATAAAGAGGACGTTTTATGAGGACATATGCTACTCGCCTAGAAGCACTGCCAGGCCTGAATGCTATTCCTTGGCGATACCATGATTATATCTCCATCGAGTCCGGGGAAGCCTCTCAGGCCTGCAAGGCTGCAATTTTGAAATGGATTTCACAGCTGCAAACTATAAGATGACCCAATTTGTCTTTTCCATTTCTGCCTCCTCTTCTATAACTATGGAAATCTGCATCCACATCTCCGTGATGGGTTGCATAAAATATGCAACAGGACGTAGTGCTCAGACTTGAGAGCTGCAAAATTTAAGGACAGCTGCCGAAGTGATCTTGGGATAGGTGAGGGATGTGAGCAAGCTCATGGAGGGGTGTCTGGAGATTGCTGCTCCCTCAGACACAAAGGCCTTCTTTTTCTAAAATGATTGTCCCAAAGGCAAGAGACGGAGAGGATATATATACCCCCTTATCTTTTCCAAGGAACCCGGGGCTACCCATCCTCCAAAGAATATCCCAGATGGTAAATGGAACTGAAGTTTGCACATAAATTCTCCCCGGGGAATTGGTGGTTGGTGATAGCAGGCCTAATGAAATTTTTTATTGTGGTTATTACATACAATTTGTACAGTATATCATGCACGGAAATTTCTTCTATTCCTATAAATCTGGAATTGCCAGCGTAAATGCCCAGACTTACGAACTGCTGCAAAACACAATTACCTCTAGATACAAACTCTCTTTAGGACATAAAAATCGTTGCTACTGAGAAGGCTGAATTGCACCGGCAATTTTGTAAATATTTGAGTGATATATTTCCTTTTGGATAAGTTTTCATAGCCTTGGAAAGCTGTCTTGTTTCTTAATGCTTTTGTTGTTGTATTTTTTTTTCCCTGAATATCACTTGTGGCCTGATTGTGGTTTTCAATCATGCTTAGTAAATCAGACTATTGGACAAATGTCATTTATGAAAGGCTCAGAACTGTACGGCCTTCTGCTGGCATTAAGAAGACTGTCTTTATAGCATGTTTCTTAAAGACACGAGAGGAAAGAAAAACAAAATTCAGGCACATCCTGTGCTTTCCCCCCAACAGGGTCAGTTTTTCAAGTTAGAAGTTGTAGACAAGTCTTCCATTTTTAATGAGGGCTGATACAAAGCACCTTCCTCTTTATATGCTTCGATCAATGAAGGGAATCACTCCGGATAATCTGGGCTGCTTTTCACACCAGCAAAACGTTACCAGATGCAGAAAGTTTCTGCACATTTTCTAGTTAGGCTTTATTACCAAGTATGATGGTGAAGGTTGTTATACCCTGTATCGATTTTCTACAAGTTCTAATATTGGAGATAAGGAGAGTTCTTCCATCAGCTTCCAGCAAACAGAACGGAGACTGTTAAAACTCCTCATAACAGCTTCCAAAGGAAGACAACAGTGATGGATTATAGACTGCCCTGGAAGTGAGGAAACACCCTCATCGAGCAAACAGAAAGTGTTCAAATACAAGCCACACTCATGAAATGGGAAATAGGCTTTTTTTCCCTCTCTTGTTCTTCCTCCCTCCTCCTTTCCGTTTTCTTTTTCTTCCCCCTTCCTTTACTTCCCCCATCCTTCTTTCTTCCTTCCTTCCCTCTTTCTTTTCTTCCTTCCTTCCTTTCCCTCCCTTTCTTCTTTTTTCCTTCCCTTCCTTCCTTCTTTCCTTTTCTTCGTTCCTTCTTCCTTTCTTCCTCCTTCATTCATTTTCTTCCTTCTTTCCTTCCCTCTCTCCTTTCCTCCCTCCCTCTCTCCCTCCCTCTCTCTCTTCCTTCCTTCCTCTCTCTTTCTTTCTCTTCTTTATTTCTTTCTCTGTTTCTATCTTACCTCAGTTAATTCTTATAATATTCTATGCATTGCCTATTACCAGTCTGCATTCTACAAATGAAAAAAAAAAGTTTAGGGAGACTAGGTTTCTTGCTTCAGTCATGTACCTTGTGAGTGGAGTAGCTGAGATTTAAGCCCAGGTCAAATTGGAGTCTGATACACAACAACCAAATACCGTCAATTAGACTGCTTCTCCCAGCCGTCTTTCCCCATGTTCACCCTAAGAATCCAACACTCACAGGATTATAGAACACTGCCTGAATGTGTTCCTTGAGGTGCTCCAGCACCATGACATAGATATTTGAGAAATGAAAAGATGAAGGATATACTTTCACCATGTCAACAGCATGAGGAATTATGTTTGCACCCTATGCATGCGCACCTAAAGAAATAATCTTATTAAAGGCACAGAAAATTGCCAGGGAGAGCTTGGGGCCCAGTAGAGAAATATTCAATAAATGTGGACCAAGTAAACCGGGCAAAAAACAAAATAAATTGGGCAAAGAACATGAATTAGTATATGAATTAGTATATAACAGAGGAGAAGTAACGAAACAGAGGAGAAGTAACGAATCAGTGCAAATATTAAACGGAAGAGAATTTCTTTTTTTTTTGAGACAGAGTCTTGCTCTGTTGCCCAGGCTGGAGTGCAGTGGCACCATCTCAGCTCACTGTAACCTTCGCTTCCCAGATTCAAGTAATTCTCGTGCTCAGCCTCCCAGGTAGCTGTAGCCGGGACTGCAGGTGTGCACCACCACACCCGGTTAATTTTTTCTATTTTAGTAGAGACATGGATTCACCATGTTGGCCAGACTGGTCTGGAACTCCTGAGCTCAGGTAATCCACACGCCTTGGCCTCCCAAACTGCTGGGATTATAGGTGAGAGCCACTGTGCCCAGCCAAGAAGAGAAAAAATTTTAATGTTTCTAGTAATCAATGCAATGCAAAATAAAATAACAGGATCCCAATTTTCATTGATCAGAATGACAACTCTATTTTTCTAATCATAATACCTGCAACATTGAAAATCCTGGTGGAGATGAGGTGAGTGAAGGGTTGGTAAACATGCATCTTCATGCACCACTAGTGGAAGTGAGAATTGATCAAAACTCAGTGGAGAGATTTACCCATTCATGCCTCTACTGTTGTCTGAGCACTGACCGTGTACCAACCCTACTGAGTGCTGGATCCATAGAAATAAATGGGTCCAGTGCCGACCCTTTAGGAGCTTATATTCCAGTGGGGGAAGAGAGACATTAATCCAATAATTTCACTGTGAATGCATTAGGTTAGCCCAAAAGTAATTGCATTTTTTGGCCATTATTTTTAAATGCTGTTATTTTGAAATGGCAGAAACGGTAATTACTTTTGCGCCAACCCAACAGAATGGCAAACTAAGAAAACGTTGTGAGAAAAAAATATGTACTAAATGTAAGCATAACAAAGCCTTGATTCGGCTGGGTAAAATAAAGTAAAAGCATTTAGATAAATTAAAAAAAAAAAACACAGCAAAAAACCCAAAAAGCAGAAAAATAACTTCCCTGAGGAACTAGTTCTATGTAAAATAGTATTAAAAAGACAAACCTTTGATTAAGCAATTTTGTGTGAATCAAATTTGTGGAAATAATCATTAATGCCTGTAAATATTCATGTCCAAGCCTTTTAGTTATTGTGTTGTTAATAGTAACAGAAATTTGGAGACAATAACCAGCAATGGGAGAATATTTAAAGTATGGTATAAACACACAAGGAAACCCCATGCGGTATTTAAAAATCAGGAATTCAAAGACTCTTTAGGGACATGGT
This sequence comes from Homo sapiens, assembly GCF_000001405.40. Classification (NCBI taxonomy): domain Eukaryota; kingdom Metazoa; phylum Chordata; class Mammalia; order Primates; family Hominidae; genus Homo; species Homo sapiens. The sequence goes on along the minus strand of NC_000016.10, from coordinate 8,186,002 downwards.
TACATGTTAGTATAGCGTTAAGTGAAAAATACAGCTACAAAACTGCACACATCGTATGATTTTTTTTTAATTTTTATTTTTTTTTGAGACCGAGTCTCACTCTGTCGCTCAGGCTGGAGTGCAATGGCACCATTTCGGCTCACTGCAACCTCCGCCTCCGAGGCTCAAGAGATTCTCCTGCCTCAGCCTCCTGAGTGGCTGGGATTACAGGCGAGTGCCACCATGCCCAGCTAATTTTTGTATTTTTAATAGAGACAGGGTTTCACCATGTTGGCCAGGCTGGTCTCGAACTACTGACCTCAAGTGATACACTTGCCTCGGCTTCCCAAAGTGCTGGCATTGCAGGTGTGAGCCACTGTGCCCGGCCACACATCATATGAGTTTAACTGCTTTAAACAAAGAAAGGAAATGCAATACAAAAGCAAGACTTCAAGATTACAAGTGAGTCACAATATTTTTGTTATGCTTGTCTGTGATTCCCCAAATTTCTGCGATGAATCTGTGTGAGTTCATTATAAAGAAAGTAATTGTAAAACAGACAATAGATTCACTTCTTGAGTATACATCGCGTGGGTGGCACCAGGTGGATATAGGTAAATGTAAAAACAAATGAAGCATCCCCCTCTGGTTGAATGTAGTTTTTGCTCTGAAACACTTATCATTTTCTGTTTTGAATTAGACTTACTAGTGCACCCACACTATCTGACTGTGAGCTACTCTCTCCTATTAGTGGGAAAGAATTGAGATTGGCAGCTAACACTGGCAGTGTTACCTATTTAATTAATTTAATTAACATTAAGTAACTATTTGCCAGGTCCTGTTGTAATTTCCCACAAATACTAACTTCTTTATCTGTCATAAAAATTCTGTGAGGTTGTAAAATGGTGCAACTGCTGTGGCAAACAGTTGGGCTGTTCTTTAGAAAGTCAGACATTGAATTACCACCTGACTCAGCAATTGCACACCTAGGTGCCATTGATCCTCCTCATGCATAGATTCTGTATTTGTAAATTTGCCTTTTTGCTGAAATCTATCTGTAACCTTCAAATCAGTTCTTATGGCTCTTTTAGGGTTATTTGTGCAGACGTGCATATAGTAACCCCAAATTTGAGTTGCCTGATGCACACATTCCCAGGGAAGTTTGCTCTACCTTCTAATTTCAGCTCTCATGCAGAGATGCCCACCGGGTGGAGCTGGTAATGGGTAGCGCAGAACAGTGCAAGAAGCGCTGGCTTTGGGGCCAATTATACATAGAGTTTGAAGCACAACTAAAGCATCTGTCGGTGCGGTGTCCTCAAGCAAGTCACTCAAACACTTCGTTTTTATTTTATTTTTATTTTTGGAGGTGGAGTTTTGCTCTGTTGCCCAGGCTGGAGTGCAGTGGCCCGATCTCAGCTCACTGCAACCTCTGCCTCCTGGGTTCAAGCTATTCCCCTGCCTTAGTTTCCCAAGTAGCTGAGCCTGCAGGTGCGTGCCACCATGCTGGCTAATTTCTTTCTTTTTTTTTTTTTTTTGCATTGCATTTGTAGTAGAGACAGGGTTTTGCTACACTGGTCTTGAACTTCTGACCTCAGGGATCCGCCTGCCTGGGCCTTCCAAAGTGCTGGGTTTACAGGCGTAAGCCACTGCACTCGGCCACTCCAGCACTTCTGAATTTTATTTTCTATTTTGTAAAATAAAATAGAATCTCCCAGGATGAGTTACCACACACAGACACACAGACACACACACACACACACAGACACACACACACACACTAGATAGATGATAGCTTGCTAGCTATCTAGATAGATAATAGATAGAGAAACAGATATATTTCTCTTAGCTAGGATTTAGTATTTGATAATTCAGTGTTTGCTATGTATTAATAGAACATAACTACTGGGAATAATGAGAAATAACTGTATATACTCAAAAGAATTTAAAAGAAGTATTCAAATACCTGTGCATGAATGTTCATGGTAACATTATTTACAATGGCTGAAAGGTGGAAATAACTCAAATATCCATCAATGTTTGAATAGAAAGACAAAATGTACATATCCAAATAATGGAATATTACTCAGCCATAAAAAAGGGATGAAGTACTGATGTACGTTACAATGTAAATGAATCCCAAAAGCATTATGCTAAGTGAAAGAAGCTAGATGCAAAAGGTCACATATAGCATCATTCTACTTATGGGAAACATCCAGAAGAAAGAAATCTATACAGATAGAAAGTAGATGAGTGGCTGGCAGGCGCTGGGATGGAGGAAATGGGGAGTGACTGTTTAATGGATACAAGATTTATTTTAGAGGTGATTAAAATGCTTTGGAACTAGATAGAGGTGACAACTTTCTGAATGTACTAAATGCCACTTATTTATACTTTTAAACATGCTTAATTTCATGTTGTGTTTAACTTAATCTAAATTTTAAAATGTCCGGTGATGTAGGGATTAGTATTATGCCCATTTTACAGGTGAAGACATCAAGTCATTTGTTCAAGGCATCCAACTGCAAGAGGAGGAGCTGGGATTTGAACCCAGGGACGTTGACTTGCAGTATAGACGCGTTTGACCACAATGACGTGCTCTCTCTGCAGACTAGTGTAGATTTTGGTACATAGCATGGTCTTAAAAGATGTAAGTTTCTTTCCCTTTTGCTCCCTTTGCAAGCAGGAACTATATCTGACTCCACCAGACTTTCACATCGCCATTCGCAAGAGAACAAAGAGAGCAAATGCGTGTATTTGTCTCTTTCTCTTGTCTCCTGCTTAAGGTTTCTGTTCTCTCATCTTCTATTGAGCCACGCTTTAAAAATACACTCCATTGTGAAAATTGAACATGCAGAAGGAAATGTGGCATGGAGCTGAAGAAAACATTCATGATCAAAAAAAAAAAAAAAATTAAAAGGTCCAGACCTGCACTTTTCTAAATGATGTAGGAGAAAAATAATGGGCCAGAGGAGAGAAGCCTGATGTGTTCCCTCGTGTCCCTAAGATTTATCACCTACACACGCAGAATGCTACAGCAAGGAGATCTTGTGACCACAGCAATAACTCACAAGCCAGCCATGCAGCCTGCTACTTGCTGATAGCACCTGCATCGCGTGGCCCCCAGATCATCTGGAAGCTTCACGCTGGGTGGGGCCTTATTTCTACCAACTCCCTCCCGCTTCACTTCAGACTCACTGTTTGTCTGCAGCAGTGGTGCAGTGCATTGGGAATTGGAGAAGACAGTGTTTCCGTTGTCAATTTTACCGTGGGTAGAAAAAATGTGCATTCTCTCTCACAATAGTGATGAGGCAGGGTTGGGGGGAGACAAAGCAAAACTGACAAAAACAATCCCAACTGTTAACCTTCTATTTGGGGAAATATTTCACTCTCCTCTGAGGGGGAAACAAGGCACAAATAATTAGAGAGTTTTAGGGATGGAATATTCCTTAAAAAACTGGCACTGTATTTGCAGGCATTTTAATGCATTTTTTTAAAATACCTAGAATAGGCCAGGCATGGTGGCCCACGCCTGTAATCCCAGCACTTTGGAAGGCCGAATTGGGTGGATCACTGAAGGTCAGGAGTTTGAGACCAGCCTGGCCCACATGGTGAAACCCTGTCTCTATTAAAAATACAAAAACTTAGCTGGACGTGGTGGCTCGCACCTGTAGTCCCAGCTGCTAGGGAGTCTGAGGCAGCAGAATGGCTTGAACTCAGGAGGTAGAGGCTGCAGTGAGCCAAGATCATGCCAGTGCACTCCAGCCTGGATGATGGAGCCAGACTCTGTCAAAACAAACAAACAAACAAACAAAACCAAAACCCTAAAATACTCTTCATCTAAGATGCCCAAATAGTAAATGGATTACAGAGAATCAAACAGATATAAAATAATAATTTGGTTTTCAGTGGTGCAAAAGAATTTGTATCATTTCAGTATAAACATACTTGCATGAGCATAAACAAAAAAACTGTCATTATAAATGCAATTGAAAATAATTATAAACACATGGATGATGAAATCTATTCTGGTTCTCCTTCCTTCCTTCCCATAATGTCCTTGTAAAATGAGAGTAGTTTCTTGTATACCTCTGATTCTTGCATATCAGGAAATACGGTAGTTCGATATCTGAGCTGTTTCTTGTCTCCTCTTTATAACGTTTTCTGCAATCATTCATTCATTCATTCAGTATTTACCATGTATTAAAGAGGTTGTGGGAGCTTATGACTTAATAAGGGAGACACATAACCACGGGGAACAAGTTTTAATATCTGCTGGGCTCACCTGTGTGGGTTTTTCTGTTCCTCTCATTAGCAGGTTCTGCTCCCTGGGCACAGAGGAGGTCATGAGTTGAGAGTGGGCTGTGCGTGCATCCTAGAATCTCAGCCTTCTTGGAGCAGCGACTATTATATGCTCTGGTGGGCTCTCTGGAGTTTTCAGGAAGAAGATGAGATATTTTACCAAGAATGTCTGTTGAAAATACTCTTTGCCTTCCAACAGCCTTCACCTGAAGCAACTTTGAAGATTCTAAATAACTTCTACAGCCTAAATCAGATAATGTTTAACCTAAGGGGCAGGCGAAGTCCCACTGCCATCACCTCTGTGGTGTGATTTCAGGAACCCAGTCAGGCTGCTTCCCCAAATACGATGACCAATGTCTGAGATGATACCAATAGAGATGGATTTCTTCGGGATATGGATTGCTTTCATTTTTGATTTTCTCCACTCTTCAAGGGAAAACAAAGATGTGATAAATATTCATTCCAGCTTTTTCATTTGTTATTGGCTGGCACCAGGGCCTCTGCTGTGAGCTCAGACAGGCCATGCCTGAATCCGGTCCCATCACAGGTGTGTGATGCTGGGCAGCTCTTTTGTTTAACTCCTGAAAGTCAGAGGTCTCTTGTAATGCATGCTACATGGATTTGTTATGTGGATTGAAATAGCTGATGGGTTTATAGATTTAGAGCAGTATATTGAGTTCTTGAGCAGATATCTCAGTTCTGTCCCTTAATAGTTGGGTGATCTTGGTCAAACCTTCTGTACCTGAGTTTCAGTGATGTGCTGGAACCAGCTTGCACTGGTTCACGAAGGCTGATTGTTGTATACTCATAAATTTTGTGAGCAGGTTGTTACATTGTTGGCAGCTTAAAATTGGCCACGGTGGGAGCATTTACACTAGAGAAATCAGCAAACACTACACAGCAGGGCTCTGCCCCCACCTCCCCAACAGAGAACTGATTCACCAGCACACTATTCTTCAGTTCCTTTGTGAATTTCTTGCAATAATTATAATCAGATAATTTGTGTAAACGTCTCAGCACAGTGCCTGGCCTTTAAGAAGGCTCTCATTAAAAGATAGTTGCTACAATTACTACTATACTACTACCAACAATAATTAAACAATAATTATGTCATTATAAGATCTTGAACATAGTAAGTCCTTGAAAAATCTCAAACCCTTCCCTATTTATTCATTGTTACCCCTTCCCTATATATTCATTATTACCCCTTCCCTGTATATTCATTATTACCCCTTCCCTGTACATTCGTTATTACCCCTTCTCTATGTATTCATTATTACCCCTTCCCTATATATTCATTATTACCCCTTCTCTATATATTCATTATTACCCCTTCTGTATATATTCATTTTTACCCCTTCTCTATATATTCATTATTACCCCTTCTCTATATATTCATTATTACCGCTTCCCTATATATTCATTATTACAATTTCTACCAAAGGTCTAAGGGAATCTGTGTAAACGTCAAGACTCCGAGGGAACAATTTGTCTCCAATCTCACTTCTGACTCTGAAACACAGTGGAACTTTACTCCTTCTCATCAACCATAATTCAGGGCAGACATCTGGACTTATGCATGGCACATGAACAGAAGCCAAATATCATCTCCAACCTCACCATCTCCATCCGATTAAGTGTTTCTCTTTGGCTGCCACGCCAGCTGGATGACTGGGGGTTCTCTTCTTACCATCATGAAGCCGTCAACACCCATGGTGGGCCCTGCAAAGTATAAAGGACAGTTTATCCACAGAGCAGTGGCAGCATCATTGTTTATGAAACGATAACTGCTTCAGGTAGCAGCAAGTTCCAACATTAGCACAACAAAAGCTTTGAGCTGGACCATCTGTTGCCACGTGGACAGTCTGGTGGGCTTGCCAGAGCCATTTATCCGTGTCGAGTACATATCCACACTGGCCAGTCCTCACGCAGAGCAGAAAGGAAATTTAAAGAAAGGCCCATCATTTATCACTGTAGACAGCTGGGCTGGAGTGTGTGTGGGGAAAAGCAAGAGAGATCAGATTGTTACTGTGTCTGTGTAGAAAGAAGTAGACATAGGAGACTCCATTTTGTTATGTACTAAGAAAAATTCTTCTGCCTTGAGATTCTGTTAATCTATAACCTTACCCCCAACCCCATGCTCTCTGAAACGTGTGCTGTGTCAACTCAGAGTTGAATGGATTAAGGGCGGTGCAGGATGTGCTTTGTTAAACAGATGCTTGAAGGCAGCACGCTCCTTAAGAGTCATCACCACTCCTTAATCTCAAGTACCCAGGGACACAAAAACTGCGGAAGGCCGCAGGGACCTCTGCCTAGGAAAGCCAGTTATTGTCCAAGGTTTCTCCCCATGTGATAGTCTGAAATATGGCCTCGTGGGAAGGGAAAGACCTGACCGTCCCCCAGCCCGACACCCGTAAAGGGTCTGTGCTGAGGAGGATTAGTAAAAGAGGAAGGAATGCCTCTTGCAGTTGAGACAAGAGGAAGGCATCTGTCTCCTGCCTGTCCCTGGGCAATGGAATGTCTCGGTATAAAACCCGATTGTATGCCCCATCTACTGAGATAGGGAAAAACCGCCTTAGGGCTGGAGGTGGGACCTGCGGGCAGCAATACTGCTTTGTAAAGCATTGAGATGTTTATGTGTATGCATATCTAAAAGCACAGCACTTAATCCTTTACATTGTCTATGATGCCAAGACGTTTGTTCACGTGTTTGTCTGCTGACCCTCTCCCCACAATTGTCTTGTGACCCTGACACATCCCCCTCTTTGAGAAACACCCACAGATGATGAATAAATACTAAGGGAACTCAGAGGCTGGCGGGATCCTCCATATGCTGAACGCTGGTTCCCCGGGTCCCCTTATTTCTTTCTCTATACTTTGTCTCTGTGTCTTTTTCTTTTCCAAATCTCTCGTCCCACCTTACGAGAAACACCCACAGGTGTGTAGGGGCAACCCACCCCTACAGAGTGTGGGAAGAGAATACTTTTTTTTTTTTTTTTATCCTTGAGAAAAACAAAGACCCTGAAGATGGGCAATGCTTGCTCAGCTCCTAGCTTCTTTCTAACCACAGTCCCTCCAGCTTCCTCCTTTCTTCTTGCGTTTCCAGATTGTAGAAGAAGGGTGTAACCATGGATGCCTGCTTCCCTACCCCAAAATATCATGACCAGGTGGCACCTGGGGTTCTTTGGCTTCGAGCTGGAGAGAGCATGTTTATTCGTGCCTCCTGAAAGGGAACTCTAAAATAGAACCTTTCTGCCATTGTCCATGAAAGCATCTGCTGCAAAGATTGCTGACTTTGGAGCTCACAGACCACAGCGTGTGTGCAGGTCCTGTCTGCTGCGTCCTGAGTTAACTGGGACATGTGAACTCGCTTCTCGGAACCTCAGCTTCATGTTCTGCAACATGGGGATAATAGTGCCGTTTGTACACACAAGGTCATATTCCAAAGCCATAGTCTCCCTCTCCATAGGAAATATTGAACAGCATATTTCATTTGGTATAAAGGCAAGGATATTGAGATTATATATCAGGACATTTTCTTTAATCTAAAGTTGATTCTTTTTTTTTCTGTTTTTAAAAGACATGAAAACATTTTCATACACTCCGAAAATTATTGTGAGCCGTAGGCACTGTGCCTACTGTACCTAATGGATAAGTTGGCTCCGTGTGTGTGTGTGTTTGAAATGAAATACCGTGGATGAAAGCATCCGGCATAATTGTTAGCAATAGCACAGCAAGGTGGTTAAACTCACAGTCTAGAAACTGGAATTTCTTTCTTTTTTTTTTTTTAAATAGAGTCTCTCTCTGTTGCCCAGGCTGGGGTGCAGTGGCATAATCTCGGCTCACTGCAACCTCTACCTCCTGGGGTCAAGTGATTCTCCTGCCTCAGCCTCCCAAGTAGCTGAGATCACAGGCATGTGCCACCACGCCTGGCTGATTTTTGTATTTTTAGTAGAGACAGGGTTTCACCACATTGCCCAGGCTGGTCTCGAACTCCTGACCTCAGGTGATCTGCCCACCTTGGCCTCCCAACGTACTGGGATTATAGGTGTGAGCCACTGCACCCAGCCAAAACTGGGGTTTCTGACTTCAAATTCTGTCTTTTTTGCTTACAAGCTACGTGAGTTTAGACAAGCTACTTTATATGAATATATAATATAGAGATAATTAGATAATTAGACTTGAGATATATGTATATACACACACATATATATCTATACGCACACACATACATACACACAAATGTTCCTTGACTTAACGATGGCATTACATCCCAATAAACCCATCATAAGTTGAAAATATCGAAGTCAAAAATACATTTTATATATGTAACTTCGTAACCAAACATCGTAGCGTAGCCTAACCACTTTAAACATGCTCAGAACACTTAGATTAGCCTACCTTTGGGCACAATTATCTAGCATAAAGCCTATTTTATAATGAAGGGTTGAATATCTCATGTAATTTGTTGAATGTTGTACTGATGGTAAAAAACAGAAGGGTTGTATGGGTATTTGAAGTATGGGTTTCTACTGAATGTGTATTACTTTTGCACCATCATAAAGTTGAAAAACCATAGCTGAACCATTGTAAGTTGCATCATGGTAAGTTGGGGACCATCTGTATAATATGAATATATATACAGATGGCCTATAAATATATATACAGATGGTCCCTGATTTATAATCTATATAACTTACATGTATCTCTCTATATATGAATAGATATATTTCTCATAGCTATTTATATCTATGAATGTATATATTTCTGACATATGGATATATATGAAATGGTTAAAATACTACTACTATGAGTACTACTACCTACCTACCTCAAAGGGTGATTGTGAGCATTGTATGAATAAATTAATAAAAATATTTTAAGGCAGTTGCCTGGAATCTAATAATTCTTTGCTAAATGTCAGCTCCTCTTCAGCTCACTTTGCTAACTGCGTTATTTATAGGACAGTGAGCACATTGAGAAGAAGCAGACATCGTGGTCAAGAGCAGAACCTCTGGAGTCAGAAGAACTTCATGAATAAGGAATAAATTACCTGAGACAACATTACTGCTGCATGGAGTTCTCAACTGAAGGCATTCTGTGCTGCGGCATTTTTTTAACCAAATCCCATTAAATGACCAGTGTTGCACATATACAAAATTGGATAGGTGGCTAATGATGCATGAGCACATTTTATAGGAATCCACTTGACCTGCAAGGGATCAATTCCATGATTTGATTAAAGGCTTAACCTTTCAGAGTCCAGCTTTGACCCTGTGTTCACAGATAAATCTCCAAAGCTGATAGATTCTGACATTTAAGACTTGGATTTAAGGAAAGGTGATATCCCATTTTCCATTTTTCTAGTAGAAATGAAATAGACCCAGCTGCGCCATTAATTAGCTGCATCATTTTGTATAACTCTCATATGCTCTCTTGGCCTCAGTCTCCCCATTGGTAAAATAATAGAGTTAGGCTTAGGAAGCATGTTTACAACTTGGCTTCTCAGATTCTTGGGGTTTTATAAAGGACTTCCAGTGGCTTCTGGGGAAGTCCAGTGGGCAAGACCCTGTCCCCACTTCTCTCAGAAATCTCCATTGTCATTGCTGTAACTTCTTGGATTTCACACAAGATATGAGTTGAACACAGAGTTTTATGGAAAAAAATAGGGTGCACCAAACCCTAGACTAGATGACATCTCTATTTAATACTAATGATGATATTTGGAAGCCGTGGGCCAAGTGTGAGATAAAACTGAACAGGAATACACATAAGATTCTGCACCCAATCCCCTAAAGGAAGTCCAAGTAGAGGATAAAGGATGTGCTTAGAGAGACACAAATGAGAGCTACTTAGGTGTTTTGGCTGGGGAAAAGGTCAGTATGAACTAAGATTATGATGTTATCACAAGAAAACAAGTCAAAGTGGCTAACAGTAAAAGCAACGCCAGCACTGCCATAGTAAACTGATGTGTTTGACGGCTAAATTAACAGGAAGAACACCTTCAGAACCAGAAAGGTAAATTTCCCTTCCTACTTCCTGGTGGTTAGACCGTACTGTATGTATTCTGACTTCATGTCATTGCAATGGTATTTCATGGTCTTTGATTAGAAGCTCCAGGAATATTCACATGCCTTCCAATCAAACACATCTTCTCAAAGTTCCCTGGGAAGTTAAAAGACAATAGTCATCTGTTAAAAATCAAAATCATCCTAAGCATCTGCTTCCAAGGTTTGGTGATCTGTTCTAAGTGTGTTGCATGGATTATTTTGTTAAATGTCATTTAATCTTCATAGCCACCATATGAAGTAAATTCTATTATATCCACTTTTTTTCAGAGGACGAAATTAAGGCACAGGAATGTTTAGTAACTGGATCAACATTTCACATCAAAAGGCAGAGCAAGTGAAAATACGACTATGAATTTGCAACTACCTAGGTCCAGGCCAAAGAACCTCTTTGAAGGAGCCATCTTGAAGCTTTTGGCTTTATCTTGAAGCCTAGGCAAGTTCTTTACCTGCTCCTTTAAACATTAATATGAATTGATGTATCTTTCCATGTATTGCCAGCCACATGATACAGGAACTTAAAGCAATGGCTTTTTAGATTATGCAAGAAAAGAGAGTAACCATCCTGAATGCTCCTATGAAATCAGGCAGCCATGAACATTTTACTTTCTGTCAAATGATGGCAGAAATGCAAAGGAGAGAATAACTCCTGGGTGCATGATCTTGAACTTCACAGTGACCTAGCCTACCGTGAACAGGGTCAAATAGTATCTGCATCCTGAACCATGAGATCACTCTTCTCTCCTCTTTTGAATAAGTCAGAAATTAGGTGACAGAGAAGCAAGACAATGAGGTGGAAACCTCTCTTATTGCCTCCAGCTGCATTTATTCCTGAAAGCCACTTTAAGTGGACTATTGCAAAATCAAGTATGTAGAAGGAGGATGGAAGTCAGAACTTGATCCTGAGGCAGTTATCCTATATCTGAAAAGCTGTGACTGGGGAATGAAAGATGAGTCTTGTTGAGGATGGATGAGAGGTAGAGTCACAGCCAATGAATACAGAAAAGCAGATTTAGGTTTGCGGTCATCAAACCAGTCCAGCAATGGAATGGGCTGCGTTGTGAGGTAGTAGTCTTGGGCATGGAAGCTATTCCGTGACTAGATGATGCCAGGCAAGGATCCTATAGATCAGCTCTATTCAAAATGTGGTCTGAATATTGACACCAGTCTACACATTGTTACTGGTCTGCAGCGAAGTAAATTCAGAAATTGAGAGCAAGAATTTATAAGGTTTTCTAGCAATTTGATACAATAATTTTCTATTTGTTGAATCAAATAATAAAAATAATTGAAATAACTTAGGCTTGAATATTGCACATTTAATTTCATTCTTCAAATAACTTTTTTTTTTTTTTTAATAATGAACCAGGTGAGGTGCCTCACACCTGTAATCCCAGCTCTTTGGGAGGCCGAGGCAGGCAGATCACGTGAGCTCAGGAGTTTGAGACCAGCCTGGCCAACACGGTGAAACCCCGTCTCTACTAAAAGTATAAAAATTAGCCAGATGTGGTGGCAGGTGCCTGTAATCTCAGCTACTTGGGAGGCTGAAGCAGGAGAATCACTTGAACCAGGCAGGCGGAGATTGCAGTGAGCCAAGGTCAAGCCACTGCACTCCAGCCTGGGCGACAGAGCAAGACTCAGTCTCAAAAAAAATAAATAAATAAAATAAAAATAAAAAAATAAATAAAAGCATTGGCCTGTTCTTCCTCATAGATATTTGAGAGGCACCAGTGTGGAGGGTTTTTTGTTATTGGGTAGAAAGGCTGGGCTGCACCCACATTAAGGCCCCTTCCTAGTAAGATTGAATTATATACATTTTAATGAATAACATATGAAAATTGCCTAGCACAGTTCCAGGCACATAATTGGTACTCAGTACAATCTTTCTTATTTTAATTGCATAATTGTTATACCTTGAAAGTCAACCATTTGTGCACAAAAATGAAAATATTATATTTACATGGGAGGAAAGTTGGAAACTTTCAATTGCAAAATCTTTGCATCTGCAACTTCTGATACACGCCTGCAAAAATACACATGTATACATATGCCTGCTTATGCTTTCTTTACATCGTGGGCCTCCGAAAATAGCCTTTTCTGCCATGGGTTTTGCTTTTTATCTGTATAGCACGCATCAAATGGGTTGAGGTCAAGAGATCGCCACTTAGAGATATCCTAGGGTTTTTTTTTTTTAACATTTCTATTTGAAGTGAACTTTAGAGGCAAACATTGATATTTGAGTCCCATTATGACAATGACTCATGAAGGATCTGCAAACTGACCCCTGGTCCGGGACAAAATGGGAGCGTGAATAGCAGTCTTGCTGGCCACTAGGTGGCGACCTCGAACTCTCCCAGCTTTTACTGCAAGCGCCGTTCAAACGCACTGGCTGGAATGAGTACCGCACACACAAAAGATCATCAAAGGGAAGTGAAGGATGGACTGGAGCAAGTTGGAGTGAATTATCCTGACCGCACCTGGCCAAGGACTTTATCATACACTCAGTGCGGAAGGCTAGAAACGATGCTTATAATAACTCCATAGTCAAATATTTCTGCTTTCTCTTGCACAGTGTGGGTTTCATTACGCTCAGCTAAGCCTGTTTTTCACAATTTTATACAAAATCCCAAATTAAAGAGGCCTGTCAGTTATTCCTACCTACCTATGTATCTCACTAATGAGTTTCGCCATCATTCAGGTGACCACTGTCAGGCCACCTTATAAAATTGCTGCTTTAATTGACAAGGTTTTTTTTTTTTTCCTGCTCAGGTGTGTGCGATATTGCATATGCAGGCAGCGAATTGGACACAGCTGAAATCAAAATGAATGTGTGTGCTACATTTGGACAGATGAGACCCCAACCTGCCACGCTTTGCTGAGTGATGGTTTTTACATTTGAAGGGAGCCGTTCTCCATCATAAAGTTGGAAGGCGGCCGTGAGCCTAGCCACTTTTGGCAGGTTTGAGGAGTCCAGATGTCCATCATGAAATGGGTTATTTAATGTACCTGTGGGCTGTTTGCAAAATGGGAATGCCTCCCTTTTTGTAAACATCAAGTGGGCAAAAATGCCAAATGTGTTTGCCCTCAACAGCAACGTGTACATGAGTATTAAGTGCACATAAAGGGTTCTTTCTATTCAATTCGATGCAAATCAAACATTTGCATTTCAATTAATATCTACTTAATTCTATTTCCTACACAGAAAGAGTGCTATTAGGTCACTCTGCCAGACTGTGGTGTCTCGTGCACTTCTTCCCTATGGGGCAATTATCAGACTTATCTGTCTGTGCATTTCTTGAATGTGGCGCAATTCTGACCTTACCTTCATCCTAACTCATCATCAAATCCAACTTAACCAAGACTAACTGAAAAAAAAAAAAAAAAAAAAAAAAAAAAAAAAAAAAAAAATGCCTGGCTTACATAAGGTGCCTTCAATATGTGATTTGGACAGAAACCAAAATATAAACCTTTTCAGGCTTCCAACGTTCAATGCTTTACTCAAGCTCATCGCCCTAAATCCACGGCTTTTAACCTTTTGTGTGAGTGTGAATGCATCTGCATGGGTGTGTGAGCCTTACCTCTTTGAAAATGTTAAAGCAATGGATTTATTCCCCAGAAAAAAAAATGTAGCTATGTACATGTACTCAAAAGACTAAAGAATTTTAGGGGGTTCAGAGATCTTTTTGGTGTCTATGGATTAAGACCTGTGCTTTATGGATTAAAAACCTGTGTTTTATCTTCTGCGTATGGCTCAAATTGCATTGAGAACTCCATTTTTTTTCTTTTCTAAAATAATTATTTGTAGAGACAATGTCTTGCTATGTTGCCTAGGGCTGTTCTCTAACTCATGGGCTCACTCCTCCTGCCTCGGCCTCCCAAAGTGCTGAGATTACAGGTATGAGCCACCACACCTGGTGAGAACTCTGTTAAAATGAAAACAAAGGCCGGGTGTGGTGGCTCACTTGTAATCCCAGCCCTTTGGGAGGCCAAGGTGGGAGGATCACGAGGTCAGCAGATCGAGACCATCCTGGCTAACACAGTGAAACCCCATCTCTACTAAAAATACAAAAAAATTAGCCGGGCATGGTGGCCGGCACCTGTAGTCCCAGCTACTCAGGAGGCTGAGGCAGGAGAATGGCTTGAACCCGGGAGGTGGAGCTTGCAGTGAGCCAAGATAGCACCACTGCACACCAGCCTGGGAGACAGAGTGAGACTCTGTCTCAAAAAAATAATAATACAATTAAAAAAATAAAAATAATGACAGACATCTGACTACCCATCTTCTGTTCTCATTCAACTTGGCAAACTGGATTTCATTAATCTCACTCTTAGAATTTAGACCAAATACTGTCAATGAACGACACCTTCCCTAAAGGTTCCAGTGGAATAGACAAATAAATTGAATGTGTTCAACAGTTACATTGGAACAGAAAGGTTATTTTGATTAAATGCCACAGGTCAACATGCAATCCTTCTGTAGTGTCCTCTGCACTCAAACAAACCCTCGGCACATAGGAAACCACTCCTCAGGGAACTCAGAAGGATTATTTGAGACATGCTGTTTCTCTATGCCTAATAAATACTAACCCATCCTCAAAAGAACCCCGTCCAGAGAGCCCAAGTCTGAGGAGACAGTGGGAACAGCATACCCAGACTACACTGACTACTATAATCTAACTATTTAACACATTCAATTTTCCTGTCTATTCCAACCTCACCAATATAAAACCAGCCCCTTACACAAGTTCCGCCTGTTCCATATTTGGTGGCCATTTTGGCCTCCCATTACCCTCTTCTGAACCCACAGAAGGTGCCATTCATACCACTTAGGGGCAATTATGATTGCAGTGTTTGAATTACTGCTTTCCCAATTTCTTCTCACCACATGGGTCCAGGAAGAGTCATTCCTCTTCTTGCCCTCTATACCCCCAATTCCTGGTGGATCTAACACCAGGAACACCAAATTCTTGGTCTCAGTTTCATCTCAGTAACTAAGCCAATTTTGGATGAGGATAGAAATTTATAAAAGCCTCAGCCGAACACGGTGGCTCATGCCTGTAATCTCAGTACTTCGGGAGGCCAAGGCGGGCAGATCACTTGAGGTCAGGAGTTTGAGAAAAGCCTGGCCCAACATGGTGAAACCCCTTCTCTACTCAAAATACAAAAAAAAATTAGCCAGGTATGGTGGCTGGCTACTGTAATCCCAGCTACTCATGAGGCTGAGGCACGAGAATCACTTGATCCCAGTAGGCAGAGGTTGCTGTGAGCCGAGATTGCACCACTGCACTCCAGCCTGGGCAGTAGAGCAAGACTCTGTCTCAAAAATAAATAAATAAAAAATAAAAATTACAAAAGCCTAGTTTGTACCCATCTTGTGGGAGCTCTGAATCTGTCCCCCTTTTTTCCTCCCAGCCTAATTCTAATCTACCCAGAGGCTGCTGAGACGTCATCACCTCCAGGCAGCCTTCCTTGATTTACCTTCCCTAACTTAACACAGCCCTCCCTCTATGTTCTCACGGTCCCCTTGCCTCTGTTTGTAGTACAGTGCTATTACACCATGTTATGGTTGTCTGTTTATAATTCTGTCCCTCCACCAGACTGTGACAGTTGAATCATACTGTATCTGGACAGAGATTGTGTTTTCTTTTCTCTGAGACCCTAGCACATAGCACAGTGCCCGGTACACAGTAGTTGCTTTTGTAGTGATTGTGAAAGTCATAGACGAAAGCTTCTCATTGGGTTTTCTGCACTGCAGTGTCAATCATTGCCAGCTCCTTCCTCATATCTCCATCTTTTAGGGACACATTTTCTCCCTGTTTTTCTGCCTCCCAGATGGAAGCCTGAAATGAATCAGCCTCTGCTAGCTACTCCCCTGCCTGGGTTGACTGGACGAACTGCTTTCTCCTGAATCATTTCCATAACTGTGATATTTTCTCAAGTCCCTCCCTCTGTCCAAATAAGCAAGTTTTCTTCTAATTCCATCATCCCCCCTTTCTCCAGTCTATGAGTTCAAAATCTAAGATGCTGCTATTTTAACTCACGAGACTTTTCCTTGTGAGTCTGACAAATTGATATCTTCTTGTGCCACTTATCTTTGTTTTCATAATTCAGTACTGGGCACCTTTTGGAATAGACTAATTCATCTGCTCACGGACTGCGGATTTTCTCTCCCTTCACCCTGATGTTGACTTTTCTAGGAGGAGGTGTTGAGAAGGGAGCCTTCCATTTTCTGCAGAGGATCTGCAGGGTTTATCCGCAGCCAAGCCCTAAAGAATCTCTGCAAATCAGCTTAGACATAGAACAGTGGTTAAGAAGCATCACTGTGGACAAGCACCACCGGGAAATGCTCAATGACGCGAGGTGTCCGTGGCCCCCTTCAGAGATTCAAATTCAATACTTCTTAGGAGGGTTCAGGAATCTGTGTATTCGATAAACACTCTCAGAAAATTCTGATGACAGTGTTGTGTGGCTCACAAGTTTACAAATGTCATTGTAGAATAGCGATTGGCTTTATCTCTGGTGAAGGGCAGGCAATAGGAGAAGTCCCCATGGCAGTTCCATCTAAGTAGGTTAGAGAATGGTCCATGTTGGAAATTTGCATTTCACCTAGGAGATGGCATGCATACTGGCACGAGCACAGATTTTGGAGACAGATAGGAGAGAATCCTGCCCAGGGTACACACTGGCTGTGTTAGTTTGAGACTGCCGCTTAACCCTTTCTTAACACCAATTTGCTGATATGTAAGCTGAGATTTATTTTTCAGTGTTTTTTATTTTTTTTAATTTTATTTATTTATTTATTTTTTTGAGATGGAGTCTCGCTCTGTCTCCCAGGCTGAAGTGCAGTGGCGCAATCTTGGCTCACTGAAAGCTCCACCTCCCGGGTTCACGCCATTCTCCTGCCTCAGCCTCCCGAGTAGCTGGGACTACAGGCGCCCGCCACCACGCCGGGCTAATGTTTTTGTATTTTGTTTAGTAGAGATGGAGTTTCACCGTGTTAGCCAGGATGGTCTCGATCTCCTGACCTCTTGATCCGCCCACCTCGGCCTCCCAAAGTGCTGGGACCACAGGCGTGAGCCACCTCACCCAGCCACTTTTCAGTGTTTTTGAGAGACTCAGATAAGAAAATTGAGTAGTTACCAGAGTTCCTAGCATGTAGCAGGCATTTGATAAGTGATGACTTATTTTCATATTATTATTGTTAATATCCCTTTAAATTCCAATGACCAGATTCTAGTAAAAAGTGAATTGGAACAAGGAAGATCTTCCAGAATCCTACGCCCTCCTCCCCACTCCACTTTCTGCTTCTCCCTCCTGGTTTTGGTTCCTCTTTAAGTGGTAATGCCGGTTTCAGATGAGATGTTCCCTGTCTTGTATTTTAAATACCGTAGGAAGTCAGATTTTGACAGCTCTCGTCCGCACAAATGCGATGCCGGGAGAAGGGATGTGGAGGAAAGCAGAGGTTCTTTCTCTGCCCGCGTGGAAGTGTGCAAAGTGGCTGATTAGCCAGATATTTTTAAAGTTTCATAGGTGTGAGGCAGCCTCCGCTAACAAGCCTTTTAGGGGATTTCTCAAATCTAAAGTGAAGGGTGCCAAGAGTGGAACATGACCTTGGGGCTTTCCTGTACATGTTAACTAATATTACAAAGAAGACTCCGAAAATGCTCTGAAGTCAACTTCTGCAGGAGAGGGGGGAACAGGTGAGGCTCTGTGGACCGGGAAGGGAGAGTTAATGATGGCTGCTATAAATAGATTCCTTCCGAAGACTGGGGCAGAATATCATGGGTAGTTTGCTAAGAGCATAAAATGGAGGGCTCTGAGCCAGAAATCAGCTCAAGAGTCCTTATGACACTGTTTTATTTGGGGACAAAAGCTAAGGACAATCATGCATAGTCACCAAAGCACAAGGCTGATGGAGCTCCAGCCCCACTGCCCCCTCCTCACAGTAGCCCCCACTGACAACTCTTTCAGGAACCAAATCTGTCATAAGTGAAGAGCTGCTGGCACATCGACTCACACCTAGTGGGTGCCAACCCTCGCACCTGACAGTTCGTTTAGACTAATTCCATCCTCCCTTTGAGATTTTGGTGGAGGCATCCTGTTTCTATTTTATCGACTGTGTAACTTTTGCCTTACAGAGCCCAAGAAATGTTCTAAAGCTCACACCAATAAGATTATGTTGGTGCAAGAGTAATTGCAGTTTTGTCGTTACTTTTAGAGGCAAAAAACGCAATTACTTCTGCACCAACCTAATTAGTGGCAGGCAGGATTTGGACTCAGGACTCCCTGTATTCCTAGCAGCTGACTTATTATGACATTGATATAAACCCTGAGGCCTACTACGTCTGCAGAATGTGCCATCCACACCACTTAGGTACAATGATAACTGCAGTGTTTGAATTACTGTTTCCCCAATTTCTTCTCACATGGATTTAGGAAAAGGCAGTCCCTTTCCTGCTTTCTATTCCCCAAATACCCAGTGTTAGTCTCATCTCAGTAACCAAGCCAATTTTGGATGACGCTAGAAATTTATAAAAGCCTCATTTCTAACATCTTGTGGGGGTTTGGTTCTGAATCTGCAGGTGAGTAACCAACTCTATCATCAGGCAACAGGCAATGATTGACATTGCAGTGCAGAAAAACCAACAAGAAGTCTTCATCCATGGATTCTGTGATCACTACAAAGCAGCCTCCATGTGCCAGGCATTGTGCTATGTGCTAAGGTTTCAGAGGAAATAAGGCACAATCTCTGTCTTGACACAGTATGTGTCAACTGCACAGCCTGGTGGAGGTACGGTAGCAGAAACACAGGTGGATGAGACTGGCTCTTTGGAAAAAAAATAAAGAGGGATGCCACAGAATCCAAGGGGATTAAAAAGGCAAAACTAGGATTCCAACAGGGGTCAGATTCCTCTCAATGGGGTGGGGAGAAACGCAGATAAAGGCTGGACATGGTGGCTCATGCCTATAACCCCAGCACTTTGGGAGGCCAAGGCAGGTGGATCGCCCGAGGTCAGAAGTTCAACACTAGCCTGGCCAACATGGTGAGACCCCATCTCTACTAAAAATACAAAAACTAGCCAGGCATGGTGGCGCACACCTATAATCCCAGCTACTCAGGAGGCTGAGGCAGGAGAACGGCTTGAACCAGGGAGACGGAGGTTGCAGTGAGCCAAGATGGTACCACTGCACTCCAGCTTGGGTGACAGAGCAAGACTCTGTCTCAAAAAAAAAAAAAAAAAAAAAAAAAGAAAAAAAAAAAGAGAAGAAATGCAGATACAGACACACTGTGCATTGCAGTTGAAGATCCAGGTAGCAGGTGATACAAGGGAGGATTCATGGAATATATGGCTATCGCAGTAGGATCTTTCCTGGTAGGCAAAGAGTCATGCCTGAGCAAGCAAGCAAGCATTAATGGCAGAGCTCAGGGTTGAATGGAAACTTTTGTTGCCGTGTCAGGAAACTGAGGCCAAAACTAAGGTGAATGGACTGAATCCTGATGGAACTGGGGAAAAGAGTGTCAATAAAAGGTGTGATTCAAGGTTCCTTGGGGATGCAGCAGGCTCAGTGCCAGGTGCTTTTTCAGGCCAACCAGCTGTTGAACTTGAGGGTTTCTATATCTTTTTGGATCCAGTCTTTTTCTTTCTTTCTTTTCTTTGGAGACTGAGTCTCTCTCTATTACCCAAACTGGAGTGCAGTGGCATGATCTCAGCTCACTGCAACCTCTGCCTCCCAGGTTCGAGTGATTCTCTTGCCTCATCCTCCTGAGTAGCTGGGACTACAGGGTGCACCACCACGCAGGGATAATTTTGGTATTTTTTTAGTAGGGATGGAGTTTCACCATGTCGGCTAGGCTGGTCTTGAACTCCTGACCTCCAGTGATCTGCCCTCCTCAGCCTCCCAAAGTGCTGGGATTACATATGTGAGCCACCGTCCTTGGCCTCTGGACCCAGTCTTAATCCCCGTTGTATACCCTCAGTACTTAGCACAGTGCCTGAAACATAGTGTTACTCAGGCTCCTGCTTCACTGTGAGTCTCCTTCACCAGTGTGCATGGGGAGGAAATAGGAGCCAGGAATCCTAGGTTTAAGAGCTCATTCTAAATAATGGCATTTGCAGCAACCTGGATGGAATTGAAGACCATTATTTCTAAGTGAAGCGACTCAGGAATGGAAAACAAAACACCGTATGTTCTCCACTCGTAAGTGGGGGCTAAGCTATGAGGATGCAAAAGCAAAGAATGATACAATGGAAAGGGTGGGAGGGGGGTGAGGGATAAAAGACTACCCATTAGATACAGTGTACACTGCTCAGGTGATGGGTGCAGCGAAATAATTAGAAGTCACCACCAAATAACTTAACCATGCAACCAAACACCACCTGTTTCCCAAAAAACTACTGAAATAATAATAAATAAACAAATAGGTTGGGTGTGGTGGCTCACGCCTGTACTCCCAGCACTTTGGGAGGCTGAGGCTGGTTGGATCACTTGAGGTCAGCAGTTCAAGACCACCCTGGCCAACATGATGAAACGGCATCTCTTCTAAAAATACAAAAAATAGTTGGGTGTGGTGGTGTGTGCCTGTAATCCCAGTTACTCGGGAGGCTGAGGCACGAGAATCACTGGAACCCAGGAGACAGAGGTTGAAGTGAGCTGAGATTGTGCCACTGCACTCCAGCCTGGGCAACAGAGGGAGACTCCATCTCAAAAACAAAAACAAAACAAACAAACAAATAAATAAATAATAAAAATGGAAATGAAAAAAGAAGCAACAAAGGGGAAAAATCTCACTTTCTAAGAAGTCAGGGGAAGTAAGAGAGCACTCTAGATGGACCGGAAGATCATAAAGAAATTAGTCTTTGTGTCAGATTACCTTTGTGTATATTGTATGTCTATCAAAATTTCCCCCACACATGTCACAACAGTTTTGTGCCTTAATTGCTTGGCTGAGTATTATGTGATAGGTAAATAAACCAGTATGGACCAAGGATGATGAAGCAAAGAGTGACAATAGTGACCCAAAAAAGAAAAAAAAGAGTGACAATAGTGACCACCAACAATAAAAAAGAGCATTGAGGGGCCCTATGCAGCCTTCATGTAAGGGATACCCTGATCCAGTTTCATCAAAGATCCAAGGATCCAATTGACTAGTACCTTTCCCTTCCTCACTTTGTGTTATCCAGGCCTGAACTACGTATCATATAAAAACCCCTAGAACCAGGCAAATCTCTAAAATCCAGAAGACACTATTCAAACACATCAGATAAAATAAATACTATTTAGACATGAAAAAAAAAAACAAAAAAAACTCTTTCTGCCAGTGAGTTCTCAGTAGACCTTGAGGAAGCCCACCGACTTCTCTGCAGAGTTTCTTCATCTGCAGAATTTGTAAAAATTCCTTCTGGGGCTGTGCAGAAAAGACATAAGCATGTTCCTTATCTCTCAACCGTCTGGGGCACAGCCCAAAGTGGTGAATCTTAAAACTTGAAATATCTTTGAAGTCTCATACTTTATCTTAAAAAAAATCACATATATTCTGTATTCTGCACCATAATATATTCCTATTCTGCACCATAATATATTCCAGTTTGCTTTAACGTAAAATAATGTGGTTTCCCCCCCAAATTGAGTATGCTTGATAATCTAGAAAGATGCCTTTCTTCCCCTATTTTCATATGCCTCCCGGTACACTCTGTGCCCCAGTTTAAAAGCCTTTTGAAAAGAATAAAGCAAAAATAAAAGAAAACTATAAAGCACTGAACAAGTGCAGGGCATTCTTAGGTTCTTATTTATTAATAAATAATTGTTTTAAATAATTAATACCAATCACATCCACTTAAATGGCCCAAGTCCTTCAGGAATTAGAGACAGCCTCAGCCACAGCTAAAGAAAAACACAGCTGGAAAGAGAATATCTTCCTTTTGGACTCCGCTCTGGTGAATGTTTTTCTCTCCAGTACTGCTGGCTTCTAGGTTGGGCTCCATTTTCAATCACACCTGATAGGACCAGGACAATCAACAGCAGCAGCAACAGAAAAACAAAACCTCGACTCACTCCATGGCACACCACCATGTGAAGCATTGTGCTAAATATCTTACAAGGGTTATTGCATTTCTTCCTCATCACAGAACTACATCATAGGTATTATGTGCAATTTGCAGAAAAGGACACTGAAGCTCAGGGAGTTAAGGAGTTCTTCCAAGGGCACACAGGTAGGTAGAGGTGCAAACAGCACCATTTCCAAAGCAGAAGTCTGCAAACTAACAGCTACATCCTATCCCATGGGTCAAATCTAGCTGCCACCCCTAAAGTTTTATTAGAACACAACTACACCTCTCTATGTATGCATTGTCTATGTCTACTTTTGTGCTGTAATGGCATACAGGAGCTGTCGCTAAAGAGACCCTTTGGCCCTCAGAATATAAAATATTTAGTACATGACCCCTTACAGAAAAAGATGGCCAACCCTCATCTAGAGCTCTCACTATTCATCACAGTTATTATTTGTCACAGAGGTTCTGTCTCCCGGGACCCTGATGCCGATGTCTTACAGAACACAGAACCATCCAAGATCCAAGAGCACCGTTTGGTTCAGAAGAGGAAAGGCCCGGATGGGAGGGCATCGTCCTTGTCTGCTTTGCTTCCAAACTGTGCATCCGCAAGGCTCTGCCATTACCTCACCTGCCGGTTCTCAGGACTAATGCTCCAGTGGCCTATTGACGACTCACCTCAGATTCCTACCACTTGCTGAAACTCCTTCCGTGGCTCGGGTGGCTGTGGTGGCCACCCGATCACATCCCAGTTGCTTCCCAGGTAGCCTGGTGATCACATCCCAATTCCTTCTCGTGGCATTGGAAGGTTTTTCATGACCAAGTGAGTTTACGTTTTTCTACTTTTTTTTTTTTTTTTGAGATGGAGTCTTGCTCTGTCGCCCAGGCTGGAGTGCAGTGGCATGATCTCAGCTCACTGCAACCTCCACCTTCCAGGTTCCAGAGATTCTCCTACCTCAGCCTCCCGAGCAGCTGGGACTACAACCACGCGCCACCACGCCAGGTTAATTTTTGTATTTTTTAGTAGAGACGTGGTTTCATCATATTCGCCAGGCTGGTCTCGAACCCCTGACCTCGTGATCTGCCCACCTTGGCCTCCCAAAGTGCTGGGATTACAGGTGTGAGCCACTATGCCTGGCTGGTTTTTCTACTTTCAGTCTTTGACTTTTTTTTTTTGATGGGGGTGGGGGCGGAAATTTTTGTCTTTCTCCAACATTGCCGTATCTCTCAGTACCCTCCTAAAATATTTCTCTTTCGCATAAGAGGTGGGTTGCTGATAGGTTCAGTCAGAGCTCAGGTTCATGCGCACTGGTCAGTGGAGCTCCTGAGCCTTTGGAGACTCTGTGTGGTCCACCTCTGGCAATGACTGCTCCCAGGCGATGGAAACACACACTCGCTTCCTCTTCCCTCTGCCCCCCTTTCCCTGTTCTTCACCGGTAGGTAAGTTAGGGCAGGTTCTCTTCTGTACTTCCACATTCCATAGATTCAAAGGAGAATGAAGTTTGTTGTCCCATCAACTCAGCTCTCACTGGAGCTATGCAAAGGTCAAATATGGCATGCTGGCTAAGCCATGGAAAAAGGAATGAGGCTGCTGTGTGTAGAGATTGCTGTTGGGAAATGAAGACATGAGAAGGATGGGTGGCAGGATTTGACCATTACTCTGTCCCTGGATGAAAAGCACCATAATGGCCCCCACACTCACTTGGAAGTCCAATAGCCTTCATCTTCATGCCGGACACATAGAGGCTCATTCCATTCCCTAAGACTTTGTGGCTCTCTTCTCATTGCTCCCCTTTTAAATGAAATGCACCCTCCTCTTTCCTCTAATTGCTAACTCCTACTGATCTTAAAACCTCAATGCCAAGGCTGGGTGCGGTGGCTCATGCCTGTAATCCCAGCACTTTGGGAGGCTGAAGAGGGCGGATCATTTGAGGTCAGGAGTTCCAGACCAGCCTAGCCAATACAGTGAAACCCCGTCTCTGCTAAAAATACAAAAATTAGCTGGGTGTGGTGGCAGGCACCTGTAATCCCAGCTACTCAGGAGGCTGAGGCAGGAGCATCACTTGAACTCGGGAAGCAGAGATTGCAATGAGCCGATGTTGTGCCACTGCACTCCAGCCTGGGTGACAGAGCAGGACTCTGTCTCAAAAAAAATAACAACAACAATAAAAATCTCAAGGCCAGATTTGTGTTTCTTTGGGGGTTGTCTTCTATGACGCCCCAGTAAAATTTGTGTGTTTCTCCCCCAGTTTCCAAAAACTTCCTGTACCTGCTCTGGTTCTGGCCTTGACCCCATCTTTTTGCAGCTGTGAATTTACTTCTCTATACTCCCATTAGCCAGGGAACTGTTTGAGGGTGGATATTCTGTTTTATTTATCTCCCACTCCCCCAAATTAGCACAACGGCTGGCATAGAGTGTGCATAACACTTAGAATACACGTGACTACAAATAACAGACTTCTTAACTAATGGTGGCTTTAAAAAAAAGAACATCTCATGTGTACTTAAAGGGAAGTGCAGCCGTAGGTCGTCCCTGGGTTGGGTTGGACTCTCCGAAATGTCATTTCAGATGCAGACGTTTCCACGTTTTCCATGTTGCACTTTCTGTGCTGGTGAGGTTTCCCTTCACAGTCACAAGGTGGGTGTCTCTGTCTAGGCATCATATCCTCCCATGACAGCGTCCCAAAGAGGTAGCAAGGGGGCTTCAGGGGTGCCACAGAACTTCTAATTTTTTTCATTTTAAGTTCAAGGGCACCTGTGCAGGATGTGCAAGTTTGTTACATAGGTAAATGTGTATGATGGTGGTTTGCCACACAGATCTTCCCATCACCCAGGTATGAAGCCCAGCATCTATTAGCTATTCTTCCTGATGCTCTCCCTCCTCCCCCTCCCAACCTCCAACAGGCCCCAGTGTGTGTTGCAGAATATTTTTCACATGTGTGGTTTTTCTTATTTTTCTGGGAGGTAGTTACCGGACACCATCACCCCCTTAAGCTGATTTTTCTGCATGTTTTTTTTTGTTTTATTTTTTATTTTTTGAGATGAAGTTTTGCTCTTGTTGCCCAGGCTAGAGTGCAATGGTGCGATCTTGGCTCACTGCAACCTCCACCTCCCTGGTTCAAGTGATTCTCCTGCCTCAGCCTCCCAAGTATCTGGGATTACAGGTGCCTGCCACCATGCTGGACTAACTTTTTTGTATTTTTAGTAGAGACGGACTTTCACCATGTTGGCCAGGCTGGTCTCAAACTCCTGACCTGAAGTGATGGACCTTCCTCGGCCTCCCAAAGTGCTGAGGTTTCAGGCGTGAGCCACTGCGCCCAGCCTTCTGAATGTCTTACTGACCACAGTTGGGTTACATGCTCTCTGTTAAACCAGGATCTGGCTAAGGGGAACCTCTCAATGGTGATTGGTTTATAATAGTTTATAAATGTTTATCAGGGGAGGCAAGGGGAGTGGATGCTCTTATTGGACATTTTCAAATAATAACAACCTTAACCCCAACTATCTGTTCACTCCCTAAATTCTGCATGCAGGGGGCAACTTATATTCCAAGAATCATTTTCATCAATAAAGGATGGGGGCTTCCCTGGCCCAGTTTTACAAAGGGGTAATTTTCTAGTCAGAGGAAGCAGGGGAAAAGCCTCACTCTTGGAAACTCCATTCTCTCCCAGATAGAGTATAAAAGAAATACAATGGGAAAAACACTGCTAGAGCCACCATGGACCACACAGACCCCCTGATACTTCTGGAAAAGATTTTAGTTCTCTTCAGTTTAATCATGCTTATTGAGGATCTACTAAGTGCCATTCCCAGTCTCAGCCATAAACAGGCAGAGCCCTGCCCTTCATGAAGTTTACATCAAGGAGAGATTCACAGTGGACAAAGAAGATGAAGGAGCCTGTTGGTCATTGATGGTTGTGTTGTGGGATTTATTCTGATTCATTCACCTATTCATTGATTAAATATTTATTGTAAACCTGCTGCATGCCGACCACTGTTGTCTATGTATTGGAGATCCAGTGATGAACAAATCAGATAGGATTTTTGCTCCCATGAAGTTTATGGTCTAGAGCAGCGGTCCCCAACCTTTTTGGCGCCAGGGACTGATTTCATGGAAGACAATTTTTCCATGAACAGGGGATAGGGGGTTGGTTTCAGGATAATTCAAGCATATTACGTTGACTATCAGATTCTCATAAGGAGGCCAGGTATGGTGGCTCATGCCTGTAATCCCAGCACTTTGGGAGGCCGAGGTAGGCGGATCACCTGAGGTCAGGAGTTCTAGATCAGCTTGGCCAACATGGTGAAACCCCATCTCTACTAAACATACAAAAAAAAAAAAAAATAGCCAGGCACCGTGGTGGGCACATTTAATCCCAGCTACTTGGGAAGCTGAGACAGAAGAATCGATTGAAACCGGGAGGCAAAGGTTGCAGTCAGCCAAGACCCACTGTTCAACTCCAGCCTGGGCAACAAGAGCAAAACTCCATCTCAAAAATAATAATAAAAAAAAATTCTCGTAAGGAGCACGCAACCTAGATCCCTCTCATGCACGGTTTACAATAGGATTTGTGCTGCTATGAGACTCTAATGCCTCTGCTGATCTGGCAGGAGGTGGAGCTGAGGTGGTGATGCTCACTGGCTTCCTGCTGTGCAGTGGGTTCCTAACAGGTCACGGACCAGTACTGATTTGTGGCCTGGAGGGTTGGGGACCGCTGTTCTAGAAGGAGACACAGATAATAAAGATATGAAAAGATAGATAAGAAAATGACATCCAAAAATAAATGCTTCTAGTAAACAGGGTAAACGATGGAAATGAACAGGAGTTTCTGCTTTTGACTTGGTAACGAAAGAAAGGCTCTCAGAACAGATTGGACTTGACCTGAGACCAGAAGGGTATGAGAGATCCAGTGACATAGGAAGGTGTGTGAACACCTGTGTGTGTGTGTGTGTATGTGTGTGAGAGAGAACACTGACTCTGGGCAGAGAAAATTGCCAGAGTAAAGGAATGGAGATAGGAAATAATTTTGACTGTTCAAGGGTTGTGCAGTTTGTCTGATGCAGAGTTAGCGAAGGGAGAGGCCGGGTGCAAGGTGAGGTTGCCGAGGAAAGCAGGGCCCTTTATGTAGGGCTCTGTAGGCAGTATTAAGATACTTCTTTAAAATACATTTTCCCTGCCTACTTTTGTGCTAGCATGAACAACATGGATAAGAAATGCATAAAATACTTTAAATAGCAGCTGTGGGGCTTGCTTGAGCACATTATTTGTTATTATGTTATTTGAATTGTAGGATGCAGCTCCCATGAATACTGCTGTTTGCACAGCCTTATTTGCTTGGTCTATCGTGGTCCTGGTTAATGCCGGCGTCTGTGCAATCTTCCTATGTTCTGTGGCTTCCCGAGAGAAGCCCCATCGTGGATTCAATAAAGCTAGCAATAAAGCCCATATTAAAAATGTATGCAGAGCTATATATGTCTATTTATAAGGTGCAGAATTGCAGCCCAAATGCATCCTTTCTCTCTCTTCAGAGGAATGTAAGTGGCCTGAACTATGTTACATGAGGTTTCTCTCCCAACTTGACACCCCTTTTCATCACACTGCATACTGAAAGCTGAGCTAAGTGCTGTGCCAGCCCTGGGACCATTGCATATACATTGCCCCTTGGATCTGGGATGATTATTTATGCAGGAAATAGGAGATAAAGCATGCCTGGAAACATGCTATGATTCACAACTGAAAAAGGAAGAAGTAACTGGGAAACCACATGAATACAGAGATAGATGAGCTTTCTTGGAAGGCATTCTTTATATGAGAAGAGTTCAGTGAGGCAGCAGCATATAGGAAAAGAAGGCACCAGGCCAGGCACAGTGGCTCACGCCTGTAATCCCAGCACTTTAGGAAGCCGAGGCAGGTGGATCACCTGAGGTCAGGGGTTTAAGATCAGCCTGGCCAATATGGTGAAACCCCGTTTCTACTAAAAATCCTAAAAAATTAGGTAGGTGTGGTGGTGTGCACCTGTAATCCCAGCTACTCCAGAGGCTGAGGCAGGAGAGTCTCTTGAACCTGGGAGGTGGAGGTTGCAGTGAGCTGAGATTGCGCCATGCTCTCCAGCCTGACGACAGAGTGAGACTCCGTCTAAAAAAAAAAAAGAAAGAAAGAAAAGAAAAGAAGTCATCTACTACTGTATGATGTGTACCTACTATGCATCAGAGAATATTCTAGGAGATATAAATGTGCGTATATATATATGTGTGTGTATGTGTATATATATATATATATATATATATATATATATATATATATATATATATATACACACACATATATACAGGCACACCTTGAAGATGTTACAATTTCAATTCCAGACCACTGCAATAAATAAAATATCATAATAAAGTGAGTCACACAGATTTTTTTTTGGTTTCCTAGTGCATATAAAAGTTACAGTGAAACTATTCTGTGGACTATGAAGTATGCAACAGCATTATGTCTAAAAAAATACACATACCTTAATTTAAAATACTTTTGCTAAAAATGCTAATGATCATCTGAGCCTTCAGCAAATTGTCATCTTTTTGCTGGTGGAGGGTCTTGCCTCGATGGGGATGGCAAGGGGAGTTGACTGATCAGGGGAGCACTGGGCTAAACATGGGGGTGGCTGTGACAATTTCGTACAATAAGACAGCAATGAAGTTTGCCACACCGATGGACTCTTTCTTTCATTGAAGATTTCTCTGCAGCATGTGATGCTGTTTGATAGCATTTCACCCAAGGTAGAACTTCTTTCTTTTTTGTTGTTTGTTTGTTTGTTAGGTGGATTTTTTGTTCTTGAAACCCAGTCTCGCTTGGTCACCCAGGTTGGAGAGTAGTAGCACAATCTTGGCTCACTGCAACCTCTCTGTCCTGGGTTCAAGAGATTCTCATGCCTCAGCCACCCAAGTAGCTGGGATTACAGGCTTGCATCACAATGGCTGGATAAGTTTTGTATTTTTAGTAGAGACAGGGTTTCACCAGGTTGGCCAGGCTGGTCTCAAACTCCTGGCCTCAAGTGATCCACCAGCCTAGGCCTCCCAAAGTGCCAGGGTTACAGGCATGAGCCACGGCGCCCAGCCAGTAGAACTTCTTTCAAAATTTGTCAGTCCTTTCCAACCCTACCACTGCTTTATCAATTAAGTTATGTAATATTCTAGATCCTTTGTTGTCATTACAACAATGTTCGCAGCATCTTTCCCAGGAGTAGATTCTAGCTTAAGAAACCACTTTACTTGCTCACCCATAAAAAACAAGTCCTCATTCATTAAAGTTTGATCATGAGATTGCAGCATTTCAGTCACATCTTCAGGCTCCCCTTCTAATTCTAGTTCTCTTGCTGTTTCCACCACATCTGCAGTTACATCCTCCAGTGAACTCTTGGTCCCTCTAACTTATCCGTGACAGTCGGCCTCAACTTCTTCCAAACTCCTGCTAAATATTGAAATCTTGACCTTCTCCCATGAATCATAAACATTCTTAATGGCATCTAGAATGGTGAATTTTTCCAAAAGGTTTTCAATTTTACTTTGCTCAGATCCATCAGAGGACAATATCTATGGCAACCATGGCCTTACAAAACGTATTTCTTAAATAATAAGACTTGGAAGTCAAAATTACTCCTTGAGCCATGGACTGGAAAATGCATATTGCATTAGCAGGCCTGAAAACAGTGTTAATTGCCTTGTACATATCCACCAGAACTCTTGGGTGATTGGGTGCATTTTTAATGAGCAGTAATATTTTGAAAGGAATCTTTTTTTCTGAGTAGTAGATCTCAACAGTGGGCTTTAAAAATTCAGCAGACCATGCTATAAACAGATGTGCTGTCATCCAGGCTTTCTTGTTTCATTTATAGAGCACAGGCAGAGTCAGGCTTTCTTGTTTCATTTACAGAGCACAGGCAGAGTAGATTCAGCTTATTTCTTAAGAGCCCTAGGATTTTCAGAATGGCAAATAAACATTTACTTTAACCTAAAGTCATCAGCTGCATTAGTCCCTAACAAGAGAGTCAGCCTCTTTTTTGAAGCTTGAAGCCGGACTCTCACTTCTCTCTAGCTGTGAAAGTCCTAGGTGGAAAGTCCTAGAGGTATCAGTCAGGAGAGTCTACATGATGCCACAGTAACAAACAAGCCCAAAAATCTTAGTGGGCTGAAACAACAAAGTGAGTTATTTCTCAGTCACATTAAGTGTTCACATTTGATGGAGATGGGTGTGAGGACGGCTCAACTTATTGTGGTCAATGAGGAGCAAAGGCTGAGTTGAAAAAGACTCCATTTCTCTGCTCCTCACTGTCAGAGGTGGGAGGAAGGGGCACAGCACAAGCCACACATCTGCCTTTAAAGCTTCTGTCCGGAAGGGACCCATGCCATTAGCCAAATGGACTCACATAACCATTCACAATTTCAAATACATGAAGTACAAGCCTACCAAGTGTGCAAAGTGAGAAGAGAGCAAGAATACTTGTACAGCGCCTCTAATGCCTACCAGTGAGGTGCTAAGTGTTACCCTATATTCTGATTGTGTCAAAGGAAGTAGCTTTGAGCTTGGAGGGAGTCCTTGGGTTTTAGGTAAAACCCAAGTCCTTATGAAAGGAGGAAAAACAACATTAGTGAGAAATCCTGGGCCCCTGGGCATTCAGAGTATGCCTGGCAGCAGCAGCTCTGAGAGAGGAGTTAAACTCTCCCTGTGTCAATGACTACTGAGGATCCAGAGATGTCCCCGAGGAGAGGCCGTTCTGAGAAGGCTGTTGGTTAAAACTGAGGAGCTCCAGCACCAAAAGAACTGAACCTTCCTTGTGTGCATGTCTGTGTGCCAGGATGACCAGACCTTGGGGACCACACCAGCCATGTGGGAGTAGTAAGGCATCCTAGACACATTTTCCCTCTTCTTGACCCAGTTTTCTACATGGATTCTCTTCCCTGTGAATGGCACCAAGGTTCACACAATCTGGAAACCTGGGAGTCATTATTATACCCCCGGTCTCTCTCTCACCTCTTACATCTTCTCTTTGGCCATGTCTGGGAATGTCGTTTGAATTCTTTCCCTCCTCTCCACATTTTGCTCTGGGGGTGTTTCCTCACTATGTCCCATCCCAATAATCCCAACAGTCTCCTTACAGGTACCCTGCCTTAGGCCAGAGTAATGACCTTTCCAAAGTCTAAATCTAGCTGTGCTTTTTCCCAGATTAAAATCCTTCTTTTCTTCTCCCGTTCAATGATCCCATTCAAACACTACTTACGGAACACATAGTATGTACAAGCACTTAGTTGGCTTTGGGATTATGGTAGTGTCAAAGTTAGCACCCTCACTATCTTTGTAGAATTTAAAGTCTAGGCCGGGCACGGTGGCTCACGCCTGTAATCCCCGCACTTTGGGAGGACGAGGCAGGTGGATCACGAGGTCGGAGATCGAGACCATCCTGGCTAACACGGTGAAACCCCGTCTCTACTAAAAATACAAAAAATTAGCCGGGCGTAGTGGCGGGCGCCTGTAGTCCCAGCTACTTGGGAGGCTGAGGCAGGAGAATGGCGTGAACCCGGGAGGTGGAGCTTGCAGTGAGCCAAGATTGCGCCACTGCACTCCAGCCTGGGAGACAGAGCGAGACTCCGCCTCAAAAAAAAAAAAAAAAAAAAAAAAGAATTTAAAGTCTAGATAAGAAGACTAAATTAGTTAATCACACAAGCATGTGTAAAGGGGTAATTGTGATAAATTCTACAAATTATTTGAAGAAAATAAGGTGTAGGTAATTAATTATTTTTAAAAGGTATCCAGATTGGAAAGAAAGAAGAAAAACTATCCCTATATGCAGATGACATGATTTTCTATAAAGAAAATAATAAGGAATCCACACCTAAAAATACCAAAACCTGTTAGAGCTAATAAATAAGCTCAGCAAGTTTGTGGGATACAATATGAATAATCAGTTATATTTTGATACACCAGTAATGCAAAATCTGAAATTTAAGATAAACATCTCATTGACCATAGCATCAAAAAGAATATAATACTTAGGAATATATGAACAAAAAAAGTATAAGAGTCTTACCCTCCGAAACTATAAATGATGGTTAAAGAAAATTAAACATGTCTTGAATGGAAAGACGTCCTGTGTTCATGGACTGGAAGACTTAGTGATGTTTGAATGATAGTAATCCTTAAAGTTACTTATATCATCAATTCAAGTCTTATTAAGATTCTGGACTTTTTTTTAGTAGAAATTGGTCAGCTGATTCTAAAACTTATACAGAAATGTAAGTACCTTGGGGCCAGTAAAAACCATCTTGAAAAAGAACAAAGTTGGTGGACTCACATTTCCCATTTCAAAACTTACTACAATGCTATAGTAATCAAGATTGGGTGGTAGTAGCATAAGAATAGACATATAGATCAATGGAATATAACAGAGCACCTAGAAGTAAACTCCCACATTTATGGCCAATTGATTTTCAACGACAATGACAAAACCTTTTTTTTCTGAGACAGAGTCTTGTTCTGTCGTCCGGGCTGCAGTGCACTGGAGCTGCCATTCTGGTTCACTGCAACTTCTATCTCCTAGGTTCAAGTGATCCTCCTGCTTCAGCTTCCTGAGTAGCTGGAATTATGGGTGCATGTCACCATACCCTGCTAACTTTTGCATTTTTAATAGAGACAGGGTTTCGCCATGTTGCCCAGGCTGGTCTCAAAGTCCCCAGCTCACATAATCCACCCGCCTCGGCCTCCCAAAGTGCTGAGATCACAAGCGCGAGCCACCGCACCTGGCTGACAAAACCATTTAATGGGGAAAAATAGTATTTTCAACAACTGAATATCCATATGCAAAAGAATGAAGTCAAACCCTTACTCCACATCATATGTAAAAATTAACTCAAAATTGGTCAAAGACCTAAATTGAGAGTTAAAACTATAAACTCTTAGAAGAAACATTGTTATAAATATTTGTGGCCTTGAATTAGGCAATGGTTTCTGAGCTAAGACACTTAAACCACAAGCTACAGAAGAAAAAAATAGATAAATATAACCTCATCAGAACTAAAAACTGTCCTTCACAAAGGACACAAGAAAGTGAAAAAAATGACCCACAGAATGGAAGAAAATATTTGCAAAGCATGTATCTGATAAGATTCTAGTACCCAGAATATATAAATAATTCTTATAATTCAACAATAAAAAGACAAATACACCACCAAAAATGGTGTATTTTTAATTTTAATTTGTGGGGAAATTTTCAATGGACATTTTTTTCAAAGAAAATATACAAAAAGTCAATAAGGACATGAAAAAAATGCTCAATATTCGTGAAATGCAATTCAAAACCACAATGAGCTATTACTTCACACTCAGAAGGATAGCTATTATATAATATATAATTTATACGTAAATAATATATAATATATAAACAATATTAAAATAATATATTTATAATGATAATAATAAATTTTGGCAGAGATGTGGGGAAATTAGGACCCTTGTATACTGCTTGCCTCGTGGGAATAGTAAAATAGTGCAGTTGCTTTGGAAAGCAGAGTGGCAGTTTCTCAAAATGTTAGACATGAAATTATCATATGTCCCAGCAATTTCAATTTTAGGGATTTATACCCAAGAGAACTGACAACCCAGGTCCACACAAAAACGTATGTAGGAGTGTTTGTAAAAGCATACTCAGGGTAGCTTCAAAATGGAAGCTGCCCAAATATCTATCAACTGATGAGCAAATAAAGCAATTGGAGCATATACATG
Organism: Homo sapiens; assembly: GCF_000001405.40. Lineage (NCBI taxonomy): Eukaryota > Metazoa > Chordata > Mammalia > Primates > Hominidae > Homo > Homo sapiens. Next base: position 8,151,836 of record NC_000016.10, on the reverse strand, counting down.
AGATGGAATATTATTCAGCCACCAAAAGGAATGGAGCACTGATACTTCTACAACAGAGATGACCCTTGAAAACATGTAGGTGCTCTTCACAATGGCAAAGACATGGAATCAACCTAAGTGCCCATCAGTGATAGACTGGATAAAGAAAATGTGGTACACCATGGAATACCACGCAGCCATTAAAAGGAATGAGTTCATGTCCTTGCAGGGACACAGATAGAGCTGGAAGCCATTATCCTCAGCAAACTAATGCAGAAACGTAAAACCAAATATTGCATATTCTCACTTATAAGTGGGAGCTGAATGATGAGAACCTGTGGCCTCATGGAGGGAGACGACACATACTGGGGCCTTTTGGATGCTGGGGGGTGGGAGGAGGGAGAGCAACAGGAAGAATAACTAATGGATGCTGGGCTTAATACTTGGGTGATGGGATGATCTGTGCAGTAAACCACCATGGCACATGTTTACCTTTGCAACAAACCTGCACATCCTGCACGTGTACCCCTGAACTTAAAATAAAAGTTGGAAAAAAAAAACCTATGTTTGACATATATTAAGCATTCAATAAATATTTATTGAATTAATGAATGAAAAAAAAGACAATGTGCTAGGTAAAAGAAGCCAGATACAAAGGTATACAAGTCATGTGATTCCACGCATATGAAATGTCTGAAACAGACAAATTCATAGAGGCAATAAGTAGATAAGTGGCTGCTAGAGGCTGTGAGCAGTGAGAAATGGGGAGTTTCTTTTGGGGGTACTGAAACTATTCTGGCATTATATAGTGGTGATTATTGTTTATAACTTTTTGACTATGCTAAAAAAACCCCACTGAATTCTGTGGTATGTGGATTATATGTGAATTAAAAAACTATATAGCTAGTCATGACCCAAAATGTCTAAAGTGGATTGCCTCTGTGTTTGTTGTTTGTTTATTTAAGTTAGGGTCTAGCTCTGTTGTCCAGGCTGGAGTGCAGTAGCACCATCACGGTTCACTGCAGGCTTGAACTCCTGGGCTCAAGTGATCCTTCCACCTCAGCCTCTTGAGTAGCTGGGACCACAGGTGCACATCATTGTGCCTGGCTTTAAAAAAAGAATTTCTTTTTTGTAGAGACCCAGGGGGTGGGGTCTCACCATGTTGCCATGGCTGGTCTTGAACTCCTATTGGACTCAAACAATCCTCCAACCATGGTCTCCCAAAACACAGGGATTACAGGCGTGAGCCACTGCTTCCAGCCATGCTTCTGTGTTTAGATCTCAGCTCTGACATCGGCCATGAGATCTTGTACCCCATACCCATCTTTTTTTTTTTTTTTTGAGATGGAAGCTCGCTCTGCCGCCAGGCTAGAGTGCAGTGGCACAATCTCGGCTCACTGCAAACTCCACCTCCAGGTTCAAGTGATTCTCCTGCCTCAGCCTCCTGAGTAGCTGGGACTACAGGCGCCCGCCACCACGCCAGGATAATTTTTGTATTTTTAGTAGAAACGGGTTTCACTATGTTGGCCAGGATGGTCTCGACCTCTTGACCTTGTCATCCACCCGCCTCGGCTTCCCAAAGTGCTAGATTACAGGGGTGAGCTACCATGCCCGGCCCTATACCTATCTTTTAAATGCATCAGTGCCCTAATCTCTGTAAGAGATAACAAAACAACATGTTGTCAGATTCCTGGAAGGACTGTATGAGTTTCTGCATATGTACAGCCTAGAACAGTCCCTGATATGCATTAGAGCTCAAAACATTGCTGTTCCTGGCCTGTAAGAGTTATAGTCTAGAAAAAGGCTTGACTCGCAAACAGAAAATGACAATACAGCATATCAAGTGCTGTGTTGGGGAGACACACCAAATATTTCCGGAACAGTTGGGCTGTTTGATCCAGCCTGGGGCAGCAGAGGAACCTTCCTGAAGGAGGTGATATCTTGGATGGGCTTAAGGACAAGAAGGAACCAAGCAGGCAAAGAAGATACAAGTAATTCATATAAAAGAAACAGCACATTCAAACACTCTAATTTGAGAGAAAGCGCATGTTGCCTTCCTGGAAGATACAACGGGAGACAGGAGAGAAGTGAGATTTGGGAGCTGGGGCATCCAGGCAGGGGTCAGACCACAAAAGCATTATACAATTTTGTTTTAAAGAACTGGACTTTATCTTGGGAACCACAGGGAGCCACTCAGGAATTTTAAATAGAAATGATAGAATCAGACTTGCACTTTATAAAGTTCCCTGTGCCCGTGAGGTGGTAAATATTTTAGGGATATGGAAAAATAAAAAAAGAAAGATGTACAAAGATCACTTGAAAGGCTGACCTGCTTTTACAGGCTGTGAAGATATAGAGCCAGCAAGCAGAAAGAAGTCAACAACAGGGGAGGAAGGTGGGAAGTGAAGCATTGTGCTGACCCAGGAGACTTCTGGGTCCCTGGCTTGGCTGAGAGCAGGTGGTGGTGCCACCTCTGAGATAAAGATCTAAGAGAAACGGGCAAGGAGGAGGAAAGAAAATGGTTTCCAGCTTGGGTAGAATGAGAATCAGCGGTCCGTGGGCTTCCAGATGCTGGGGCCAAGTCTGCAAAGCCATGGTCAACCACCCCATCTCTAAATTCAGGGATTCATTTTGTCTAAGAAGACAGAGTCTCATGAGTTCTAATACTTAAGTCATTATCAGTCACAGATAACTTGGTGTGAGCTTGTACAAGACACTCAGTTCTCAGAACTTCAGTTGTATTACCAGTAAATTTGGGTAAATGGCGATTCCTCCCCAATCCTGCTCACAGGGAGAGTCATGGGGATGAAGTGAGAGCCGTGTATAAAAGTGATTTATGGGTTGAAAAGTGTGGTATACACGAAAGGTGCTATCAATATAACAAATAATATAAATTATAGTTGTATGAATAATGAAGCATTTTTGAATGAGTTTTCTTAAAGAATACAGGACCTGGATAAGTCATAATAATGTTAATTAATCTCCAGCGTCTATTTGACACTTTATTGTTTGGCACACTGCTTCCACGTTTCTTATCTGAGGAGATACTTACCTGTGTACTGAATAGGCTGATAATCATTTTGCAGATGAGGAAACAGAGATATAGAGAAGTTAAATAGATCTCTTAAGGTCACCCAGTTAGTAAGCATCAGAGATGGTCTCACTCCTAATCCAAGCACTTCCGTCTATACCACATGATCTGTTAAAAAGTAATTTGGGCTGGATGCAGTGGCTCACACCTGTAATCCCAGCACTTTGGGAGGCTGAGGCGGGTGGATCACTTGAGGCCAGGAGTTCAAGAACAGCCTGGCCAACATGGCAAAACGCCACTTATACTAAAAATAACAATATTACCTAGGCGTGGTGGCCCACGCCTGTAATCCCAGCTACTGGGGAGGCTGAGGCATGAGAATCACTTGAACCTGGAAGGTGGACGTTGCAGTGAGCTGAGCTCACGCTACTGCACTCCAGCCTGGGCAACAGAGTGAAACTCTGTCTGAAAAAAAAAAAAAAAAAAGCAATTTGAAGATCTGGTTCTCTAGATTCTAGATAACAGGTGTTAGGTTTATGGCAATTGCAGAGACTGCTACTGCCTACCTAACATCTATTCTTTCCTTGTTACTTAGAAAAAACGCTCTCATTATATTTGGTGCGGCAAAGTGCTCTGCTACAGTACTGTGTTACTACAATAACACATTACTACAATACCACATTGCTACAATACTATATTACTACATTCACTACAACACTACAACCTTCCTAGTGGCAAGGAGTGGCTATGCAACTCAGTTCTCTTCAATTATATGTAAATGAAAATGTACGGGATTTATGACAAAATGTTTTAGAAGAAGCTCACTTTGCTGGGAAGTGGATCCTTTTCCCTCTTCCTATTTCCTGCTGCCTGGGATGGGGCCATGATGGCTGGAGTTCCAGCAGCCGTTTTGGGACCACGAACTGACCCTGAGGATGAAAGCCTGAGTTCCTAAGCCATTCTGTCAGCCCTGAGCTGCCTGTCTCTAAACTTTATTTATTTATTTATTTATTTATTTATTTTGAGACGGAGTGTTGCTCTGTCACCCAGGCTGGAGTCCAGTAGCACAATCTCTGCTTACTGCAAGCTCCGCCTCCAGGTTCACGCCATTCTCCTGCCTCAGCCTCCCGAGTAGCTGGGACCACAGGCACCTGCCACCATGCCCGGCTAATTTTTTTCGTATTTTTAGTAGAGATGGGGTTTCACCATGTTAGCCAGGATGGGCTCGATCTCCTGACCTCGTGATCCGCCTGCCTTGGCCTCCCAAAGTGCTGAGATTACAGGCATGAACCACCACGCCTAGCCTCTAAACTTTATTTTTAATGTGAGGGTGGAACAAAGCTCTCCCTCATTTAAGCCCCCATCCTTTCCGTTTTTCTGTTAAATGCAGCCAAGCACAATCATAATTGATCTAAGAGTATCACATAGCATCTCTTTATGCAGGGTCTATAGTCAAGACACCCAACTTCTGGATACAGGAGAGAAGAGATTCTTTTCCACCAATATCTTATATTATTTTTCTTATTTTTCTTTCTTTCTTTCTTTCTTTTTTTTTTTTGAGAGCAAGTCTCACTCTGTCACCCAGGCTGGAGTGCAGTGGCGTCTTGGCTCACTGTAACCTCTGCCTCCTGGGTTCAAGTGATTCTCTTGCCTCAGCCTCCTGAGTAGCTGGGACTACAGGCATGTGCCACCATGCCTGGCTAATTTTTTTTCTATTTTTAGGAGAGACAGGGTTTCACCATGTTGGTCAGGCTGGTCTCCAACTCCTGACCTGAAATGATCCGTCCGCCTCAGCCTCCCAAAGTGCTGGGATTAAACGCGCCTGGCCCCAATCACTTATATTCAGATCTCAACTTGAAGTCAATTTTGCTGCTAGAGATGGTTTCACAGGGTGCTAAGGGTTGGACGGTAAACATCTCTCAATCCCCTCAATCCAAGGTCTTCCCTTGCAATATCCTCAGGCCATAGAATAACTATGCACATTTTCTCTGCGCTGTTGGCGCCCTTGCCTGGAGGAATAGCATTTCTTATCTTGCTCTTTCTAACGCCAGCCCAGCAGATTATCGGCTGCATCTAAATACACTCAATTATCATGAAGGCAAAAGTCTGGCTAGAACCCCCTGACCAGGCAAGTCAACTGGAGCAAATCGCTGTTGCATCGGAGCAAACCGAGGACCTAACTAGCGATCCGGAAAAGTTTAGGGGCAGCGGATCCTGCTCCACAGCTCAGATTTCCAGAGGCAGTTTAATTTCAACGTCAGCAGGATCCACACTGGCAGTCTCCAACCTCAACTTCAACTCCACGCTTGCTGACATTTTCCTTTCTTTCAAATTGGCAGCGGGAGCCAGGGAAAACCTAAATTTAACCTCCAGAGAATATACCACATGACATTTGTGGGCCTTACATGTTCGGTTTAAGACTTTGAAAGCTAATTTAGCCATGTGATGCATCCACAAGTGATGAGGGTTGATACACCTGAACTTCTGTCACTGTTAGCCACTGTGGTATCATTCTGTCTCTTGAGACTTCATTCTTTAATATCTGCTATCTTAAGCCCCCAGAGAATAGCACTAATGAGTATTTGAAAATGCCAGGTTCTTGGCACCATGTACTGATTAAAAAAAAGAAAAAACCCTGAATAACAGCCATCAGTGTAATGGTCACTCAGCGAGGGGTGTGGGGGATGCATTATGCATGACTTGCCTTGTCATTTCCATCTCTCCCCTGAATCCCCATATTCTAAGTACAGGCAATTAAGCAGCTCTTGGACCAAATCTTAATTAATTCCAGGCTCTGTGACCAAGGCCCTCAAATAAAATGCCATATAAGCAATACACACAAAAAAAAATCACTAAACCATAAGAGGAACAATAATATAAGGATTAGCTTTGAAGAGATCAATGATGGCTGCTTAGTGACAAATTTCTCTTTCTTAGTCTGTGCTTCCCTGCACATAACATTGCCATTCGAGTTTGAAATCTTAGGTGTGAGTTCCCAGAATCTACCATAACATATCTGAGACTGAGCAAATCCATTAGATAGCAGTTTCTTGGGGAAAGGAAACTGTCTTATTGTTCTTTGTATTTTCATCTAGGACATCATAGGTATTCACAAAGTACTGATGAAACTAAATACCATTTAATCAACTCTCCACATTCTTTTTTATTTTTAAAAATTTTATTGTATATATTTAAGGTGTGCAATGTGTTTTGATATACAAATAGATACTGAAGTGTTTACAGCCGTAAAGCAAATGAACGTATCCATCATCTCACATACCCATGTTTTTTTAATGTGGCAAGAGCACCTAAAATCTATTCTTATCACAAAAATCCCAAGTACAATACAGTATTATTAAGTATAGTGCTCATGTCGTACATAACATCTTTGGACTTCTTCATCCTACTTATCTGTTACTTTGTATTCTTTGACCTATATTTCCCCATTTCCTTCTGTCCCCTTTCCCCCATCCCTGGTAACCACTGTTTAATTCTCTGTGTATTTGACATTTTTTTTTTAGATTCCACACATAAGTGAGATCATGTAGTACTTTACTTTCTGTGTCTGGATCATTTCACTTATCTTAATGGTCACCAGATTCATCCATATTATGGAAAATGGCAGGGTATCCTTTCTCCTTTTTTCTTTTTTTTTTCTTTTTTTTTTTTTTAGAGACAGGGTCTCACCGTGTTGCCCAGGCTTGACCTTGAACTCCTGGGCTCAAGCAATCCTGTCTTGGCCCCCCAAAGTGCTGTGATCACAGAGGATATCCTTTTCTAAAGCTAAATAATATTTCACTGTGTGTCTGTATCACAGTTTTTAAGTCCATTTATCCATCAATGGGCACTTTTGTTGTTTCCATATCTTGGTTATTCTGAATAAACATAGGAGTGCAGATATTTTTATGAGGTAGTGATTTCATTTCCTTTGAGAGGGATTGATAAACCCAGAAGAGGGATTGTTAACGCTCCATACTCTTGAAATTTGCATCAGTGATCCACATTGCCAGGTCAATCTTGACTTTGGCCTGCCGATTATATATGATGTACAATCCAACCGATACGTATGAAATGGAAGGCAATTGGTTGCTTTGGGGATTTTTACACCTAGAAAATGCTACCTTTTTTGAACTCTTAGACTAAAACTTTTTCTAAATTTGACTTAATCTTCATACATTGCTCTGAAAAAAACACATTTATATTGCTCTTTTATCCGTAGTATTTAAAATCTTTAAAGTGATAAAATAATCTTATGCACAAATAGTAGGATTTCCATCTGGTGTGCATCTGATCATGGCCAACTACTTGGCTGTGAACATTATCAAAACGTGTTTGTCCCTGTACACCTTTGCTAGTCATATAGATTTTTATTTTCAAAATTGCTTAGTTGGTATCAATATTAGCCAGTGTCAGAAACTAACCAGAAGAAACCCACAGAACAAGCCTAACCAGCTCACTCACAAGTTACAGAGCAAAGCTTGAGTCATTGTACATTCTGTTAGTAAAGCAAGGTACCTCTTTACTCTGTGTTGATTTATTTTTGTTATAAGTATGGTTGCCTTGTGCCGACCTAAGATTTTGGAAACCTTACCAAGTCTCCTCTTCCCATTTTTATAGATGCAAATCTCCACAGTTACAAAGAGAGAGTTGCAAGAAAAAAGGTGGAAAAAAAATCTCTCAACACAATAGCCTATAAAAGGGCATCAAAAACAATGAATAACAGTTTATTTTCAGTACATACAGTGCTGAATCCAGGCAGGGGTCCTCCAATCCAATAAGGGGCAGCAGAAATGCAGGACCCATTTGACAAAGCATCCTCACTTCAGAGAAATGCCTGTTCCTGGGGAAGGAGACTAGCTTTGGCTTTAGCATTTCAAACAGCCTGTGCTTAATAAAGAAAACAGGATGGGGTCTACAGAAGTTGTTGCAAAAGTGCAATCGAGGTAAAATAAAATAAATGCAGGCCAGGCATGGTGGCTCACGCCTGTAATCCCAGCACTTCGGGAGACCGAGGCAGGTGGATCACTTGAGGTCAGGAGTTTGAGACCAGCCTGGCCAACATGGTGAAACACCATCTCTACTAAAAATACAAAAAATTAGCCAGGCATGGTGGCACATGCCTGTAATCCCAGCTACTTGGGAGGCTGAGGCAGGAGAATTGCTTGAACCCAGGAGGCAGAGGTTACAGCGAACAGAGATTGTGCTACTGCACTCCAGCCTGGGCAACAGAGTTAGGCTCTGTCTCAAAAAAATAAAACCTTCTGTGGGAAAAATACTGTGTCTCTGAAAGTTTCAGATGCAGTAGACTTCCTTCTTTTTTTCCCCACTTTATTGGCAAGGACCCAGTTGGCACAGCTTTATTTTGAGCTCAATCCATCAACAATTCAAGAGAATTAATAATGTATTTATATCACATGCTAGTAGTAGCATAAAATTATCTATAAATGTTTAATATATATTCTGTAATGCTTTTGGAACACATGTTATAAATGATAAATAAATAATAATGGATTCTTTATGAAACATTTATCCCTAGCATGGTTACTGTTATGTTATAACTGCTTCAGAAACCATTACTAACAAAGTGAATTGAGTTATCAAAGTTATAGATACGTTTAGCCCGCCATTCATAATGAAACGTGCAAGACTTAAAATGAAGTAAAGACACTGGAAGCAGCTGTTGACAAATTGTAACTGTCAGAGTCACCAGTCATATTTAGCCGTTCACGAACATAAACGACTGGCAACCATTTAATAAACTATGCCTCATGAAATATTGAGTCCTGGTATCTTGTAATTGTAGAGTCTGCGGATTCTTTTCTGTGGATAGTAACACTGAATCATGGAGTCTTCCCCAAATTTCCACGGGTTCAGAAGGGCTTCGAGCAAAAGTTCAACCAAGGACTATGAATTTGATACAAAAAGACACTGCCTCGCTGGAAACAATATACACAGGCTAGCCAGGGGTGAGCGTCTAAGATGAGTTCGGTATTTTGAACACTTACTATTTGAAAGTCAACAAGATTTTGACCGGGCATGGTGGCTCACGCCTATAATGCCAGCATTTTCGGAGGCTGAGGCAGGAAGATCACTTGAGGTCAGGAGTTCGAGACCAGCCTGGCCAACATGGTGAAACCCCGTCTCTACTAAAAACAATACAAAACAAAAAAAAACTGCTGGGCGTGGTGGCACGTACCTGTAATCCTGGCTACTTGGGAGGCTGAGGCAGGAGAATCACTTGAACCCAGGAGGCAGAGGTTGCAGTGAGCTGAGATCGCACCACCACACTGCAGCCTGGGTGACAGAAATAAATAATAGATAAGTAAATATGAAAGTCAACAAAATTTTTTTTCATTAGTTTAAAATGGAGGGATCATTTATATACAGTAAAATTCATCTTTTGTGTACAGTTCTGTGAATTATGAGAAATGCCCACCATTATGTAGCCACCAACAAAATTAAGTACCCCTTTGTTTTTTCTATAACCCTTGTAGTCTGCCCCTCCCCCATCCTCAGCTCTTGGAAACCAGTGATTTGTTCTCTGTTCCTACATATCTGCCTTTTCCAGAATAGCATGATAAATGAAACCCTAAGTTTGTAGCTTTTTTAGGCTGGCTGCTTTCCCTCAGAATAATGCATTTGAAATGTGTCCATGGTGTTGCATATATCAGTAGTTTATTCTTTTTTATTGTTGAGTAGCATTCCATTGTATGGATATAGTATACCGTAGCTTATTTATTCACCAGTTGAAGGATATTTTAGTTGTTTTAAGCTTTTGGGAATTATGGCCGGGTGCAGTGGCTCATGCCTGTAATCCCAGCACTTTGGGAGACTGAAGCAGGTAGGTCGCTTGAGGTCAGGAGTTTGAGAGCAGCCTGGGCAACATGGTTAAACCCTGTCTCTACTAAAAATACAAAAATTAGCCGGCATGGTGGCTTGCACCTGTAGTCCCAGCTATTCAGGAGGTGAGGCAAGAGAATCACTTGAACCCAGGAGGTGAAGGTTGCAGTTAGCTGAGATCACACCACTACACTCCAGCCTGGGCAATGGAGCAAGACTCTTTCTCAAAAAAAAAAAAAAGTTTTTGGTAATTGTGAATAAATCTGCCATTAACATGTAGATACACGGCTTTTGTATGAATGTAAGTTTTCTCTAGGATAGATACCAGGAATAGGGCTGATGGTCATAAGAGATATATGTATTTAGTTTTATGAAAATGTCATACTAATTTCCAAAGTGGCAGCACCATTTTGATTTCTGTCAGCAACGTATGAGAGAACCATGGATTATTGCTAGCACACGGTATTGCCAATTGTTTTTACTTCATTTTTATTTTTTGAGACGGGGTCTCACTGTCACTCAGGTTGGAGTGCACTGGTGCAATCTCAGTTCACGGCAACCTCTGCCTCCCAGACTCAAGCGAGCTTGACACCTCAGTGTCTTGAGTAGCTGCGACTACGGGAGAGTGCCACCACACCTGGCTAATTTTTTGCATTTTTGGTAGAGATGAGGTTTCGCCATGTTGCCCAAGCTGGTCTCAAACTCCTGAGCTCAGGCAATCCACCTGCCTTGGTCTCCCAAAATGCTGGGATTACAGGCTTGAGCCACTGTGCCTAGTCATCTGTTTATTTTTTTAATTAACAAAAGATTTTCGTTACGCCAGTCAATGCAAACACTTTTTAGATAGACATATCAAAGTTGGAAAAAAAAATTTTGTTACATGTAGTATGGACAAAAGTCACTTCTGAATTTTAATTTTTTCAGTTGGGTATGGAAAAAGTCAGGTGGGAAAAGTGTTAGAGTAAATCTCAGGGATGAAATGCAGTTGTCAGCTACGTGTGATGTTTATCAATAAAAAAGCAGATAATCTTAAAAGTTGTTATTAAGCTGTGTAAAAAGATTCACATTTGAATTAGCCATATCGAAAATTCAAATATTCTTCCATTTGGCATTTTCCAGATGTTTTTATTTTCCCTCTTTTCTCATCTTCACTAACCCATAAACTATGTTGTACATAGGAAATGTTAATTTTCTTATTATGCAGACAGAAAATGAAAGCTTAGAGAGGTTTTAAATTGAGCAATCATTTAATGAACATTTACCATGTGCTCAATATTTTATTCATATAATCTTTACAGTAGCTCCAAGAGGCAGGTGTTACCCTACCCATTTGACAGATGAGAAAATTAATCTCAGGGAGATTAAATACTTTATCCAAACTTTTACAACAATTGACTCAAAATGAATTAAATACTTAAATGAAAGAGCTAAAACTATAAATGTCTTAGAAGAAAAGATAGAGGAAAATCTTTATGACATTGGATTTAGCAATAGTTTCTTGGATATGACACTAAAAGTCCAGGTAAGAAAAGAAAAAATATAGATAAACTAAACTTCATCAAAATTCAACTTTCATGCTTTAAAGGACACTATCAACAGTCAAAACAAGACCCACAGAATGGAAAAAAATAGATGTATATCACCTATCTGATAAAAGATTGCTATCCAGAATATATAAAGAACTCTTACAACTCAACAACAACAACAAAACTCAATTTAAAAATGAACACGTGGCCTGGCATGGTGGTTCACACCTGTAATCCCAGCACTTTGGGAGGTCAAGGCGGGTGAATTGCTGAGCTCAGGAATTTGAGACCAGCCTGGGCAACAGGGTGAAACCTCTTCTCTACAAAAAATACAATAATGAGCTGGGTGTGGTGGCATGCACCTGTAGTCTCAGCTACTCGGGGTGACTGAGGCGGGAGGATTGCTTGAGCATAAGAGGTTGAGGCTGCACTGAGCCATGTTTTTGCACCCCTGCACTCCAGCCTGGGTGACAGAGCAATACCCCATCTCTTGAAAAAAAATGAAAGGACAGAGAATTTGAATAGATATTTCTCCAAAACAGATATACAACTGGCCAACAAGCACATGAATAGATATTTATATCACAAATCATTGCTGAAATGCAAATCGAAGCTGGAATAAAATGCCACATTACACCTAGTAGGAAGGCTACTATTAAAAACAGAAAACAAATGTTGGTGAGGATTTGGAGAAACTGAGGCCCATGTGCATTGCTGGAGGGAATGTAAAATGGTGCAACAGCTATAGAAAACAGTATGACAGTTCCCAAAAAAATTAAACATAGAATTGCCAAATAATCCAACCGTTCCACTTCCAGGTATATACACACAAACTCTGAGGACTGCAGCTCAAAGAGGTATCTGTACACCAAATCCATAGCAGTAGGATTCACATTAGCCAAAGTGTGGAACTATCACAAATGTCCACTGAGAGATGAATGGATAGACAAAATGTGGTACACACATACAGACACGGATAAATAGTGGAATGTTATTTAACCTTAAAAAGGAGTGAAACTTGGATACATGCTACAACCTGAATGAACCTCGAAGACATTATTATGTTAAGCGAAATAAGCCAAACACAAAAGGACAAATATTGTATGACTCCCTTCCTCTGAGGTATCTACGATAGTCAAATTCCTAGAGACAAAAAGTGGGATGTGGTTATCAAGGATTCGGGGTAGGAGAAAATGGAGAGTTATTTTTTAATGGGTTTGAGTTTCATTTTTGGATGATGAAAAAGTTCTATAGACAGATAGTGGTGGCTGGATGTGGTGGCTCACGGCTGTAATCCCAGCACTTTGGGAGACTGAGGTGGGTGGATAGCCTGAGGTCAAGAGTTCGAGACCAGCCTGGCCAACATGGTGAAAACTTGACTGTACTAAAAATAGAAAAAAAAAATTATCTGGGCATGGTGGCAGGCACCTGTAATCCCAGCTACTCAGGAGGCTGAGGCAGGAGAATCACTTGAACCCAGGTGGCGGAGGTTACAGTGAGCCAAGTTCATGCCATTGCACTGTAGCCTGGGCAACATAGCAAAACTCTGTCTCAAAAGAAAAAAAAATAGTGGTGAAGATTGCACAACAACATGAAGACACTTAATGAACTAAACTACACACACTTAAAAATGGTTACAATGGCAGCTTTTATGTTATGTATATTTTACTACAATTTTAAAAGCCTTGAAAATGAAAGAGATTAGCATAGAAGGCTCAAAAATGGTTCAAATTGGATCCCATGAAAAAGCAACAAAAATATGAGTCCTGAAGTTGCTAAATAGAAAGTCTTTAAGAAGCCAGAGATCAGAGCAGCAGAGTACACGCAGCAGATATCCCATGGGGCTCACAGCACTTGCAAACAACTTGTTGGATTCTTACGATTTTCTTTCCTTTTTTATTTTTATTTTTTTTCTTTTTAAGATGGAGTCTTGCTCTGTTGCCCAGGCTGGAGGGCAGTGGTATGATTTTGGCTCACTGCAACCTCCTTGTCCCAGGTTCAAGCAGTTCTCTGTCTCAGCCTCCTGAGTAGCTGGGATTACAGGCACCCACCACCATGACCGGCTAATTTTTTGTATTTTTAGTAGAGAAGGGGGTTTCACCATCTTGGCCAGGCTGGTCTTGAACTCTTGACCTCGTGATGCACCCACCTCGGTCTCCCAAAGTGCTAGGATTACAGGCGAGAACCACCACGCCCCGCCAAGGATTCTTACAATTTTCTAAAGGGAAAATAATTCTCACCCTGAAACGTGCCCAGAGTTAGTATTTTCCTTCTACTCTTTCAACCATCAGCTACCCCTTAGCTCTAACATTCACCAGCTTTTATGATTAAATGGGGACAGGTTGAAAAGATGGCACGTTAATTAATGATGAATTACCCTGGATTACTGCAGAGTTCCTCCTGTAAGAGTCACATTAATAGCAGAAATCAGTTCTTCATTATTCAGGAGGAAAAGGAGAAGTAAGAATGAGGCCCTCATTTTCTGCTAGATCTTATTGCTGAACCGATTTAACATCTCGGATCTTAAGCTCCACTCGAGTTCACTGAAGCTTCACAACTATTAAAACGCTCAGGATTCAACGGAAACAACGAAAATAAAATGGAAACTCATCTACATAACAAAGGCGGAGAGAAAGCAGGCATCTTATCAGCCATCACCAGATCTTTGCTTTTGAACAAGCACTGAAGCCTTACAGGGTGAACACAATACAATAGTCTGCGTCATTAGAAGGTAAGTGCCTGCTTTGGGCAACCAGGGCAAAGTGGTGCACATAAAGAGGTAAACATTCTAGGAGTGAGTATGTGTGTGTGTGTTAGGGGGGCACATGGAAAGCAGTGGACTGGATGGTTTCTTTTAAGACCTTAGCGTGTCTCTGTATTTATCAGAGTGTCAGCTCTCTGTTCCACACATGTTCCTTTAAGGCTAAAAAGATGCATTCTCCAGAATCCTTCCTGGCCGTGTAACCAGCTCTCAAATGTAATCTGACCTCTAGGCCAGGAGCTTAAAATTCCAATACTTTTAGGAGCCAGGGATGTCTCATAAATTGGAGAAGTGAATCACTTATTATAAAATAGAGAGTGGTGGTATGTCTGGTACATATTAAGCATCCAATAAATTTTTACAGTTTTTTTTAGGGTTGTGATTTGGGCATCATAATTTGATAGAAAGAGAACTCCTTTGGTAATATCGTAGTTTGTACTTAATCTAAATTTAACCTATCTCTAGTTTTTTTTTTTTTTTTTTTTTTTAATACAGGGTCTGCCTCTATGGCCCAGGCTGGAGTGCAGTGACATGATCTTGGCTCGCTGCACCCTCCACCTCCTGGACTCAAGTCATCCTTCCACCTGAGCCTCCCTAATAGCTGACACTACAGGCACATGCCATGACACCTGACGAATTTTTTGTATTTTTAGTAGAGATGGGGTTTCGCCGTGTTGCCCAGGCTGGTCTTGAACCCCTGGACTCAAGCAATCCACCCACCTGGGCCAACCAACATGCTGGGTATACCCACTTTTTGAACTTTTTTAAAAAGCAGTGAGTTTATTGTGAAACTACACAGGCCCATAGAATAAAGGAACCTAAGAAAAGAGCAATGAAAGGGGTGAACTAATGATTGAATTGGACAATGCACCTAGCTCTGAGCTTCCTGGTAGACAATAAAAAGTAGAAAAGTGATGCATTAAAGGCTTTCATTGTCTGATCGCCAATTTATTTTATCAGGTCTTCAGGAACATCATACCTCTTAACTGAGGTTTGGATATTAAGAAGGGACTAGCTGTGTCCCAGAAAAGAGTACCATGGAGAGGGAACAGCAGAATAGAGGTCCATAGGAAGTTACAGTCTTTGTGTGGTGATGATAATGTAGATGTTGATATGTACTTCATAGACAAATAAATATTTATTCACTCAGCAAAGATTTATTGAGTGCCTATGGTGTGCTTGGAAGTATTCTAGATATTAGGGATTAATGAGTGAAGTAAGTAAAAATTTCTGCTCTCATTCTAGCAGAAGTGAGAAAATATGCAGCCTATATAATGAACAAGCACTTTAAGTGTTATGTGAGAAGTGATGTATGCGTTAGAAAAAAATAAAATGTAAAGTGGAGTAAGGGAATCATGGATGATATGGAAATAGTAATGGATGGTCTTCCCTTGATCTCAGGATATCTCTGAGAATCAAATGAAATCAGGCAGTGAAAGAGTTCCAGAAACTATTTTGTAGACGTAAATTAGTTATAATAATTGAGAAGGCTGTTTTCAAATGCTTCAACCACCCATGCATGCACACACATACACATTAATATTTAGCTCTTGGAATACCCTGAAAGGACACAACCATCTCACTCTTTCTCCTGGTAAAGGATTATTTACTAGTGGTGAAATATCCTTGATTCTTGGCCAACAGCAATTAGGAGATGGCATTTCAGAAGATAAGGAACAGAAGTGTGACCCCTGTACCCTGGTTGGTACCTCTCTAGTCCCCATGCTACTGGTAATATCACCACAAGCACAATGCCAGTAAGCCAATCAGAGTCTCTCTGCAGTTTACTGGGGAATTTCACATCTTCTTCCTTTTCCACTTGTTGATGATTGAGAGAGAAACAATCACACCATTTCTTTCCTCCATTGAAACAGACACACAATAGTTAAACACTCAAACTGGCTAATGTAGTGTACATTACAACGGAAACCAGTGAGCAAAAACAAGTTTTAGGATTGAGTAGTTGCCAACAGAGTTAACCCAACAACTAAATACTTCACATAAAGTTTCTTTTGAATTCCTTGTTTCCTTACAGAGCTACACGGTCCTCATTCCATCAAGTTCTGGGTTGGCAAGATGGCAGAACCCATAGGATGTTCTGGTGGATGGGATGTGGGGTTCTTAAAAAAGAAAGGAATTAGGATGCTTTTATGGTTTTTTGATCTGGGCAGTTAAAAGGATAGGGTTGTTCTCAATGGAGATGGGGAAGGCTGTGGATGGAGCAGGATTTGAAGGGCGGATGAAGAGTTTAGTTTTAGATATTTTGAGTTTGAGATGTCAATTGGTCATCCAAATAGAGATGTTAAAAAGAGAAGTATATATAAGAGTCTGGCATTTGGGAGAGGGTTCTGGGCTGGGAATCTAAATTTGAGTTATCAGCGAATATATCATGTTGTTTGAGAGCAGACGGCCAATGCTTACTCGGTCACTTCATTGTGTGTCTACCAGTGTCAGTCAAGTGGTGGAGGACTAGAAAAGGGAGAAGAAAAACTAGAAACAACTCTTTCAAGACATTGTACTACAAAGGGTAGTTAAGAAATGGAACAATAGCTGTAGCATTACAATCTTTAATGTGCTAAGTGCTTACAGTATTTCTGATTCTGGAGTAGACTTCACAGCTTAACCCCAGTTATCCTGAGAACCTGTGAGGAGGACTTGTCATCCCAATTTTACTGAAGAAGAAAGGAGTTCAGTGAGAT